>NC_000019.10:55990874-56615874 GCF_000001405.40 Homo sapiens | reverse complement strand
ATGGCTTTGAGTTAGATTGTTTAGATATACCACCAAAAATACAGGCAACGAGAACAACAAAAAATAGATACATCGCACTACATCAAAATTAAAAACTTTAGAGTCAGAAATAATGCCATCAAGAAAGTGAAAACACAATCCACAGAATGGGAGGTAATATTTGCACGGCATATATCTAAAGAAAATCTTGTATCAAGAATACATAGTGGTCTGGCTCTGTGACGCAATGGATAGCGCATTGGACTTCTAGATAGTTAAAGAATACATAGTGAACTTTCAAAATTCAATAATAACCCAACAGAAAAAAAAAAAAAAACAGGAAAAGACTTGAACAGATACTTTACCAAAGAGAATATACAAACATCAAATAAGCGCAGGAAAAGATTATCAGTATCAAATGAAAAGCGCAGTGATGAGACCACACACCTACAAGTGTCAGTATCAAATGAAAAGCACAGTGATGAGACCACACACCTACAAGGGAGGCTAAATTTAAAAGATAAAGCAATTAGAATGAAGCTTGTGCGCTGCTGGTGGAAATGTGAAATAGTACAATCACTTTGGAAAACAGGTTGGCAGTTTCTTAAACAAGTTAAATATACATGTAGCACATGATCCAGACTTTCCACTCAACAGAAGGAAAAGCAAATGTCTACACAAAGAACTGTTCACAAATGTTCACAGCAGCTTTATTTGTAATAGCCCAGAACTGGAAATGACCCAAATGTTGATCACCAGGCGAATGGCTGAACAAATTGTGGCATACACATACAGTGGAATAATACACAGAGATAAAAATAAATGAACTATGAGACATGCAATGACATGGGTGAATCTCAAAATAATGCCAAGTCAAACCAAAAAAAGCCAGACCAAAAAAAAAAGGGTACATACTGTATGATTCCATGTATATAAAACTGGAGAGCAGGTAAACTCAACCACAGTGACATAAAGCAGACCAGGGGATCCCTGGGGATGGGGGTTGAGGAAGGGGAGAGAGGGGTAATAAAGGAGGATGAGGAATCTCTTGGGGATGATAGATATGTCCTTTATCTTGATCATGGTGATGGTTTCCTGGGTATGCACTATGTCAAAATGCATCAAACTCTTCACTTTATATATGCGTGGTTAATTACAGGTCAATAATACCTCCAGAAAAGCTGTTAAAGAAATAGGACCACGCTCTGATTACAAAAGTGAGTGTTTTAACCTAACAGTATGTTGTGGGACATCTTTTCATGGCAGTGCCTACAAACAGTCCTCAGCTTTGAAGAGCTGCCTGGTTTCCAACATATCGATAGGCCTTGATACGTTCAGTCAGTCTTAGACAGCTGGGCATTTAGGTCGTTTTCCTTGATTTTTCTTCCCATGGAAAACTTTGCATACTTACATGAGAATTTCTAAAGGACAGATCTCTAAAAATGGAATCCTTCAATATTTGACTGATAAGGCCAAGCTATCCTCCAAAAGAGCTGTCCCAACTTTATACTCCTAAAATGAGAGTCCTTTCCTCTACAGCCTCATAATATGGGCTATTATTCTTTTTTCATCTTTGTGCACTTCATGGGCAAAAACTGCTAGTACCTCAATTTGTGTGTCTCCAGTAGTAAGGTTTAAAAAACTTTTATAAAGTGTTAACTTTGTGTATTTCTAAATCTATGAATCACCAGCTCATAAGTTTGGTCCATTCTATTATTCGCTTAGTCTTTTTCTTATTCCCAGGAGCTGCTTACATAATTATGACCCTTTGAATGTAAAACACGTGAGAAATATTATTTCCCATACCATCGTGATCAACTTTATTTTTAGCTTCAAGTAGAGCAAATTTTAAAACTTTCCATGTAGTCAGATCTGTTGATCTTTTTTTTTTTTTAATTTATTTGTGGTCCTGAAGTTATGGGCCAATGATGAGTAACTCAACGAAGCTGCCCCTTACCCAGTGAGACCAGGTTCCTGTAGTTCTCCAGCATGACATCCCTGTACAGGTCCTTCTGGGCAGGCTCCAGCTGCTGCCACTCCTCCTGGGTGAAGTCCACAGTCACATCCCTGAACGTCACTGATTCCTGTAAGAGGAAACCCACATCCGCTCATCGCAGGGCCCTCCTTACAGAGGCGTGGAGGAATGGCCAGAAAAGCCAAGAGGATTTAGGGGAGGCAGATGGGATGTAGCTGAAGTGATTTCAATAAGATGCAGAGTTCTAAAGGGATCACTCACAGTTTTCTCTGTGTCTAGTTATATTGGGTTGGCACTCTGATAGAGAAATAAATCCCATATGAAACATTCTGGAACAGAAGGTCACAGATCTGAGAACCAGATGGAAAGGAACTGAAGGCAAAGTGAGTCTAACCCAGTGAATCAACAAATGCATTAGGAGCACAGCAGAGGCAGAGCCCCAGATGGAATCCAGGGGCACAGCTAACTTTTCTGAGCCCCTACTAAGCACCAGGCAGCAAGCCCAGTGCTGGGATACAGACACAAAATGTTCAAGAACTAGTTCCTCATGGCAGAGGCAGACAAAGACACGTAATTTGGTAAACGCAATCAATCATGAAGGTATGAACAAAGGTCTCCAGGTGCCTGAGTAATGCCAGCTGTGGGGGGTGCCCAGGAAGACTTTGAGTAGTCTGTGAAGAGAACTGGTGGTTGGGTCTTTAGTGGGAGATTCTGGGTAGGGAAGAGAGCTTGGATCAAGACCCGAAGGTGAAAAGGCAGATGAGACTGCTGGGGAGTGGAGAGAAGTCCACGTGGAAGGAGCAGCACTTTGTGGTAGATGTCACAAGCCTGTGGACTGAAAGAACCTGGCGGAGCAGTGTGGATGGTGATGATGAGGTAGGCAACACCAGTCATTATGCAGCAGCTGCTATGTGCCAGGTACTACTCTAAGTGGTTGGTATGGGTTGAATTATGAGCCCCTCCAATTCATATGCTGATGTCCCAACCTTCAAGGTCTCAAGAACATGACCTTATTTGGAAACAGGGCTGCTGCAGATGAAATCAGTTAAAATGAGGTCATCCTGGAGTGGGGGTAGGGGGCCCTAATCCAACAGGACTGGTGTCCTTATAGAAAAGGGAAATTTGTTTTTCAATTTTTAAAATCTCAATAGCTTTAGGGGTACAGGTAATTTTTGGTTACAGGGATGAAATGTACAGTGGTAAAGTCTGGGATTTTAGTGCACCCATCACCTGAATAGTGTACATTGTACCCAATATGTAGTTTTTCACCCCTCACCCCCCTGCCACCTTGCCCGCTTCTGAGTTTCCAAAGTCTATTATAACACTCAGTATGCCTCTGTATATCCATCGCTTAGCTCCCACTCATAAGTGAGAACACACAGCATTTGGTTTTCCATTCCTGAGTTACTTAACTTATGATAATGGCCTCTAGTTCCATCTAAGTTGCTGTAAAAGACATTATTTCATTATTTTTTATGGCTGAGTAGTATTCCATGGTATGTGTGTGTATGTATGTGTGTATGTGTATAAATGTGATATACATATATATTATATGTGTGTGTATCACATTTTCTTTATCTATGGGTTGATGGGCACTTTCCTTATTCATTGGTTGATGGGCACTTAGGTTGACTGCATATATTTGCAATTGTGAATCGTGCTGCAATAAACATACACGTGCAGGTGTCTTTTTGATATAAATACTTATTTTCCTTTGCGTTGACACCAAGTAGTGAGATTGCTGGATCAAATGGGAGATCTACTTTTAGTTCTTTGAGAAACCTCAATACTGTTTTCCAAAGAAGTTGTACTAATTTATATTCCCAGCAGCAGTGTATAAGCATTCCCTTTTCACCACATCCACGCCAATCTATTGTTTTTTGACTTTTTAATAATGGCCATCCTGGCTGGGGTAAGGTGGTGTTGTGGTTTTAATTTGCATTTCAGAAAGGAAAAACATGGACAGAGAGAGACATGTACACAGGGACAAGGCTGTGTGAAGAATGGAGTTATGCTGCCACAAGTCAGGGAACTTGCCAGCAGGTGGGAGACAGGCCTGGAACAGAGCCTTCCCTTGAGCCTTCAGAGGGAGCGTGGTCCTGTGGATACTTTGATCAGGGACTTCCAGCCTCCAGAACTGTGACAGAATAAATGTCCTTTGTTTAAGCTGCACAGTCTGTGGTACTTATTTACAGCAGCCTTGAGAAATAGATACCGTGCTGGCACATATTGATTCAGTCATTATTAACTTAAAACAGACCTACGAGTCAGGTGCTAACATTATAATATAGTATGCCTGTTTAAAAGTGATTAAGTGATTGTCTTTCATCCCCAAAAGCCCCCCTTCCACACTCTGCACAGAGATCTGCGGGCTTTGACTCTGCGATCCCGTGATGTTTCTGCCTTAGCAGCTACTCCCTGTGAAGCTCTGTCAATAGGGGGCACTGGAGGGAGGCTGGAAGGTAGAGATAAAAGAAACCAAGGCACAGACAGGGTAGGTTCCTGGACCAAAGCACACAGCTACTGCGTGGGACAGCCAGGCTTTGAACCTCATGGGCTGTCTCCAGAGCCCGAGTCCTCATCCTTGCAGGCTGCTGCCTCTCACGAACCACCCAGAGCGGCAGGTAATGAAAACTTGTGGTGCCCATACATGTAGTCCTGACTCTGACCTCTGACCCCCACACTGTCCCCACAACTGCTCTGCCCCTTGTGCTCTGCTCCAGCCCTGCCAGCCTGCCTTCTCTCCTCGAATATCCCCCAGGGAACTTGCACTAGCCGTTTCTTCTGCCCAAAATGCTCTTCCTTCAGGTCTGGCCTAAGCTGGCTCCTTCTTATTCATTCTTTGGAAGGTCTGAGCAGGAGAGGGACAGAATCTAATTTAGAATTTTACAGGTGCACTCTGTATTTGCACACCCATGTTCCTAACAGCACTATTCACAATAGACAAAAGGTGGAAGCAACAAGTGTACACTAACAGACAAAAAGAAGAAGAAAATGTGGTCTCTATATACAATGAAATCTCATTCAGACTTAATAAGGAAAGAAATTCTGACACATGCTACAACATGGGTGAACCTTGAGGACATTCTGCTCCATGAAATATGCCAGTCACAAAAGGACAAATACTGCAACAACATTCCTCTCTAAAGGAAATACTCTCTCCAACTCAAATACTGAAACATTCCTCTCTGACACTCCTGATAGGAGAACAGACTGGGACAATGTCTATGGAGTGGCATTTAGCAAAATCTATCAAAACTAATATTCAAATTCTTTTGAACACTTTAGACTAATTCAGATATATTAATACACATGCAAAAACATAGATGTGTAAGGATATTTATTACAGTATCAGATGAAGAAGTAAAAAGACTGAACACATCCCAAATGGCCATCAGTAGGGGTTTGGATAAATCAGGTCAGTGAATCCACCACAGTGGAATACACACAGCCATAACAAAAAAAAAGGGGGCAGCCCCTTAGCTGCAGGTGCAGAATGATCTCCCGAATATACTGTTACATGAAAAAACAGATCAATGCCCAGAACAGTGTGTCTAGTTTGTTAACATTTCCATAAGAGGAAATAATAAAGGGAAATTTACACATATGTGCTTATACAGGCGCAGACCTCTTTATGGAAGTGAATGCAAGAAACTGGTAAGAATGCACAGCTGGTGGGGATGTAAAATGGTTCAGCTGCTTTGGAAGACAGTCTGGCATTTCCTCAAGTGAATAAACACAGAGTTACCTTATGACCTAGCACTTCCATTCTTGGTAGATATCTAAGAAAAATGAAAACAGAGTGCCACACAAAAACTATACACTGATGCTCATAGCAATGTTACTCGCAATAGTCCCAAAGTGGAAACGACTCAAATGTCCATCTCCTGACGAATGGATAAACAATGTGGTTCGTCCACACGACAGCTCTGACACACGCTGCAACATGAAGGAACCTGGAAAACATGACACCAAGTGAAAGATGCCGGACACAGAAGACCATATCGTATGCCTCATTTGTACACAATGTCCGGAATAGGCAAAATCCATATCGTATGCCTCATTTATGTACAATGTCCAGAACAGGCAAAATCCATACCGTATGCCTCATTTATGTACAATGTCCGGAACAGGCAAAATCCATATCGTATGCCTCATTTATATGCAACGTCCGGGACAGGCAAAATCCATATCGTATGCCTCATTTATGTACAATGTCCAGAACAGGCAAAATCCATATCGTATGGCTCATTTATGTACAATGTCCAGAACAGGCAAAATCCATATCGTATGCCTCATTTATGGACAATGTCCGGAACAGGCAAAATCTGTATCGTATGCCTCATTTATACACAATGTCCGGGACAGGCAAAATCCATATCGTATGCCTCATTTATATACAATGTCCGGAATAGGCAAAATAGAATGAAGGTAGATGTGTGGTTGCCTAGGGGTGAGGGTGGGTTGGAGAGAAATGGGGAGTGACTGCCAATGGGTATGGGGTTTCTTTTTGGAGTGGTAAAAATTTTCTAAAATATTGTGGTGATGGTTGCATAACTGTAAATAAACTAAAAAGCACTGGATATTAATGTGTCTACTTTATATGGATGGATTTTACGATACGTGAATTATACCTCAATAAAGCTCTTAACCAAAATAGAATCTGGTAAGAGCAGGTGATGCCAGTAGTTTCAGGATGGGGAGGGGAAGTGGGAGAATTCATTTTCCCAGTTTACTAATTTTCAAATAGGTGCGTTTTACCTATTGTTTCTTCAATTAAAAGGTTAATATTACACATTTTATGTGTTTAAAATGTTCAGACATTTTACTTCTGGAAATCTATCCCAACAAGATAATCCAAAAATTGGGCAAAGCTTCATGCACAAAGATGTCCACTCCATTTTATTTATATGGGCAAGTCTTTGGACAACCATAACATCCATGTCATGGGATTCATTAAATAATAGCCTACCCCCATGGCCAATTACATAGCTATTTTCATTACAAGATTATGCAGAGCTTTTCCATGTAGAGTTGCTTCTGGGTTTCCAGAATTCTAAATAACCATTTTATCTCAACCACATGAAAACAATACACAGGAAAAAGATGGAAGGAAATGTGTCAAAATGTGAACAGCAGCTGTATCAGAGGAGTGACACTGTGAATATTTTCATGTTTTATGTGTATGTGTGTGTGTGTGTGTTGGCAGCCTCCAAGACAGCCCCGAATGATCCCCAGTTCCTGGTATCCACAGCCTTATGTAGCCCCTTCACTGTGCCAGGGTGATTCTGTGTGATCAACAACATACAGCAGAGGTTAGTGTGGTGTCACTTCCAAGGAAAGGTTATATGCACACTCACTATTCACAATCGCCAAAAGGTGGAAGCAACCCAAGTGTACGTAAGCACGAGTGGATAAGCAAAATGCAGTCTATGCATACAATGGGATATTATTCCGCCTTTAAAAAAAAAAAATTCTGACACATGCTACAAGGGTGAACCTTGGGGACATTATGCTCAGCGAAATAAGCCAGACACAGAAGTAAAACTACTGCACGATTCCATGATTTAAATGAAGTATCAAGTCAAATTTATAGAGACTTGTGGAATGGCAGCTGCCAGGGGCGGAGGGGAGGGGGATGGAAAGTGTTTGTTTAATGGCTGCAGAGTTTCAGTTTTACAAGATCAAAGAGTTCTGGAGATGGATGGTGGTGGCGCTGCACATTAGGAATGCATTTAATGCCACTCAACTGCACACTTAAAAATGGTTAAGATGGCAAATTTTATGTTATGTGTATTTTAGCACAATAAGAAATTTAGGGGGAAAAAAAAAGACAAAAAGGTTATAAAGATCATAGCTTTGGTCCTGGGCACACTCCCTCTTTTTCCCTTGGATTACTCACTTTGGAGGAAGCCAGCTGCCCTGCAGAGTCCTTTGGAGAGGCCCATCTGACCAGCAGCTGAAGCCTCCCACCAATGTCAGTAAGGAGTTAAGGCATCCCACCACCAACCACTGTGTGAGGCTCTCAGAAGGGATTCTGCAGCCTGGGAAGCCCTGAGAAGACTGAAGATCTTGAGCCACAGCCATGCCACTGCCCCATTCCTGACCCTCAGAAACTGTGTAAAATAGTAAATAATTGTTGCTTTAAGCAACTGAGTTTGGGGGTAACTTGTTACACAGCCACAAGTAATACAGGGGGGTGAGTGTTTTTGTTTGTTTGTTTGTTTTTTGAAAGACAGTGCAGTGTCTTAAGGGCATGTCTGGGAAGTACAAAGACCTGTTATCAAACCCTGGCTTGGCCATTTTCTAGCTATGTGAATGTATGAAAGTGAACATCTTCAATTACCTAACCTCTGCAGGCTTCAGTTTCTTCCTCTGTTAAAAGGGGATAACAGCATCTACGTCATGGGGGGTTGTGAAGTTGTGTCTGCCTGGGCCACCACAGAATCCTCAGACCCTAGAACAGCGCCTGGCACTTAGTAGGTACTCAATAAATGTTTGTACAACAAATGACTGAATCCTTAAATTTCTTACATGGTACCTTGAACAGGCCCAAGAAAGCAATCGTATGTGATAGGAAGACACATAAAAAGCTACCTGCTTTGAGTATTTGCCCAAAATGAGCATACAACTCTCATACTCTCAATTATCATACTCAGGGCTGTGAATCAGAAATGCCCAGTCCTGCTGCCCAAGCAAGGAAAATGCAGGTACCTTTCCAAGAACCATCAATGAACATATTTAGAATATATCAGAATACGTATTAGATACCATTGATCTAGAATTCCTGTTTAGGGGGTAAAAATTCAACCATGCTTTTCTGGTAGCCCAGAAAATTGTAAATTAAAACACCAGTTAAATTTCTGATACAGTTATATTTTGCTGGATCAAATTACCCATTTTCACTGTCTCTTTCAATATAAGTCAGCTTTGGTAGACAATAGTAAGTGGGTAGACTTGTTGAAAATGGCCTCAAATCCTTCACTAGTGGAGTCTAGTTCCCCCATCCTTGAATGTGGGCTGGCCTTAGGGACCTGCTTGACCAATAGAATCTGGCAGAGGTAATGTTCTGGGACTCTCAGGCTAGATCACAGAAGACTTCCAGCTCCTGCCTCAGCCTCCTGGAACACTTGCTCTGGGAGAAGCCAGTCATCACAACAGGTGTCTCATTATGTCTCATTACTCACATGCCATGCTGTGAGGAAGCCCAAGCAGCCACAAGGAAAATCCATGTGGAAAAAAAAAAGATGCCCACCAAGGCCTCAGCGGTGCCATCCATACCACAGCAAGAGACAGACATGTGAGCAAAGAAGCCAGCAGACTACTCTAGCCCAGCTGCCATCCAACAGCCACCACACAAGAGATGCCAGGCACGAACTGCCCAGCTGAGCCCATCAACCCCAAAATAGTAATAAATTGTAGTTTTTGAGCCATTAAGTTCTGAGATGGTTACTACCCAGCAAAATATAACTGGATCGGAAATTTAACTGATTAATTTATAATTTTCCGGGCTACCAGAAAAGTATGGTTGAATTTTTACCCCCTAAACAGGAATTCTAGATCAATGGTATCTAATACATATTCTAACATATTCTAAATATGTTCATTGATGGTTCCTGGAAACACACAGAGTGATACTTCACCCTTTCATGTATTCATTTGACGAATATTTATTAAGTGCCTGCCATGCACCAGGCACTGGGCATACAACTGTGAATAAGACAGACATGGTATTGGCACCAGGTTTCTTCCATACTAATTCATTAGTAAATAATGATAAAAATAACTAATGTTCATTAAGCACATACTACATGCCAGGTATTGTTCTAAGCCCACTGCACACACCATCTCACTTAATCTTCAAAAGAACCCTACTATGTAGGCACTTTTATGAGCTCATTTCTTTTACAAAGGGGGAGACTGAGGCACAAGAGGTCACACAGATGGGAGTGGCAGCATTTTAAACCTAGTCAGTTCAACTCTCAGCCCCAACATTAGATGGCCTCATCCATGTATAATACCAATCTAGCTGGCATCACAGCCAAGGAGCAGTTTAGTTTGGATCAGACCCTGAGATGGATGGCACGTCTTTTGCCTATAAAGAAGACAGTTGGATAAATATCACAGAGTGTCCCAGCTGGCGCTTCTCTTCCAGACAGATCACAAGCGATCCTGAAGCCACTTCCAGAGATGGTGCTTGACAGTCGACCTCCTCCCTAGTGTGATGAAGGCCTGCACGTCTCACATTATTGCTGGCTGATCACATCATCCATGCATGACTCTGCCACATGAAGATCTTGAGCCATGGCCACAGATTAAATTTCTGATCCAGTTATATTTTGCTGGGTAGCAGCCATCTCAGAACTTAATGGCTCAAAAACAACAATTTATTACTATTTTGGGGTTGATGGGCTCAGCTGGGCAGTTCGTGCCTGGCATCTCTTGTGTGGTGGCAGTTGGATGGCAGCTGGGCTAGAGTAGTCTGCTAGCTTCTTTGTTTACAAGTCTGTCTCTTGAGCTGGTATGGATGGCACAGCTGAGGCCTTGGTGGGCATCTCTTTTTCTCCACATCACTTTTCCTTGTGGCTGCTTGGGCTTCCTCACAGCATGGCATGTGAGTAATGAGAGACCTATTGTGTCCTACAGAGGGACCTGCTGTTCTGAACTGATTCAGTGGTACAACCCCCAAGGCACAAGGAAAGAACGGGAGTTCTGAGCACACAGAGCATATGAGATGTACCTGGGCCTGAAGCCAGCTGTACACATTTCTATTTTGCTCCTATGGGGGTTTCAAAATTGTTTTTAATTGTTACTCACATGAAAAACACATCCACAATTTACCAAGAAAATGAATTTCTAGTTTCTCTTTAAACAGCAGAATATCTGGCCACTCTAGGCTGGAGCTGAGTGGTGGCTGACCCTTTGATGGGGCAAGAAAGCTCCAATTTGCTACAGGCCCCACCTGCCCACTTATTTATGTAAGACACTCAGAATGGTAATGCATAGCATACAGCAGGCACTCAATAAGTGCCAGCTATTGTTACTGACACTCAGAGCTCACTGGCTCTCTCCAGCATACTGAGTGTCCCCACCACCAACTGAATCCCAAGGGGAGGCCTCACCCCCGCTGGCTAGTCCCTCTATGGTCCTAGGGTGCCCTTCTGGGGCTTGGGCTCAAGATAGCCTCCTCTGCCTGAGGGGTCACCTTTGATAGAAAGCAGTTGGGCTGGTGGTTCAGAGTGTAGGCTCAGGAACCACACTCTGCAACGGAATCCTGGCTCTGCCCCTCATGAGCTGTGTTTCCTTGGACAACTGTCTTTCTCTTTCTAAGCCTCATATGAGAGGCAGGCTTCCTGATAACAATGTCCCCCTCCACAGGGTCGTAAGGTTAAATGTGTACAAATATGGTCCAAACACAGTGCCTCGTGTGATGGAGGAAGCTCTCAGTAAATGTCGACTCTTGCTATTATTTAATGTTGATATTTAATATATATCTTATGTACAACTGTAGATCCTTATATGATATTATTTGACCTTTTGGCCCAATGTATCTTTCAGCCAGCCCAGCTAATAATTCCTCCTTTTCTAAAAATTTAAACTACTTGATTGAGGTGTGACTGATATATAAAAAGCTGTGCATATTTAATAATATACATAACTTGATGAGTTTGCAGATGCATATACACCCGTGGAACCATCACCACCATCAAGGCCATAAACGGATCCATTACCTCCAAAAGTTCCCTCTCACACCTATATTTATTTATTTTACAAAATTGTAATACAACAATTCCTTCTGGAAGTCTTCCCTAAGTACACCCACCTAATTCACTCAACTATTCACTGAGCAGTCTCCAGGCACCAAGCCCAGACTGGCACCAGGGTTGTGCTGAGACACAGAACACAGCCTTCCAGGTCTGGGAGCCCATCGTGTTGGGACAGAAGTGCTAACAAAGGGCCTCTGAGTTCTCTGCACGTACGTGTCCAAGGCCCCTTTTTCTAGTACTCCATCTTTTTCGGTTTCCTGTCTAATGACACAAACCATTTCACCACAGGGAAAACGCTGAAACCAGACAGGCTCAATTTTTTTTAAAAATTGAATGTAATTACACTAGTAGTAATTAAAAAAAAAAAAAACTTAAACCAAAACTCCCAACCCTGTTGAAATAAAAACAATCAACAAATCTTTCTAAGTAATGTAGGTAAAAGAAGAATTCAAGGCAAGAATCACAGATGAGACAAAAATGAAGGCATCATGGTGCAATCGCTTAGGAAAACAGTCTGGTGGTTCCTTTACTGGTTCAACAGAGTTAACCATATGACCCAACATTCCACTTCCAGGTACACACCTAAGAGAACTGAGAACATATGTTCAAAGACTTATACATGAATATTCATAGCAGCATTATTCATAATAGCCAAAAAGTGGAAACAACCCAAATGTCCATCAACTGATGAAAGGATAAATAAAATATGTAGAAACACACACTGGAATATTATTCAGTCAAAAAAAGGAATGAAGCTCTATATGTGCTACCACATGGTTGAACCTTGCAAATATTATGCTGAGTGAAAGAAGCCAGTCACAAAAGACCACACCATGTATGATTCCATTTATTTGAAATGTCCAGAACAGTCAAATTCATAGAGACAGAAAGCTGATTACTGGTTGCCAGGGGCCGTGGACTGATGGGGGAAAATGGAAATGAGTGCCAATGGGTACTCGGCTCTTTTTCAGGATGATGAAAATATTCTGAAATGGACTGTGGTGATGGTTAACGCGACTCTATGAATGTACCCAAAATCAGTGAATTGTACACTTTGTGATACGTGATGTGTACCTCAACAAAGGTACCAAACAAATGAAGACAGAATAAACCAAAGCTCCCAAATAAGTCTACTGACACATTTATATAGCAAAATCAATTACAGGTAGATTCAAAAGTTCATTGTTAACATTCAAATGACAAATGGTGAAAAGGAAGAAAATATAGCTGCTATGTGACCTGTGGATGGAGAAACCCTTTCACAGCTTAAAGATGAAGAAAGACACCACAGTGGGAGAAACCAACAGATTTGATTTTAAAAATATGAAATGCTTTTATACAGAAAAAATAAAGTAAAATAAAGAAACAAAAAGCAAATCTGGGAAGAATATTTGCCACAAATATTTACACACACACATTTGCTTCTGTAAAGTCTTTAAAGCATACTCAGATTCCTGTAGACTGCTAAAGCACAAGATGGATCATTTCCCTGCCCACAGAAATGGCTAGTAAACATTTTCTAAGACTTGAACTTCACTAATAATACAAACAATGCTACTCAGAAATAAATCACGTGGCACCATTTGTCCCCTATCAGGCTCATCATGGTTTATAGCATTTGTCATTTATATCCATTTATCATTTATTATCATGGTGCAATATTGCACCAATCTAAATATATCCAACATGCAGAATAAATGCCTGACAACAGCCATATAAATCATCAGAGACCCGCTCAGACATGCTGGTGGGAATACATACCGCCGTAACTGATGTGGAAATAATATCAAAATACCTCAAAAATACCCAACCCAATCTTCCTCTTCAAGGAATCACTCCTAAAGAAATCATATAAGACACAAAGAAAGATTTGTGCCCAGTGTCCCTCATGACACTGTTTATAACCAAAAAAAGAATACTTGGAAACCAATAAAGGTCCAACAACAGAGGAACCATTAAGTAAACCAGGGTATGGCCACTGAACAACACTTTTATGGGGTCATTAAGATGGACGTTACAAAGGAGTTTTTAATGATGTGGAGAAATGCTCAGGATGAAATCTCTGATGAAAAAGCAATCTTTAACATTAAAATTGCTTAGCCAGACTCAAACATTCCAGAGTGATTATCTTTTGGGGTAAAATCATGGGTGAATTTGTGGGCCTCATTCCCATAAGCTTTTGTACTTTCATCACACATGTGGGCATTCACATTCACAAGAAGCATTTAGTGTGTTTGCCCATTTTAAAGGTCACACATCCAGCATGGTCCTGCGCAAGTTTTCACTCAATGTCACATGTCTAAACCACCACTTCCCACAGGTGCCCACCTGTGTCTCCTAAGAGTCCAGAGAGCTAGTTTGGCCATTCCAAAGCTTCCCTGTCCCCTACAACTGACCCCACAGCCAGGGTCAGCATCATCTATAAGCACAGCCCTCTTCATCAGGGCAGACACAGCCCCAGAAGATGGGACTGGGGGCCTTGGAGAGGGTTCGAGCAGCAGAGGCTCACCCAAGGCAGGATCCAGCCTTTGGAAAGGAGAGTGACAGGGCAACATGACTCACCAGTGCCTCATCAGTCAGCAGCTGAGCAGCCATCCCTCTGCTGCCCACGGTGAATAGGAAGACAGGCCTGCGGTGACCAACAGTGCTGTAGGGAGAAGAAAGAGGGAGGCATGCTGAGAGACCAGGCCTAGGCTGGCCTCACAAATGTAGACAGGACAGACACACACCCACTGAGAGACAAGCAGAGACAGACAGATAGACACACATACACATACATCAACAGTGAGTATTTAGAGGGCTTACTGCATGTAGGGAACTTGAATGTATATCACTTGATCTTCCAACCATCCTGGAAGGTAGGTACTACTTCTACCTACCCATTTCACAGATGAGGAGGCTGAGGCCCGAGGAGATTAAACCACTTGCTCAAGATTACAGAGCTGGGACTGGAGTCAGGCAGAGTATGTCTGGGTCCACAGCTTAGCCTCCAGGCTACAATGCCTCACAGATGCACTCCCATGTACACTCCTATAGATATGGTTAACACACATACACTCACACACATTCCCGCAGGCTGCTGAGGGCCACCGGACACCCTGCCTTCTCCCAATGGCCCTGCCCGGATCCCTCCTTGAGTGTGAGTGCTGGACTGAGGCCCCCTGAGATGCCCCAGAACCACCTGTGGCCTCTTTGGGCACTTCCCCCAGACTTCATGGGGTTACCATGAGGTTCAACTAGCAGATATGAGTGTAAGGAACTTCCACCCAGGGGCTCTCAGAGCCAGATTCGCCTAGAGAAATGCATCTTGATTCAATTCTCCTCCAGTTCTCCTGACAAGCTCAGGATAAAGTCTCAAGTGGAGAGATATCTTAACATCCCTGCAACCCATCACTCGCCCCTTGAAACAAAAGAAAAGCAGGAGAATAAGATCCTGTGATTTGCAACAACATGGATAAAACTGGAGGTCATTATGTTAAGTGAAATAAGCCAGGCATAGAAAGACAAACTTTGCAAGTTCTCACTTGTGTGAGCTAAAAATTAAAACAAACTCATGGAGATAGAGACTAGAATGATGAAGAAACCTGAGGCTGGGAAGGGTAGTGGAAGGGTGGGGGGAATGTGGGGATGGCTAATTGGTATTAAAAAAATACAGAGGGCCGGGCGCGGTGGCTCACGCCTGTAATCCCAGCACTTTGGGAGGCCGAGGCGGGTGGATCATGAGGTCAGGAGATCGAGACCATCCTGGCTAACAAGGTGAAACCCCGTCTCTACTAAAAATACAAAAAATTAGCCGGGCGCGGTGGCGGGCGCCTGTAGTCCCAGCTACTCGGGAGGCTGAGGCAGGAGAATGGCGTGAACCCGGGAAGCGGAGCTTGCAGTGAGCCGAGATTGCGCCACTGCAGTCCGCAGTCCGACCTGGGCGACAGAGCGAGACTCCGTCTCAAAAAAAAAAAAAAAAAAAAAAATACAGAGGGTTGCAGTGAGCCAAGATTGCACCACTGCACTCCAGCCTGGCAACAGAGCGAGACTCCATCTCAAAAAAAAAAAAAAAAAACAAACCCCAAAAAAACAAAAAAACACACACACAAAGAATGAATAAGACCTACTATTTGACAGCACAACAGGGTGACTATGATCAATAATAATTTAATGATACATTTAAAAATAACTGGCCGGGCGCAGTGGCTCATGCCTGTAATCCCAGCACTTTGGGAGGCCGAGGCGGGCGGATCACGAGGTCAGGAGATCAAGACCACGGTGAAACCCCGTCTCTACCAAAAATACAAAAAATTAGCCGGGTGTGGTGGCAGGTGCCTGTAATCCCAGCTACTCGGGAGGCTGAGGAAGGAGAATGGCATGAACCCAGGAGGCGGAGCTTGCAGTGAGCTGAGATGGCAACACTGCACTCCAGCCTGGGTGACAGAGCGAGACTCCATCTCAAAAAAAAAAAAAAACAAAACACTAAAAATGTAATCAGATTGTTTGTAACACAAAGGATAAATCCTTGAGGTGACAGATACCCCATTTATCCTGATGTGATTATTACACATTGTATGCCCGTATCAAAATATCTCATGTACTCCATAAATATATAAACCCACTACACACCCAGAAAAATTAAAAATTAAAATTAAAAAGAAAAGCAGGGTTCAGGCCCCAAAGTTAGGGTGACCATAATATCTCATTAGAACTACCTGGCTTTACTTCAATTTGTTTTAAAGTTTGTTTCCCTTCTTACAGCAAAACTCAGCTTCTTTTACAGCAGTCACACAGAATACCCTTTTAAACTAAGTTGATTTAAATTAAAAACAAAAAAAAAATCAGTGAGCCAAATCAAGTAAATGGCAAAGTAAAAAAATAGGATCCATGACACAGATGAGGACAAATTCTTGGAGTCTGAGACATGCTGGCTCAGTCCTGGCTTCTCCCGTGATGGGGGCTCACTACCCGTGCCACCAACACCTCTGACTGGAAATGAGTTTTTCTTCTGCTATAAACAGAAACATGCCTCTCTACATCTCCAACCCTTCAAGATCACCCAGAAAAGCCTCAATCCTCTCCAACACAATGCTCTTGTAGCTGGTGCACCAATTCTCAAAGTACCAGAATCACTGGGGATGCTTATTAAAATCTCACTCAGAATATATATTCCTGCCCCCCACCTCAGATCCTCTGAATCAAACTACCTGGGTAGGGCCCCTGAATCGGTATTTCTAAGCAAGTTTCCCAGGTGATTCTGACACGTCTTAAAGCGTAAGAACCACTAAGACAAAGAAGAGCCTTTCTTAGGCCAAATGGCCCCAACTTCCACAAGTGAAAAGTAATTTTAATTGTAGGGGGGCATATATATAAGGCCAAGTTGGCAGAAGCCTTTGGAACTCAATCGGGAACAATTCTGCCCCCGGAGACATTTGTCAACGTCTAGAGACATTTGCCAAACTGTCATAATTTGGCAGGGGAGTGCTATGGGCGTTTAGTTGGTAGAGACTGGGGATGCTGCTACACACTGTACGATGCACGCGACAGGCCCCACAACAAAGAATGATCAGGCCCAAAGGTCAGTAGTGTGGAGGTTGAGAAGCCCTGTTGTAGAACAAAAGGATCACAAAGGTGTGGGCTGGGGGTTCCTACCACTTAATGCCTGTACCCGGGCACCACACCTGGCCAACTGTAATCACTCAGTGAAAATGTCCTCTGGGCTAAAACTCTTCAAAACTCTTCGTTGGCTTCCCCCACCATTAGAAATCACTCAAAGTCTTCACTGCTGCCCACATAGCCCTTATGATGTGCCCCTGATGGCCTCTCCCCTTCCATCTCCTCTACTCCCCTCTCCCATGCTTGGCCCCAGGCCTCCTGGCCTCTGCATCTGCTGTTCCCTCTGGAGGGAATGCTCTTCCCATGACTACCCCTGCTTCCTGGTCAGCTCCAACGTCACCTCCTTGGAGAAGTCCTCTACCCCCAATCACCTGACCTCAAGCAGCAACTCTCTCCCCCTCTATTTTCTTGCAGTACAAACCACTATTGACAACTGTCTTTTTTAAAATAGTTGTTTTCAAGTTTGTCATCTGTCTTCCCTCCATGAGAACAGAAGCCCCCAGGGAGCAGGGATGATCACTTTCAGATTGTATTTCCGACATCTAGGACAACGTCTAACACACAGGAGGCACTTAGACATCAAGCTGAATGAACAGATGAGCTAACTTCTAGTGCTGGCCAGGATTGAAAGGAACAGGCCCTCTCACACACTGGTGAGGGAATGTGAGTCGCTCAACATTTTTCTGGAAAGTGAGCTGGCAATACACAAATCCCATAACCCAGCAACCCTGTTCCTGGGAATCTGCCCACACCAATAAAAGCTCCGTGTAAAAGTTACATATAGGAAAAAAAGATATTTATGGCAGCATTGTTTCTAGAGGCAAAAAAAAACCCTGAAAACAAAATTAATAAACATTACTAAAGGAATCAAATCGAGGGTAGGGTCTCCATAGTATGAAGTATCAGGTCGCCTCTGCGAAGCAGAGTTAGTTCTGCATCTGTTGACATGTCTGTGGTTTCACTAAGTGAGAAAAGCAAGTTACCCAGTTTTATGCATACCTTTAGCCCCTTTGTGAAAAAACAAACCAAAACATGTGGATGTGGACACATCTGTACAGCATCTTCCAGCCTGGGGAAGGCTGTGGAATGAGGCTGGGTTGGTGTCTGGAGGGCATGGAGTGGGAATGAGAAGGGGGTAGAAGTTATTAATTATTTTTTCTTTCTCTTCCTTTGAATTGTTTCCCTGGGTGTAGAAACTTCATATTACCATCAACATTTTTGAAACACAATTTAATATAAAAAAAAATTCCTTGCAGATAGTGGTCTCTTTCACCCCTGTCCTGTGAGGTCAAGAACACTGGCCCATTTTGCCAGATCACAGCAGTGACCAGAGCCCACTTACCCAGTAGGCACAGAGCATGGGGCCCATGAAACCTTTAGGGGCCCATAGGAAGGTCTTAATTTCTTTTAAAATCATAAGAAAATATCTAATCCAGCCTAGATTACATTTGTCTTCCTATTAATGAAATAACAAAATGTAATTTTTAGTGCTTTAAAAAAACAATGGAGCAAGGGGCCCATGAAGGCAAAGTACCCTTAAAAATCATGCAGCGGCCCTGGAAGTGACTTGCCCAAGAGTATGGCCAGTGGCTGTTGAACCCAGTTTGGCCTTAGATCTGGATTCTTCTTCCTCTGAGCTTTTTGGCATTTCCTTCCTTTCTTCCATTTCCATTGTTTCCAAGCGGGGATTCCCTCGGGGAAAATCCTGCAACCTTGTGTCAGCTGAGCGGAAAGGGAAAAAAGGGATCTCCCATTTGTCTGGTGGTTAATTGTGGGGGCTCTGGAACCTGGATGCCTGAGGTAGCCTTGGGTGAGTCACTTAGTCTGAGACTCAGTTTCCCCATCTGTAAGATAAGGATGATGATGGTCTCTACCTCAGAGTTACTGGGACATCTATAAATGGCCAGCACTGGCTGCATACACATTCCCTGAACAAATCAACCTCTCCTTGGTCAGAACAGAGTAGGGCACAGAGACCCTTTGGGAGTCTGATCCCACTTTAAGAAGATCCTGTGGGAGGCAGAAGAAACAGCCTTCCTTTTCCCCTCCTCCACCCGGCCCCTGTCACTCCCAGGCCCCTACGCCTCCAGAGCCTTCTATGGGCAGGAAAAAGCCAGGGAACTGTGGGCAGGCAGACTAGGAGAAGCGTAGGGTGAGAAGGTAGTGGCTCTGCTAGGCTCCCTTGTCCAGGCATATAGTCTTTGGAAGAGGCACACCCAGACGCACCCACCCCTGCAGAGTCACACGCAAACATCAAGAAATACTCTAGACACAGGTGGACACACAGAGATAGGAAAGATCCAGACAGGACTGGCCCCTGGAAAGACACAGCCCTACACTCATGCCAAGAGACATGCATGGAAAGAGCAGACATAGTGGACACCCAGAGGGCACCCTCCCACAGAGACACTCATGGACAGAGATCAAGGCTGACACACCCACAACACCAAAGACAAGGACACAGGCAGTCACTCAGAGATATCACCACACATGCATAGGCAGAGACCTGGAGAGACACAGCTCCACAGAGAGACCAAGACTCTGAAGAAGTGGGACACACACACACACACGCTACCACACATGACCCACACGGACATACATGGACACATTCACATTCATTCACAGACCCAGCCTCTGGACGACACGCAGTTTCTCTCTCTGTCTCATACACACACACACACACACACACACACACACACACAAACACACACACACAATCACAATATCCAGAGACACAGCCATACCCTCAGGACGACACAATCTGTCTCACACACACATACAGACCCACACAGACACACACACAGACACATTCACAATATCCACAAAGACACAGCCTCATCCTCAGGATGATATGCACTGCCTGTCTCTCACACAGGCCACCTTCCCCCCAGGATGGCCCTCGTGTTCATGCAACTTTCCTACCTCCAACCCACTCACGCCTCTCCCTCCCTGGCCCCGGCCTCTCCTCAGCCCCTCAGCCTCCAGTCAGCCTCTCCTTAGCCCCTCAGCTTCCCCTCAGCCTCTCCTCGGCCGCTCAGCCTCTCCAGGCGCACCTCGGTCCCGGCCTGCACGCCCTCTCCTGCGCCCGCACGCCCTGGACCAGCACCCAGCCCTGCACTCCCCGTACCTGGGCCTGCACGCCGTCTCCCCGAGGCCGCGCCCTCCCCGGGGCCAGGTTCCGGCCCCCGGCACAGGTAGAGGGTGGGCGCGACCCCGCAGCCACACTCACCGGCTCGCCGCTCTGCCAGGACAATGACCGCGCCCGCTAGGCCCGCCCGACGGCAGTGCGCCTGCGCGGACTGCGCCGGACTACGCTTCCCAGAAACCCGCGCGCGCCACCTCCCCCCGGCTTTTTTCAGCCGAGCCCAGCCGAGTGGAGCCGAGCGGAGCCAACTGAGCTCCTCCATCTCACAGAGGACTCCGCGGCCAAGGAGGCTGGGGCGAGAGGGAGGATTGAGGGGGAGGAGGCAGGGAAAGGGAAGGAGAGAGAAGAGACGGAGGGAGGAAGGGTGGAAAGAAAGACGGAGGGAAAGGAGGGGCGAGGAGGAGGGACAGGAGGGAAGGGGGGAGGAGGGAGAAAAGAAGTAGGAGAGGTGGGAAGAAGGATGGAAGGGGAGGAGGGATGGGGAGGAGCGGGGAGAAGAGAGAGGATGGAGAGGGACTTGGGGAGGAGAGCTGGGGAGGAAGAAGAAGAGATGGAGAAGGAGGAGGGGTTGGAAGAAGGATGGAGGGGAAGGAGGAAGGGCTGGGGAGAGACTAAGGGAAAAGAACAGGTCAGAGAGGAGAGGAACCAACAGAAAGAAGAGGGAGCGGGTGGGAGGAGGGAGGGGCAGGGAGGCAGGAAAGGAAGAGAATGGAGACGGCAAGGAGGAGAAGGAAGAAAGGGTGGAAAGGGGGATGAGAAGGTGGAAAGGACTATAAGGAAGAAGAAAAGGGTGGGAAAAGGAGGAAAGAAAGAGGAAGTCGAGTTGGGGAGGGCAGGACAGGCTGAAGAGAGGAAAGAATGGGTAAGGAGAGGGAGGAGGGAGGAAGGAAAACAGAAAAGGACAAGGGATGGGTGGAGGCAGAGAAATGAGGGGGATAAAAGAGGCGTGTCACATCTGCTGCAGACATTTCTGCAGTCCAGCCAATGGACTGGCCTGAGGGACCATCCCAGGCAACTTTAAACCTGATAATCATGCTTATCTTTAAAGAACACTTTTTAAGCATACAGATGTGCAAAGAAGAAAATGAGCATAGGTGTAGAATAAAATGTATAGGAGACTATCGGTTTGGACTGAGTTCCTGCACTAGGCCCAACAGATCAAATCGAAATGGAGCTACTCATGCTGAAGTTCCAGGCCACCAACTCCAACTAAGTTGTTACCTGACCTCCTCTCAGGAGAGAAAGAGAGAGATAATAGCCAAGTCCCAAACAGGCCAGTTTAGCAGGCATGATAAAAGAAATCCCCTTTGCTTTAACCATGATAGGGAAAGTAACTTTGAAATGACCCATCCACTCTTGTTCTCTGTTTCTGCTTTCCTCAGCCCGTTTCTGTGTATGAAGCCATATTCCTCTGCTTGGATCACCAGAACACTAGTTCTATTTTATAGAAGGAGGTGTGGCTGGATTCTAGAATTGCAAATAAAAAACAACTAGATCTTTAAATGTCAATTCCCTATATCTTTAGATATAAGAAAAAAAGCATTAATCCTTGTTGTGAGTTTCCTTTGTTCTGACCCCTGGTCTCCACATTTTATGATTTATAAACAATCTTCACAGCCAAGCTACTTTCCAGATTAGTTGGGTAATACAGACAGGGGAGCTTACACAAGAGGAAAGGTAGGAACCAGATGCCTGGCTGAGACCCTTTTCTATAGTAAACCACAAAGCCAAGTTTAAAAACATTTGCTGAATGTCCAAGTGGCCACAAAACCATCAACAGCAGCTAGCCTTAGGTGGTGATTAATGATGTATTTAAATGAAATATTTTATTCTGAGATAAATGTGGATTTATTCACGTCAGGTTGTAAAACATAATATAGAAATCATACAGAGAGACCTATGTCTCTTAGGTAATTTCACCCAAGGGCAACATCTTGCAATATCACAAGTAGGATACTGACGTCGGTCCATTCAAGAGACAGAACATTTCCATCACAAGGATCTCTTCCGATATTTCCACAAGGATCCTTCATCTTGCCCTTTTATAGCCACACTCACTTTCCTCCAGACTCGATCATTAGTCTATCCTCCATATATACAATTGTGTCATTTCAAGAATGTTATACAAATGGAATCATACAGTATGTGAATGGTGGAATTGGCTTTTTTCATTCAGCACAATTCTCTGGAGATATATTCAAGTTGCTGTATAGAGAGAACTTAATTATCTTGCATAACAGAAACTTTATACTCGTTGAGTAACGTCTTCTCACCTCCCCCAGCCCCTGGAAACCACCATTCTAATTTCTGTTTCTATGAGGTTGACTATTTTAGATTCCACATGTAAGTGGAATCATAAAGTATTTGTCCTGTGACTGGCTTCTTTTACTTAGCATAATGTACTCAAAGTTTATCCATGTTGTCGCATATGACAGGATTTCTTTTTCTAGGGCTTAAAAATATGCCATTGTGTGTGTATGTGTCTGTGTGTGTCACTTTTTTTATCTGTCCATCTGTCAATGGACATGTACATTGTCTTCATCTCTTGGCTATTGTAAATAATGCTGTAATGAACATGGAAGTGCATTATTCATTGCAACCTCCTGGAGATCTCCTTGAGATCCTAGTTTCAATTCCTTGGCCATATACCCAGATGGGGATTGCAGGAATATATGGTAGTTCTACTTCTAATTTCTTGAGGAATCTCCAAACTGTTTTCCAAGAAGCACCACTACTTTGCATTCCCACCAACAGTAAACAAGGGTTCCAATTTCTCCACAGCCTAACACGTTATGTTTGTTTGTTTTTTTTTGAGAATAGCCATTGTAACTGGGATGAAGTAATATCTTGCTGTGGTTTTGATTTGCATTTCCCTGATAATCAGTGATGTTTGAGCATCATTTCATATACTTGTTGGCTATCTATATGTCTTCTTTGGGAAAATGTCTACTTAAGTCATTTGCCCATTTTTAAATCGGGTAATTTGTTTTTTAGTGTAATTGAGCTGAAGGAGTTCCTTATATATTTTGAATATTAACCCCTTATCAGATATATGGTTTGCAAATATTTCCTCCCAATTAGTAAGCTGCCTCTTCCCACTGGTAATTGTTTTCTTATTACAGGATTTTGTGTGAACATAACTCTTCATTTCTCTGGGATAAATGCTCAGTAATGTAATTACTAGGTCATATAGTATGTTTAGTTTTCTTCTTAACAAACTGTCAAACTGTTTTCCAGAGTGGCTGTACCATTTTACATTCCTGGCATCAATTTATGAGAGCAGTTTTTCCAAATCCTAGCCAGATACCCAGGAGTGTGATTGCTAGATCATATGGCAAGGGTATGTTTAGCTTTGTAAGAAATCACCAAACTGTTTTCCAAAGTGCATACCCACAGCAATGAATGAGAACTGCTGTCCACAATCTTGCCACCATTTGATATTGAAAGTTCTTTTTGGATTTTAGTCATTCTAATAAGTGTGTAGTCATATCTTGTTGCTTTAATTTGCAATTCCCTAATGACATATGATGGTAATATGATGGTAAGCATCTTTTTCCATGCTTATTTACCATCTGTATATCCTCTTTGCAGTTTTTGTTAGATCTTTTGCCCATTTTTCAAGTGCATTGCTTTCTTATTGTTGAGTTTTATGAGATCTTTGTATATTTTGTATGTAAGTCCTTTAGCAGCTATGTGTTTTGAAAACATGTCCTCCCAATGGTGGTTTGTCTTTTAAGTCTAACAGTATTTTTTCACAGAGAAGTTTTTGTTTGTTTTTTGTTTTGTTGTGTTTTGAGACAGAGTCTCCCTCTGTCGCTCAGGCTGAAGTGCAGTGGCACGATCTCAACTCACTGCAACCTCCACCTCCCGGGTTCAAGCGATTCTTTCACCTCAGCCTCCCGAGTAGCTGGGATTACAGGCACCTGCTACCACACCTGGCTAATTTTTTGTATTTTTAGTAGAGATAGGGTTTCACCATGTTGGCCAGGCTGGTCTCGAACTCCTGGCCTCAGGTAATCCACCCGCCTCCAGCCTCCCAAAGTTCTGGGACTACAGGTGTGAGCCACTGCACCCGGCCCACAGAGTAGTTTTTAATTTTAATGAACAACTTATAAATTTTTTTCTTTCATGTATTGTGCTTTTTTTTTCTTTTTTTAAATTATTTTGGATTGTGCTTTTCAATCTTGTATTTAAAAACTCATTGCTAAACCAAAGGTCACCTAGATTTTCTCCTGTTACTTTCTAGGAGTTTTATAATTTTGCATTTTTACATTTAAATCTATGATCCATTTTAAGTTAATTTTGTGAAAAATGTGTCTGTTTTTTCCATGTGGACATCCCATTGTTCCAGCACTGTTTGTTGAAAAGACTGTTCTTTCCCCATTAAGTTGCCTTTGCTTCTTTGACAAAGATCAGCTGACTATATTCATGTGGTTCTATTTCTGGGATCTCTATTCTGGTCCATTGCTCCTTCTCTATTCTTTAGGCAACACTACACTGTCTTGATTACAATAGCTCTGTCTTGAAGTCGAGTAGTATCCGCTCTCCAACTCTGTTCTTCTCTAGTATTGTGTTGGCTATTCTGAGCATGTTTGTCTTTTCATATAAACTTTATAATCACTTTCTCAATATCCACAGAATAACTTGCTGGGATTTTGATTGGGATTGGTTGAGTCTATAGATTAGTTAGGAAGCACTGACATCTGAACAATACCAAGTCATCCTACCCATGAACATGGAATCTCTCTCAATTTATTTAGATCTTCTTTGATTTCCAAGGACTGTGTATCTGAAGTTTCCCTTCTGGGTTCAATCGCCATCCTGACCCTTCCCAGTGGCTTCCAGTGGGGCTTTTCCTCTTTCTTCCCCAAAAGAGGAACTGGATGGTATGGGGGTGGGCCTGGTTCTCCAGCATAGAGATGCCACTGAGCTGCTGCTGTGGCCTCTGCTTTATGTGTGTGTGGGGATGCAGGGAGTGTGAGTGATCCCAAGGGAGGTTCAGAAGGGAGGGGTTGTTGGGGCCCCAGGTTGTTGGTCCTTTGGAACCAACCACAGCTATTCCTCCCCAGATGTTTCTTCCAGAGTGCCTGGCTCAGGATCCACGATTCCAGCTGTGAGTGAAGGAATTCAGTGTAGGTGCAGGAGGGCCTGTGTGTCCTGATGCCCTGTGCCTCTAACCTCCCCCAGAATGTCCTGTCTGACGTTTTTCCAGCTCAGGGGTGCCGAGTCCACGTTTTTAATTTGAATGATCCAGTGGCCACAATGACCCTCCCCACAAAATGTAGGAGGAGACCCAGAGCCCATTTGCCTTCCTGGGGCACCCCCAAACCTATAACTGCTCCCTGAGCATCAGAGATGCCTAGATGGGGGATACAGGGAGGTGCTACGTTCAGGTAAAGAGAGGACCTACTGTCAGATGATGTGACTGAATTAACGGGCTGTCAGTGCATGTGCCAGGTACGGAATTGGTTCTAGGGAGGGCACAAGGGATGGAGTGTGGGCCTCTCACTCCACGAGCTGAGCTGGAATGGGACCCTCTCACCTCTCCCAGTGAGCGGGCAGGAGCAGGCTCAGATTTGAAAAGGGGGCAGTCTTGGGGGATCCCCTGAAGTCCTCTCTGAGTTCTGGTCTCTGCCCCTCTCTCCTCCCGCCTCTGAGCCAGCAGCTGAATGTCCGTGATCCAGAGATCCCGGAACTTGGACACCCAAGGATGGTGGTCTTTGTTTCCTGGGTCTGTGAGGGGGGTTCAGTCTCTACCTCCTCCTGAATGGGGGCTTGCCTGGCCTCCCTGGGCCCCACAACTCCAATGCTCATCCTCAACCCAGAGCCTCCAGACCATGGCACCAACCTCCCCTGACAGGTGAGCCTCCTCTGGGACTAGTGTGACCTCAGAGAGCCTTTAACTCAGCATTTCCCGAGAGTCCTTGCGCAGGTTGTTGGGGGCCTTGAGGAGGCTTGTTAGGGGTTCCTGGAGGCAGAAGCCAGGGCCCCTACCAGAGCAGCAGGTGGTGGTGACTTGGGGGTGGCTATAAGCTCTCCTGGGACCTGGAGCTCAGTACTCAGTGGGTTTCCATCAAGCCTCCCAAGGCCTCTCTGTGGAGTGTGAGGGGCTGGAGGCTGACCTCTGGGTTTTGGGGGTGAGGCAGAGGACAGGACCGCAGCCTTCATTCAGCACCCTCACCTCCTTTTCCTTCATCTCCTTTGCCCAAGGTGGCCTCCCTCCTTGCCCCTGTGGGCTGGTGGGAGCTCTGGCTGCTGGTCCTCACCTGCTCAGAGAGTGGGCCCCCTCCTCAGTGATGCCCTCTGAATATTCCCCACCAGGCAAGCAGACCCTTTACTGCCTCCAGGACTCATTCCAGAACCTGGACCTGGGGCCTGTCTTCCTGGATTCAGCAACGAACTGCCCCTCTGATTTAAGAACTGTGTGATCTCTCAGAGATGAGGTCCTTGAGGAGTGTATTAGGCCATTCTTGCATTACTGTAAAGAAATACCTGGTAATTTATAAGGAAAAGAGGTTTAATTGGCTCACAGTTCTGCAGGCTGTACAGCAAACATGACATTGGCATTTGCTTGACTTCTGGGGAGGCCACAGGAGGCTTACAATCATGGCAAAAGGTGAAAGGGGAGCCGCACATCACATGGCAAAAACACATGAGCAAGACAGAAGGGGCGAAATGTGCCACACATTTTTAAAGGACCTAATCTCACAAGAACTCACTCATTATCGAGAAGACAGCACCGTGCCATGAGGGACCTGCCCCATGATCCAAACACCTCCCACCAGGCCCCATCTCCAGCACTGGGGATTACAATCTAACATGAGATTTTGGGCAGGGACAAATATCCAAACTATTTCAAGGGGTGGAGCCAGTGCCTAGGCTGAACCTATACCGCATCCTCAGGACCAACAGCCCAGGGTAAGAGTCCAGCTGGTACTTACCTGTCCCCACTCTCAACATGCATTCTCTATTTCTTTCTTCATGTCTTTCTTTCTTCTTTTCAATTAAGACTTTAGTTTGTTTGTTTGTTTGTTTTCACTTTCTGGAAGTCTGAGATAATTGGCAACGTTTTCTGCCTTTAGCTATTTATAAAATATTCAACACTTGTGTTGTTTCATCTTGAATCTTGTTCTTAAAGCTCCCGTTCTTCTTGTTCAACTTACTGATGTGGCATTTTCAGGATATCTAAATCATTGTTCCCCAAAGAAGGAAATAGTCAAAGAGTAGATTGTAAAAATACATAGTTACAACGCAGAAGTTCACATAATTAACTTTACAGACCCTCCCCCTACAAATAAAACTCTTATGTCTGTTTTACCTGTTTCCAAATTAGTATGTGCATTCTAAATTATTTTGATTTTCAGTTTTAGCATTCATTTAAGCCATTTATGTCTATTTTGAGGCACATTTTTCCTCTTTTTTGATCATATATTTCCTTTAAAATTACTCAGATTTAATTAAAGCCCTTTGTACTCTTCTGAAAATACTTTATTTAAAACACCAATATGCTATTAATCAAAAACTGAGGGATCAATTTGAGTGACTCTAAATTGCGTGTAACTCAGACTGTCCCTGTTTGGGCACTGTATTAATAGTGCTTAGTCACAAGGACAGCAGCCCTTATGCCCTTATGAAGACTGTTCCTTAATGTTCCATGAGGTACATGCATTCTGAGTTCCAGGCTCCTTGGATACAAGGAACACAACAAACATGTCAGTGTGAAGGCCACATTGGGTGGGTGGTGGGAGTTTTTCCACCGTGATCTAGAAATGTCAATTCCTTCAACTTAACAGATGGCTCCTATGTCACTCCTGGCCAGCTTCCTGTAAAAGTCAAAGTTTGTCCTTCTGGGGTAAACTGCCAGAGACATTGTTCAGTTATTGCCAAGACTTCTCTTTAGTAAGAAATGGGAACTTGTCGGCCAGGCCTGGTGGCTCACGCCTGTAATCCCAGCACTTTGGGAGGGCGAGGTGGGTGGATCATAAGGCAAGGAGATCGAGACCATCCTGGCTTACACAGTGAAACCCCATCTCTACTAAAAATACAAAAAATTAGCCGGGCATGGTGGTGGGCGCCTGTAGTCCCAGCTACTCGGAAGGCTGAGGCAGGAGAATGGCATGAACCCGGGAGGTGGGGCTTGCAGTGAGCTGAGATCGCGCCACTGCACTCCAGCCTGGGTGACAGAGCGAGACTCCATCTCAAAAAAAAAAAAAAGGGAACTTGTCCTCCTACAATTTAAACTGGGAAGTGCTATAAAGTTGGCAACCTAACTTTATGTTTCCCAAAGGATAGTGATATGGTTTGGCTGTGTCCCCAACCAAAGCTCAACTTGAATTGTACCTCCCAGGATTCCCACGTGTTGTGGGAAGGACCCAGAGGGAGGTAACTGAATCATGGGGCATGGTCTTTCCCATGCTATTCTCGTGATAGTGAATAAGTCTCACAAGAACTGATGGGTTTATCGGGGGTTCCGCTTTTGCTTCTTTCACATTTTCTCTTGCCGCCACCATGTAAGAAGTGCCTTTCACCTCCCACCATGATTCTGAGGTCTCCTCAGCCATGTGGTACTGTAAATCTAATTAAACCTCTTTTTCTCCCCAGTCTTGGGTATGCCTTTATCAGCAGCATGAAAACAGACTAATACAGTAAATTGGTACCAGTAGAGTGGGGTGCTGCTGAAAAGATACCGAAAAATGTGGAAGTGACTTTGCATAGCTTGAGCTTCAAGCCTCTTAAACCTTGCCTGAGAAAATTTCTGTTTGGCATGATGTTAATTTCTACTTACATGAGAGCCAAAGAACTCCCAGTCCAGTTGTGGTAACAGAATCAGTCTACAATCGTCAATTAAAAATCTTACTTTGATTTTTTTTGAATTACATTGAATGTAAAGATCGATGTGTGTGTGCTTAAAGTAGATCAATATGTGTGCACTTCTTTTTAATAAAGAAAAAACTCTTTCAGTGGGAACAAAGGAATACGTGGCTGGTTCCTTTATACAAGGTGTTTTGTTAGAACAAAATAAAGATGGAATAAATATGTGCGCACACGTTACAGGATTTTTAGCCCATTCTTCTCATGACTCATCTGCCTTCATTTTCACAAAACAAAACACTGCATTTCCAGCTGTCATTGGAGAGTGAGAACATTGGGAAGGCTCTGTCACCTATCCATCCTCAGGATGACAAAACCCCACCGCAGCATTCCTTCCCCTGTCTGGCCCTTTCAGGGGGCAGATCATCGTGGTTTTGATACACATTTCCCTAATGGCGAGTGATGTTGAGCATCTTTTCATATACTTGTTTTTCATTCATATATTTTCTTTGGATAAATGTCTATTCAAACCTTTTGCCTATTTTTAATTGGGTTATTTGTCTTGTTATTGTTAAGTTGTAATTCTGGATTCATGTCCTTTACAGATAAATGATTTGCAAATATCTTCTCTCATTTTGTGAATTGTTTCACTTTCTCGATGGTGTCTTCTGAAGCATAGATTTTTTTGTTTTTTTGTTTTTAAGACAGTGTCTTGCTCTGTCACCTGGGCTGATGTGTGGTGGTGCGATCACAGCTCACTGAAGCCTTGATCTCCCAGGCTCAAGCAATCTTCTCACCTCAGCCTCTCGAGTAGCTGGGATTACAGGCATGCACCAACTCATCTATTAATTTTTTTTTTTTTGTAGAGACTAGATCTCACTATGTTGCCCAGGCTAGTCTCAAACTTTTCCTCAAGTGATCCTCTCACCTTAGCCTCCCAAATTCCTGGGATTACAGGCATGAGGTACCATGCCCAGCCTTGAAGCATAGATGTTTTTAATTCTGATAATAGTCCAACTTGTTTTGCTTTTGTTGCTTGTACTTTGACAGTTATATCTATGAAACTATTTCCAAATCCAAGGTCATGAATATATACCACTATGTTTCTTCTAAGAGTTTTACGATTTCGGTTATTGCATTTAGATATTTGATCTATTTGCATTCATTTTCATATATAGTGTGAGGTAGGGGTCCAAATTCAATCTTTCTTTTTTTTTTTTTTTTTTTTGAGACAGTCTTGCTCTGTCGCCCAGGCTGGAATGCAGCGGCACAATCTTGGCTCACTGCAAGCTCTGCCTCCCAGGTTCATGCCATTCTCCTGCCTCAGCCTCCCGAGTAGCTGGTATTACAGGCACGCACCACTACACCCGGCCAATTTTTTGTATTTTTAGTAGAGACGGAATTTCACCGTGTTAGCCAGGATGGTCTCAATCTGACCTCATGATCCGCCCGCCACGGCCTCTCAAAGTGCTGGGATTACAGGCGTGAGCCACTGCGCCCAGCCCCAAATTCATTCTTTTGCAAGTAGATATCCAGTGATCCCACCATTATTTGTTGAAATGACTTTCCTTTTTTTTTTTTTTTGAGACAGAGTCTCACTCTGTCACCCAGGCTGGAGTGCAATGGCGCGATCTCGGCTCACTGCAACCTCTGCCTCCCGAGTTCAAGCAATTCTCCTGTCTCAGCCTCCCGAGTAGCTGGGATTACAGGTGCACGCCACCACAGCCGGCTAATTTTTTGCATTTTTAGTAGAGACTGGGTTTCACCATATTCTCCAGGCTGGTCTCAAACTCCTGAGCTCAGGCAATCCACCTGCCTCAGCCTCCCAAAGTTCTAGGATCACAGGCGTGAGTCACCGCGCCCGGCTGAAACAACTCTTCTTATCCCACATTAAATTGTTTTGACATCCTTGTTGAAAATCAATTGAGCATAAATGTATGGGTTTATTTCTGGACCTTAATTTCTATTCCATTGATCTCTATAACTATCCTTATGCCAGTACTGCATAGTCTTGGTTACTACAGTTTTGATTTAAAATTGGAAAGTGTGACTCTCCAGCTTTGTTTTGCTTTTTAAATATTGTTTTGGCTATTCTGAGTCCCTTGTGCTTCCATATGAATTTTAGGATCAGCTTATCAATTCCCACAAAAAGGAAATTAGATTGCATTGAACATGTAGATAATGTTGGGAAGCATTGCCATCTTAATAATATTAAGCCTTCCAATGCATAAATATGGGATTTTCTTTCAACAATATTTTATAGTTTTCAGAATCTAACTTTTGTACTTTTGTTGATTCCTAAGTATTTAATTCCTTTTGATGCTATTGTAGGTAGAATTTTTTAAACCTTATTTTTAAATTGTTCTTTGCTTCTGCCACCAGGAGCCCCAAAAAACCTCCCCAAGGCCCCAATCTGCCCAAGGACTCTCAGGCCATGCTGAGTTAAAGGCTCTCTCTGAAGTCACATTAGTCCCAGAGGAGGCTCACCTGGTGGGGCAGTTTGGTGTCATTCCCATTTCAATTAGTCTTTTGATCAGAGATGCTCCTTCAGTTACAACCTCTCTACATAGCATTCTTGATCTGCCAGAGAGTCGGTGTAATGGTTTTAAAATCCATTAGACAAATGGTGTTTTTCTCACGGGAAGAATGAATGTATAGGTTTCTGGACTCTTGTCAGGAGACCTGATGTTGCAACACAAGAACCAATCCAGCAATCCTGCCTTTTGAAGTCTGAACAACATCCTTTACATTATGTTAAGAGATTTCTGGCCTTATAATGTAATTTATTAGCGGCCAGCATTTGGTACATGGATGAGTTCAACAAATTCTTAGAACCATGGCAGGCTACTCAAGCTACTTTGTCAATATATTCAGCCTCCTCAAATTTCACTTCCACAAATGCCCTAGATTTTTCTTAATCTACACTAGTAAACTAACTGCCGAAAATTCTTCTAAGATACAGTTACTCTTTGCCCTATTTTAATTTTGTACATATGTATGATTTTATTTATCTATTTTTCAAACAGGGTCTGGCTTTGTCACCCAAGCTGGATTGCAATGGTGTGATCATGGCTCACTGCAGCCTCGAACTCCTGGGCTCAAGCAATCCTCCCACCTCAGCCTCCCGAGTAGCTAGGTGCCACCATGACTGGAAAATTTAATTTTTTTTTAGATATGGGATAGGGTCATGCTACATTGCCCAGGCTGGTCTCAAATGATCCTCCTGCCTGGGCCTCCCAAAGTGCTAGGATTACAGGCATGAGCCACTGTGCTCAGCCTGATTTTTGCATTTAATGTTATGGTCATGTTAAATTCACTTTGTTATTCCATGTGAGCAACAATGGAATGGGGGAATAAGATGAACTGTTAGCTGTCTCTTCAGAACAGCCATATGTACCTATGCAAACAGATGTTAATAGGTGGTATATCACACGAATCCGGAAGTTCAGTATATTCCAATCCTTTGGCTCATCTCCAATATCACCTTTCCAATAGTAGAGCTATATTTTTTTCTGTTCAATATTCTGTTACACAAGAAGTATGACCATATATCCTGCTTTGCTGAGGATATGAACACCTGTTGTCAAGTGCCCTGTGCAGTTAGCTACTCCTTTCACTCTCAAAAATGTCCCAGTTTGAACAATAAATTATATGGTAATTGCATTAATCAGTTCAGGCTGCCGTAACAATATACCACAGACTGGGTGGCTTAAACAACCAACATTTATTTTCTCACAGTCCTGGAGATTAAAAGTCCAAGATCAAGGTGCTGGCAGGGCTGGTTCCTGGTGAGGTCTCTCCTCCTGGCTTGCAGATGGCAGCATTCTTGTTGTGTCCTTACACAGCATTTCCTCTGTGCACATGTGGAGAGACAAACCTCTGGTGTCTCTTCCTCTTATAAGGACACTAGTCCTATGGGATTAGGGCCTCACTCTTATGGCCTAACTTAACCTTAGTTTCTTAAAGGCCTTATGTCCAAATACAGTCATGTTGGGGTTTAGGACTTCAACAAGTAAATTTGGTGGTGGTAGAGGCCAGCATTTGGTGGTGCTGGTGGGAACACAATTCAGAACTGAATTCACAATTCAATTCACAGTGACTCTTGTGAATAAAGTATAAAATTTAACCAGCATTCCACTTTAACAATGCATAAAAATAGTCTCTAAATTTGGTTATGAGCCATCTTAACCCTATGACTTTAAACAATGTAAGACATCTTTCAACAATATCATACAAAATCCCTTAGGTGAATTTTTTTTGCCTTAATGCTAGAAATTCAAGAGCTAAACTTTAAGTTATTCCAAGCAGTTAGATACCAGTATTACATATACCTTTTGGATTCAGCATTCTCCATCCTCCTTAAATTATCATTATCCAGAACCCTAGACCTCTATTCATCCCAGGTGACTATAATGAATAATCAGGCGTTTGCTCATCGCACACCATGAGATGCTTTCCAGTCTAGAATATAAGTCTTATTCGCCCCATCTCATCCAAAAAGCAACTCCCAATACCTGATTTTTCCAAAGATTCTAATGCCCATTACCCAATCTTCGTACCAAATTCTGTATGATTGTTTCTTTACTTGCAAGCAACTGACCAACAGGAGGCAAAAATCAAGTACCGGAAAGACAATGGGTAGTTTGAGGAATCACAGACTTGGAAAGTACAAAAACCAGGGTGGTTCCAAGGACCAATCAAAAGAATAACTGCATCAGCTTTTAGGGAGTTGCCATTGGATGACACAGATCCAAATGCCTTTTGAAATTCAGAGACAATTTTATTGGCCACGTCCATCAAAAACATATGGTAGGGTATGGCCAGTTACTCAAAAGGAAAAGATGAGATAGTGCAGCCAAAAGGAGGAGGCAAGGGAAACTGGGCAGAGAAAAACAAATGCCTACTATAATATATATTTTGATTTTTATTTTTGATATCACAATTATGGGCCTATACTACAATACAGGTCTGCAATTTTTCATTTAGTATAGCACAGCTATCTTTCTATGACTACACACATTGATTTTTTTTCAACAGCTGCATAATTCCTATTGAATGGATATATACCATAATTAATTTATTTATTACCCTGATGGACACTTGTTGTTTTAATAGTTTACCATTAATTTTTTTGCCACTAATACATTTATCTACCTTTGTATATGTTGGTTTCCAAGGAATATTAATTCAAAGGGTATATACATAAAGCAATAGATATGTAATCAACAATGGAATTCCCTTGTTTCCACACATTCACCAATACTGAATGTTATCACTCGATTAGTCAGTCTTTTGGGGAAAAAGTAGATAATCACTTTAATTTGCATTTCTTGATTTCTAGTGATATTGGATAATTTTCATTAACTGCTTTTATTGCATCTTTTGTGAATGGGACATTAGTCCATTTTTCTAAGTTGCAGATTATTATTGGTTTGTAATAGTACTTTGAATATCACGAATTACAGTCCTTTATTATATCTGTTGCAAACACTTTGTGTCAGTCTCTCATTTATCTATTGACTATGATGTTTTCCACCATATAAAAGCCTAATGTCAGCTTTGGGGTTATGCATTAGTGCTTAAAGTCTATTTCAAACCGAGGGTACATATATATTATTCTGTTTTTCATGTACTTTAATTTTACATTTAGACCTTTAATATCTCAGGCATTTCATTAGTGTGAAAGGTACAGATCTGTTTTTCCAGTGAGCTAAGTTTCCCAATGCCATTTGATCAAACCACCTTTTCCCCACTACAATGAAAAATCCTTTTTATCATATATAAGGAGAGTCTGAAAGCTCCACATTCTCTGGTGAGACTACCCATCCCCTAGCCATTATGCTTCTATCAGCAGAAGTGAAGAGGGAGCCCCAAACTCCATTTTCTAGCAGTCATGTACTCTGGATAACGGCTTCCCTCACATGGCCCTCTATACTTCCACAGAAAGCAGTTAAGAGGGAACCCAAGAGCTCTGGGTGCTTCAGTTGAAAAAAAAAAAAAAGTACTCTTCCAGGGATGGCCATAACTACAAAAGGACAAGGGATTCCTCTTTGAGGTGATGAAAATGTTCTAAAATTGATGGTGGTGATGGTTGCACAACTCCGTGAATGAACTAAAAGCCATAAGTTGTACACTTTAAGTGGAACTTTGGGGCTCCCTCTTCACTTCTGCTGATGGATACAGAGAGAAGGATATGGGTGTTCTCCAGAATTGCTTTGTCTCAATAAAGCTGTCACTCAAAAAATACCCTTCCACCAGCTTCTAAATCAACATTTATATGAGTGAACATAACTGCCATGATCTCTGTTAAACCATCAATCCTCCCTTCCTCCAACACTCAAAGCATCATAAACAATATCTGCCTTGGGACTATCATGACTATTTTCATTATGCCTTTTGTGTCTCACAGTTACCTCTAGTTCTTCCCTCATCCTCTAATACCAACATGTTCTGGGGATAGTAAGGTGCCTGATCCAGCACTCCCTAGCTTCTTTTTTATATCATTTCTCTTTATGGGACATATCATATACTTATCACATAGCATGCATTTAATTTTTTCTGTTCTACTAGATCTGTAAGAGCACGTATTTTTGTCCATCTTGTACCTTACTGTATCCCCCAGCACCTAAAATAGTGTGTGAAACATTAGCAAATGTTCAATTAGTATTAGTACTACATTCCTAATGTAAACTACATTCCTCGTTAAAATCAAAATTCTACAGATGATCAGAATCAGCTTCTCAACTAAAAAAATATGGAAATTTTTACTGGAATATCAATGAATTTACAATTTAGGGAGAAATATTTTTATCAGATTTTCTATACAGAGGCATGTCTAGCCTTCCTATTTTTAAATATTTTAAAAATAAGTTTAAGTTGTAACATCTACATTCAGAAACTAATTGCAGTGTACATATTTTTATGTTTTGGCATGTCTTGTCAATCTCATGGAACAAGATGGAAGGTCTTATTGCATTTTATTTTATGCTAGAACAATTTAAATACCACACGAATTGTCTGTGGTACTTTTATAAAGGCCAAAGTATTGAACTACCCTTTTCAGTGTTTCATGGCTATTAATCTATTCAAGTTTTTTTGGCTTGTTACTTTTGGTTTACTACTACCTACCCTGGTTAGTCCTACATTCTACCAAATGCTTTTGTTCTTTGTTTTTCCTTGAGACAGTGTCTGGCTCTGCTGCCCAGCTGGAATTGCAGTGGTGTGATCATGACTCACTGCAACCTCTACCTCCTGGGCTCAAGCAATCCTCCTGCTTCAGCCTCCTGAGTAGCTAGGACTACAGGTGTGCACCACCACGCCTGGCTAATTTCTGTATTTTTTGTAGAGACAGGGTTTCACCATGTTGCTCAGGTTGGTCTCGAACTCCTGAGCTCAAGCAATCTGCCTGCCTCAGCCTCCCAAAGTGCTGGGACTACAGGCATGAGCCACCGCACCCAGCTAAAAGCTTTTGTTCTAATTGGCTGATTCTCACTTCTCAGTGTCAGGTAAAGTGAGAGTTGCTCATCAACAATGTCACAGAGGGAGTGATAAGCCACCATGTTACCTTGTGTACCATAAATCTTTCAATTCTGAGTTTGTTCATCTTTCCTCTCTACCAGGAGAGTAGTCTTCTGTCTGCTCTAAAATCTTAGTCTTAGACTTACTGTTTGGTTTACTTGCTGCTTAATATGATAGTTTGTAAGGAAACCTTTACCTTAATGGCTAGCATTTATTTAGCAATAACTATATGCCAGTGTGTGCTAAATCCTTGAAATGGATTAGTTAATATATTTTTCAAATCAAGTGTTTTAAATGGGAAAATAACATAAATTATGTATTTTTATTTTTAAAAGGTTAGGCTGCCTACAGTGTTAAACATGTAGTTGATAGAAGCAAAAGGGGCAACAGTTATGCTACTGCAGAAATCCAGATGAGATGGTTGCGTCTTGGACTATGATGATGGGACATGTGCTGGAAAAAAGCAGATGGATGCTAGAAGCATTTACGAGATTGAATCTATAGGACTTGGTGGTATGGGAGGGCAGAGGAGAGAATAACTGATGACTCTCCGGTATGAATTCGCTGATGATGAGCAAGATGTACACTCTGCCTGAAGGCTTTTCCACATTCTTTACACTCATAGGGCCTTTCTCCAGTATGAATTCTCTTATGTAGAGTAAGATGGGCAACCTGGCTGAAGGCTTTGCTACATTCCTTACACTCATAAGGTTTCTCTCCTGTATGAATTCTCTGATGCAGAGTAAGGGATTTACGATGGCTAAAGGCTTTCCCACAAACATTACATTCATAAGGTTTCTCACCAGTATGACATCTCTGATGACAAATCAAGGATGCCCTCTGCCTGAATGCCTTCCCACATTCAAGACATTCATACGGTCTTTTGCCACTGTGGAGTCTCTGATGTTGAACAAGATATGAGCCATCACTAAAGGCCTTCCCACATTCAATACATTCGTAAGGCTTCTCACCAGTATGAACTCTCTGGTGCTGAACAAGGTGTGCAATCTGACTGAAGGCCTTACCACATTCCTTACATTCATAAGGTTTCTCCCCAGTGTGTATTTTCTGATGTTGCGCGAGGTGTGCATTCTGGCTGAAGGTTTTGCTGCATTCCTTACATTCATAAGGTTTCTCTCCAGTATGAATTCTCTGATGATGAGCCAGATGCGTGCTCTGCCGGAAAGCTTTCCCACATTCTTTACATTCATAGGGTTTCTCTCCAGTATGAACTCTCTGATGAAGAGTAAGAGACCCACGATGGCTGAAGGCTTTCTCACAGATATTGCATTCATAAGGTTTCTCTCCTGTATGAATTCTCTGATGTACTGTCAGAGATGAGCCATGGCTAAAAGCCTTCCCACACACATTACATTTGTAAGGTCTCTCTCCAGTATGAGTTCTCTTATGCTGAATAAGTCCTATGTGATCAGTGAAAGCCTTCCCACAATCAATACAGTCAAAGGGTTTCTCTCCAGTATGATAATATCGCCGATGACGTATAAGAGAAGCATTCTGCCTGAAAGCTTTCCCACAGTCAATACATTCATAAGGTCTTTTCCCAGTGTGAATCCTTCGATGATGAGCTAGGGATGAGCAATCACTAAAAGCCTTCCCACATTCAATACATTCATAGGGTTTCTCTCCAGTGTGGACCCTCTGATGTTGAGCAAGGTGTGCAAGCTGGCTGAATGCTTTATTACACTGCTTACACTGATAAGGTTTCTCTCCAGTATGAACTCTCTGGTGTTGAACAAGATGAGCATTCTGGCTGAAGGCTTTCCCACATTCAGTACATTCAAAAGGTTTTTCTCCTGTGTGTATTCTCTGATGTTGAGCAAGGTGGGCACTCTGGCTAAAGGCCTTTCCACATTCAATACATTCATAGGGTTTCTCTCCTGTATGAATTCTTTGGTGAAGAGTAAGGGTTGAGATTTTGCTGAATATTTTCTCACAGTCATTACATTTTAAAAGTTTCTTTTCTCCACGGTCTTGCTTGTGTTTTTTCACAACTGAATGTGTTTTTAAGCTTTTCTTATCTGTATGAAAATTAAATATTCTCTCTTCCATGGGAAAAATCTGTTTTATATAAGATAATGTATTCAGATGAAAAACTGTCCCAGATTTGTTAGAGTGATCTCTTTTTTCAATAAGAGTATCTATATGAGTGATGGTCTCTTGCCTAAAATGTGTCTTCTGGTTTACAAGCTCCCTCTCAAACAAGTCTTCACATTTCCAGTTTTTCCCTAATGTTGAACATTCAAGGTCATAGCTTTTAAGTCTTTCCATTATGATTGCCGGGGGTAATTTTTCTTCATAAATATCCTGGTTTAAAGATAATGATTTGGTCACCCACACACACTCCAAGTCTGAAAGATATTAAGAAAGTAAATGTCTCCTTTATTAAATGCTAGAATAATGGAAATTTCGAAAATGAAAATGTGAATCACATAGTTATTGAAACCCACAAGCAGAGGTACATGTTTTTATGGTTCTTACATAAGATTAGGTGATACAACCATCCTTGCACTGCTGTAATAAATCCTCCTTGGCCATGGTATACTATTTCAATATGACCTTTTAAGATTTTGAACCAATATTGATAATTGAGGTTTGTCTCTAATTTCTCTTTTTGGTGCTATTTTGGTAATTTTGGTATCATCGGATATGCTGTATTCATAAACAAAAATGTTTTAAGCTCTCTTTTTATTCTCTATCCCAGAACAATTTAAACAACATTGATGATATTTTTCCTTAAAGAACTATTCGGGGATGTGGCTTCTTTTCTTGGGGGAGGCAGTTCCTATACAACATTCTACATTTCTCTGATGGTAACTTACTTGTTTAAATGTTGTATCTCCTCTTGGTATCAGTTATGGTAACCTACATTATTATATTCTTCTAGAATATCATCTATTTTTTCAAATTATTTTATGGAGAGTTGAGGAAAATAGATTCACATGATTCTTTTAAGTTCTTATGCATGTGTGGTTATTTATAATTATTTTGTTTTTGTGTTTTCTCTCATTTGTCCTTAGTTTATATACTGTGTTGGTTTTCTAATGAAGTATGTACAATACTTTATTTTCAGTAGCGCTACTGTTTCTAATTCATTTATTCCTACTTTTATTTGTAGACGTATAAATCACTACATATAACTTATCTGGGCTTTCCTTAAATTCATTTTGTTCTTTTTCTAATATTGTGAATCAGATGCTTACTGATTTTCATTATTTCTTATTTATTAATGTACATAGGACCACAAGTAACCCACAATCCTCTTGTTGAAACTATAAGAACTGAAAGTAGGGCCAGGTGTGGTGATGCATTCCTGTAGTCCTAGCTACTCAAGAAGCTGTGGTGGGAGTATTGCTTGAGCCCAAAAGTTCAACTCCAGCCTGGGTAACATAGCAAGATCCTGTCTCTAATTTTAAAAAGTAAAATAAAATAAAATAAAATGAAGAACTGAAAGTAGGAAAAGTCTACGCTTCAGGCCACAGATTAAACCAGGACCATCTCATTTGAGGTTCATTTTCTTGCAATATATTTCTGTCGTCTCTTATCTAGCTTTCTAAATCAGTAAAACAGCTACAAAGCAAGGCAAGAAAATTAAAAAAAAAAAAAAAAAATTGAATGAAATACCCTGCGTCAAAAATCCCAGTGAGCACAATATAAGTGGGGAAATGATGTACACAGGGAAAGAAAGTAATATTCATGAGCTAATTTCTTCATCTTTTGTAAGGGTATCAGAAGACAATGTTTGGAATACCAAGCAGAAAAATTCTAAAAGATCTTAAAATATATAAATACATAAAGGTAACAACTTGTAGAACTAAAAACTTTTCTAATTCAAAGGGTGGGGTGGTATAAAGAAGAGAGTGAGAAAAAAACAGACCTAATAAACAACAAAACAAGAATAAATAACACAAGAAATACAAAAAAGAAAAAGGCAGAGGGAAGAAAATAGCTGTAATACATGTTAACTCAATAAACTCACCTTTTAAGGAAAGGAAAATATTTAAACCAGTTCAAAAAACTAAACATCAGCTTGTCTAAAGGATTCAGAAATGTTTGAAGTCAGGGATGATGACAACAATATGGTGCTTGAGTAGAATTAGGTAAACATCAGTAAAACAAGAGCTCAGAAATAGACCCTGGTATGCATAAGAAATCAATAAAGGTAAAGGAGGCAAGTTACACTAGTAGGGAAGAGAATAACCATTCAAAAACTGGTGTTAGAAGAACAAGTTTCAGTTTGGGAGGGAGTTTGAGAGGTGTTTTCCAACACACTTCAGAGACAAGAACATGTTGAGAACAGTTCCTTTATCTCTAGGTATCCTCCACTTACCTGGGCACAGGCCTCTGTTCATCCCTCCTTTTATCACCCAAGGGTCTTTCTCTTGCTCCAGTAAGGAGATCACATCTGGTTTAGAAATGCAAAGACCTGCATGTAAAAAGACATATAAAAATTGCCTATGCTGTGGAAAACTATGGGAAATTCTGATAATGGCATAAAAGACTACTGAGTCATGGGGAGGCAACAGGAGGAAGATACTCTTACCCACTGAAACTAGGTTCCTGTAGTTTTCTAACATCACCTTCTTGTACAAACTTCTCTGAGCAAGATTCAGCCACTCCCATTCATCTTGGGAAAAGTCTATGGCCACATCTGTGAAAGTCACTGAACCCTAAAATGACACAAATATGATCTTGCTCACTCAGTGTTCACATTCCAATGCAGCTCTAGGGTAAAGAGTTATGCTGTTCTCACTTTGGGATTAAAAACACTATGTATAAGTAACTGCACTAAGGGTCTAAATGATCCGGGTCAGGTAAGTTATTGGACAACTTTTCTGCCTAGTTATGCTGTACATATTAGGAAAAAGAAAAAAATGAGATACTCCTTGCTCTTCAAACATTTGCAATTCTAGGTGGCGAGAATACATTACCAATGAAAAAATGCTGACTACATTCAAAACAGGATATAATCAAGTGCTAACGCAATGCTATTCATGTTAGGAGCTAAATCACTTCTCTACATGGAGAAGCTAAAGAGCTCTGGAACTGTGAGAAAAACTTGCAAGGAAGGATGCTGACCTGATGAACATGATTTCAATCTCCACAATATTTTCTAAGAAATCTTAGTGTTCTTGAGATGTTAAGAGGTATGCCTAAAAAATGAAAGGAAAAAAACACCTAGCTATAGTCTTTTCTTCTGAAATAAAAGTATATTTGTATTAGGAGAGAAGAACACATTTGAAAAGTTGTTTTTCATTTTCCTTTTTTATTTACTTCTTCATTTTGTAGAGACAGGGTCTTACTATATTGCCCAGGCTGATCTCAAACTCCTGGCCTCTCACAATCCTCCCACCTCAGCCTCCCAAAGAGTTGGGATTATAGGCCTGAGCCAACATGCCCAAAAGTTGTTTTTTGATAATCTAATGGGAAATTATCAGGAGAAATAATGTGATGTGAGCACATATCAAGCAACCTGTGTTTTGTTACATGAGCTCCATTTCCTAACCAACCCACAAAGTGATCCACTGGACTGTTACTGGGAGATTTTCAATTTTTTTATGACTTCACTTATATCAACATCAGACTTTTAAATAAATACCAGTTTTGAATAAATCAGAAAAAAGGTCAGATTACTCCAATGAATTTGGTCTGTAGTACTGACTAGCTGGGTGAGGTTGGCCAAATTTAACTTCCCTGTGCCTCAGTTTTCCCATCTGAAAAATGGAAATATAGTACTTGCTTCATGGCAGCACCGTGAAAATTAAATGAAGAAACAGATCTAAAATGCCTGGCATGATGTAATTGCTTAAGAATTGTTGCCTATGATAAGGATGAAGAAGGACAGAAGGGAAAAAACAGAGAGAGAAGAAGAGAAGGCCAAGAAGAACAGGTGAAACATTTCATTTAGTATTTCAATCATAATTCTTACATCTTATTTTACCTAACTGTAGTATGCTACAATAGTTTAGACATGGTCTCTGAATCTAGATTACCTATATTAAAATACTGTTCTGTTTAGTTAAGCTATCAGCTTTGTTTTTAACCATTGAAGATATTTTTATAAACTCAAGAGAACAGTCTATTGTATTTACATATAATATTTCCCATTTCTGTTGCACTTCCTTCACCCTGATGCTCCAAGTTCCCTTCTGGTATAATTTCTATCTGAAGAACTCCCTTTAGTGATTCTTGCAGAATTCTGGCAGTGAATGTTCTTAGTTTTCTTTCCTATGAGTAACTTTATTTTATCTGCATTCCTAAGGGCTACTTTCCCTGGACATAGTATTCTAGGTTGACAGTTCTTCATCGTTTTTCAGTGGCTGGTTTTTGAGATTTTTTTGTCTTTAGTTTTCAGCAGTTTGATTATCAACTAGAAGGCTTCTCCTGCAGCTCTTTCTGTCCACATCATTACCCACTTGCAGGTTTTGAGTCTCTTGAAGGTAAACGCACCATGGTCTGGTGGTACTTCAAATCTGGGGCTTTTTCCCCAATCTGACTGCTACTTTTTTTTTTTTTTTTTTTGAGACAGGGTCTTGTTCTGTTGCCCAGACTGGAGTGCAGTGGTACAATCTTGGCTCACGGCAACCTCCACCTCCCAGGTTCAAGTGATTCTCATGCCTCAGCCTCTTGAATAGCTGGGATTACAGGCATGCACCACCACACCTGGCTAATTTATATATATATATATATATTTTTTTTTTTTTTTTTTTTTTTTTTTTTTTTGTAGAGACAGGGTTTCACCATGTTGGCCAGGCTGGTCTTGAACTCCTGGCCTCAGGTAATCCACCCGCCTCAGCCTCCCAAAGTGCTGGGATCACAGGTGTGAGTCACTGTGTCCAGTCTGCCTGCTACTATTTACTTTACAGAGACCTCAGATTGCTGTTCCAGGCATGCTGTCCTGGTTTTATAGCAACTTTCACTGGGAAAAAGAGTGGAGTGTGCATAGTCCATCTTAACCTTTATGACAAATTCTGCCACTCTTAAAATATTTTCCTCTGGCAACTGACATGAATGCTTTTGTTTAAAATGTCCAAATGCGCTAAGAAACAAGTTACCTTGGTAGTGTATGTTTCATGGCATTATACCTAAGAAAAGGTGTCATGCTCTGGCCATAAGTTGTTATGCCTATTATAAAAAAAAAATTTTTGCCAGGCACAGTGGCTCACACCTGGAATACCAGAACTTTGGGAGGCCAAAGCTGGCAGATCACTTGAGGTCAGGAGTTTGAGACTAGCCTGGCCAACATGGTGAAACCCCATCTCTACTTAAAAAAAAAAAAAAAAAAAAATTAGCCAGGTGTGGTGGCACAGGCCTGTAATCCCAGCTACTTGGGAGGCTGAGGCAGAAGAATCATTTGAACCTGGGAGGTGGAGGTTGCAGTGAGCCAAGATTGCACTACTGCACTCTGGCCTGGGCAACAGAGTGAGACTCCATCTCAAAAAAAAAAAAGACAAAAAACAAAAAGAAAACTTAACTACTCCATTTTAAAAATTTTAATTTTCTAAGTTTGTAAACCAAATTCAATACTTTCTTACAATAAGCAATTTGCTGGTGAAACTAGATTAACAGTTTATCTTAATCAGAACATGAACTGTAGCTCTGAAGCTTCTATTGTTGGCCATAAAAATAATAAAATTTAAAATGTTCTAGGGTAGGGTCAGTTTGAGAAACTTTAATCCACAAGGAATGAAAAACTAGGAATTTAGTCAAAGAAAATAATCAGAGATGAGGGCAAAAATTCAACTACAAGAATAATTACTGCAACACTCTATTAACAGCAGATAATTGTCAACAATTTACCTACGGAACAACAAGGGACTGACTAAACAGATTATGGTATTCAACCTAGAAAGAAGAAAGGATGTAAAACATTCCTTGGCATTTTAAGATGTTCACGGCTCCATGGTCAAATGGGGAGAACAAACCTTTGCATACTCTGTTCAGAATGCCATCAATCCCATATGCCTGCACTTCCTCCATTTCATTCAAGGCGTAACTCAGGAATCACTTCCTCTGTGAAGTCCCCCCAACCCTTCCTGCCCTCAGCAGTGAGTAGGATGGTGCAGGCTATATCCTGCTCAAGGATCCCTCACCAAGGAGGCAGGAAGGAGCTAAAATACGGTAGACTTCCTCTTGCCATATTGTGCGGCCTGTTACAGAGCTTCATCAGTAGAGAGGAAGGGGCACTTTTTTTTCTAATTCACCCAAAGACATCATATGGGCTATTAATGGCCCTTCCCAAGTATTCCACTGTGAGTCTACTCTCTGCTTGCAGCACTTCTCACACTGCGTAAGTGTTTGCTGCCTTTTCATTTCTCCAGCAGATTATAACCTCTCTGAGAATCAGGACTGAGACTTAGGAACCAGGCATGGAAATTTCCTCTGAGGATTGTACTTCTGCTTTGTCAGATGCCTATGAAAAGACTGAGCACAAGGGAAGGGCTCAGACTGGGTCATTTCCTGAATGAAAAATAAACAATGAGCAGGAAGGAGAGAAGGAACCTCTGAGAGGGCACTGGGCTGTGTGAGTCTATCCCTCACTCACAACCCCATCACATATCAGAAAGGGAAGAAACAGGAAACAGGCCTCAGGGTGGAACTCTTAAGCACAATATTTTCAGAAGAAAACAAGTATTACCAAATCCAGAAAAGCAAAACTATTTTAGTGGGGAGAGGGGGAATACTAACTCACCAGGGACATGGCTTTACAAAGTTTAATTCCTGCCACCTCTACCTCTTCCTGGCTCTTCATTTGGAGAAGAGCTTTACTCTGGGATTGTAGAGCTGGGGAGAAAAAGAAGTAGTGAGAAACCAAGTAGCACTAATAATCAAAGTCTGAAAATGCTTTCTTCCCTTCAGCTTCTTCTGTCCTCACTCACAGTCCTCACTCCAACTCCCCCACCCCACAGTCCTGATGCTCTTTGGGAGACTTGAAATATATAGCTGGGGTTCCCCTCTGCTCTGGGTTTTCAGGATGAGCATAATATCTCTTGACCCCCTCTCCCCATCAGCCACCAATTCATTAACAACAGATTTATTAATACTAGCCTGTGTGTGTGTACATTTTTTTTTTCTAAGACAGGGACTCACTCTGTTGCCCAGGTTGGAGTACAGTGACGTGATCATAGCTCACTGTATCTTCAAACTCTGGGCTCAAGGGATCCTCCTGCTTAGGCCTCCTAAGTAGCTAAGATTACAGGCATGTGCCACCATGCCCAGCTAGTTTTTTTACTTTTGATAGAGATGGGGGTCTCACTATATTGCCCAATTGCTCACTATATTGCTTGAGGCCAGGAGGTGTCAACCTCCTGGAGTTAGGTATCTGGTCAACCTCCTGGCCTCAAGCAATCCTCCTGCCTTGGCTTCCCACAGTGCTGGGATTACAAGCATGAGCCACCATGTCTGTGCTGCATATATTAATACTGTCTTTAAATCTCCAAAATCTTCAAACAGAATCGGGTATATTGTCACCATTTTACACAAGAAAGCTCTGGGAAGTCAAGTCTTTTCCACAAGTCACACAAATTTGTAAATAACCTAGTCACCAACCTAGGTCTGGCTGACTCTATCACAGAAGTTATTTGCTCATATACCAGAAAATAACAGAAAATAAGTCCTCTGTGCAGTTGGCCAGGATTTGTGAACATTCTATAAGACAAATTCCATGGAGAATTCCATCTTTTCCAGAGAGAGGCATTCCTTTCGTTACAACAGAGTCCATGTGACTTGCAGACAACCAAATGAAAAAATCCTCATGAGGCCTAGGATCTCATTTTGTTTTGTGACAAACTACAGTGTTGAAGCAGTCCCTTGACTCCACTGAGCCATGTTTCCTTAATTAGGAAGGAAGAGGATAAAGTATCTGAATTAATTCTAGTTTCTTTCATCTAAATTCCACTGCCTTCTCAAAGGATTATCATAATGATGATAAAAATGAACACATTACATGGCAGGGACTATACCAAGTGCTTTACATGTATGAGGTCATTTAATCCTTATGACAGTACTGTGAGGTATATAATATTACCATCTCCATTTTACCTAAGAACTTAGAGTCATAAACTTTTTAAGAAAAAAACCCCAAACCTGCTCAGTGGAGGTTCTGGCATATGAACTATTTAGTTATTTAACCCTTTCAGAGTCAGTTTCTTTAATTGTCAAAAGTGGCTAAGAAACCTACCTGAGGCAGTAGTTGAGGAAACTACATGACAGCCAGTGACTCTGGAGTCAGCCTGTTCTGGATCTGAATCCCGGTTCTTCCACTTGCTAGTGATTACTTATCCTCTCTATGCTTCTGTGTCTTCATCTGTAAAAAAGAGGTAAGTAGTTCCTACTTCATAATGTTGTGAAGTTTGGTGCTGATACTCCCAAAAGGTCTTAGAACTGTGTCTGGCACATAATAAACACTCATTAAACATTAGCTATTACTATAGCATGCAGGAAACTAAACAAGCACAGAACAATATGGCTAAAAATAGCCCTTCCTCCCCCTTTCTCTTTATTGGAGTGGGAGGCCAGAGGGGAGGGAGAGAAGCCCAAGGAATGGGGATATCTTCCGTTATTGACTAGAACGTGATTAAGCCATAGAAAGGCTGGAATGCCTCGGCATTTCTGGGTGAAGCTGTGAATCTCGCCTTCTTCCCAAATCCTACAGTGATAGATGGGACAAGGCTCTGACGGGTAAAAATCTAAATGCTGAGCTATTCCTTCAACAGCAGCAGAGTACCCAGAAGTAATGCTATAATGGGTAATATTACGGGTAGTGTTCTCTCCCATGGGCCCTTAGTGATATACCAAGGACCTGAGTCAGGTTATCTGGTTAGGTGTCTCTGGCCAAGTCAAGGTCCCTCCCTAACTAAACCCAGCTCCACTCTGACCCAAGGTGACCCTCCAAATCTTTCGACTTCCAGGTCCACTAGCCTTAGAAACGGGGGACATCCTCCTCCAGCACCTGAACCCCGAAAGACAGCACCCAAAACCTCAATGTCCACTCCGGCAGCCACATCCGTCATCTGTCACTCTTACCTGTGTACTCAGTCCCCATGGTCTTCGCTCCTCGCCGTCCTGTGGACATGGAGCCCTGTCCTGGGCTCTGCCCCTTCCAGATAGGGCTGACAGGAAATGCTTCAGCCGAGGCTGCCCCGCCCGGGCAACTTCCCCGGGCTCTAGGACTTTGCCCACACTGGGCTCTACGCAGTCGATACAGGGGAGAACGGGGTAAGCCTCCTCCGGCCGGGTTTCCTGCTCTTGGCCACTTAAAGTGCTTCACTCATTCCAACACACACCGCCTTCCGCACGCCGCCGGGCCATGCACGCAGGCGCAGATTCGCGGCCACGCACCGGACAGTCACACACCGGGCCGCCATCCCCGCGCGCGCTCGCCCCTCCTCAGCACAGCACCGCACGCTCACCACGTATGGGCACTCACAGCCACCAGGCCACACGCGCACGCTCACGCCCGCCGCCCACACAGGAACCAGGACACCGCCCCCGCCGCGCCCCAGTCCAGCCTCGGCCGCTGCCCCGCCCAGACCTCCCTTCTCCTCAGCAACCGGCGGGACGTGCACTCGCCCGGCTTTGGGTCCTTTCCGGAAGTGGGCGTGTCCTCCGCTGCAATAGCCCCTGGGAAGTGTAGTCCGGAACGGAGGCGGCGTTCAGAAATAGGGCGCTGGCTTTGCCAGGAGCGGCTCCTCTCCAAGCCTGGCGGTCACTGCCCTGTGTCCCCTTTTGGGCCTCTCCTGGTCCTCCTGGTTGGATTAGGAGGCCTCTCAGCCCGGAGTCTGGGTCGCCGAAGTACAGGCCCCTTCACTGAAGCGACCCACGGCGCAGGGGTTTCTGGAAGCCATCGCCAGGCTCCGAGTGTTCAGATGCAGCTGCCAGGCTCAGGACGCAGAGAACTGGCTTCCAGCTCGCAGGAGCGCCTGTCCGTGGTGGGTAGGGTCGCAGGCGTGGGGTGTGCAGGAGCAGTGGGACAGCACTGAAACGCAGTCGGTAAGGCGTAGCGGCTACCCTCTGGAGAGGAAAACCATGACAGGGCGGGGCTTGGGGCGCGGGCGGGGCCTACGCGATAGAAAAGTGAGGAGATTGGGATTTGTCTGCTTTGCACACTTGTGACTTTCTGATGGTGCGCGTGTGGAACCTGTTTTATTTCATGCCTACTAGTTACTGCTCTCTGATATACGGTACGCCCCTCACCTCCCCCCACCCCATTTTATCTCTCCCTGCTGGAAGGAGGGTTCCAAGAAGGCACACAGCTTCCGTCCTGTTCAGGGTTATATTCTCAGTGACTAAAACAGCACATAGTAGGTGCTTAGTTTTTTATTTTTATTTTATTTTTTAGGAAATCACGAAATCTAGCATTGCCAGTCTCACCATGACACAACATGTTATAGGCTGAATATGTCCTCCCAAAATTACTATGGTGAAACCCTAACCCCTAGTGTGATGACGTTAGGAGGTGGGACTTTGGGGAGGTAACTGGTTTTAGATTAGGTCATAAGGGTGATACCCTTATGATGGGGTCAGTGCACTTATTAAAAAAGAGGAAGGAGGGGTCTCCATGTTTACACAACCACCAAGCAAAGGCCATGTGAGGACACAGCAGGATGTAACCCATTTGCAAGCCAACGGGGCCCTCACCAAGAACTGAATGTGCCAGCACTTTAACTTCCCAGCCTCCAGAATTGTGAAAAATAAAGTCTCTTAGTCAAGTCACTTAGTCTATGATATTTTGTTATAGCAGCCCCAGCTGACCAAGATACAGCATCATAGATACTGGCTCACCAGAAACTAACTCACCCTCCCAGTCACACTCAATCACCCAAGGCCACACAGTGACATCTAGACTGGACTCTCCTGGATCCAATTTATGTCAGACATCATAAACAACATAATAAAGCCAAGTCTAGCTGTGAAGATACTTTAACTATGAAACAGCAAATATCATCTTAGAGCTTGTAACGTTTGTGGTTATTTGAGTTGGATGAAAATGATAATATTCTCATTTTAGCTCTGGCATATAAAGAGCTCGGAAGCCTTCATTCCCATCTTCACAACAACAAAATCATTCAACAAACTGAAAATCAACTTTTCTTAGATCCATCAGAGAACTGAAGATAGAAAGGTAACTGACACCCCAAAATCCCGAGAAAGAAAAATACATAAAATTACAGCCAAGATTAGCTTACTTGAAGCAGAAGCCACTGGAGTTATAAACTGGTAAAAACTTTTATTTTTTATAATTTTGATGAATTGCTGGAGGCTTAGTGTGGGCTAACTTGTGAGTTAAAAACTCCTAGGGGCCCAATCTTAGATGGGCCCCCACACTTTCGTGAATTTTACCTCCAGAAACCCTATCAAATTCTCTCAGTGAAGAATGGGGAAAAATCTCAGGTTTTTGGGCAAGGGGAGGAGAAAAGTAAGCACCACATTTTCCATAATAAACACCTGCACTCCAAGAAAAACTACTTACTAGAGTCTTGTTGGACCTTGGGGAGAGGCAATTGGCCAGCTCCAGTCCCTCTATAGCCTGTCTGTCTCAGTAAGGCAGGATTTTTGAAAGGCTAAGAAGTGCTTCTGAAGATCACAGTCCAAGGCCTCAAGCCCACTAGAAAAATAGTATTTAATAATAAGATTATAGAATGCTTCCCTCCCCACTGTACCTCACTGCCACACTAATGGGGCTCTGGTCAATAACAGTAGATTACAACAGAGAAAACTGCAAGGCACAGACTCTATTTAAGAAGGAGTTCTTAGGGAAGCCCACAGAAGGAGAAGCATCTTGGAAAAAGTAGACAACATGCAAGAACAGATGGGTAATGTAAGCAGAGAGATGCAAACTGTAAGAAGGAATCAAAAGGAAATCCTAGCAATTGAAAACCATTGTAACAGACATGAAGATTACCTTTAGTGAGCCCCTCAGACTAAGACACTCTGAGAAATGAATGGGTGAGCTTGAAGATATGTTAATAGAAATTTCCCAAACTGAAATACAAAGAGGAAAAAAAAAGAATGAAAAAAGAAAAAGAACAGAATATCCAAGAACCATGGGACAATTACAGAAGGTGAAATATATGCGTAACTGGAATACCAGGAGGGGAAGAGAGAAAGGAGAGAAAATATTTGAATAATGACTGAGAATTTTCTAAAATTAATGACAGGACACCAGGCCAGTGTGGTGGCTCATGCCTGTGATACATACCAGCACTTTGGGGGGCCAAAGTGGGAGGATTGCTTGAGCCCAGGAGATTGAGACCAGCCTGGGCAACATAGTGAGACCCCATCTTTAAAAAAATACAAAAATTAGCCGGGTGTGGTGCTGTGTAATTGTAGTCCCAACTACTCGAGAAGCTGAGGTGGGAGGATTGCTTGAGCAAGCCATTATCCTGCCACTGCACTCCCTCCTGGGCAACAAAGCAAGACCTTGTCTCTAAAAGCAAGAAAACAAACACCAAACCACAGATCTAGGAAGATCAGAGAACACAAAGCATTATCACAAGTCACCTTTTGACATTATCACCAGCACTATTCAGTCCTTTTAATTTCTTTCAATCCTTTTTGTTTCAGATTAAATAATTTCTATCTATATTCAACTTCATTAACTATTCTGCCACCTCAAATTTCCTGTTAAACCTATCCAGTGGATTTTTACTTTCAAACATTGTATTTCTTAGTTTTAGAATTCCCATTTTCAAACTGATTTACTCATTTGCTGAAATTCCCATCTGCTCATCCATTAATAGCATTTTCCTTTATGTCATTCAGAATAATTATAATAGGGGCTTTATCATTCTTGTTTGCTAATACCAGTGTTTAAGGATTTGTATTGCTTTCTTCTCTTGAATGTGGCTTATGTTTTCACATATCTAATAATTCTTACTCTATGAGTAACACACTGTAGAGACTCTGTTGTCTCTACAGACAAAAAGTCCGTCTGAATTTTGTTTTTAGTAGGCAGTTCACTGTGTTGAACTCAATCTCCAACTCTTGTCTCACTGAGACAGGTAATGCTAAAGCCTTTGTTGGGATGCTTGGAGTTTGTCCAATACTTGTATAGAAAAGGGACTGTCCAGAAATTTTGGGTCTTAAGTGCTGGTGAAGGCTAAAAGGATAGTGAGAAATACTCCATTAAAAACTGGAGGAAAGAGGGTCCTTGTTATGTAATGGCAGAAAGTTTAGCAGCCTGTTATTTGCAGCTAATGCAGGAAGAAGAACTGGGTGACGTAGCTAAGATTTTCAAGGAATGTGCTGAATGTCCTGTTGCTGTTGTTTTCTTGCTGCTTACAGAAACATGCAAAAGAAGAGATATAAATTGAGGGAATAACTGTTAACAAAGAGGACATTAGGATTTTGAAAATTCTTAGCCTCTGTAGGTGGCAAACAATGCCAAAAACAAGAAAGGGCTTCCAAGCAAAAATGAAATCCAAGTTACTGCTAGGAAAACTGGTCTAGATAAAAACTAAGGGCATGGCTGTAAAATCCAGAACCTCAGAAAGACCAAAGCTGGTATCTCAGTACTATTTAACCACACAAAAGCTCTGTAAAGAGATTAAGGCGACCTGACAGACACTCTTATTCAAATAATTAGGCCTCTAAGAAGCTTATCTCAAAGAGATTTGTGGCTGTGGCTTTTGTCTTGTGCAGTGAACCCCAATGAGGTTCTCATGAAGCCCACAACATTTTCAGAAGACTCAGTAGAAACTCTGCCAACTGGAGTGAGAGGGACAGAGACAGCACAAAATGAAGAGACGCCACTAGATTCCTAAAACTCTAGTAAGCAAGCTAAGAAAGCTATTGATAGCATTTGGAGAGATACCTAATGTTAAATGACGAGTTACTGGGTGCAGCACACCAATATGGCACATGTATACATATGTAACTAACCTGCACGTTGTGCACATATACCCTAAAACTTAAAGTATAATAATAAAAAAAAAGCTATTGAACTGCAAATGCGTTGCAGGAAAAAAGGATTCAGAGGGCAGAACCAAGAGTTCAGATGGTGGATAATTATCCCAGGCCATGTGACCTAATAAAGGAATTTCCAAACATTTGTCTGGTTAGATTTCAGAATTGCTATGGAGCAGTGATTCCACTGTATCGGTTAGGGGTGGTGGAGGAGGGGAGACAGATAACTTGTTCTTTATTTTCTTTAAGTCTAAAGGTCTGCAGATCAATACCCATACTTAAGAAAGTATATCTTATGGGCTTCATTAGCACCTGTACCTATGTTAGATGACAAGATTATTGACTTTGAGGTGATCCTGTAATGAGGTGAGACTCTGAGAGGGGCCTTGGAAGGAGTGAGTGTATTCTGCATCTGGAAGGGAAATGAATCACTGGGAGGTGGGGACGGAGGAAGACTGTGGTGGACAGCCATTACGATGTCTCTCAAAGTTCCCCACCTCCTCTTACTCAAACTATTTTGTAATCCCCTCCCCTTGAAGGTAGGCTAAACCTAGTGACTCCTAATTAACCAAATACAAAGATGAGGGGATATCACTTCTAATATTAGGTTACAAAAGGACTTCATCTTCTATCTTGGGCATCCTCTCCTGCTCACTCACTTTTCAAGGAAGCCACTTGCCATATTGTAAGCTGCCCTACAGAGAGGCCCACATGGAAAGGAACCAACATGTCCAGCCAAAGCCTGTAGGGAACTGAGTCCTGCCCACTTACTTGAGCTTGAAAGCTGATTATCCTCTAACAAAATCTTCAGATGACTGCAGCACTGGCCCACAGCTAAGACTGTAGCCATCTGAGAGACCTTGAGCCAGAGGCACCCAACTAAGCTGTGCCTAGATTCCTTCCCCAAAGAAACTGAGGTAATGAACGTCTATCTGTTTTCAGCCACTAAGGTTTGGGGATAATTTGTTACAACAACAGGCAACTAACACGCCATCACAGTTCCTACTCTATAACTCAGGGAAAATAGGAATTCTATCATTAGTCAAAGGTATTATATTGATTAGAATTATAGTAGCTGCTATTACAATTGAAATCCAAATATCATTACCTTAACACAATATAAGTTTATTTCTCACTCATATAATAATCCATTGCTGGTGTTCCTTGATGACTGGGGAGCTTTCCTCCAAATAGTGGTTTAGGGACACAGAGTTCTATCTTTCAGCTTTGCCATTCCATATGATTAAGATTCTACTTCCGTCTGGACAGAACATCCTTTTCTTAAAAACCAAGCCCTGAGTGCCATATTGCTTCTATTCACACCACACTGAAGAAAATTCATCTGATAGACAAAACTGGAAGCAAAGGTGCCTGGGCAGACACATCCCAGGATCAATTCCAGACAATAGAAAAGAACACAAACTTTTGGTGGTCATCTAGTCACATCTCATATCATAGATATCATTAACAAATGCACACCCAGGACCTGGAAAAATAGCCACAGTATGCATTTGTGGTCTCAATAGACCTTGTTCTAAGCTACGCTTGTATAAGAATTCTTCCATAAGCCCTCACTCTGCATAAATGCAAGTCTTTTTCGAATTCCCATGGAATTGTTCATAGAAATTTTAATTACAGTCATTCAGACTCCTGAATGACCCAGTCCTGTGCCACTGATTTAAGTCAATGTGAGATTTGGATGCCATGCCATGGAGTGTTTTTAATTAAAATAAAACCTTAGTGCAGTTTCAACGCTGGGGATCAATTATTAATTACAGTGGAAATATCAGAAATCAGAACACTCTAGAGTTCTGAGGTTTGTTATAACCTTTTTACTTTCTTCTCATAGTTAATGATTGCCCTATAATCCAGCCACTACACATGCCACAGTTCTACACAAATCGGATACCCTTTTCAAATGTAATCACTCATGAAAAGTCTCTGCACCTAAAGGTGGAGATATAGGGACATTTTTCAGTGCTTCTTTCATGTCAAAGGAATATGGAAAGGCTATTGGGCCCTGATGGGAACTTGCAGATGAGTGAAGGGCATGGACATAAATGATCCAATCCAGCATTATAAACTTCTGAATTCTTTCAGTCCATCTATATTACGCAAAGTAATTTCTAACCCTGAAAATACACTTGCAACAATGTTCCCTAGATTTTAGATGTTACAATTAATGAAGGAAATTAAATATTTCTGGGTGAGATTAATCTCTTTCCTAACTTTCTGTATTTCAAACTACAGGTCATACTAAGCTCTGATTTTGGTTACCAGCCAAGCAATAATGGTGACCATGTGAGAAAAGGGACAATCAAGTTTTCAGTCACAGGCTGGGTATGGTGTCTCACACCTGTAATCCCAGCACTTCAGAAGGCCGAGGCAGGCAGATCACTTGAGCCCAGGAGTTCAAGACCAGCCTGGGCAACATGGCACAACTATCCACAAAAAATTTAAAAATTCTGGGTGTGGTGGCACACGCCTGTAGTCTCAGCTACTCGAAGAGGCCGAGGTGGGAGGAACGCTGGAGGCCAGGAGATCAAGGCGGCAGCAAGCCATGATTACATCACTGCTCTCCAGCTTGGGGGATAGCAAGACTCTGAGAAAGAAAAGGAAAGAAAAGAAAAGAAGAAAGGCAGGGGAAAGGAAAGGGAAAGGAAGAAGGAAGGAAGGAAGGTTTGTTTCCAGTCACAAGGGAAGCATGGAGAGGAGAATCAGTGGGGAGGTTGCTTAAGGGTTGAGAGGGAGAGTCAAGGGAGAGTCAAAGTTTTGTAAGATCCTTGAATCCTTCTTGTTAGTCTCATTCCAATAATCCAAATTCCAGTATTTCCCTAATTGCTTAACAGAAGTGACACGGTTGTGAATTCAGTGTGGGGAAAAGAGAGGTCAGACTGTTACTGTGTCTATGTAGAAAGAAGTAGACATAAGAGACTCCATTTTGTTCTGTACTAAGAAAAATTCTGCCTTGAGATGCTGTTAATCTGTAACCCTACCCCCAACCCTGTGCTGGCAGAAACACGTGCTGTGTCGACTCAAGGTTTAATGGATTTAGGGCTATGCAGGATGTGCTTTGTTAAACAAGTGCTTGAAGGCAGCATGCTTGTTAAAAGTCATCACCACTCCCTAATCTCAAGTACCCAGGGACACAAAACACTGCAGAAGGCTGCAGGGACCTCTGCCTAGGAAAGCCAGATATTGTCCAAGGTTTCTCCCCATGTGATAGTCTGAAATATGGCCTTGTGGGAAGGGAAAGACCTGACCGTCCCTGAGCCCGACACCGGTAAAGGGTCTGTGCTGAGGAGGATTATTAAAAGAGGAAGGCCTCTTTGTAGTTAAGAGGAAGGCATCTGTCTCCTGCTCGTCCCTGGGGAATGGAATGTCTTGGTGTAAAACCCGATTGTGTGTTCCATCTACTGAGATAGGAGAAAACCGCCTTAAGGCTGGGGGTGAGACATGCTGGCGGCAATACTGCTGTTTAATGCACCAGATATGTTTGTGTATGTGCATATCAAAGCACAGCACATTTTCTAACCTTGTTTATGACACAGAGACATTTGTTCACGTTTTCCTGCTGACCCTCTCCCCACTATTACCCTATTGTCCTGCCACATCCCCCTCTCTGAGATGGTAGAGATAATGATCAATAAATACTGAGGGAACTCAGAGACCGGTGCAGGCGTGGGTCCTCCGTATGCTGAGTGCTGGTCCCCTGGGCCCACTTTTCTTTCTCTATACTTTGTCTCTGTGTCTCTTTCTTTTCTCAGTCTCTCGTCCCACCCAAGGAAAAACGCCCACAGGTGTGGAGGGGCAGGCCACCCCTTCATTCAGTAAGCATCATTGTTGAGCAAATAACTGCATCTACTGCTGCCTTTTTTAGCAAATACAGCCCCATGCTTAAAAGGAGTATGAGATTCTTCCCAACACAGACATACAGGTACTGATTCAATTCCTTAAGGCCAGAATTTCAAGTAGCCTTGAAATTTTAATTACCCAATTTCATTATAAACAGGTATCATATATACTTTTGGAAGTAGTATTCCTCAATACCTTTGTTTTTGGTAGGAGCTATCCAGACCCTAGTGCACAATGGGCTTAGGATCCTGCTATATCATGAATATCCTTTCACAGCACAAAATAGGATTAGGAATTCATCTGTGCTTTGATCTGTCTCACTGGACATCCATCTTGAATACTCTGCTTCTCTACAGTCTAGTAATCATTCTGTAGTATAAATTTCTGCATTGGCTAGCTCTCTTTGCTTGAGAACCAAAGTATTTGACTCTGACTTAAAATGAGAAATATTAGAATACCAGGTAGTTCACAGACTCAAAGAATTTAACTCAAAACCAAGATGTGAGAAAGCAGGAATCATCTCAATGGATCTCAGTGACAGGTGGAGGAATCCTTAGGTTGCTGCCAAAGGATGACTTAATTCAAACGAATTCCAGCCTAGGAGTCATATCCCACATACTTCACAGCAGGTATAATAAAGGTCCCACCAATCAAAATGAATATTGACTAAAACAAAACATCCATTCTGGCCATACTGGTTCATAAAGCTGAATATTGGCCCTGTTCCTGTCCCTGTGTCTCTAATCAAAATACAGAGAATGAATCTGGTTGTCTTACTTGGAGCATGTGTCACTGACAGTTCATCAGAACAATACAGAATGAAGAAAGGGAAAGTGCCCGCAAAATGCTAGGAAAAGTCTGTGTGTTAAAGACAAAACCAGATTTCAACATAGATACTGAGGCTGTGCATGTGTTTGTATGTACATACACACATATATATTCAGTATTAATTTTGACTCTATGACTAGGTCATTTTACCTGTAAGGTTCTGTAAACCACATATTTCATTAAATATGTTGTAGACGCCACTCCATAGAAGTGTATGTAGAGCTTAACTGCTTTCTACTAATCGCACAACACAGTACTGAATAACTACAATTTAGTCAATCCACTTGGCAGGGCGCTGAATTCTTATTTGTCATAATTGAAACAATTCTACAAGAAAACAATATTTATATCTACCTATTTATTCCAATGGGATAAAATTCCTAGATCTGGAATTACTGTTTGAAAAAAATTCACGTTTATAATGTTGATAGGTCATGCCATCCGAGGAGATAGGGGACGAAGTTACACTGCTAATAGTGATCAAGTACCTGTTTTCCCACACTAATACCATTACTGGATATTATCCAAATTTTATATTGTAATCTACCAAGAGCCAGGAAAATGTGGTTTCATTCATATTCTTCTGATTAATGAGGTTAAGAATTTCACGAATTTTCTTTATCCATTTGGATTCTTCAGGGTGATTCGCCTATCAGTGTGCATGGCAAGTTGTTCCCCACTGCTCTGTATATGTAACAGCATTCTGTTATTTTCTATAAGTTGTATACATTTCCCTTCAACTGTCTTTTACAAGTTTTTGGTGCCTTTCACCATGCTGAAGTTTTAGATCGTTGCATAGCCCAACTTGTTCTCGATTTCTTTATGGCTTCTAGGACTCCATGTCCTACTTGATAATACGTTCCTTTTTTCTACATTTGCCTCTAACATGTTATTTTATGATTAGATATGTCAAATATGATAGTCATATTTCTCTGTAAGGTGTAAATGTGCTTCTAACTTTTTTCTTGGAGAGGGTGGATAACCAATTGTCAAAACATAATTTTCCCGATATTGAAATAATAGTGCCATTATATACTAAAATCTCATATGCAAAGAAATCTATTTCAAAAATTTTGGGGAAGAGTGAGGCAGGAGAATCACTTGAGGCAAGGAGCCCAAGACCAGCCTGGGCAACAAAGCGAGACACAGTCTCTACAAAAAAAATATTTTAAGGTTACAGTGAGCTAGGATCTTAGCACTGCACTCCAGCCTGGATGATAGAGTGAGGCCTCCATCTCTTAAAAAAAAAAAAATTCTTGGCCGGGCGTGGTGGCTCATGCCTGTAATCCCAGCACTTTGGGAGGCCAAGGCGGGTGGATCACGAGGTCAGGAGTTCAAGACCAGCCTGGCCAAGATGGTGAAACCCCATCTCTACTAAAAATACAAAAATTAGCCAGGCGTGGTGGCAGGTGCCTGTAATTCCAGCTACTCGGGAGGCTGAGGCAGAGAATTGCTTGAACCTGGGAGGCGGAGGTTGCAGTGAGCCGGGATCACGCCACTGCACTTCAGCCTGGGCAACAGAGTGAGACTCCATCTCAAAAAACAAAACAAAACAAAAAAAACTTCTTGCTATTCTTGCCTAATTATGCTTCCCTGTTACCGTCAAAGTAAATATATCTTACTGGGACTGAATTATAATTTACAAACATTTTAACAATATTGAGTATTTCATCTAGAAAAATATCATTTCTCCTTTTATTGACATCTTTATTTTTCAATATAGTTTAATAATTTCCTTTCACCTCTATTGATAAATGAGTTCCTTTATCATTTGTTTTCTTGTTTCTGATGTGACAGTTGTATTGCCCTCATAAAATTAAAATCTTTTATACATTTTTCTCTACTCTAGAGCAGAGGTTGGCAAACTTTCTGTTAAAGGATAGGAAATATTTGCAGTTTTGCGAGCCATATAGTCTGTCACAGTTGTCTAAAGCAGCCATAGTCAATAGCTAAACAAGTAAGCATGGCTGTGGTTTGATAAAACTCTATTTACAAAAACAAGCAGCAGATAGGATTTGGTCCATGGGCTTTAGTTTGATAACCTCTGCTCCATAGCAGGGATCACACACATTTTCTGTGTAGGATCAGACAGTAGATATTTGGGCTCTGCAGGCCACATGGTCTCCTGTCACAACTGCTCAACTCTGCTGCTACAGCCTGGAAGCAGCACAATCAAGGTGTAAATCACTGTGTGGCTGAAGCCAACAAAACTTTATTTACAGACACCAAAACTTAAATTTCATATAATTTTCATGTTGAAAATATTCTTTTCACTTTTTTCAACCCTTTAAAATTTTTTTAAATTCTAGATCATGGACCATACAAAAACAGTCAGTGAGACTGTGGCCATGAGTCATAGTTTGCTGACCCCTATTCTGGATCAGTTTACCTCACAATGAATGGTTCCTTAAAAGTTTTAATACGGTTCACTTATAAATGTGATTTTTAAACAAGTCAAATCTTGCAAAGTTTTCTAATTCTTGAGTAACGTCAGTTGTTTTAACTTCATGCATATAAATCTTGCATTTTTCTGATTTTTTAAATTCATTTGTCCCAGCTGGCCTATTCATTCATGGTCCCTAGACTTTCTAAAACAAATCAAGTCAAATGTAAAGTTTAATTTTCTCACCAACAAGGTCACATCACCTTACATTCACATAGGGTCAGATGGAAAGCCACAAAACTAACTTGGCATTATAGAATCAAGTTTTAAAACCAACAAAGGCAAAACCTCACCCACTACTGGAGAATTCTGTTCCTGATAGAAAATGTGCTTTTTCCTACCCTCACCCTACTGCATCATTTTTTTATCAGAGCTGACTACTGTAACTTTTCAATGTTCAAATACAAAGTTTTTAAAACAGCTAAGTTTACTGAGCACTTACTATGGACCAGGCACTGTGCTGAGCACATCTCACACATTAACCAATTTAAAGAAACTATAAGTTTTACAAGAGGAGTGAATAAGTTACATTTACACTTATGTGAAGAACTAACTAATAAGGGACAAAAAGAAAACAAAAGGGCAGGGAGATGGGGTTTTAAACTGCTGGAGTAGTCAAACAGAAATGACGTCTCGAGGCTATGGTGATGGGAGGGAGGATGGATTCCAGAGAAATTTGGGAAACAGATCCACAGGATTTGACGTGGAAGGTAAAGAGGGGCATGTTGACGACTCTCCAGTATGAATTCGCTGATGATGAGCTAAGTGAGCAGTTTGCCTGAAGACTTTTCTGCTTTTCTTATAGTTATAAGATCTCTCTCCAGTATGAACTCTCTTATGTTGATTAAGGTGTCCAATTTGGATGAAGGTTTTCCTACATTCCTTACATTCATATGGTTTCTTTCCAGAATGGATTCTCTGATGTACACTAAGGGATTGACGATGACTAAAGGCTTTGCCACACACACTGCATTCATAAGGTTTTTCTCCAGTATGACTTCTGCGATGACAAATAAGGGAGGATTTTGTCTTGAATGCCTTTCCACACTCAATACATTCATAAGGTCTTTGGCCAGTGTGCAGTCTTTGATGTTGAGTACAGGATGAGTTATCACCAAAGGCCTTCCCACATTCCATACATTTATAGGGTTTCTCACCAGTGTGAACTCTCTGATGTTGAATGAGGTGTGTGGTCTGGCTGAAGGCTTTACCGCATTCCTTGCACTCATATGGTTTCTCTCCTGTATGGGTTTTCTGATGCTGTGCAAGGTGAGCCTTCTGGGTGAACGCTTTACTACAAACCTTACATTCATAGGGCTTCTCTCCAGTATGGATTCTCTGATGAGTGGCAAGCTGAGAACTGATGCTGAAGGATTTTCCACACTCCGCACATTCAAAAGGCTTCTCCCCAGTATGAATCCTTAAATGACTGGCAAGGTGTATATTCTGCCTAAAAGCTTTTCCGCACTCTTTACACTTAAAAGGCTTTTCTCCAGAATGTACTCTTTGATGTTGAGTGAGTGATGCATGATGGCTGAAGGCTTTTCTGCAAACATCACATTCATATGGTTTTTCTCCGGTATGAATCCTTTGATGTACAGTAAGGGAGGAACCATACCTGAAGGATTTGTGACATACATCACATTTGTAAGGTTTCTCTCCAGTATGAATTCTCCTGTGTTGATTAAGCCCTATGTGGTCACTGAAGGCTTTCCCACAATCGATGCAATCAAAGGGTTTCTCCCCAGTATGATAGTATCTCCAGTGACGGATAAGGGATGTGTTCTGTATGAAAGCTTTCCCACACTCAATGCACTCATAGGGCTTCTTGCCAGTGTGACATCTCTGGTGTCGGGCAAAGGATGAGCCGTCACTAAAGGCCTTCCCACATTCATTACATTTATAAGGTTTCTCTCCAGTGTGAATTCTCTGATGAACAGTAAGAGATGAGCTCTGGGTAAAAGTTTTCTTACATTCATTACACTTGAAAAGCTTTTTTCCTGCATAGATGCCTGTTTGTTTTATTACCACTGAACTTTTTTGAAAATTTTTAATTGAATCACGATTATGAACTTTCTCTTCTGAATCGTCCAAATAGAACCATCTTCCAGATTTGTTATATGTACGTTCTCTTTCCTTAGAGAGGGTTTTGTTATGAGTAATTGGCTCTTGCCTGAATTGTGTCTCTTGACCTACTGCAAGCTTCCTTCCAAACACATAGTCAGAATCCCAATTTTCTCTGAAACTGGAACAATCAAGTTTAGTGTTTGAGGTTCTGTCTGTTACCCCTTCAGCATATGAATCTTGCTTTGGAAATAATTCCTGGGTCTCATGTACAGATCGCTGGCCTGAAAGATACCAAGAAAACACATATTTCCTTTTTCGTGTGCTAGGAAAAAGGAATCTGCCAAAAGGAAAACTAGTGAATTAATTCACTAATTGGTGAATTCATCAACATACATTTTACAGCTCTAAAAACTATTACATTTAGGGCCAGGCACAGTGGCTTACACCTGTAATCCCAGTGCTTTGGGAGGCTGAGGTGGATCACCTGAGGCAGATCACTTGAGGCGGATCACTTGAGGCCAGGACAACATAGCCTGCACAACATAGCAAGACCCTATCTCTAAAAAACTTTTTAAAATTAGCCAGGCATGGTAGTATGTGCCTGTAGTTCCAGCTACTCAGGAGGCAAAGGCAGGGGGATTGCTTGAGCCTAGGAGGTTGATGTGGCAGTAAACTATGATCAAGCCACTGCACTCCAGCCTGGGGAACAGAGCCAGAATCTGACTCAAAAAAAAAAAACAATTATTTTCACATTTTCCTGGTTACTTCCACAAGCCTGAAAACATCCTCAATTCTCTGGCCATTCTATAATGAAGCCTTGCAATTTCTCTCTTTTTGGCAATATTTTTCCAGCTTTATTGAGGCATAGTTGACAAATAAAAATTGTATATATTTAAGGTATAAAATGTTTTGATATGCTTATACATGGTGAAATGTTTGCCACAATCAAGCTAATTACCATATCACCTCACATAATATACTGTCACTGAATTGTACACTTCAAAATGGTTAAATTTTATGTGTACTCTTCTATAATAAAAATATGTAAATAAAACAAACAAAAAACAGGCCACACAGCAAAATACAGAAGAGAAAGGTAAGGAAAGAAGGGAAAAATGAGAAGGAAAGAAAGAAAAGGAAGGAAGGTGATAAAGGAGAGAGAAATAATTAAGTTACAGAAGGTCAAACAAATGTATTATATGATTCAAATGGGACTATACATCTATTCATTTTTTAAGAGATAGGAGTGAAACAAATGAAAAAATCAACAAAGTACGTGCTTCTATAAATGAAGATAATTCCCAAGTTAAGCTACTATATAGTAAGAAATACCATATGCAAACTTCTAGACCACACAAAATTGGGGAAAAATTTTATCAAACTTATTAAAAAATAGCATTCATATCAATGTTGCATAAATACAGGAAAATATACAACCCAATAGAAATGTGACTAATGAGTATAAACACACTATGAATAGAATACAAACTCTAAACAGATTTAAGAGCACATATTCTCAACATCGTAAGTAGTTGGGGAAATGCAAATTAAATAAAACATTTTTCATCTAGCAGCTTGGCAAAATTTTTTTTAAACTACAAAATACCCATATTGGTGATGATGTCTAGAAACAGTATTCTCATATATTCTTTACCAACGGTACAGCAAAATATCCATGACACTTTAAAAATACATATACTTCGACCATGCAAATTCATTTCCAAGCATATATCTTCAAGAAATATTCTGACATGTAAGCAAGAAGATATGTACAAACTGGACCACTGTTGATTATAGGTGAAAACTGGAGAAGACCTCCTAAATGTTTAAATATACTCAACAGTAAATAATTTAAATAAATTATATATATTCATATAATACTAAATAGTCATTAAAAATGAAATAGAACTATATGTGTCAAGTTGTTAGCCACACAAATAGGAGAAATCACATTAGAAATAATATACTGGACTATATAAAAATTGAAAATTTTTACATGTCATAATTTTAAAAGACCTAATTAAAATTAAAACTCTTATTGCCATATGTGAAAATAGTTTGAGACAATATATCACAGAATTAGTATGCTTATATACATAGCAGTCACTGAGACTGTTAAGAAAATATTTAACACACAAGAGAGAACTGGGTACAAATGACAGACATTTTACAAGAAGATAAGAGAAAAACCAAATTTACGAAAAAATGTTCAACTTCTTTCATAAAAAAAGAATAATTTTAGTGTATAATCTTTCAACAAATAATGAGCAAAAGTTTTCATGTAAATAACCAATACTTTCAAGATGCAATTAAACTCATACATCTAATTGTTGCTAGTCACCAAAAACAAAAAAACTTTCAGAGCCTAGCAGGTGCTCATATCCAGGAATACAGCAATCCCCAAAATGTGTAGTTTTCACTTAACTTGAAAAAAATCTATTATAATTGTATCTTTAATACTAAGAAATGTAAAGCAACCTAAGTGAGCAATGGTATATACAACGTGGAATCCACATGAAAAACGTGTATGCGTAACTGAATATACACTGTAATTTCTACTATGTGAAAAAATGTGTGTTTATCCTGACTTAAATGGATCTAAGGTGTATGTTGTGATAACGTCACGGTTTTATATTCTTTTGCCAAACAGTAAACAATTACATTTTCTACAAACCATTATTTTCTATGGAAATTTCCTTTCTTTCCCTTGTGCATCAAGAGGAAAAGATCCTTTACTTCCACCTTCTTGCAATTCAACTTCTACCCACCTGTCCTACTAAAACATAGACACCACTGGGAACAACATCTCCTTTGTCTCTATAATGCCCTATTTGAAATTCTGCAAACTCTACTTCATGCAAGCTATCCATAAACATGTCTTATCCTTTCCATTAGAGTAATTCACTGATGGCTTACATTTATGTGTAATTCTCCCTTTTTCCAATCGCCTGCCAATACTCAGCAGAGTGGCTCAATCCCATAACTTTCAATTTGTGGTTCTCACAGGAATGGATGCATGATGAAAACAATAGGCCATTTAACCACAGAAGAGAAAACCTTTGGAAGTCAGCTCAAAAGTGCATCAGGGTCCAGAAAAGATCATTTAAGGAAGCAAGTGGATGATACACGTCCCAGTGGCCAAGAAAAGAAGGAACTTCAGGGAAATGGCAGTTACTGGAGAGAAGGGGGCAAAGGAGGAGGAAAGAATTATTTGGAACTCCCAGAGTTCAATTTTCTTTCCAGACCCAGAGACCCTGGGTAAAGTTTCCTACTGTATATTAGTGAGGATGCAGCCTTTTTGGTAAAAGCTCCGCTCTCTCTTGCAGTAGATTTTCCACACCAGGCTCTCCTGCACTCACCTGAGAACAGGCTTCCTGTCAGCTCTCGCTTCACCATCCAGGGCTCCTTCTCTTGCTCTAGTAAAGAGACTAAATCTGGCTTAGCCACACAATGTCCTGAAAAAGTGAAAAGAGATGAGGTTTGGCCAATAGTCTTGGCATCCTAAAATTGAGAACCACTTCCTTGTTGATAGAAAAGTGTTACTGCTGAAAGAAACAGAAAAACAGGTGAGTAGGATCTGAAAGACACAAGAAGATAACGCTTCAAGCCTAACAAAGACACCAACTTTCACCTCTACAAATGCCAAATTCTTATCTTAGGAATCCACAAAATTCAGGCCAGCATGTCAGAAGACACCCCCTCCCTCCTCCATAATTCAAAACTGAAGTTTGGAAATGGAGGTACCCGACGATAGATTCAAATATGGGAGAGGGACATCCTTACCTGCTGATCCCAGGTCACTGTTGTTCTCCCATATCCCATTCTTACAGAAATTCTTCTGAGCTGGGTGTAGCTGCTGGCGGAAGTCAACAGCCAGGTTTTTGATAGTCACCAAGCCCTGCAATGGTAAAAGCACGTTTTTTAAATCAAACCATGTTCGTGAACTCACCTGGTCTCAGTGGGATGGACTGTGTCCACACTGCAAAAAAGGCACTCCATACCAAGAACTGCAACTTAAGTTCTGGTACACCAGGTCAAATAATGACAGGGCTTAGTTATAGCATACATGTTTGGGGAAAAACACAGAAAAATAGGAGAAACTTTCTGCTATGGAGAGTTTGTCATACTTACACACAGTATGAACTTACACACAGTATGAACCTTTTAACAGACGGAAGGCTTTCCCATATTCATACAAATTATTCAACAAGTCCACAGAGTTTTTCTCTTGTATGAAATCTTTGATGAAAAGGAGGGGTTGATATTCTGCTCAAAGCTTTTTTTTTTTGAGACGGAGTCTTGCTCTGTCACCCAGGCTGGAGTGCAGTGGCGCGATCTCGGCTCACTGCAAGCTCCGCCTCCCGGGTTCATGCCATTCTCCTGCCTCAGCCTCCTGAGTAGCTGGGACTACAGGCGCCCGCCAGCACGCCCGGCTAATTTTTTGTATTTTTAGTAGAGACAGGGTTTCACAATGTTAGCTAGGATGGTCTCGATCTCCTGACCTTGTGATCCACCCGCCTCGGCCTCCCAAAGTGCTGGGATTACAGGCGTGAGCCACCGCGCCTGGCCTCTGCTCAAAGCTTTCTTACATTCATCACAAGTCAAACATTTCTGACCTTGACAGATTTGTTTGTAATTCATTACAACTCAATTTCCCCCTCCACTGTTCTTATGTGTATGGAGATTAGGCACTCTCTGTTCTGAGGGGATAATCTGTCTATAAGAAGCATTGTATTCAAATGAAAACTTCTCTTATAGTTGTTGTAGTCATGGTCTCTTCCCTCAAGAAGAGTTTCCTCATGAAGGATCCTTCCTCTTGCCTGAAATTTGTCTTGTGACTTACCGGCTGTGTCTCAAACAGAGCATCATAATCCCAGTGTTCCCCTAACAGAGAGTACTCCAGATTATAGCTTGTGAGTCTCTCTGTTATCACTGCCTGGGATAGCTTTCCTTCGCAGAAGTCCTTCTTGAGAGGTAACTCCTTGATCTTCCACACAGCCTTCAAGTCTGAAAGACGTAAAGAAGGTAAATTTATCTTTTATCATGTGTTAGTATGAAGAAAAATTCCAAAATGCAACCGTTAAATTAAAAGCCACAAAAAAGCATATAGTCATTTATTTTTATGGAAGAAAATGAAAAGCATATCATTTTGAAAGCTTTCTTATATTACTAGCAATATTCAACCAACCCTACATTCCTAAATTTGTGTAGCCATAGTCCTAAAGGCCACAATAAGACCTTTCCCACCTAAAAGTTGAATAAGAGTTCACATTATGTTTTTAGCAGAAGACTGGAAAAAGCAATTAAAAATCAAGAGATAAGGGAGCTCACAAAGACTTAAATGTAAAATAAAATGTCTAATATAAAGAGAAAGTGGAGGCTATAGAAGAAAACTGCCATATGATCCTTATTTCAGCTTTAAGTCAACTCTTTTTCACTCCTTGTCCATTTCATCTAGAAAAAATTTCATCTCTATCTCTACATACCTCCTTTTTTTTTATTACGATGCTAACTAATAAAAGTCCAGATCCTGGCCTTAAAAATGTAAGTCTTCACAATTAACTAGTCTCAAGAAGAGATGAATGATCTGCAGGAAGAAAAAACAGTTCTATCTCATTAAACTAGCTCAAAGTATGTGATTTCATATGATGTTAAATTGGAAACTTTCACACATTCTTGTTCTCTTATGCTATATGATGACCCATGTGAGTCACTTTAATTTATAACTGTCAGTAACTTGTCCTGTTGTCAATGCAAGCGTTTCCTTTGAAGTGTGAATTGAACAAAGAAACCTTGTAAGATTCCCAATGCTTTAGAAACTGTAACCATTTCCTGTTAGGATAAAACCTCTGAAAGAAATCTATAATTCTAATTCCTTGTCTTAATAATTTGCTGTTCTGGAAATAATACTGTAGTTGAAATTTCTGTATTCCCAAATAGTAAAAATAACAGATATTCCTAAGCAAGAGGCTTAGGAAGAGTCTGCTGAAGATGTTGCGTGTCTGAGTCAGCTGAACTATGACCAGCAGTGGCCTCACCCTACCTGGTTCTCCCACACTCACCTGGGCACCAGGCTCTTGTCATCTTTCGCTTCACTGTCCAAGGCTCTTTTCCTTGTTCCAACGAGGAGATCACATCGGGCTTAGAAACACAAAGTCCTAGACACATAAAAAACAACCTGGTCATACTGTGTGGCTGTCCAGACTGAGATGCAGTCCCCTTGGCTTGACGCAAGAGGGCAGTGCAGGTCTGGGTGATAAAGGCATGAAAGGCTTCTTAGTCCAGGACGTGGGTAGGGTGAGGGGTGGGAAAAGGGGTGGGAGCCCTTACCCAGCGATGCCAGGTTCCTGTAGTTCTCCAACATCACCTTCCTGTACAAGTTCCTCTGAATGGGGTTCAGCCACTCCCACTCCTCTTGGGAGAAATCTACAGCCACATCCCCAAATGTCACCAAGCCCTGAAATGATATAACCATGTTCTTGCTCAACCAGTGCTCATGCCCCCACATGACTGGGGGTTTGTTATAGAAAGAAATGTGTCCCCTGACAAAACTCCTACATTAAACTCCTAATCCCCAGTACTTTTGAATGTGACTGTATTTAGAGACAGGGCCTACAAAGAGGTAATTAGGGTTAAATGAGGTCATATGGGTGGGGCCCTAACCCAATCTGTCTGGTGTCCTTATTAAAACAGGAAGAGATACCACGGTGTGCAGGCACAGGGAAAAGACCACGTGAGGACACAGAGAGAAGACGGCCGTCTGCAAGCCAAGGAGAGAGGCCTCAGGTGAAACCAAACCTGCAGGCACCTTGATCTTGGACTTCCAGCCTCCAGAAGCTTGAGAAAAGAAATTTCTGTTGTTTAAGACACCCATTCTGTGGTATTTGTTCTGGCAGCCCTAACAAACTAATATAGGGATCTAAAGATTCCTTGTCTTCATTTTGAGTAAGAGACTATAAACTCAGAACTGTGGAGATCTAGTTAGGTATTGTACAGCTAGCCTCATTCTGTCTTAAACTCCAGGTAAAAGAGAAAAATATGGAGACAGCCCCTGACTTTGGAGAACTTGCAGTTTTGTGGAGGTGAAAGGAGGCAGCCACAAGAAAAACCCCTGACATCAATTCAAAACTATAAATAACAAAGACTAACTTGTTCTATGCACAACAGGTACTACAGCACTGTCCAACATGGGGACATGTGAGTGGCCTGAAGCAGCACAAGAACTGGGCAATAAACTTGAGATGAACCTCAAAGCATCAATATTATTCATGACTAAACTGGGTTCTAAGAATTTCTATTTTTACTCTCAGTGTTCAGTAGAGGTCATTAAAAAAAAATCTAGCAATTTTTTTTTCTAAAATGAATATGTAATAAGAATGAAAAACAAAAAGCACTATAATGTTTTTAATTAATGAAATGCCTTTACGAACCAAGGTGCCATCTTGGAGAAGCTAGGCATTATGAGGAGCTATCAGGAGCACATTTGCTAACAGCTTGGCATGAGCAGGATTTTCTTGACCAACTGGCAAGATGGGGCTGCTCAGCTCCTGCTGGCAGATTTTTATGGAGCATAGTTTTACAAATTCAGCCTACAACTCTGATACGTTCCAATGTATTTTAAACATCTATTCAGTTGCAACTCTAATCCCAGGAACCTGTGGCTAACAGAAGGCAGATTTAACTGACTAGCAGCTGTGGGATTTTCAAAGTCTAAACTGAAATGAACATGCGAAACAGTTGGACTACCCCAAAAGCTGAATTACAATTCCAGCACTCACCAGCTCTGAAACCTCACTTGGTTACCTAACGCCTCTGTGCCTCAGTTCCCCAGCTATAAAATGGAAAAGGCAACAATACCAACCTTGTAGATTATGTTTTGGATTAAATGAGGCAACACATACACAGCACTTAGAACGTGCAAGGCACAATGGAAGCATGCAGTGAACATGACTTGTAATGATGCTGACTGTCATAACTCTCATCCATAGGGATGCTGCCTCTGCTTGTCACCCTTGACCTATATATTTTCAGGCAGTCCTCACCCAGTCCCCATTTGTGTGTTCTAGATAGAAAAGGCCCCATACTATGAAATGACTACTGTCCTTCTGCATGAAGCCTGGTGAACCTGATAATGTAGCCTTCAAGTTCCCTTACTGAGCCTTGAGCTCCCTTCAAAGTATCCAAGCCAACCCTGTCTTGGGAAACTCACCTAGATAATGCCCTGAACCCCAATAAAGGCTCCAGCCCACAGGTCCCTCCCTCTCTCTTGGTCCCCACCCTTTGGCTGGGCATGTGTGTCCTCAATGTCTCCAAGCCCTTCCAGTAAGCCCTGCAAGGTGTGCTGGCCACTGTTCTCTGGAATCTGTGAGTAATAAACAATCTTTTTGCCATTCTGCTCTAAGTGTCCCTCACCATGCTGCATCTGACTACACAAAACCTAATTTAAATACCTCACTTAACAAACCACAACACCAACCAAGAGCTGAACCTTTTAAAGATTCACATTATTCTACTAGAAACAAAAGTCCCTTTGAGGTTTGATATCTGCTGAATAATATACAATCACTTGTTCTTTAACCTGCTACCAAACTTTAAGGACATTTGTAACTGAATTGTGTAAAAATAGGTCAAAAGGGTTTTGTAAGTGATATCCCAATTTGAGTGAATATCAACTGCAGAGGGAGTTGAATCAGTCAACTGCAGAGCTACACTCTTGATGGTAAACTCATCATGGAGAAGTCTCCTAAGCTGGGGACTGAAAGGCCCCCTGCAGTGTAAACCATGAGGTAATACTTGCAGGAAACAGCCAAGAACTGCTTAATGTCCTTGAGCAAAAGACACACTAATATGGCTACCTGAGGAAGCTAGTCTAAAACAAATGCTGGTCAGCTCTCAGCAATAATTTTGCAAGTTGAAGCATCTTGGCATAAAAGAAGAGGAACTTATTTGCTTGCCAAGAAGAATCAACCCTAGTTTCCCAGGTTGATCATGCTATGCATTAGTGATCTGCTTTTGTACCAGTGGTTTGTTAAATGCCTTCAATGTAATCACGTAGAGGGACCCAACGTTAGCAATATACATATATCCTCCTAAGACATTTTCTGTTTATTCGGACAGCTCTTTATGTATAGAATCAATGACTTTTGTTTTAAAAATGTCTTTTACTGTAAATAACAGCAATAACAATAGCTGAAAGCACTTACAACACTTCAGACGCAATTCTATATACTTATATATTAGCTTATTTAATCCTCACAACGATCCTAATAGTCAGTACTATTACTATTCCCATTTTACAGATGAGAAAATATTGAGCTGTAATGTGCCCAGGATCACAGACAGTCAGCTGTAGAGCTGGGTTTTGAACCCAGGAGTCTGACTCCACAGTCCATGCTCTTAACCTCCACTTCAGGTGTCAGCAAAGTTTTTCTGTAAAGAGCCAGAAAGTAAATATTTTAGGCTTTGTGGGCCAAATAGCCTTGGCCGCAACTCTTCAATTTTGCCACTGTAGCACAAAAGCAGTCATAGATAATACATAAACAAACAAGTATGTTGTGCTACAATGAAATTTTTTTTATGGACACCAAAATGTGACTTTCATTTAATTTTCATGTATTCTTCTTCTTTTGATTTTTTTCAACCACTGAAAAATGTAGAACTCATTTGTAGCTGGTGGGCCACACAAAAGGAGGTGGTGGTGGGCTGGATTTGGCCTATAGGCCATAATTTGCCCAGTTCGGTCCTATATTAAACACTTTTTTTGAAGTACGCCATCTAAGTGTCTTGCCTGTAAATTTCTAAAACCGTCATGATGACATGAGGATGCTGCCAGCTAACACTAGTAAGTCCTTACTATGTGCCAGGTACCTCAATCCAGGCACTATACACATCTTAACTTAATCCTTACAAGAACTGCTTGAGGCAGGTCCAATTATTTTCCTCATTTTACAGATGAAGAAAATGTGGTCACTTGAGTTGCCTGAAGGTTACGCAATGATTAGATGCTAGGGCTAGCATGTGAACCTAGTCCATGACCTTTGACCACTTTGCCATTCTACTTCTATTAAAAGGTTCCACTTTGATAATAGCAGTAATACTTAGTATCCATTCACCCTGACAGTGAAACAAGTTCCAGTAGAAAACATGTTTTCAGATAAAAATAAAATGAACTTTCCCTAACTGATGTCTGGATCAACCTACTTAATTTAGGTGGAGACAAAACATTGTCAAATGTGCAGGTCCTGTTCTTATTCCTGTTGCTGCAACATAAATATGCAGACTTCAAAATGGGTTTCACATTTTTACACTATACCACAGAGAAAACATTATACAGGCACAGAATCTACTCCTGATATAGGCATCTGATGTAAGTTAACTCATCTTAATATACATATGAACTGGGTATGGTGGCACACGCCTATAGGCCCAGCCACTCAGAAGGCTGAGGCAGGAGAATTCCTTGAGCCCAGGAGTTTGAGGCTGTAGTACACCATAACTGTGCCTGAAAATAGCCAATATACTCCAGTCTGGGCAAAACAGTGAGACTCCCATCTCTTAAAAAAATTATATATACATATATATATAATATACATATATTAATATATATATAAAATATACATATATAATATATTCTATATAATATATAAACACACGCACACACACAAAGATAGAGACATTAAAAGAATACCAACAAAAAATAAAAGCAACTTTATACTTACAGAAAAATCTTTCTGTTGAAATTTCATAGAAAAGAATGAATATGAAGTACTTTATAGAAAAAATACACTAAAAAGATTTGTTTAAATTCAATTCAGTTAATTTTTAAAACATACAAATAAACATTTATTTGGTAATAACTATTATTCCTGATGAAGTGTACATTTTTTTCAAAACATGAATTCTAGCTTTTGAGGCACCACTGCTGTTCTATCCAAAAATAATTTTAGAAGTATTCCGATTTCACATAAGCTTAGGAAACCTTAATCCATGAGGCAAGAAAAACTTCTAGGAATGTATTCATACAAAATAATCAGGGGCTGGGCATGGTGGCTCACACCTACAATTCCAGCTCCTTTGGAAGCCAAGGTGGGAGGATTGCTTGAGGCCCGGAGTTTGAGGCTGCAATTATCTATGACTGTGCCACTGTACTCCAGCCTAGGTGACAGAGTGAGACCCTGTCTCTAAAAGCAAAAAAACAAAATAAAAAAATCAGGGACGAAGCACATTTTCAGGTATAAAAATGACTATTCTAACACTATACTAAATATCAAAACACTGGCCACAAGAGAACTTTAAGACTATATTCAAACATTCATCCACCAAATATTTTCTGTATCAGACATTAGGCAAAACTGCCCCAAATCCTTGCCTATGAAGTAAGGAAATGAGACAAGAGAAACTGAGATAAATTAAGTAAAATACATTTGACCTTCGAACAACATGGATCTGGGCTGCAAGGGTCCACCTATATGCAAATTTTTTCAACCAAATGCAGACTGAAAATACAATTATTGTCTGGGCGCGGGGAATCACACCTCTAATCGCAGCAATTTGGTAGCCCAAGGCGGGCGGTTGCCTGAGGCCAGGAGTTCGAGACCAGCCTGGGAAACATGGCAAAACCCCATCTCTACAAAAAATACAAAAATTAGCTGGGCATGGTGGCACATGCCTGTAATTCCAGCTACTTCGGAGGCTGAGATGGGAGCACTGCTTGAGCCTGGGGAGGTCAAGGCTGCAGTGAGCCGTGATGGCACCACTGCACTCCAGCCTGGGTGACAGAGTGAGACCTTGTCTCAAAAAAGATTATTTGTGGTATGGAAAACCTGTGTCCACTGAGGGCTGACTTCTCATATCTGCAGGCTCCACATGGCTGATGAATAAGTGCAAATTTTGGTATACGTGGGATTTCTGTATATAGTATGTTGAAAAGTACTACGAGGGCCAGGCACAGTGGCTCATGGCTGTAATCCCAGCACTTTGGGAGGCTGAGGTGGGCGGATCACTTGAGGTCAGGAAATCGAGACCAGCCTGGCCAACATGGTGAAACCCTGTCTCTAAAAAAAAAAAAAAAAAAAAAAAAAAAAAAAATTAGCCAGGTGTGGTGGCTACTCGGGAGGCTGAGGAAGGAGAATCATTTCAACTCAGGAGGCGGAGGTTGCAGTGAGCCGAGATCACGCCACTGTACTCCAGCCTGAGTGACAGAGCAAAACTCTGTCTCAAAAGAAAAGTACTAAAAGAAAAAAGCAAAGCAGGGAAGAGGGATGTGAAGAACAGGTAGGAGGCTCTGAAATTCTAGACAGGGTGAGCAGGAAAATGAGAAGGCGATTTTTCAGAAAGAAGAGAGTGATGTAGATGTCAGGGGTAACAAGGAGCCAGGTCATGTAGGGCCTGGTCAGTAACAGGAAGAGTTTTGGCTTTTATTCAGAGAAACCACTGGAGGGTCCTGAGCACAGCGTGACACAAGGTGACATGTTTGAATAGACCCCTCTGGCTGCTCATCGGGAAGGGGCTGTGGGGAGCGTGAGCAGAAGCAGGAGGTCACAGAAGCACAGTCAAGAAGCCCACAGTAAAAGGAGGACTTGGACCTGCTGCTGGTGATAGATGTGATGAAAACTGCCAGATTCTGCACATAATTTGCAAATAGAACTGACAGGATTTGCATCAGGACCAAATATGGAAGGAAAAGGCAAGAAATGAGCCAATCATGACAAGGCTTCCGGACTGAGTAACTGAGAGGATGAAACGGCCACTGACTAAGACTCAAACTGTGGGAGGAGCTGGTTTATGGGAGACTCTCAGGACTTCGGGTCTGGACAGGCTGTCTTGAGTTACCCATCAGACACTCAGGCAGAGGAGTGGAGCAGGATACACAGGCCGGCGGCTCAGAGGAGAGGTTTGGGCTCACAATGTGAATCTGGGAGGAGCCACCATGTGGGTAGGTTGTACAGACAAGGAACAGGCTACTATCCCCAGGAGACAGCATGCAGACAAAAAAAGAAAGGGCCATGAGCAGAGTGCTGAGGCACACTCTGTTCAAGTCACGGAGGTAAGAACTGTGGCAAAAACTGAGCAGTCAGGAAGATGAAAGTCAGATGAGTGTGAGATCCCAGTAGCCAAGGGAAAAAAGGGGGCCTATTGAAGGACAGGGATGAGCTATTTGAGGGATAGGTAGCCACCTGTTTTGTAACTGAAGTTTTACTGGAACACAGCCCATCCATTCATTTACATATTGTCTTTGGCTACTTTAGCTCTATAAGAGCAGAAAGGAGTAGATGCAGCAGGACTTTCAAAGCCTAACATATTTTCTGCTGTGGCCTCATCCAGCACAAGTTTGCCAGCCTCTGAGCTATTTCAAATACCAATGATAGTCAAAAAAGACTAAGAATTGAGCACTGCATCTGGTAATGTGAAGATCACAGTAACCCACTCAAGAGCAGTTTGGGTAGGACAACTGGAAGCTGGTTCATCTGTACATATATTTTTTGAGGCCTCAGTGGAAGTGAAATGGTTCATCTATTAATGAGCTAGCTATGATATTTATAGGAGAAGCCAACCGAAACAAACACAACTATTTACTGGCATGTTTTAAAGCCACAAAATCAAGTGGAAAAGCCTTTCATATTGCGCCTCCTCTCCCTAAAATGTTGTCTTTCTTTACTGTGCCTCCCAAACATCTTCTCTCCCTTCAAGGCAAGGCTCAAAAATCACCTCCTTGGTAAATAGGCCTACCCTTCCGCTACAGGAGGCTGGAAGCCAGGAGCGCCTTGTAGTCCTCGCTCATAATACTTGGCCCAAGGATGATCACATTCTAGAATCTTGCTTGTTTCCTTGACATTGGGTCAACAGGCTGTGAGCTCCAGAGCAGGGACTAGGGCTTAGCTATTGGTTTGCTCAGTGGCTGGCACAAAGTGGTCACCAAACAAACCATGTATAGCAGAAGAGTCTGCCGTGTTCCTCAAGGGGCACAATTCCTCCATCAGAGTCCCTCTGAGAAAAGCGGTACAAGGGAGAGGCTGAATCATTTCATCAATCAAGAATGAAGGCTGATTGGGATGAAGAAGAAGCAGGCATCGAGGCCCCGGGCAGTTTAAACTTTTCCCCGTAGCCCATCACTTCACTAGAACGTGAAGAAATAGAAACCCGCGCCCAAACAGGTCTCTTAAACTGAAAACTTTCAAGAAAATAAGCAACATTAAGTCCCGAAAAGCAAGACTGCATTTCAGAGACAAGAGATGAAATGCCAACTCACCTGGGACATGGCTTTAGGTTCAATTCCTGTCCCCACAGCCTCCAGCTTCTTGTTTCTCTCCTGGGGAAGAGCAGTGTCCCTGGAAGGCAGAGCTGAAAGAGAAAGGAGTAGCTAGAGACCAGGTCTACACCACAGTCCCAAATCACCAGCCTAGAAACGTCCCTTCCTGCATGAAAAGGTGGGATCAGATCATTACCCTGCCTAGGGACTGCCACAACGTGGAGATAGGTTTTTTTCCTCCCTGGGAGCACGAAAACAGGAAAAGCGTCTAGTTAGAGTCACCCTGGGAAAGTCAACACCCTTTTACCGCGGCTTGCTGCTCTGAATCAGTTGAGCTTCCAAATCTTCAGATTCTCCCACTCCACCAGCTTCAAAGACCAGGGGCACAGTTCTCCAGCAACTGGTCCCCGAGAGCCCAACCCCCTCCCAGATCTCATCCCGAGATGAATTCGTCCCTGTCCGCTCGGCCCCAAACACCTGTCACTCTCACCTCTGTGCCCAGGCCCCGTAGGGGCCGCTCCTCGCTGGCCTTTGGATGCGAGGCCATTCCTTGAGCGCGGCCTTCCCCGGGCAGGGAGGGCCAAGGTGGCTGGAGTCCCTACAGTCGGGCCTCGGCCCGCCCGGGGCTTTGTGCGGGGGGCGCCTCTACCCGGGAGCGGCGTCGGCTCGCGGACACTCGCGCTCGCCGCCCCCCGCATGTCACCCGAGGCCGCGCGACGCCCTTCCGACCGGTCCCTCACAGACCCACACCCCTGGCCACACCCGCCCGCCACGCCCAGCGAACAGCCCCGCGCGCGCTCCCCCATGGCCCGGCATCCACTGGGCCGCGCCGCGGAGCCGCCCCGCCCCCGGCCGCGCCCCGCCCCTCCCCACCCCTCCCCGCTGCCCCGCCCCGCCCCGCCCCGCCCCGCCCCGCCCCGCCCCGCCCCGCCCCGCCCCGCCCCGCCCCTCAGCCTAGAGAAGCCCGGCGCTTCCCACTTCCAGTGCGCAGGCAGCGCCGCCGGAACCGGGCGTGGCCTCGGCGCAATGCCCGCTGGGAAGCGTAGTCCCAAGCAGGGACGGATGCGGCGGCCCTCGGAGCTCAGGTTGCAAGATACGGTTTGGCCCCGGGCCTATGCAACGCCCGTCCGTCCTGCCCTCTGCGGGTCGCTCTCACTTGTCCCTGGACCGCAGCCGCCGCATAAGTGGTGGCCAACGCTGGGCCTGGGTGTGGCCGGAAGCAGAGGCCGCTCTGACTACACACCCACCCCCCAAAGGCTTCTGGGAGTCGCGCAGGCGCAGCGGCAGACCGGGTGAGGCGGGGCTTGCGGCGAGGGGTGGGACCGCAGGGCCGGAGTAAAAGGGTGCTTGGCTGTGACAGGTGCTAAGGGCCTGGGCGTCAGCTCCTTGCGGGAGCGTCACTGCCGACCGGGAAGGGAAAGGCAATCTTGGGGGCCTCCGGAGTCCGGAGGATCACTCTGATGGGTGATGTGTGTGGGCTAGGAAGGGGGATGTAGAGAGCTTGTGGGATTGTTTTGGGTGCCCCCTCACCTTCTCCCATTATCTCTGGCTACACGGGCCTCCCATCCTCCAAAATACCATTTTCCATTTTGTAACCTATGTATTTGCACGTCCTGGGTCGAAATAGTCTAACCCCAAATTTTCGTCTGGGCTGGCTCCTTTATGCCATTCACTTGTCATCGCCTCAGAGAGGGCTGCCTAACGTCTCAAAAATACCAGCCCTGGCGACCTCTTAAAGTTCCCTTCCTGTGTGAATCACGGTCTGAAGTTAGCTGATGGATTTATTCTTGAACATGTTTAGGACCGGTCTCTCCCCCAGGGGCCTTATCAGAACTGGAGAGCTTCATCCTGGGAGCCAAGGGCCTTGCTGGCTCACAGGCAGTGATGCTGTTACACCAGTCATCACAGATGCACTGACCTCTGCACGCCCAGTCACACTGCACGCCTGGTCTCCTTACTCTTGAATTGATTTCTTTCAGGTCTCCTGGCCTCAGTGATGGAATTAAGATGACTTCTATCTCTGAATCCAAGGGTGACTGAAAGCCGCAAGCTGCAGAAAGGACAAGGTCAGCATTTCTCTCAAAGCACTTCAGTCTCATAGAAAAGGCTTAGTTTCAGTCAGGTGGACCTAGCCATGTAATAGCTGTGGCAGACACTGCTAATGGTCTCTCTGGTGTCTATTTTGCACTCCTTCCACAGCAGAACATTGATGCTCTTCAAGTGGCCATCTGCCCAGCTTATAATACTCACCTCCCCAGTCTCCTTGTAAGGAGTAGTGGCTCTGTAACCAATGAATTTTAAGTACACATTTGCTGGGGGTTTGGTGGATGTGTGGAAAGAGACACAGCTGGCATGTAACTCTGGCCTTTTGTCATCTCACACAACCTTCTTCCTGCTTGGGTATGACACAGGATGTCAACAGGTAGAACAGCTGTAGAGAGCTGGCAAAGGGATCGTGGCCAACTCAACATTCCACTGGAGGCTATATGATCAAACAGCAAACTGTTTATCATGAATGCAGAATGTGGGCAAAGTCGCTTCTGCTCCAGCCACCAGAAGGTTTGCTGAAGGCAATCACTCCCTGGTGTCATGCTCCTTGAGGTTATCTAATGGGACATCTAGAGCCTATTGGTTGACGAATGCAGTCTTGCAAGCCTGCTGTAAATCAAGCTACTGACCGACAACCACCCCCCTTCTCCCTATTCACTCTAATAAATACGAAGGGCTGTAAAGGCTCAGGGCCTGTGTTCACTGGAAGCAAGGAGCCCCCAGACCTCTTCTTCCAAATATACTCTTTTGTCTTTGTCTTTATTCCCATGTTTGTCATCCTTTGTTCAGTCCAACAAGGATAGGGTCCGCTGCAAACAGCCACCTTGGCATCATGAGGATGAAAGTTATGCTAAAGATGGCTTAGCAGAAAAAAAGAGAAATAAACAATCAAAGAAATGGTATTAGAAATGAAAAAGTGGACATAATCACAGAAATTTTTAGAATTTTGCAAATACTGTGATCACCTTATCTCAATATATTTAAAACATATGCAGGGGCTTACCATAGAGAAAATTATAAGTACCAAAACTGACTCAAGAAGAAATGGAAAATCATTAAATAAGTTCTCAGGCTTTTCCATGAATACCAAAGCAATAAATAATCCTTATCCTATAAAACTATACTGGAGAATTTAAAACTAGACACCCTTGATACCAAAACTGGACAAGGACAGTAGGGAAAGAATTTAAGTAGGGAAAGAATTCCAATCTTCAGGGACAACATACACATTAAAATCCTACCTAAAGTGACAATAAACAAAGTCCAGCAATACATAGAAAAATATGTCATGTCCAAGGAAGATATGTCAGAATACTTTCATGTTCTGGAATGTAGAGGCATCACCTATGTGGATAAAGACAGCATCCTGAGTTGATGGAGAAATGGCATAGAAGGAACCAGGTCCTTTGATGACATCATGGAGCAAAGCTGTCTTCTTGCCTTGACCTGCTACCTACCTACATGGGAAGCTGTTACTTGAGAAGGCAATAAAATCTATCTTCTTTATTGACAGAGTTGACAATACCTTTTTTATCTTATTGTAGCAGTCACTTATCCTCAAATGACTGCTATATCCTATTTTCCTATTATATGGGGCTATATGCGTCCTTGTTCATATTTAGCAGAGAAGCAACAGAAGCACACTAAAGAATTATGAAGAAAAATATTTCAATATATCCAAATTTTTAGAGAGCTATAAGAATAATTTCATTATTAAGTTCTCCTGCAGCAGGAAGTTGACAAAATATCTCATCTTAACCACCAGGAGTTACACTGTGCTTTTTTTATAAACCCAAAACTATAGCTTTTTGAAAAACAGAAACCAACAAGAAAGATGAATAATCTCCCGGCTGAATCATTTAGATTAAGCTGATACAACTTATGAACTACTGCCAATCTTCACATTTGCCATATTTATAAATTGTTTTATTAATTTTTTTAAAAATTCAGTATAAAGAGTAATATATACTCACAATAGGCAAAAATAAAATTTATAGCACAAAGAAAGGATGTCATATGCTTAGGTGTCAGATGTTTAACAAACAGAATGTACAACATAATGACATTTGATTTGGGAAATAATACTTAGTCCAATGAATTTAGTTATCCAAGGAATCTACTGATTAAAAATATGAATTTTCTATAAAATCATAATTTCTGATTCTATATTTTTCTCTGGAGAGGTATTTTATGTTTTATGTCCATAGGGCCTTACCACATCATGGGACATAAGTCTTTCCTTAGTCACTCAGGAATAGCCTTGTGATATCTGGCTAAGATGAAGGGCAGTCTACTCCTGTCACTGGGAATTCAGTCAGCTTTCGATGAATCATCTGAGGGTGGAAGAGACACCTGAGCACAAGTTGAGTTTTGTTAGAAAAGACAAAAAGGAGACTGGATGCCAAGCAGGTAACCAACAGTACATACTGCCAAGAAGTTATCACAGGAGTGCCACGGTGGGGAGCCTGTTAATATCATTCACCACTATTAATAAATAAGGATGAAACAGTTCCTGGAATCATCTCAATAGATGATTGAGATAAAATGCAGCTCACACCTGTGATTTTAAAAAGAAAAAGCCTTAGCAAACTAGGAATGGTGGAGAGCTTCCTTACTTGGATAAGAAGATGGAATAAAATTATTATAAACCCCAAATACTTTCATTCAGCTTTGGTTAAAATGGTCTGTCAACATCAGACTGGAAAGCAAAGGTTTCCATAGGTAGTCCTGAAAATGGAAAGCAGTGGCATAGACTTTGTCTTTTATTATAAATAATATTTACTCATAACTTATTATTAATTGGAAAATGGAAAAAAAAAGCCTCAGACCAAGAGGTGAAACCTCACTTAGGTTAGATTTTGTGAGCCTACTTTAAAAGCAGTAGAGTGATAAATTGGCCTTCATCAAACTGAGATACACAGCATGTGAAATAAAAAATTCACTGGGCTTAAAAGCAGAATGGAAACAAAAGAAGTAAGACTAAGTGAACTTGAAGAGAGATTGATGGCAATTATCCAATCTGAAGCACAAAGGAAAAAAAGTTGGGGGGAGAAAAACACTGCTTCAGAGCAATGAACAGGCAGTAACTAAAATTCAAAATACAATACCATTTCCGATTATGAATTTTAGCTCCAGATCAACTGCAAGAACAAACCAGAAATCCCAAGAGTACCCACAGACCCTCTGAAGGAGGCAGGAGACACCCCAAATACTGTGAGTGCCCCAACTTCGGAAATGGGAAAGAGAGATCCTCCTCTTCCAAACATACCCCACCCCAACTGGAGAAACTGAAGGTCTGTTTGTGGGAGAAGTTTCTGACATTTCCTGGAGCTGAGTCAATTTAGAGAGCTGAGCAAAATACAGGGATAGAGGAAGCAGCGGGAAAGACCCTGGGAGCTTGCTGGACCCCAGGCAGGCCATTCCTGCCTGGCACCACAGGGATCCACTGGGAGGGCACTCAGGTGAGAGGGGGAAAACACCAAAGGGAGAAGGAAATCTCCAGCTGCACTTTGTGACACTTTGAACTGGGTGAGAAGCCTCCTGGTCAGAACTTGAGGCAGGGCACAGATCAGGTGTGCAGACTCTGCAGGCAGGAAAGAACGAAGCCCTTTTCTTTTGCAGTTTGGAGGCTCGTAGCCTGGGGCAAGTTCTCAAGCCTGGTTCATCCACTGGCTGGAAACAGACTCAGTTCTGTTGGGGGGTCACAGTAGGAGTGAGACCGGTTCTTTCGTTTGTGTGGGAGCTGGGTGAGGCCTGTCACTGCCAGCTTTCCCCCACTGCCCTGACAACCAGCATGACTCAGCAGAGGCAGCCATAATGCTCTTAGGTACCCAACTCCATTCATCTGGGAACCTCACCCACATCCCCCACAGCAGCCATAGCAAGACCTGCCCAAGGAGAGTGTGAGCTCAGACATACCTAGACCTGCCCCCACCTGATGTTCCTTCCCTGCCCACCCTGGTAGCTGAAGACAAAGGGCTTATAATCTTGGGAGTTCTACAGCCCCACCCACCAATGGTTCCTCTCCAAACTGCCACAGCTGGTGCTCTTTGGAAAGTGCCACCTCCCAGCAGGAGGCAAACCAGCACAAAAATAGAGCATTAAACAACCAAAGCTAAGAACTGTCACAGAGTCCATTTTATACCACTGCCACCTCCACCAGAACAGGTGTTGATATCGATGGCTGAGCGACCCATAGGTGGTTCACATCACAGGACTCTGTGCAGACAATGGCCAGTACCAGCCCAGAGCCAGGCAGACTTGCTGGGTGGCTAGACCCAGAAGAGAGACAACAGTCACTGCAGTTTGGCTCACATGAAGCCACATCCATAGGAAAAGTGGGGAGAGTACTACGTCAAGGGAATAGAAAAAGAATGGTAGAAAAGAATCTGAACAACAGCCTTCAGCCCTAGACCTTCCCTATGACAAAGCATATCCAAATGAGAAGGAATCAGAAAACCAACTCTGGTAATATGACAAAACAAGGCTCTTTAACACCCCCCAAAATCACACTAGTTCACCAGCAATGGATCCAAACCAAGAAGAAATCCCTGATTTACCTGAAAAAGGTTAGTTATTAAGCTAATCAGGGAGGCACCAGAGAAAGGTGAAGCCCAATGCAAGGAAATCCAAAAAGTGATACAAGAATTGAGGGGAAAAATATTCAAGGAAATAGATAGCATAAAGAAAAAAAATTAAAAATGCAAGAAACATTGGACACTTATAGAAATGCAAAATGCTCTGGAAAGTCTCAGCAGTAGAATTGAACAAGTAGAAGAAATTCAGAGCTTGAAGACAAGGTCTTAAATTAACCCAATCCAACAAAGACAGAAAAAGGAATAAGAAAATATGAACAAAGCCTCCAAGCAGTCAGGGATTATGTTACATGACCAAACCCAAGAATAATCAGTGTTTCTGAGGAAGAAAAGAAATCTAAAAGTTTGGAAAATATATTTGGGGAAATAATCAAGGAAAACATCCCTAGCCTTGCTAAAGATCTAGACATCCAAATACAAGAAGCACAAAGAATACCTGGGAAATTAACTGCAAAAAGATCATCACTAGGCACATTGTCATCAGGTTATCTAAAGTTAAGACAAAGGAAATAATGTTAAGATCTGTGATACAGAAGCCAACAAGCAACCTATAAAGGAAAACCTATCAGATTAACAGCAGATTTCTCAGCAGAAACCCTACAAGCTAGAAGGGATTGAGTCCCTATCTTCAGCCTCCTCAAACAAAACAATTATCACCCAAGAATTTTGTATCTAGTGAAACTAAGCATTATATATGAAGGAAAGATACAGTCTTTTGCAGACAAACAAATGCTGAGAGAATTCACCACTACCAAGGCACCACTATAAGAACTGCTAAAAGGAGCTCTAAATCTTGAAACAAATCCTGGAAACATATCAAAACAGAACCTCTTTAAAGCATAAATCACACAGGACCTATAATACAAAAAAAAAAAGTTAAAAAGCCAAAAAAAAAAAAACCAAGGTACACAGGCAACAAAGAGCATGATGAATGCACTGGTACCTCACATCTCAATACTAACATTGAATGTAAATGGCTTAAATGCTCCACTTAAAAGACACAGAACTGTAGAATGGATAAGAACTCACTAACCAGCTATCTGCTGCCTTTATGACACTCACCTAACCCATAAGGACTTCACATAAACTTAAAGGGTGGAAAAAGGCATTTCATGCAAATGGACACCAAAAAGAAGCAGGGGTAACTACTCTTATATCAGACAAACCAAATTTTAAAGCAACAGCAGTTAAAAGAGACAGAGGGATATTATATAATGGTAAAAGGCCTTGTCCAGCAGGAAAATATCACAATCCTAAACATATATGCACCTAACACTGGAGCTCCCAAATTTGCAAAACAATTACCAATAGACCTAAGAAATGAGATAGAGATCAACACAATAATAGTGGGGGACTTCAATACTCCATTGACAGTACTAGATAGGTCATCAAGACAGAAAGCCAACAAAGAGGTCTGGCACAGTGGCTCATGCCTGTAATCCTAGCACTTGGGTAGGCTGAGGCAGGCAGATCACCTGAGGTGAGGAGTTCAAGACCAGCCTGGCCAACATGGTGAAACCCTGTCTCTAATAAAAGTACAAAAATTAGCTGGGTGTGGTGGCAGGCACCTGTAATCCCAGCTATTCGGGAGGGTGAGGCAGAAGAATCACTTGAACCTGGGAGGCAGAGGTTGCAGTGAGCTGAGATCATGCCATTGTACTCCAGCTTGGGTGACAAGAGTGAAACTCCATCTCAAACTTTTAAAAAAAGAAAGTCAACAAAGAAACAATGGAATTAAACTATACCTTGGAACAAATGGACTTAACAGATATATACAGAACATTTCATCCAACAACCACAGAATACACATTGTATTCAACAGCGCATGGGACTTTCTCCAAGATAGACCATATGATAGGCCATAAAATGAGCCTCAATACATTTAAGAGATAAGAAACCACTTTCCTAAAACAGTCCTTCTTTGAAATGTGCCTAGCATCCTATGGATGGCAAGTAAAGCACTCCCTAGAGGTAAAATGCTGCTCTCAAGCACAGGATCAGGAAAAGCTTTTCAACTGTTTTTAGCCGAGGTTTCTCCCAGCAGGCTTAAACCCAACCAGAGGCCTTAAAACATCCCCAGGCACTGATAAAGATATCTAAGCATCATCTAGCCTAGATGTATGAGCTGGGCTTGTGCAAGAATCACCACCCATAATTCTTCAGAATGACTGCAACAGAAGTCTACCTTCCTTAGGGCTCTCCCAGAAATACTATATCCCTTTCTTCAGTATGTGCATACCTTAGTTACAGTTCTTTTGGGACTGCTCTGCCAATTCAGCAGGACAAAACAGGTTTACAACCTGGCAGAAGCATGAATCGGGTCAGGTCTAGGGAGCACAGCAGACAAACTCATATACCATCTTTAAGTCTTGGCCAAAGGATAACTCACATTCAACTTCCCCCATGTCTCAAGGAGTATCTCATTTGATTTAAATGAACCATATACAGGCTGGAAGCGGTGGCTTATGCCTGTAATCCCAGCACTTTGGGAGGCCAAGGTGGGCAGATCATGAGTCAAGAGATCGAGACTATCCTGTAGTCCCAGCTACTCAGGAGGGTGAGGCAGGAGAATCGCTTGAACCCGGGAGGTGGAGGTTGCAGTGAGCCGAGATCGCACCACTGCACTCCAGCCTGGTGACAGAGCGAGACTCCGTCTCAAAAAATAAAAACAAAAAATGAACCATGCACAACAAGCAACACATAAAAAAACTCATGGAATAACATGAGAGCAGCTCACCCCGCCCGCTACCAAAAACAAAACAAAACAAAAACAAACAACAGGGAAGGAGTTCTTGTATCTGTGTGCATGGTTTCTATTTGTATTGTAAACAAAAACAACAAATAAGATACTATGAATGCATTTTTTAAGCTTTATAAAGTTTATGTAGTTAATAACGATGTCATCATGTTAGTCATGAAGTTACATCTCAGTTCATAAACTGCAAGACATCTTTGAGTAGAGATCCATCTCATTTTCCGTAACTACACAGTGATCTACTAAACTGATTTTCTGTAACTTAAGTAACCCATAACTTTAATAGCACTAAACATTTTTTCCAAATTTTTCACAATTCTGCAACACATTTGCTTATGCATCTATATTTCTGCACTTGTGCTTTTTGAGAACATAACTGACTAGGTGTAGAATTGTGGCAAAGGGTAATTATATTCAAAATGCTGACAGGTAACACCACATTGCCCTCTAAAATGGCTTTCCTCTAATTTACCCTCTCAATATTTGAAAATACGGTTTCTCACACCTGCGACAATACTGGATATTATCCAAACTTCACATTCACATAAAATTTCTGCTGGTTTGTGTTGGTGGGGATGAGGACTTTTACAATCTGCACTTATCTGATCATTAGTGAGGTTGAGAACTTCTTCTATTTAACCATTTTAATTTCTTCATCCAATAAATTTTGTTGACATGCTCTGCAAGACTGTGCACCTTATCCTTGCTGCTTTCCAACAGCCCTTTTTCAAGGGCTATATCCTTTCTAATGTATGTTTAAGATATCTCTCAGCCTGTCATATGCCTTTTAACTTTGCATACAGTATCTTACGCCATGAAAAAGGTTTAAATCTTCTACACAGTCCTGTCATTCTCTCTTCATGGCTTCTGGACCTTGTCCTGCTTATCAAAGACCTCCTGAACCTAAAGGCACAGAAATACTCTACATTCTCCTCTACCATCTTAACCTCTTACATCTGTAATGAGTATAGAATGAACTTCTGTGTAAGGAGTCAAATGGGATGCTGACTTTATTTCTAGTTGGACAACTGTCAAAGACATTTAATCTCCCCCAATGATACATCGAAAACACTTTTCAAATATAAAAAACCCATGGATACGACCTTCTACAAAACCTCCCTTCTGATTCCTGCCTAATTAACACTCAACATGAATTTCAGAACTGTCAATGTAAAAGTAACTTACAGGATTACAATATTGAAACATTCATGTAGGATCATGTTATGGATCTCCATTTATTCACAGCCTCTGTTCTCCATCAGCAGAGGCTAATAATTTCCTTTTGTATATAACTAAGTAAACTCACCTATAATTTCATTTCTTTCCCCTTGGTTTGATATCAGAGTTGACTTAGCCTCATGAAAGAAGTGGAACATTTTAAGTGTTTTTTTTAAAAAAAATATACTCCAGAACAACTTTACTAGTGGAACAACTTTACTTGGAAGGTTAGAATAAATCTGTGAACCCACATGTTGAAATAGAACTATATTATTCAATTTCTCTTTCTTCAGTTAAACATTAGTGATTTTTTTTTACTTGACTAAATAAAGTCTTGTATATATTCCCCGCAGGAATTCTAATTCTTTTGTTCGTTTTATCCAGAGCTATATAGCCACTTCTTAAAACATGTTCTATTTATCAAGTCATAATTAATTTCCTCACCAACAAGGGAACACAGCCTTAATCATGAGACAGCCGCTGTGATGTCTTATTATAATATTAAATGTTAAGCATACTACATGTGCTAATCACCATCTACCTTAAGATACTGTTTTAAGTCAGGCTGGTTGCCTGTAATTGCAGCCACTTGAGAATGAGGTGGGAGGGTCACTTGAGCACAGGAGTTTGAGACCACCCTGGGCAACATAGAAAGACACCATTTAAAACTTTTTTTTTAGCTTAAAAAAAGATACTGTTTTGGTTCCAAAATTTTTATGACTGCCATACTGCTTTCAAGAATGCACTGTTTAAAAATAATTTACATCAATTCTGGAGAATACTTATCTAACATTTACTAAGCACTTAGTATGAGTTGGTCATTTTGCTAAGCACTTTATGTACATCAAGTATTTTAACTAGAGTTTTAAGAGTAACTTAATTTGCATTTTTGAAAGGTCACTGTGGCTGTAATGTTAACTCGAAAGGGACAAAAGAGGATGAAGTTTTAGAATTCATGGGTATGCAACCCATTGAATGTGAGGACTTTTTTGCTTATCGGAGGTGGTGTATCACTAAAACTATGCACAGACTTTTTTTTTTTCTTAGCTCATCAGCTATTGTTAATGTTAGTGTATTGTATGTGTGGCACAAGACAATTTTTCTTCTTCCAATGTGGCCCAGGGAAGACAAAAGGTTGGACACCTGTGTAATGATTGAAATAGTCCAGGTGAAATGACTGTGTTTTGGACTGGGGAACCAAAAGAAGTGGATAAATTCCAAAAATATTTAGCAGATATATCCACAGGACTTGGTGATGTAGTGGGTGAGGAAGAGCTGGCTGCCTGAAATGAACTCACTAATGAGCAAGGTGTGCATCTTGTCTGAGGACATTTGCACATTCTTTACATTGTTAAGACCGCTCTGCAGTATGAATTCTTCCCTGTAAAGCATTCAATCTGGCTGAAGGTTTTTCTTCTGTATGCTTCACGAAGTTCTCATGCTGTGTTTTTCAGCTCCATCAGGTCATTTATGTTCTTCTCTAAACTGGTTATTCTAGTTAGCAATTCCTCTAACCTTTTTTCAAGGTTCTTAGCTTCCTTGCATTGGGTTAGAACATGCTCCTTTAGCTCAGAGGAGTTTGTTATTTCCCACCTTCTGAAGCCTACTTCTGTCAATTTGTCAAACTCATTCTCTATCCAGTTTTGTTCCCTTGCCGGCAAGGAGTTGTGATCCTTTGGAGGAGAAGAGGCATTCTGGTTTTTGGAATTTTCAGGCTTTTTGCACTGGTTTCTCCTCATCTTCGTGAATTTATCTACCTTTGGTCTTTGATGCTGGTAACCTTCAGATGGGGTTTCTGTGTGGATGTCCTTTGTTGATGTTGATTATATTCCTGTTAGTTTTCCTTCTAACAGTGAGGCCCCTCGGCTGCAGGTCTGCTGGAGTTTGCTGGAGGTCCACTCCAGACCATATCTGCCTGGGTATCACCGGTGGAGGCTGCAGAACAGCAAAGATTGCTGCCTGTTCCTTCCTCTGGAAGCTTTGTCCCAGAGGGGCACCCACCAGATGCCAGCCAGAGCTCTCCTGTATGAGGTGTCTGTGGACCCCTGCTGGGAGGTGTCTCCCCGTCAGGAGGCATGGGGGTCAGGGACCCACTTGAGGAGGCAGTCTGTCCCTTAGCAGAGCTCAAGCGCTGTGCTGGAAGAACTGCTGCTCTCTTCAGAGCTGGCAGGCAGGAATGTTTAAGTCTGCTGAAGCTGTGCCCACAGCCACCCCTTTCCCCCACGTGCTTTGTCCCAGGGAGATGAGGGTTTTATCTGCACTTTTTTCAAAGATGCGCTGCCCAGAGAGGAGGAATCTAGAGAGGCAGTCTGGCTACAGAGGCTTTGCTGAGCTGTGGAGGGCTCTGCTCAGCTGGAACTTCCCCATGGCTTTGTTTACGCTGTGAGGGGAAAACCACCTATTCAAGCTTTGGTAATGGTTGGCGCCCCTCCCCCCACCAAGCTTGATCATCCCAGGTTGACTTCAGACTGCTGTGCTGGCAGGGAGAATTCCAAGCCAGTGGATCTTAGCTTGCTGGGCTCAGTGGGCATGGGAACCACTTGGCTCCCCGGCTTCAGCCCCCTTAACAAGGGAGTAAGCGGTTCTGTTTCACTGGCATTCCAGGTGCCACTGGGCTATCAAAAAAACTCCTACAGCTAGCTCGGTGTCTGCCCGAATGGCCGCCCAGTTTTGTGCTTGAAACCCAGGGCCTTGGTGGCATAGGCACCCAAGGGGGATCTCCTGGTCTGTGGGTTGCGAAGACCATGGGAAAAGCGTAGTATCTGTGCCGGAGTGCACCATTCCTCATGGCACAGTCCCTCATGGCTTCCCTTGGCTAGGGGAGGGAGATCCCCGACTCCTTGCACTTCCCAGGTGAGGTTACGCCCCACCCTGCTTCAGCTCACCCTCCGTGGGCTGCACCCACTGTCTAACCAGTCCCAATGAGATGAGCCAGGTACCTCAGCTGGAAATACAGAAAGCACCCACCTTCTGCGTTGATCTCACTGGGAACTGCAGATCAGAGCTGTTCCTATTCGGCCATCTTGCCAGCCTCCTGGCTGAAGGTTTTTCTACATTTCTTACATTTATATGTTTTTTATCCAGTGGGACATCTCTGATTAACAGTAGGGGATTGGTGATAACTAAAGGCTTGGCCACATGCACTACATTCTTAAGGTTCTTCTCCAGTATGACTTCTTTGATGACAAATTAAGGATAACTTTCTTCTGAACGCCTTCCCACATTCAAAACACTGATAGGGCCTTTGGCCAGTGTGGAGTCTTTGATGCTGAGCACAGGATGAGCTATCACTAAAAGCCTTTCCACATTCAGTACATTTATAGGGTTTCTCTCCAGTATGAATTCTTTGATGTTGAGTAAGATTGGAAGTTTGGCTGAAGGCTTTCCCGCATTCATTACACTCATAAGGTTTCTCTCCTGTATGAGTTTTCTGATGTTGGGCAAGGTGTGATCTCTGTTTGAAAGCATTTCCACATTCAATACATTCATAAGGCTTCTCTCCAGTATGAATTCTCTGATGAGTAGCCAGCTGTGAACTGATTCTAAAAGCTTTTCCACATTCTTTACATTCATAGGGTTTTTCACCAGTATGAATTCTCAAATGACTAACAAGGTGTACATTCTGCCTAAAGGCTTTCCCACATTCCTTGCATTCATACGGTTTCTCTCCAGAATGTACTCTTTGATGCTGAGTGAGTGATGCATGATGGCTAAAATCTTTCCCACATATATCACATTCATAAGGTTTCTCTCCTGTATGAATTCTCTGATGTACAGTACGGGATGAACCCGAGCTGAAGGTTTTTCCACACACACCACATTTGTAAGGTTTCTCTCCTGTATGAATTCTCCTATGCAGAATAAGTCCTATGTGAACACTGAAGGCTTTCCCACAATCAATGCAATTAAAAGGCTTCTCTCCAGTATGATAACTCCTCCAGTGACGAATAAAAGATGTGTTATACCTAAAAGCCTTCCCACACTCAATACATTCATAGGGTCTTTTGCCAGTGTGACATCTCTGATGTCGAGCAAAAGACGAGCCATCACTGAAGGCTTTGCCACATTCTTTACATTCATAGGGTTTCTCTCCAGTATGAATTCTCTGATGCTGAGCAAGGTGTGCAGGCTGTCTGAAGGCTTTTCTGCATTCCTTACATTTATATGGTTTTTCTCCAGTATGAATTCTTTGATGCTGAATAAGGTGTTCACTTTGTTTGAAGGCTTTCCTACATTCTTTACATTCAAAGAGTTTCTCTCCAGTATGTGTTCTGTGATGTTGAGCAAGGTGTTGCCTTTGCTTGAAGGCTTTTCCACATTCCTCACATGCATATGGTTTTTCACCAGTATGAATTCTAAAATGAACAGTAAGGGATGAGCTATGGGTGAAGGTTTTGTCACATTCATTACATTTAAAAAGCTTCTTTCCTACATAGACTTTCTTGTGTTTTATTACCATAGAATTTTTGGAGAAGCTTTTTTTATCTGATGTGTGATTATAAATACTCTCTTCTATGTTTTCCAGATGGATACATTTCCCAAATTTAGTATATTTGAATTCTGTTTCCTTAGTGATGGTTTCTTTATGAGTGATTATTTCTTTCTTGCTAAACATCTCATGACTTCCCATCTGCTTCTCAAAAAGGTCTTCCCATTTCCAATTTTCTTCAAAAGTGGAACACTCAAGTCCATAGCTAGTAATTCCCTCCATGCATGCATCATCATACATGAACTGCTTCAGAGGTAATTCCTGTGTCACATATATAGATTCCCAATCTGAAAGATATTAAAAAAAAGTGAATGTTCCCTTTATCATGGGCTACAACAAAGGAGACATTGTGAAAAAGGTAATTTAAAAATATTTAATAAATCTCACAAAACCTGTTATGTACAGGCATGTCAACTGGAAAACATTCAGGGAGACCCCAAGAAAGACAGCTCATGAAGGAACATGGGAGAGGTGACTAAGAAAGCGAAATGGGCTAGGTGTAGTGGTTTAGGCCTATAATCCCAGCACTTTAGGAGGCTGAGGTGGATTGCTTGAGCCCAGGAGTTCAAGACCAGCCTGGGCAACATGGCAAAACACCATCTCTGCAAAAAACACAAAAATTAGTCAAGCATGGTGGTACATGCCTATATTCCCAGTTACTCAGGAGGCTGAGGTCAGAGGATCACTTGAGCCCAGGAGGTTGAGACTGCAGTGAGCCATGATTGCCCTACTGCACTCCAGCTTAGGCAACAGAGCAAGACCCTGTCTCAAAACAAAAACAAAAACAAAAAACAAAAACAAAAACCTCAATGTAGGATGAAATCCTAGAGAAGTAGTCTGCAATGGTAATATTTCATGCCTGTATTGACCTAACAGACTATAAATTAAGCTCTCTTCATCTACTCTCTTCCACTTGTAATTGGTTTTCATATACAGTTATGTTAACTTTGTTTAAATACCAATATCGTATCACTACTGCTGCTGAAAAGTCTCTGGAGATCTCCAGTAACCATATACCCTATGGCTTGTGATTATCTTAGGATTTAGGTGAAATCCTATGGTTATCTTTTCATAATGTGAAAATGGTGTTCCTATGAAATCATCTACATGTTTCAATACAGCAAACTCTCCAATTCTCAGAGTTCCCTGAACTTTAATCTGCATATTAAGAGATTTTCCCTTTCATCTTACTTTCAACAGCCTGGTAAAATTATCACCTCTTAGACCACCTTTTTATAAAAAAAAAAAAAAAAGAGGGTTTCACTCAGTTGTCCGGGCTGGAGTGCAGTGGCATGATCATGGCTCACTAACTCCTGGGCTTAAGCAATCTTCCCACCTTCTCTTGAGTAGCTAGGATTACAGGTGTGAGCCACTGCACCCAGCACCTTAAGCCACTGCTTAACAGGGTTTTACCATTTCCCCTTTTGAAGAAATGAATTTTATAATGATATGTAGGTTGATATAACTACTATTAATCACATTCTTATTTACTACCACGAGTAACTTTCTTAACTCCTGACCTAGAATATAAGTTTACAGAAGGAATAAATGTGCTTTAAAAATTATTGCAACATCGGCCAGGTGCAATGGCTCATGCCTGTAATCCCAGCACTTTGGGAGGCCAAGGCGGGCATGTCACCTGAGGTCAGAAGTTAGAGACCAGCCTGGCCAATGTGGTGTAACCCTGTCTCTACTAAAAACACAAAATTAGCGGGGCATGGTGTCACCTGCCTGTAATCCCAGCTACCTGGGAGGCTAAAGCAGGAAAATTGCTTGAACCCAGGAGGCATAGGTTGCAGTGAGCCAAGACTGTGCCATTGCACTCCAGCCTGGGTGACAAGAATGAAACTCCATCTCAAAAAAAAAAAAAGAAAAAAAGAAAAAATATATTGCTACATCACTTACCATAGATAGAAGAAATCTGGGCATATATACAAAGTTATCAGTAAAATATAAAGAAATTTGTATTGAAGAGATGATACTGAGAGAAAACCTGAGGGAAAAGGTGGTTTCAAGAAAAGGCAAAGGAAGGGCTTTCCTTTTCTATGTCATCCATAGCAAATCATCGACTAATCCAATATTTCCTAAGCAATTATACATTATGCACTAAGCATTTGTGATATCAAAGTAATGAAGGAATTGTTCTTGAAAAGTTTAGAAAGTAATTTAGGAAGACAAGACCAACAAAAAAAGTTTTGAGAAGATAATACAAAACATAATCAAGTGTGAGATAAAGATTAAATTGTTATAAAAGTTCAGAGATGGGAGAGATCAAATCCACTAGAGCAGTCAAGAAAGGTTTTGAGGTATTAACATGCTTTGTAGTCCAGGTCTTCATGGTATCAGGAATATCCAGTGTCTTGAATAACTTGGGTTGCTATAACAAAATAGTCTTGTGTCACTTAATGATGGAGAAATGCTCTGAGAAATGCATCATTACGGATGGGCAATTACAGAGCGTACTTATACAAACCTTGATGGATGGTGTAGCCTGCTGCACACTTAGGCTATATGGCCTACTGCTCCTGGTCTACAAGCCTGCACAACATGTTACCACTGAATACTATAGGCAACTGAAGCACAATGGTATTTTTGTATCTAAACATATACAAACATAAAGAAGGTACAGTAAAATATGCTATGAGGACATTTTATATATATTTTTTGAGACAGGGTCCCCTCTGTCATCAGGCTGGAGTACAATGGCATGATCATGGCTCACTGCATCCTCAAACTCCTGGGCTCAAGTGATCCTTCTGCCTTAGCTTCCTGAGTAGCTGGGAGTACCAAGTGCATGCCACCATGCCCAGCTAATTTTTTATTTTTAGTAGGGATGAGGTCTTGCTGTTGCCCAGGCTGGTCTGGAACTCCTGCTGAACCAATCCTCCCACCTCAGCCTCTCAAAGTGCTGCGATTATAGGTGTGAGCTACCATGCCCAGCAATAGAAGAGTTTTTTTTTTTTTTTTTTTTTGAGACAGAGTCTTGCTCTGTTGCCCGGGCTGGAGTGCAGTGGCGCAATCTCGGCTCACTGCAAGTTCTGCCTCCCGGGTTCATGCCATTCTCCTGCCTCAGCCTCTCGAGTAGCTGGGACTACAGGCACATGCCACCATGCCCAGCTAATTTTTTTGTATTTTTAACAGAGACGGGGTTTCACCATGTTAGCCAGGATGGTCTCAATCTCCTGACCTCGTGATCTGCCTGCCTCGGCCTCCCAAAGTGCTGGGATTATGGGCATGAGCCACCACGCCTAGCCAGAAGAGATTTTTTTAAAGTTATACCTGTATAGGGCAGTTCCATCATAATCTTGTGTGACTGTCTTATATGCAGTCCATAATGGATAGATACATTGTTTATGTGGCCCATGACTGTACCACATAGTGGGTAGCTTATTGATGTGGTTTGGCTGTGTCCCCACACAAATCTCATCTTGAATTGTAGTAATACCCACATGTCAAGGGTGGGGCCAGGTGGAGATAATTCAATCATGGGGGCAGTTTCCCCCATACTGTTCACTGGCAGTGAATAAGTCTCACGAGATCTGATGGTTTTGTAAATGGGAGTCCCCCTGCACAAGCTCTCTCCTGACTGCCACCATGTAAGAAGTGACTTTGCTCCTCCTTTGCTTTCTGCCATGACTGTCAGGGCTCCCCAGCCATGTGGCACTAAAAGTCAATTAAACCTCTTTCCTTTATAAACTACCCAGTCTCAGGTATGTCTTTATTAGCAGCTTGAGAACAGACTAATACACTTACAAACAACACTTATAACTAAACAGACTAATACACTTATAAAAAATTAGCCGGCCATGGCTAATTTATTTCTCACAGATCTGCAGACTGGGAAATCCAAGATCAAGGCCCATGGCATGGGCTGGCTTTCTCACAGATGGTGCCTTCTTCCTGTTTCCTCACACAGTGGAAGGGGCAAGGAAGCTCCTTTGGGCCTTTTATAAAGGTAATAATCCCACTCATGAGCCCTCATGACCTAATCACCTCCCAAGGTCCCCACCTACCACCAGCACTCTAGAGAAGATGATTTCAACATGAATTTCAGGGGCACACAAACATTCAGACCAGGGCACCCATGCTTCAAGAATTGAGGCAATGTGGGGTTAATGAACTAATCACCTATAATTTTTCCTACGTAGACAGACTGAAGAGAACAATACTAGAAAAAGACACAGAATGCTGAGTCCATCATCTACTGTTTTCTCACATTTTACTTTTTTGTCACATGAAGATTGTCTTCAACTCCAATTTCCTACAGAGAGCCATGGTTGTTCCTCATTTCCTGGCCTTTTTTAACAGACACTAAGATATCTTATGCATACAATAATACTTATATCTACACATTGACTCAGCATCCCACCAGACTTATAGCTTCTTCCTTTTCCCCTTTTCCCTTCTTCCACTTGTTCTTCACAGGGCCAATTATCAGGAAAGTTCTTTTCTGTTTCTCTATTTGAGGCAGATGGCATCTTCATACAAAACCAAAGTATAAAGTACATCCAAGCAGGGTCTATTTCCCTTCTGATGTGTGGGTATAGTCATCCCTCCTTATCCACAGTGGACACATTTCAAGACCCAGTGGACGCCAGAAACCCGGAATGATACTGAACCCTATATTCACTACACACAACAGATCTGAAAAGCTAGACGAGACTAAGAGACTAAAAGGCAGGTAGGGCATACAGCATGGATGTGCTAGACAAAGGGATGATTCATGATCTGGGCAGGACAGAACAGAAAGGTGCAAGACTTCGTCATACAACTCAGAATGGTGCACAATTTAAAACATATAAATTGTTTACTTCTGGAATTTTCCATTTAATATTTTTGGACAGTGGTGGACTGTGGGTAACAAACTGCAGAAGGCAAAACCTTGAATAGGGGGACTATTGTATTTGGAGGACACGGGAAATTTAGGATCCAAATTATTCCAAAAGATCAAACACTGTTACAGAAGGGAAAGGAGAATGCTTTAAGCCATAATTGTAAGGGCATATATTGATATGCCCTTTTCTTTTGGAACTTTAATTTCAGTGGGAGAGGCAGAATATAAGCATTAAACATAAGCAAGTTAATTGTAGGCTTTCCTGAGTGTTAGAAAGAAAATAAACAGTGGCTTGGTGGACAGTTATTGGGTTGGGATGGGGAAATGTTCATCACATAAGGTGGTTAGGGAAGGCCTCTGATGAGATGATTTTTTAGCTCTGATTTGATATTCAGGATAGACAGACCCCAGGAGAGGAACACTCTGGGTAGAGGAAACAGGAAGTGCATATGCCTGAGTCAGTAAAAAGCTTGGTGAGTTCAGAAAAGTTGACCCTAATATGACATTTGTAAAACACAGGTGGAGCAGGCAAAAGAATGATACTGCCTGTGACTCAGAGGCAATCAGATTTGGAATTACCTCTGGAGCCATCTAGTCTCCCAAGGCTCTTGAGAGACTCAGTAGCTTGGTATACCTGTAACTCACTTGAAACATACCCTGGGTATCTCACATAATTTAGCAAACTCTGGACTAAAGTATAATGAAAAAGCTAAAAAGTAATAAAGAATGAGGTTATAGAAGTAGGAAGGAGCTGATCAGGAAGAGGCTAACAGGGTTTAGATTTTTCCTATCTGCTACAGGAAAGGAATGAAAGAGCAGCAGGGTACATTATAATTTGTAAGCAGTACCTAATTCAAGAGTTAAGAAAAGATTTAAGAAACATAGAAGTTTATATAAGTCTGTATGGCAAAGCGAAAGACGGGATGGTAAGGAGCTGGATAATGATTTTTGCAAAACAAAAATCTTAGAGATTTAAGATTCTCTAATCTCTACAGAATATTAGTTCTTAGAGAGAAGACAGTCAAGTGGAAGAGAAGATATTTGAGGGGCCCATGTGAAGCATAAAGTTTCAGTTTTCTCTCCAGGCCTGTAAGGCTTATGAAGAGTTTCTGAGATGCATAAGTGAGAAGGTATCACCTCTAAAAATGGCTGAGCCATTATGTCAAAAAGATTCCCCTCTCTGGTTCTTCCACACTCACCTGAGAATGGGCTTCTTGTCATCTCACTCGTCATCTCCCAAGGCTCTCTCCCTTGCTCCAATAAGGAGATCACATATGGCTTAGAAATGCAAAGACCTACATATAAAAAAAAGACATGAAAATTGGTCATGTTTTGGGTTATTTCAGAACTAAAAGCCAGTACCTTAATTCTGGTGGAATGATATAGTAGGAATACTAGATAAGAGATAAAGCACATCTGAAGGACAGACTACATAAAACTCTGGAATAGCCTAGTAAGACTGCTAACAGTTAACTCTGTGAACTATTTTATGAGGGGCTTGAGGGCAGAAATTTAGCCCAACATTTTCTGAATATTATCACACAGTAGTAAATGAGGTATTTTAAAAGGTCCCTAGAAACAGTTTGAAGTTTTGAGATAATTGCCTGCTTTAGAAAAAAATCAATACTCTTTAGGGGAATATGACAGAATCCAGAGGCTCTACAATGTTTTATTTAAGTATACATGATAAAATTCAAAATTACTTGACATAAGAAAAGGAAAAAGTGAATCATGCCCATTAGAAAAAGCAAGCAATAGACGCTCACACTGCAATAACGAAGAAGAAATAGCACATGATTTAAAAACAGCTATTATTATATCAATACTTAAGAATATAAAGGCAAATATGCTTGAAATAAATGTACACACAGGATATCTCAGAAACGAAACTACAAGAAGAACCAAATAAATATTATATAATTTAACAAATATAACATCTGAAACTTAAAAATTCACTAGATGCACCTAACCAAACATTGAGGGTAAGGATAGAGTCAGGGAATTTGACTATGAATCAACAGAAATTATCCAATCTGAGCTGGGCACAGTGGCTTACGCCTGTAATCCCAGCACTTTGGGATGCTGAGGTAGGCAGATCACCTGAGGTCAGGAGTTCAAGACCAACCTGAGCAACATAGTGAAACCCTGTCTCTATTAAAAATACAAAAATTAGGTCAGGCACAGTAGCTCACACCTGTAATCCCAGCACTTTGGGAGGCTGAGGCGGGCAGATCACGAGGTCAGGAGATCAAGACCATCCTGGCTAACATGGTGAAACCCCATCTCTACTAAAAAAATACAAAAAAATTAGCCAGGTGTGGTGGCAGGCACCTGTAGTCCCAGCTACTCAGGAGGCTGAGGCAGGAGAATGGCGTGAACCCAGGAGGCGGAGCTTGCAGTGAGCCGAGATGGTGCCACTGCACTCCAGCCTGGGCGACAGAGCGAGACTCCGTTTCAAAAAAAAAAAAAAAAAAAAAATTAGCTGGGTGTGGTGGTGGGTGCCTGTAATCCAGCTACTTGGGAGGCTAAGGCAGGAGAATTGCTTGAACCTGGGAGGTGGTGGGCCAAGATTGCGCCACTGCCCTCCAGCCTGGGCAACAGAGCAAGACTGTCTCAAAAAAAAAAAAAAAAAGAGAGCGAGAGAAAAATTAAAATTAAAACAGAACAAAGATTTTTAAAAGTGAAACAATCCTTAGTTACCTAGGGCACAATATCAAACAATCTAACATAGGTGTAACTGAAGTCCAAAACAGAAAAGAACAGAAAAAAAGATTTGAAGAAATAATGGCTAAAAATCTCCCAAATTTGGTTTAAGATATAAATTTAGTTTCAAGAAGCTCAATGAACCACAAGCATAATCAAAAGGGCTTCTGGAGAACAGAAAGCTAATCTAGCCAATGGGGTGGCCCCAGTGCTTAGAAGAAAGGTCCATAGGAATTTCCCTAACAGTAAGTGATCTGAAGCCATTTTCAGTTTGTGTCTTCAGTTTGTTACTTAATACAAAGATACAGATTTTAAAAGTGATATTCTGAATTTATAGTAATCTAGCTATATATTCTTTGTGAACCTTGTTGTTGTCTAGTGGTGATAGTAATTCTGTAGGAGAGAGAGAACAAGGAAACTGAGGAGACTGGTGAGATTCACATTGTGTCTTGTGTTCCCAATTGCCTTAAGGGTGTATGCATGGAATATTTGATATTCTCCAAATTCACTAACTCTAAATCTCAAGTTTTCTTCAGTCCCTCAATATCCTCTGTTTCTCAGATTCCATTCCCAAATTCCATTCTGACCTACATATAATAAAAGCAAATTTAATAATATATAGACAAAAAAGTTCCTTAAAGGTAGATTATGCAGGAGGGAAAAGATCCTCACCAAGTGATACCAGGCTCTGATAGTTCTCCAACATCATACTCCTGTATAAACGCTTCTGAGCAGGGTTCATCCATTGCCATTCTTCCTGGGAAAAATCTATTGCCACATCCTTGAATGTCACTAAGTCCTGAAGTGACAAATATATTCTTAACCAACCAATGCTCGTGTCCAAAGATAACTCTGAGTTGATCCAAAGTGTCTCTACTTTAGGTGAGAAATAACTCATAGAAGAGAAAAAACATAAATAGGAAGATCCAAGCCAAAACAGTACTTATGGAAGTGTTTAACTGCATTGGGTACAATGGGGCCAATCGATTCCGAACATAGGGAAATATGGGTGCATAACTACAAGGCAGTGAAGACGGCTTCAAGGGAGAACACACACCTGTGTTGAATCTTCAAAAGCATAAAAGGAATATCTAAACTGATATTTTTCAAATGATACTCCATGGGATCCAAGTTTTATTGGCAGGGGCTGGAGAAAGGCATTGAACTAATGTAGCTGATTTTTTTTTCTTAAATAATAAAAACATGTTTAAGAATGCAATTTTCTTAGGTCTGCATCAGTGAATACTGTGTTTTCCACCCACGGTTGGTAGAACCCACAGTTGCAGAACAAAATGAAATTGAAGTTATAACTTTTAAATATTCTTAGAGAAAAATTAATGACCAGTTATAATCACCAGCAGCTTGTAAGAAATTTTAAAAGTTATTGTGGGCATTTTTCACCTTCAGATTTACTTCCGTTGAAAATGAATATCTTCTTAATCTTAGTGCCTGATTTGCAAAGTTATCAAAAATATAACTAAAGACAAGGTTATGAGCACATTTTAATTCGCTTTAAACAGTAATCTCTGTATCATGTCTTTGTTCTGAAGATTAGTGTTTAAAAGCACATTTTAAACAGATATTCAATGTACGGGACTTTAGAAGATATACATACCTTTAGGAAAATGTTTAATATATTTTTCATATAAAAGAATTACAAAATTGTTTACATTTCTCTGTGTACTCACAGTTTTACTGAATTCTAGTTTTCACCTTCTAGTGAGTTGAGAACTAAGAACCATCATTTCACATATTCTTATAAAATGAGATGTATTCCTCAATGCAAGCAAAAGGTGTTCACATTCTTTCCAATATTTAGGATAATTTTGCTGACTATTAAGGACAGAGGAGCTTTGGCTGTTCCCACAGAAAAAACTGCTTTTGATCCTGGTACTTATGGTTAGTAATCTAGTATATATACTACCAGAATTTTACCAATATCTATAGAATAACTTTACATATATGTATGCATGTATATGTAGTGATTTTTTTTAACTGATAATGCTATAACCAATGAAGTAAATCCCAATGGATAGCATCTGAAGAGCTTGTAATTCTTTTTTCTTTTTAAGGACACAACCATTTATTGCAAGGTATCAGATAATTTATGAAATTTCCAGGAGGATTAATACTGAGTAAGTGACTAAATTAAGACTAAATAAATAAATGAGGAAAATAGGCAAATATCTCATTTAGAAGATCTTTCAAATGATTTATGTTTGCCCTTAAGGAGGTAGAACATAATTTCCCACTTCTGGAGTGTAGGTTGTGCATAGTGACTTCCTTACAAACAGTACAGTATGGAAAAGTGAGGGAAAAAAGAGTAACCTTATTATAGAGAAACCTGACAAACACTACCTCAAAGTTAATTAAGTTAACATCTATTAACATCAACAGTAATAAATCATGTTTACAGTGTGCACCCCTGATTTGATGTGATGAAAAAGGAACTTTACCTCTGCAGTCTTCCTCCCCAAAACACAGTACCCTAGTCTAATCATGAAAAAGCATCAGATTTGAGACATTCTACAAAATAACTGAGTATTCCTCAAAGCTGACAAGGTCATCGATAAGCAAAGTATGAAAAACTATCACAGCTAAGAGGAGTCTTAGGAAATATGACTATTAAATGTAATGTAATTTCCTAGATAGAATCCTGGCACAGAAAAAAAACATTAGATAAAACCTAAGAAAGCCTGGCCGGGTGCAGTGGCTTACACTTATAATCCCAGCACTTTGGGAGGCCAAGGCCGGTAGATCACTTGAGGCCAGGAGCTCAAGACCAGCCTACATAGCATGGCAAGGACAACATGGCAAAACCCCACCTCTACCAAAAATACAAAAATTGGCTGTGCATGGTGGTGCATGCCTATAATCCCAGCTACTCGAGTGGCCGAGGCACGAGAATTGCTTGAACTGGAGAGGCAGGTTATAGTGTGCTATGATCCTGCCACTGCACTCCAGCCTGGGTGACAGAGTGAAACTCTGTCTCAAAAAAAAAAAAAAAAAAAAAATTAAAAAGTTAAAACAATGAAAGAAAATCTAAACTAAGCACGGACTTTAGTTACTAATAACATATCAATATTGGTTCATTAATTTTAACAAAAGTACCACACTAATGTAAAATATTAATAGGGGAAGCTTGGTGTGGTATAAGATTTCTCTACACTATCTCTGCAATTTTTCTACAAATCTAAAACTATTCTAAAAAATAAAATTTATTTTTTAAGTAGACCTTCTCAAGAGGAGGACATCAAAGCTTCAAACTATCTTTTAAAAATATATAAAGTCTAGCACTAAACCCAAAATGAGGCATTTAAGACAAAAAACAAGATAATTTTCAAAACATCACAAAATAGAAACACATAAGAGATCCAGATAATGGAATTATCCAACAAGGATACCAAAATATTATGATAATATTTTTAAGGAGCTAAAAGGAAAGGTAGTGAATTCAGGAAGAAAATAGAAAATTACATAAAACAATTAAATAGAAATTCTAGAACTAAGTATGCAATAACAGAAGTTAAGAATTCCATTATGGGCTTAACAGGAGATTAGAGAATTAAAGAGAGAATTAAAGCATAAGTGACATATAAAACAGTGTCAGTTATGTATATAATTGTGATCTTAGAAAAAGAGGAAAGTTTCAGAATATTTGTGGTTGAAAAATTTCCAAATTGATGAAAGACACCAAGCTACGCTGAACACTGACTTAAAACAAAAATAGTGAATAATGTTTACAGTCTATCAAATAAGCATGTGTGTGTGCATTTCAGGTGGTGGGGTTAATGGACTGCATCTTTATCATCTATAGTAGTAGGTTACTGGATCATTTCTAAAACTAAAATAATCAAGAAATAGTGTATGGAACATTATTCAGGAGTATGAGGTTAAATATCAAAACTAAAGACAGTAAGTTGTATTGTGGAGATCCCAACTTACTTCTATAGGGCAAATTGGAGGGGACTAATTCTGTTGTGTATGGTGCTTGTGACTTCAGGTAGAATTTTAATGACAACATGAGGCACACAAACTAAAAGGTCTGTATCTTTGGAAAATTATGTTAGGTAACTCACAAAATGGTTTTAATGCTGAGGAAGACACAGATGCCCAGAATCCATGTAAATGTTTTTTAATATCTCATGAACTCTGACAGCACAAGAAAAAAAAGCAGTGTTTCAAAATTAATTTAACGTAACTTTCCATATGAAGCATATAAATTAATTAAGCATTAATTATGGACATCTGACACTCATGTATGTCATGAAAACACATTTTCCACTTAGAAAAAATGTGAGGAGGGGAATTTCACAGTGGGAGAATTAAGGATTCCTTTTTATACATTGTTTCTTATACATGTGCAATATAATATTTAAAAATTAAAAGATTAAAAGCAGAAATTCAAGTAAAACTGAGTGTAGTACAGCAACAGAACCAAATACACACAGGAATTTAGTGCATGATATAGGTGGCATTTCAAATTAGTGAGAATGAGATGAATAATTCAATTAATGCCATTGTGCCAACTTGAAAAAATAAATCTCTGCCTCACTTATTATAAATTATACATGTAATGTAAAAATGTAATGTAAATTAAATGTAAAAATCTAATGTAAATTAAATTTAACATAAAAAGTTAATGTAATTTCAGCCCTACCATGATAGAAAACCACAAAAATCAAGTCTAAGCTTACCAGAAACTTAACTGTGAAGGATAAAACAAATCTTAGAAGAAAAATAGGACCTAAAGGTAGACAAAAATTTCATCAACAAGACACGAAAAATCATTAACTTTGAAGGGAAGAAAGTATTTTTGTATACACGCAAAGGCATAACATAGCTCTGAATGAGATACATGGTGAGAATAACTTCTTAAAATAACTGGGAGTTAAGGGTGAAATTTGTTTGTAAATTTTGTACCATGTCAACTTCTCACCTATTTAAATTTATAAAATTTGCAAAAATTAAGTAGAATAAGATTTTTCAGGTGAACGAATGAGGTTGGTAATTCATACTTAAAATGTAAAGAAAAACTTTTAAAGAATTTATCTTAAGGACATAATTAGAGATTTGGAGAAAACTTCAGGTAGAGGAATAATTCCTAATGCATTCTATATATAGGAAACGCACTGCATGCACATTTAACCTGGAGCCCAACTCACTAGTACTAACATATCCACATGTATATTCCACACAACATAAATCAAGTCTTTTCACAAGAGTCAACACTAAATTTAAAATGTACACAAGGTGGGAAGAGGAATCTCAGAGGGACCTCCATGACTTTTTATACTAAGCTATTACTCACTCATTAGGTAATTAGAGTTAAAGACAGTGGCCCCTGAGAGAAGTGGGAACTAGGCTCCTGGACTGTTAATCAGGGAATTTTCAAAAGAAAAGAAGCATTACAAAAAGTCCTAAACAGCAAGACTGCCTTTCATGAAGAGAAAGAAAATATCCACTAACCTGGGGCATGACTTTTACTACTTCAACATTCATTTTTGCCTTCTCTTCTGGTCTTTCTCTTGAAGAACAGTGTCTTGGGAGGGCAAGGCTGAAGGAAGGGAAAGGTTAGAGAGAGATGAGGCCAGAGATGCTGCACTCCCAGAATCACTAGCCTAAAACTGTCTTCTTCTTCCCAGCTTTGGTTGATCCCATAACTGGGTATGAGCAACCTATGGCCACTGAAGGGCTAAAACTCATAACGGTTTTTTTTTTTCATGCTTGAGGTCCTAAATTTAATCTTTTTCAAAGAGCTACCTTCCCATTCAGATGCATTAGGTACTCTGCATAGATTAGATTATCTCACTTTATTTTTCAAATAATCCTATAAAATAGTCATTTCCTCCATTTTACAGGTAAAGGTGGAGTCATTCTCTTCTTGGGTCTCTGCTTCATGCTTTGAAAGTCTACTGTTTGAAAATCTGGCTCCTTTCTGGGCCAGATGGATGGGGTTTTTGGGAAAAAAAAAAAAACAAAAGAAAAAGGAAAATCTGACTCCCAAATGCCACCAGAGGCCAGGGTTATCCTCCTTCTTCACTCAATCCCCACCACTGCATCCCTGACCCACCCCCCGGCACTGTTTCACTTTCCTCACCCTGAAACGATGGAACCTTTAGCACTCAATTCTGCCACTTTCACTCTCACCTCTGTCCCAGCCCCTTAATTACCCTCCTGTCACACAGAAGTGAGGGTGTCTCCTGCTTCAGTTAGGAGCTTCAGTCACCCCAGCTTTGCTTCTTACTGAAACCCTTGGACTGGGGACAGGAATTCTATTCCACATTTCCTATCCCGGCAACACACAATTCCAAACAGCCACACTCATAAAGAATCCAATCCTATCAATCTTCCAAGTAGTCTCTCCATACACAGCAGTCATACAGGGCCACAATTATGGGTATACAGGGTGACATACAAACACTAACACAGGTTTCATGGTCACACGGAGGACACAATCACAAGCACCCCAAAACAAGCACATATACACAGTCACATTTCCATTGCCTGAGGACATGAATATAAGCACACGTGGTGATTCACCAACACCTTCACACATACCCCCAATCTTACTTCTCTCACACACACAGCTCACTGTCCCTTATCTCTGTCTCACTCACACATGCATGCTTCACAACCTCACAGAGGTTATATTTGTAAAGCCTTTTGGATAACACACCATGGTTCACATAGTTTCTTTCTCACCCATTTTGGTCTCTCACACAACCACATCACTAGTCTTTCTCTCCCTCTTTCACACATATAAACATGATGGTCTCTCATACATACACATTCAATGGTATCTTTCAAAGAGGCCTCAGTTACTCAAATGCTCCAGTGTCTCACACAGATACACAAACACACTCTGATCTCTCATATTCCAACTGCTTTATCTCATGCACACAAAATACATACTGGTCACTCTCACTCCAATCTTTTTCATACTGTGATACACCCTCTCACAACCTACCAGTCCAGACAGAGACATACTCTAGTCTCTCACATACCCATTGGTCTCTCACACACTCACACCAACATACCCCAGTCTCTCCCAATCACTGAACTCTCAGTCTAGTCTCTTGCTTTTACTCAGACACACACATGATCTTTCTCAGACTCCAGGGAGCCTCATACTTGTTCATCTTTCACACAGGCACATCTATTTCTCTCACACATTGATATACCCTGGTCTCACACTCTGGATTCTCACAATCCAGTCCCTGATAACACACTCAGGTGACAAAGAGGAAAAACAAACTGTTTCTCCTACTCCACTCACACAACACAAAACAGTTCTAAGACCAGATGTGTGGGGATCTACACACACACACACACACACACACACACACACACACACACCAGGCAAGCAATAAGTTCTTCAGTGAATACCAGGTGGGTGACCTCTAGGGCAACCCAGTGAATACCAGGTGGGTGACCTCTAGGGCAACCCAATTCTGACACTATCTACCTGGAGACAGCATAAGATCCCACAGGTTGAGGGCTCAGCCCTACAAAATTGCTCCCCACTTCCAATGCCAGTTGCAAACCCCAGGTTGTTTTACTTGTGCTTCTGACTAGCTATAAATCGGGGTTCCTATGACCCCCTCCTTGCGTTCAATTAATTTGCTAGGGCAGCTCACAGAACTTAGGGAAACACGTTTGTAGTAATAAAGGATATTACAAAGGATGCAGGTGAAGAAATGCATAGGACAAGGTTATATAGGAAGGGGCTCATCCTACAGGAACCTCCAGTGTTCAGCTATCTGGAAGTTTGATGAACCCAGTCCTTTTGGGTTTTTATGGAAGCTTCATAATGTAGGCATGACTGGTTAAATCACTGACCACTGATGATCAGTTTAACCTGTGGCTCCCTTTCCTTTCCCTGGAGATTGAGGGATGGGGCAGGTAATCCCAACCCTCTAATCCTGCCTAGATTGTTCTTGTGACCATCCCTTACCGTGATCAACCTACAGGCTGCCAGCCCACCAATCATTAGCATGCAAAAAGACACTTAATACTTTGGAGATTCCAAGGATCTTAGAAGTCGTAAGCCAGGAAACATAACTTTGTCCTATACTTTGATCGCCTCCCTCTCTCTCACAAACTCATAACAACATAACCTAGTCTCACTCTTTGGACTCTCACAGTTTAGTCTCTTTCTCTCTCTCATACACACACACCAGCCTCTCAAGGAGCCTCACATAATGACTGGTCTTTCACACACAGCCACGTGCTCATCTCTCTCACACTCACTGGTCTCACGCTATGTTGTCTCTCACACACGAACACACCCTGGTCTCACACTCTGGTCTCTCTCAGTCTGTCAGACACACATAACACGGCCTCACACACTGACGGGTCTTTCACCCAAAACACCCATTTCTCACACTCACTGGTCTCCCTTTCACACATTAACATACCACAGTCTCACACTCTGTTCTTGCACAGTCTAGTCTCGCATACATGGTGATTCTTCTCTCTCTCGAACACACACCGGCCTCTCATTGAGCCTCACCCACCGACCGACCGGCCTTTCACACACAGGCACACGCCCATCTCTCACACTCACTGGTCTCTCACACTCCATCCAGCCCGTCTCACTCTCTCACACGAATACATCCTGGTCTCACGCTCTGGACACCTGGTCTGTTACACACTTACACACCCACACACCTCGCAACCTCTCACTGAGCTTCACACGCTCTCTTTCAAATGCAGGCACATCCCTATCTCTCTCACACTCACTGGTCTCTCACACTGGCCCGTCTCGCTCTGTCACACACGAACATACCCTGGTCTCACACTGGACTCTCGGTCTGTCACACACACACACACACACACACAGAAACCACACCCTCTCACGGAGCCTCACACTCTGACAGATCTTTTACACACAGGCACACCCCCATCTCTCCCACAGCTCACTCCAGTGGTCCCGCCGCCCCAAGCCGCCCCGAACGCCCAGCAGCCCCGAGCCGCGGCCTCCGCCCCGCAGACTCGAGTACGCGCGCCCCGCTGGCCTCTGGGAAATGTAGTCGTCCTGGGGACAGAGGACGCGGCTGGGCCTTCGCGACCCGCGTCGGAGCCGCCCGCCTCGCCTGCCCTTCCTGGCCCAGCCCTCGAGCTCGGACTCCCAAACCACCCAAAACAAACCCCCGGCCTCGTCTGGCACCCAGACGCTCTCATCCGAAGGACTCCGTGAGTCGACGCTGGAACCCCCCATCGCGCAGGCGCCAGCCTCTCTCCAGGGGTCGGACGAGAGGGGCGGAGACAAGGCGTGGCCTAGTGTTGAGGGGATTGTCCTCGGGCTGCTGAAGGAGTGAGAGGGACCTTAGAGCAGAGCGGGCGGTGCCTGCGCAGTGCGTGATTACGCGAGCCGGGCGTGGCCCAGGGTTCCGGCGGGTAAGAGCAGGAGTGTGCGCAGGCGCAAAGATTGCGCTCTCCCCCTCTCCTCGCCTAGAGACCAGAAGCGTCCCTAGTTACTAGTTCCTGGGGCCTGGGAGGGAAACGCGCGACGGCTGAGCCTTCGGTGTGAGTACGCGTGGGGCTTTGTGACGCTGTCTGTGCCTCTGTGATCGCGATGTCATTCGGAGCGCGGCCTTCTGTGCCAGTCCGTGGGAGTGTCATTATCTTTCTGTGTTAAGCTTATTTTGGAATAAGACAGCGACGAGGAACCCCGACCGTGTTGTGACTCTGGCGAATTAATACCTCTTTCAGCTGCAAATGGGAATGTCACTGATCAGAGGCAGTGAATAACACGACGTTTTTGGAACCAATCTGCTAGGCTTGAACCGCGTTCAGCCCCTTAACAAAATGGAAATGGTCCCCGTTTTAGGGGACTAGCCCTGACTAGGAGAACTGTAGAATTAGTATTGGAAGGTGAGACAAATAAGGAAAAGCAATTCAGGGGGATACAGCAGAGAAAAAAAAATCCCTGTCCTCTTATTATGTAATTTACTTTGAAGCGGAGAGAGACAAGCCACAAATTCATGAGTTAGATAAACAGTCTGATGAACAGTAAAAAGGGCTATGGAGAAATATAACTCAGAGAAGGTTGTATCGTATACATTTTTTCTATTGTCTCTTATAATGTCTTAACATGTCAAAAAAACCTGTCTGCAGCAGACACCAGCCAGGTGACCGCTACTCCAATTCAATTCTGACGCTACCTGGAAAACATCAGATCCTACAGGTTAGACAGCTCAGTCCCAAAAGACTGTCCCCCACTTCCCATGCCAATTCCAAACTCCAGATTGTTGTACCTGTGTTTCAGAGAGATGTGCTATAAATTGGGGCTCCCACAGCCGGCTCCTTGGGTTCCATTAGTTTGCTAGAGCAGCTCACAGAACTCAAGGAAACACTTATGTTTACTGGTTTATTATAAAAGATATTTTAAAGGATACAAATAGCCAGATGAAGAGACATGTAGGGCAAGGTCCGAGAGAATCCCTAGTGCAGGAACTTCTGTGCCCGTGGAGTTGGGGTGCACCACCCTCCCAGCACGAGGATGTGTTTTTGTCTACCTTCTTGGAAGCCGCTTGAACTCAGGCCTTTTCGGTTTTCAAGGTTTCATTATGTAGATGTGATTGATTAAATCATTGGCCACTGGCGATCAACTTAATTTTCAGGCTCTCTCTTTTCCCAGAAGTAGAGGGTGGAGCTGTGAGTTCCAGTCCTCTGAGCACATGGCTGGTTCCTCTGGCAACTAGCCACCACTCCCCCCAAATATTGGGATTATCTTGAGAGTTTCCAAAAATCACCTCATTAACATAAACTCATGTGTGGTTGAAATACTGTCTTTCACCTTTATGGCTCTGGAGCTGTTCTGGAGCTTTTTCAGGAACCAGGAACAAAAGGCCAGATATTTTAACAAAAGATACTTTATTGCTGCAGTCATTTAGGAAATTAAAAGAGCTGTAGGAACTGAGAGCCATGAACTGTACCTTTCTTTCTAACTCCACATTCAGTGATGTCATATTGGTAGATTGAAATCCACCACAAGGGGACTATTTACAGTATGGAAATACAGTCTACATCGCTAAAGGATGGAGATACATTCTGAGAAATGGGTTCTTAGGCAATTTCCTAAGAACCTTGTTGTGCAAACATCATAGAGTGTACTTACACAAACCTAGATTGTGTAGCCTACTACACACCCACACTCACTCAGACTGGGACAACTTAGACATACCAGTTAACTTACTGTGCACATCTTTGGGATGTGGGAGGAATCTGGAGTACCCAGAGAAAACCCATGGAGACATGGTGAGACTAGTCAGATTGCATTAGGACCCACCCTAACGACCTCATTTCAACTTAATTAACTCTGTAAAAATCCTATATCCAAATACAGTCACATTCTGAGGTACTGGGAGTTAGGACTTCAACATGCAAAATTTGGGGCAGACAAAATTCAACCAATAACAAGAGATTATTTTGATTCTTCTGTCCTCATTCATCCCACCAAGGAAGTAAGGGGTATTTCCATTATCATACTATATATTAAATTATCATTACATTACATATATAATGTTTTCTTTATCTAATTTTTACTTTATATATACCACATTTTTGTTCATGGGCCATCAAAGGTATTATCTCACATAATTCTTGTAAAAATAAAATTGAATAACTAACTTTACAGTTGAAGATTTAAACAATAAGGGACTTTTTCCAAAGCCACACATCTAATAAGTTTCAAAGGTATTACTCTAATTCAAGTTTCTTCTTTCCAAATTCAGAACTCTTTCCATCCTGTAACAGTGCACTATTTTTAAGCTTAACTCCTTTCTGAAGAATATCAAATTTAACAACAGTGTTGGTGACCAGGTGAATTTGGATTACAAATTAATTTCTGGGACAGAATATGATATTCTCAACTTTTGGAACTTCAGGTGAGAGTTGACCAGTTTTCCCCACAGGCTCCATGTGGTCAACGTTATTTGTTTAGAATTGGAAATGGCCTTGTATGACACTGGATCCAACTTATCCTAGCTTGGGGTCAGCTTTATTAATTCTAACAAACTCTTTTTTGTTTGTTTTGAGAAAATGCAAAGTTTGTTTAATCTCTTCAGGTTTCACAACCAGTGGTAGCATAGTGAGTTTATTCACGCCATCATGTTGAATTTTATAAAAGAATCTTACATATGGTTGACTGCTAACATCTACTTGCTTAGTCCCTGAGATTTGCTTATATGGGATAGAGTAGGAATTCCTACAAAAAGAAAGAGAGGTCTGAAAGATAAAATTCCTGGAGTAGCACTGAGTCAGAGTCTCTGGCAGAATCCCAACAAACTCACAGTTCCTGATTTACAGCCCAGGGATTCTTAAACAGTGGTGCCCAAGTGTAGTAACATCATTTGATTGTCCAAACATTAGTTAGCCTCTTCCCTGCCTTATATTATAATGTTCTTCAGGGCAGAAATGACCCGTATCTTGTCCTCTGTTCCTTCTACAGTGTCTAAGTAGATGTCAAGCACATAGTGGGTTATCAATACATTTTGTTAAATGAATGAATTAAAGAAGGACAAGCTATAGCCAAAACTTTAATGGGAGTTTGATGTTTTTTGCCTTTTGCAAGAATCTTGAAGCAAGAAGAATGGATACATTTATTCTTATTATCTCTCTTTTTCATTTAAGATTGTTTACCTAGTGAGAAATCCCAGAGATATAGTTACTTTTGGTTATTATTTCTGGAGAATGAGGATGGTCAAAAATACGGAGTCATTTAAATAATATTTGGAATGGTTTCTTCAAGGATATGGTGAGTCTGACTCTAAATATGGGTTCTTGGCCAGGTGCAGTGGCTCACACCTGTAATCCTAGCACTTCGGGAGGTCGAGCTGGGAGGACTGCTTCAGCTCAGGAGTTTGAGACTGGCCTGGGCAAAATGGTAAGACCTCGTCTCTTCTAAAAATCAAAAAAATTAGCTGGACATGCTGGCCCATGCCTGTAGTCCCAGCTGCTCAGGTGGCTGAAGTGGGAGGATTGCTAGAGCCCAGGAATTCAAGGCTGCAGTGAGCCATAGTCACACCACTGCACTCCAGCCCAGGCAACAGAGCAAGACCCTGTCTCAAAAAAAAAATGGATTCTTCCAGGTGCAGTGGCTCACGCCTGTAATCCCAGCACTTTGGGAGGCTGAGGCAGGAGGATCACCTGAGGTCGGGAGTTCGAGACCAGCCTGACCAACATGGAGAAACCCTGTCTCTACTAAAAATACAAAATTAGCCGGGCGTGGTGGCTCATGCCTGTAATCCCAGCTATGGGAGGCTGAGGCGGGAGAATCGCTTGAATCTGGGAGGCGGAGGTTGTGGTGAGCCGAGATCACGCCACTGAACTCCAGCCTGGGCAGCAAGAGCAAAACTCTGTCTCAAAAAAAAAAAAAGGATTCTTGAAGGGGTAGTGGAGTTTCTGCACCTCAACAGGTATTACTGTCTCACAGTTTAAATGAATGTTGCCATCCAAACTTCTAAGTGTTGTTAAATATCCGATACCTCCAGTTAGCAACAGAAGCTCAGTCAACGTGCTTTGTCCATACAAATTATTCTAAGTACTATGAACATTAAAAAAGATAACTTATGACATTCAAAATAAGAGGAGTGTAATTCACACTACACTGAGATACCATTTCTTACCTATCATACTGAGAAGTGTATTCATTTTTTTATCTCCGCTGTAACAAATTACCATAAACATAGCAGTTAAAGCAAAACAAAACAAAAAAATTATGTTGTGTAGTTCAGAATTCCAAAATATACTTTATGAGCTAAAATTAATGTCTGGGCCTAGCTGCCTGCCATTCCTGAGGCTCCAGGAGAGAATCTACTTCTTGCCTTTGCTGGCTTCAAGAGCAGTGGTCCTCAACCATTTTGGCACCAGGGATGGGATTTCTGGAAGATGGATGGGGCAATGGTTTCAAGGTGAAACTGTTCCACTTCAGGTCATCAAGCATTAGTTAGATTCTCATAAGAAGCGTTCAACCTAGATCCCTCACATGCGCAGTTCACAATAGGGTTCACGCTCCGGTGAGAATATGCTGCCACTCATCTCACAGGAAGCAGAGCTCAGGCGGTGACGTTTGCTCGCTGCTCAACTCCTTCTGTGTGGCCTAGTTTCTAACAGGTCACAGACTGGTACCGGTCTGCGGCCCAGGGGTTGGGGACTCCTGTTCTACAGGCTGCCCTCATTTCTTGTCACAAGGCTGCATCTCTCTTGTCATCAGGTCTCCTTTGCTTCTTACACTTCAGCCTCCCTCCTATAATGACCCATGTGATTACAGTGCCTTCACCTGAATAGTCCATGGTGCTCTCCCTGTTTGAAGATCCTTTAATCACATTGGCAAAGTCATTTTTGCCATGAAAAGTAACAAATGAACAGATTTTGAGATTAAGACATGGACATCTTTGGTGTTGAGAGCGGTGGGGAGGCTCCTTCCTACCACACAGCTAGCATTCAAATTATTCAGATCACTCTAGTGGAGAGACCCTGGGTAGACAGGTATGCTCATATGTTGGCGGTTAGAAGGAAAATGACACAAGTCTGTGTAAGATAAGTTTGCAAATCCTCACATTCTAACACTTAAAATTTACATTTTCATGCAGAATTCCCCCTTCTCCAGTGAAAAAAGTATACAAGCAAAACCACGAAAAAGGTAGATTTACAAAACTATTCAAATGTTTCTTATTTGTAATAGCAAAAAAGAACCAAAATTCCCACCGACAATATCCTGGAACAGCACCCAACTTACAACAAGAATAAGGAATACTGCCACACCACTGCAGAGTGGCCTCTAGGATCCCCTGTTAACTTAAAAAGATTAAGGTATGGAACAAAGTTTGTGACTATTCTACCAATGAACCAAGACAGAGGACAACCCAGAAGACTGCACAGGGAGAGCAGAGCTGGCACAGCTTGGAGTCAGGGTTGGGAGTCAGGTGTGGTCAAGACATGAAGCTACTAACGTCTGCATGGTCGATATCATGGACAGCCTTAAATACAGAATTAAGGAGCTTGGATTTTAACCTGTATTCCGAGTTTAAAAAAATACTGTTTCTGACAAGTACTCTCAGATTTTGGGAGTGGAATTTTTATAAAAGATATTTTAAAGGCTGTAATGCTCCCGCCCCCAAATTTAAAACGTGTTCTAGTTTTGTCAGCTTATCCAAGTCTCCAGCATCTTGCGAGGTTCCCCTATGAACCCATGGAGTATCCATATTTTTAACTACTTCAATTTTGGTATAGCAGCATGGCATGGCCCCAAGGTCCATGATCTTGCATGTTCCTGCATAAATGCTCTCCTTTCAGAGCTCCAAGTGTCTGCATTCAAACAGTGACTATCCAACTTTTTAATAGCTGTTTTTCGGCAGAAAGATGACATAACTTCTATGAGCCTCAGTTTTCTTATTTTTCAAATGGGGATTGGGACTGTATTCATTGAAATAGTGCTGAGACCCCTTCCATGCATAAAAATAATGTGGTATCTTCAGTGTAAGATGAAAAAAAAGTCTTCCTTTTGGTTTTTGAAGGTCTTGGAGTTTATTATCTATATCAGGTTGAACACATCACTTGGTTATTAGAACGTTAGATCATGTCCACAATCAGAGCTCCTATTGGATTATTCCAAACCCTGAGTTGCAGACAACATTAGACATGACAAGGAATTCAAGCAAAAGGGAAACAGAAAACACTGTGCTTTTTCAATGAATCCAATGTAGGAATTGAGCTCCACCTTTTTCAGGAATAGCTGCAATTGTGGAATCAAACAGAAGTCCCTAAATCTCTGCAGTTTTCTGCTTGAATGTTTCATTTTCTAGGTCTCAGTGTAAGTTTCTATTATTTTGTGCCCACATGACCTGAATGTGACCTGACCATTTCTGAGTATGAGGAATTCAATTTTATTGTCCAGATATACAGAGAGAAACAAGTTCACTGTTGATACAAAGAGCAAAAATGTCAAGAGAAGAGGCACTGGTGTGCATACGTCAGATGCCCCACTCTGCAAAAATCAATAATATCTAAGTAATAAGATTCCTCGGGACATGACCCTCCAGCCACATTCATCTGAAGAGAGTACAGATGTGAGGGGGAAAACTCCTGATAACATGTGCTGTCCCAAAGGTTTGTGTGAGTGGAGGATAAACTAAAGATACGTGTTTGCTGCAGTTAAGTACATCATTTTCTGGCATAGCAGAGAGTAGCCAGATTCACAGCAGAAACGACAAAGTCATTGACTCTAAATTAGAGGACACTTAAGTTTAGCTCCTACATTGCTACCTGCATTCTCTTCACAATTCACAATCTATTTCATCACAGACAGAGGTGAGACTCATCTTCAATACTGTATCTCACACAACACCCACTGCTCTGTATCAAGGCTGTAAAGGCAGAATTCCATTTCTCATGCAAATGAGGGAAACAGGAAAAGAATACACGTGTGTAAACGGTAAGTAATACTGTTCAAGACAATTGCAATGGGGGAGAGACAGTGAACTCAACTCCCCAATATAGCAACAACAGTTGGTTTTGTAGCCAACTATAAGAGTAAGGGGGTCAATGGGTGGGAAATCACAAACAGGAACTTGATTAGGTATTAAGGGTAGAATCCTGCTAAAGGCAGGCCAAGGACTTAGACATTAAGGGTGGAAGATGAGGAACCTGATCAAGGATAAGGGAATTCTCACTAAACCTACTTAACAGGATTCTTGCTAAAACTGGGTGCAGCAAGGATGGACACAGAAATCCAAGGTCCAGGCCTACTCAAGAAGAGGGCTCAGGGAAGCCTAAGAAAAGTCTGGTCAAGGAGAGGTCTGGGGCTCAGGAGGACTTACCAGTTCCACCGGAGGAGAAGCTTGAACTCAGTGGGACTTCAATGGGCCCCTGCTGGTACCTTAGCTCCGGTTTCAGGCAACTCCTTAGGGGTCCTGAGTCTTCTCTGAGGCCCCACGTTTGGGCGCCAGATTATTGTTGACGAAGAGTCAAACTCTGTAAAATATTTTAAGAGATTTATTCTGAGCCAAATATGAGTGACCATGGCCCGTGACACCGCCCTCAGGAAGTCTTGAGAACATGTGCCCAAGGTGGTTGAGGTACAGCTTGGTTTCATAGATTTTTAGGGATGCATGAGACATCAATCAAATACATTTAGGAAATACATTGTTTAGGTTCAGAAAGGCAGGACAATTCAGAGTGGTGGCTTCCAGGCTATAGGTAAATTTAAACATTTTCTGGTTGACAATTGGTTGAGTTTATCTGAACACCTGGGATCAATAGAAAGGAATGTTCAGGATAACATAAAGGATTGTGGAGGCCAAATTTTATTGTGCAGAGGAAGTTCTCAGCAGACTTGAGAGAGAGAGCAGGTTGTAAAATGTTTCTTATCAAGCCCAAAAGGGTACCTGGCTCTTAGTTGATTATCTCCTGGATCTGGAAAGAAATGAAGGAAAACAAGGGGGAAAGGAGATTCTCTATAGGATGTGGATTTTTCCCAAAAGAGACTTAGCAGGGCAGTTTCAAGGTATGGCAAGGAAATATATTTTGGGGTTAAATATTTTTTTCCTGGTCTCATAATGTTATGCCAGAGTTATACTGAAAAGTAACTCGTGATGCGTAGGGCCAGACAAAACCCATCTGATGAGAATTTATAGTTTGTAGGGCATGACTCCTTAGACCCCTTAGGTAGGAATTTGGGCAACATAAAAATATCAGAGCTTAGTCCTCATAGCATAGCATAAAAGTCTAGTTCTTTTTTTTTTTTTTTTTTTTTTTTTTTTGAGACAGAGTCTCCCTCTGTCGCCCAGGCTGGAGTGCAGTGGCACAATCTCAGCTCCCTGAAACCTCCGCCTCCCCAGTTTAAGCAATTCTCCTGCCTCAGCCTCCCTAGTAGCTGGGACTACAGGCACCTGCCACCACACCTGGCTAATTTTTGTATTTTTAGTAGAGATGGGGTTTCACCATGTTGGCCAGGACGGTCTATCTCTTGATCTCGTGATCCACCTGCCTCGGCCTCCCAAAGTGCTGGGATTACAGGTGTGAGCCACTGTGCCCGGCTATTTTTTATTTATTTTATTTTACTTTATTATTATTATTATTTTTTGAGATGTAGTCGCGCTCTGTCGCCCAGGCTGGAGTGCAGTGGCACGATCTTGGCTCACTGCAACCTCTGCCTCCCGGGTTCAAGCCATTCTCCTGCCTCAGCCTCCTAAGTAGCTGGGACTACAGGAGTGTGCCACCACGCCCAGCTAATTTTTTTGTATTTTTAGTAGAGACAGAGTTTCACTGTGTTAGCCATGGTGGCCTCAATCTCCTGACTTCGTGGTCTGCTCATCTCGGCCTCGCAAAGTGCTGGGATTACAGGCGTGAGCCACCGCGCCTAGCCTATTTTTCACAGTATAAAATTCAGTGGCCTTGTTATAATCAGAGTTATGCAACAGCCACCACAATAGTTGAGAATACTTTAACGACTAAAGAAATCCTACCCACTAGCCATTACTTTTTATTCTCTTCTCTCGCCAGTCCTTGGCAACCACCAATCTAATTCCTCTGTTTATCTATTTGCCTACTCGGGACATTTCATACAAATGAGATCACAATATGTGGTGTTTTGTGTCTGATTTTTTTTTTTTTTTACTTAGCATAATGTCTTCAAGGCGCATCTAGATTGTAGCATGCATCACTATGTCCTTGATTCAACATATCCCACTAAATTAAAGGGTCAGTTTAGAAACTGATTAAGCCTGTTTGAGCCTATAGTTTCCTTGTGTAAACAGATAATGCATCCACAGTGCTTTGTACCATAGAACATGGGTTGATGTGATGGTTAATTTCAGGTATTAACTTGAATGGATTAAGGAATATGTATGTAACTGGTAAACATTACTTCTGGCTGTGTCTTCAGGGTATTACCAGAGGAGATTGGCTTATAAATCAGTGGACTGAGTGGGGAAGATACACCCTCAACATGGGTGAACACCAGGCTTACCTTCATGATCTATAAATAGCCTTCAAATCAATGCTCATCCACATTTCTTTGACTCACTATATATTTAAGTAAATAAAACCTCTTAATTACTTTTGTTCTGCCTTATCAGCTAGTACACATGTGATTTTAGCTGGATGTACAGAATGAGATCAATTGTTTTGTGGGGTCTCTTTTGTGAAAGGGCTGTATATGCAAAGCATTCCCCAACACAGGAGTCAAGAAACCAAAGAATGAGGTAGACAAATCTAGTATGTGCCTGTAATCTCAGCACTTTAGGAGGCTGAGGTGGGAGGATCACTTGAGGTCAAGAGTTTAAGATCAGCCTGGTCTCTTTATTTTCTCATCTCTGCAGAAAATAAGAAAAGTTAGCTGGGCTTGGTGGCGCACCTTGATGGCACACCTCCTGAGTAGTCCCAGCTACTCAGGAGGCTGCAGCTGAAGGATCGCTTGAGCCCAGGAGGTCAAGGCTGCAGTGAGCTATGATGGTGCTACTGCACTCCAGCCTGAGTGACAGAGCAAGACCTTTTCTCAAGAAAAAAAAAAAAGGCATTGGCTAAATCTAATACAGATGATAAGTACCTATAGTTTGTATAGTTGTTCTATCACTTAGATGATATTAGGCACAACAGGGTATATGTCAGCAAATACCTTATTGAATTCCCTGTAGTCTACTGTCACGTGCCCGGTGCTGTCAGATTTCCTTTCCCAGTCACACAGAACTCCTGAAGGGACTCTGGGCTGGCCGACTAATATTAACTTTGGCTAGTTCCTCTATGGTGGCTGTCATTTCTTTTATTCTGCCAAGAAAATAATTTGTTACTTCACACTGATGATACATCATGGGGGAGGAAAAAGTACAGGTGCCTATTTCACTGCCACTCTTTAAATAGTGTTTACCACCCAAACTCATTGGTGGAATTCCCCCATGGACGTTTGCAAAGTGCATCCTTAAAGGATGTCCATATCCAACATGTTTTCTGGAATAGGTGAGATAAAGACAGTATAGTAAGCAGGGAAACTCCACCATCCAATACCAAGAAGGGGAGGAGTTTGTTCCACTTGGATTGTTTGTCCCCAGTAACCATCTAGAGCTGTCCACTTACCAGCGTGTCTCTCTGGGCTTCCAAGAACTAAGGTGCACTCTGCACCTGTGTCCACTACAACTAGTGTCCTCTGCATGTGTTTTTCAACTCTGATATTGTGAGCTCCACATGGAGCCTCTAGTCACCCTCTACTGCTCATCCCTAGAGGCAACCTTGCCCCCCTTCCGCCCCCTCCCACCCCCGCCCCCCGCCCCGCAGTCTGTAGGCTGGATAGGAGTCCAAGGCTGGAGCAGAGACCGGAGTTCTTTTTTAATACATAGTTTCATCTCCTCCATCCTCCTTTTCTGGCCGGATGCTGGGAAAAGGTCTAAACAGTTGGGCGGGAGTTAAGTCCTTTCAAATGCCCACCAACATGGCATGAGGTTGCTGATTCCGTTTCTTGGTTTATCCCAGCTGAGATCAGATTGTACCACATTTGTTTTCTGGTAATCCTAACTGGGTCTTTTAGACCTCCTTTTTCAAGTCCAACAGACTTGCTATCTCCTTTTCTTTTCCCTTGGTAACCAGTTGGACCTTATCCCTTCCCCTTTCAGTTTCTCCAAGACCAGCTACGGCATCCCGCACATAATATACATCTTGTCCTACAAGGGGACAACTGCAACTGCTGGTCATAGATGGCCTGCTGCATACCCAGCTCCCCTGAATTGCTCTGTGCCTCCTCCAGAGACCACCATGCCAGTGTCTGACCTGGGAAGTCCCCTTCACTGGGCCTCTCGCATAGCCACACCACCATCCATGTGGCTATGCTGTCTCTTGGCAGCTGCTTTAAGAGTTCTTGCTGTGTCCAATAGTTCTGCTGAGGTGTACTCTCAGAGTTAAGCTTTGCTGTGAAAAGACTGCTTGCTATTGTACAGCTGTATCTGTTGGGTTTTGTTTTCCTCCTGCCCTCAAAAGGGGAGGACAATCCTCCTACTCTGAGATAACCTCTGTCTTCATCTGACTCACAAGTCGATTCCCAAGGATTCCAGGTCTCAGCATCTTGGTCTGGTCTAGCAAGGACAGCTCACACTTGCAACCAGTGCAGTTTTTGTCCTCGCAGCTGCATAAAAGCGGCAGACAACAGTTTCCACCTGCACCTCCTGAGTTTCAAGCTTATGCACCAAATTAGATGCTAACACAGATGTGGAGATCCTCATATCCTTCTCTAACTGTAATTACTTCTCTAGCTTCTGTACCTTTGTCTCGGTTGCTAACTGTACTTCTGGGGTCACATGTGCAACCCATAATAGCGGCCACCCCTCTGTTGCCACCTTCAGGGACCTTCAGTGCATGGTGTGGTTTTCTTCTCACAAGCACTCTAGACCCTGTAGTGTTCTGGGCCATCCCCGTACTCAGGCGGTGGTCTGCAGGCATCCAGCAAACGGGCAATATCACCCCACACACACAGAGGGCTGCCCCAAGACTTCCCCAACTGAGGCTTCCTTCCCTTGCCCATACTTTGGCTCCTGAATTCCTCCTGGCTAGCTCACCAACAGTTTCATGAAAGAACCACATAGGGAAAGCAAATCCATACCAAAAAGGAACCAAGAAACCAAAGAATAAGGAAGACAAATCCAGTTTGTCAGTAGAAGGTGATTTATTGGAAAGTTTAGAAACATGTGGCAACAAGACAGGTAGATCTCTGCACTGTTACTCCCCAGACCGAGAGCTTACATACCATATAGAAAGAGCATAAGTGCTTCAGAAGGAATGTGTAGGATCGCTGAAATTGACCCCTCAGGGAAAGGCAAGAATGCTGTGTCTCATAGCCCATAATTTGCCAAAGGACAGGACTTAGGTAAGTACATGTTTATGATAACATCAAGGTTGTCTTGGCTTACACAAGCAACAGTAAGTAAAGTAGAAATCTTGAGGCATTCCTGGGCCTGGGGTTAATCAGAAGTCAACATGGCAGATTAGCATCCAAGATGAAGTGGCATCATCCTGCACAGTGTCCAACGTTGTACACTTGATTAGGAGGGAATAAACGAGATTGAGCACTAGGAGCAACAGTGGCAGGACACCCAACAGCCCAAAGTTGGAAGGAGCACAAGTGTTCACTGATGGATGAATGGATAAACAGAATGTGATCTAAACATACCATGAAATATTATCCAGCCTTTAAAAGGGGAGGAAGTTCTGATGCATGCTACAACATGAATGAACCTTGAGGACATTATACAAGTGAAATAAGCCAGGCAGAGAAGGATAAATGCTGTATGATTCTACTCATATGAGGTACCTAGAGTAGTCAAACTGATAGAGAAAGTAGAATGTTGGTTGCTAGGAGCTGTGGGGATGGGAAGATGGGAAGTCGTTTAATGGGTAGAGTTTCAGATCTGCAAGATGAAAAGGGTTCTAGTGATGGATGGTAGTGATGGCTTGCACCACAATGTGAATGTACTTTACTAACTGCACATTTCAACATGGTTAAGATAGCAAATTTTCATTGTGTTTTTTACCAGAATTTAAAAAGAAAAAAAGGGTTTTTTGTTTTTGTTTTTTTCAAAAAAGTCACAGGACAAAACAAGGTGAGAATGGTCTCATGAAAACCAAAGATATAGAGTGTTTCTAGAATGAAGGATTCATTGAATGCTGCTAAGAAAAAGATGAGATGAGGAATGAAAACATCAGGGGGACTAATGAACAGGGGCACTACTGCTGAAACCATACAGTGTCTTTAAGATGCAGAAGTAGGGTTGAAACCACACTGAAGTAGGTGACACTCTCTTCTTCCTTATCCGGGAATGAGTTGGTTGTTGGTGATCATCAGTCTGATCCACTCCAAGAGAGATCGTAGCAGGGTCCAGTCTGTGCTCTCCTGCGATCATTCGCCATGACTAGAAGTTAAAACTGGGCAAGAACATGTAGACAGTCAGAAAGGCTCATGCTTCTACTGCTCTCCCCTCCCCATTCAGGTCTTCTCCAAGTCATTAATTCCAAGGCCAAGGTGAGTTAATAATGGAATGTCCACCAGGCATGGTGCTCACGCCTGTAATCCCAGCACTTTGGGAGGCCGAGGTGTGCAGATCACGAGGTCAGGAGATCGAGACCATCCTGGCTAGCATGGTAAAACCCCATTTCTACTAAAAATACAAAAAAATTAGCCGGGTGTGGTGGCACAGCTACTTGGTGGGCTGAGGCAGGAGAATCGCTTGAACCCAGAAGGCGGAGGTTGCAGTGAGCCGAGATTGCGCCACTGCACTCCAGCCTGCATAACAGAGTGAGACTCCGTCTCAAAAAAAAAAAAAAAAGAATGTCCATGTGGACTACTTTTCTGACTGCCCTCAATATCTTTGTTTTAGAAACAAACTTAAAATGTGATTCAGTAAAGTAAGCAGATTAGAAAATCTTGTTCTAAGCTACAATGTCATATACAAGAGAATCTGCCTGGTATTGCCCCAGAGAATATTCAGTCTTCAGTTTTATAAATCCTGGCTGCACCCTCAACACAGAGGCACCCAATGTTGACAAGCCCATGTGGGAAGCACCTCAATTATAAGCCAGTACCTCTATTTGAGAGGAAATATAGGTTTGGTACTCACATGTGAAACCCAATTGGGTTTTTCTAACCATGATATTACCTATTCAGACCATGTCTTTCCCAGCTGAAAGGACTCAGATGCATCATTTCAGGAGCTCTACATAAAACCTCTAGCATTGAGTGACCCTGTGCTATAAAATGTGAATGTGTACTCATCATAGATTATAGTTTAAATCATATGGCATTAAAACCATCAAAACTGTATGAAACTCCCTTGAAGCATCTTAGGTGATGTGGTAGTAGCAGTATTATCAAGATATTATAGGCCAGGTGTGATGGCTCACACCTGTAATCCCAGTACTTTGGGAGGCCAAGGTGGGCAGATCACCTGAGGTCAGGAGTTTGAGACCAGCCTGGCCAACATGATGAAACCCCATCTCTATGAAAAATACAAAAATTAGCAGGGCATGGTGGCACATGCCTGTAATCCCAGCTACCCGGGAGGTTGAGGCAGGAGAATCGCTTGAACCTGGGAGGCAGAGGTTGCAGTGAGCCGAGATCACGGCACTGCACTCCAGCCTAGGCAACAGATAGAGACTCCATCTCAAGAAAAGGAAAAAAAAAAAAAAGGTATTACAGTATTATGCTATCACATTGTATTACTACTGTGCTATGTTTCATTTGCTGGCTTACTTACTGTCAGGCTGATTCATTTTACCGTGACATCCATGATTATGAAGACCATGTTTATTATCTTACTATTTTTACTGTTTTATACTAATTTGGCAAAGTGCTTAAAACGTTGTAGAGATTTAAGAAAATATAGGATGAATAAATGAAAAAGAAAACAAATAGCCCAAGCAAACAGCCCAAGACCAAGCTCTGTAATATGATTGTGACTTTATCTCAGAAAATTCCAGTTTGAACCTTGGTTCCACATTTTGTCTACTGGCAAATAGTGCAGCGTCTTTGAAGCACAGTTTCTGTGTGTTTAAACTGGCAGTACTGATTCTTCCATGTACTCACTTCTGATTATTAATTAACTTATGTATGCATTCATGCCTTTTATTCCTTCATACATTTAAGTATTATGCACCTATCATGTGTCAGGCTCTGAAACAGGATTGAGAAAAAGGTGATGATTAAGATGACCCCAACCCACATATTAAGGGAATTTACAGATTTGTATTTGGGCACGACAAAGAGTAGACATATACTTGGTTTCTGTGGTGACAATATCATTTACTGACAGCCTAGCTTAGTATCAGATCCCAGGGTGCAGTTGGTGAAAACATCTATTTTAAGAAATATCATAGATAGGTAAAGAGGGTGAGGCAGGGAGAAAAATACAGAAAAAGTATTGGTTGTCCCAGGAGATTAAATGCAGTGTTTACTGATGGAGTTATGCAGATGGAGGATTTGGTGACTTTGTCAAGCTGAACGAGGAGAAAATCTGGAGTTATTAACTGATTCCATTTACCCACCATCTTTCTTTGTACTATTTCCCTCACAATTTTCACTCTTATCTACATTGCAAAAACTGTCTACGGGGTTATTTTGCTTTAAACACTCAGCTGTCTTTTAAGTTAATTGGAAGAGGAAAGAAAATGTCTTTTAAATTTACTCCTTTACTGTTTCTTGGCTTCTTCCTTCCTTCCCCCTTGACATACACTATGATTCCTCACAGACTGAAGGACTTTAGAATTCGTTGTCGTGTAGAGCTGACAGCAATAAATTCTCACAGCTTTCATGTTTCTAAGATTACCTTGAGTTCATCCTCATACGTGAAGCATATTTAGCATGAAGGTTTTTTTTCCCCCTTCAGCACTTTAAAGACAACTTTCCATTTTCATTAGGCCTTTGTTTTTCTGATGAGAAGTTAGGGGGCATTTTTCTCCTCTTTCTCCACTGCCTGGAATGTGTCTGTTTGTAGCTGGCTGCTTTCAATGACTCAGCTAGATAACAGGAGTGTTAAGAAGCTGTTAGAAGTCACTACTATTTGGTAAAATTCTGGTGATCTTGCCCCATGCCTGTACAGCCCAGCCCTTAGCCATAAATGTACAGAGGACTCGGACGCAGACTTCTTTCATTGATCCATTATAGCTGTATGTCTAGCACATAGTAGGTTCTCAATACATTTTGTTAAATGAATGATTTAAAGAAGGCTGAGCTACAGCCAAAGACTCTAATGTGAGTTAAATTTTTTTATCCACTTGCAAAAATCCTGGAGCAAAGGAAATGGATATATTTATTCTCAATATCCCCTTTTTCATTTACGATTATTTACATAGTGAGAAATCCCAGAGATGCTGTTATTTCTAGTTACTATTTCTGGAGAGCAATAAGGATGGTCAAAAATCCAGAGTCATCTGAAGAATATTTTGAATGGTTTCTTCAAGGACATGGTGACTATGACTCAAAATAGGGGTTCCTAGAAGAATGGTGGAGTTTCTACGTCCAGGTCTTACTGTCTCATGGTTTAAACAAATTTTGCCCTCCAAACCTAGGTGTTGGTTAAATCTCTGGTACCTCCAGTTAGCAACAGAATCTCAGTGAACATGCTTTGTCCCTCCAAATTATTCTAAGTGCTGTGACCATTTAAAAATACAACTTACCATACTCAAAATAAGAGAAGTGTAATTCAAACCACACCGAGATACCATTTCTCACCTATCACACTAGGAGGTTCATTAGTTTCTCTCTGCTGTGATGAATTACCACAAATACAGCAGTTAAAACTAAGCAGTTTTGTTTAAACTGCCATGTTCTGCAGTTCAGAATTCCAAAATATGTCTTATGAGCTAAAATTAATCTGTGGGCCTAGCTACCTGCCATTCCTGAGGCTCCAGGAGAGGATCTACCTCTTGCCTTTTCTAGCTTCTAGAGGCTGCCCTCACTTCGTCACATGGCCACATCCTTCTTGTCATCACATCTCTTTCTCTGCTTTTGCCACTTATGCCTGCCTCTTAAAATGACCCTTGTGATTACACTGTCTCCAGCTGGATAGGCCAAGATAATCTCCCCATCTGAAGATTCTTTAATCACACCTTCAAAGTCACTTGCGCTATGAAAAGTAACACATTCACAGATTTGAGGATTAGGATATGGACATCTTTGGTGTGTGTGTACTGGGGGACCTGCTGCCTACCACAGCTAGCATTCAGATCATTCCAATCACCCTAGTGGTGAGACTCTCATAGACAGGCATGCTCATATATTGGTGGTTAGATGGAAAATGACATAAATCTATGTAGGAAAAGTTTGCAAATTCTCACGTTCCTGCAGTTACATGTTCATGCAGAATTCCCCCTTATCAAACAGAAGAAGTACAAAAGCAAAAACACAAAAAAAGATGGATTTACAAAACTATTCAAATGTTCTTTACTTGAAATAGCAAACAAGAAAGAACCAAAATTGCCACTGACAATATTCTGGAATAGTACCCAACTTAAAACAGGAATAGGGAATACTGCCACATCACCGCACAGTGGCCTCCAGGATCCATTGTTAACTTAAAAAAAATAAGATATAAAGAAAAACCTGTAGACTAGGCTACCAAGGAACCAAGCTGAAGGACAAACTCAGGAAACTGCATGAGGTGAGAAAAGCTGGTACAGCTTAGAACCAGGATGGGAGTTAGGTGTGGTGAAGGCATTAAGGTACTAATATCTGCATGGTCAACATCATGTGCAGCTTTAATCACTATATTAAAGAGCTTCAAATTTAACCTGTATTTCAATTTTTTAAAATATTGTTTTTAAAGGGTGGACTTCCATAAAAGTTATTTTTAAAGGCTATCATGCCAAAAATAAAAAATTTAAAACATCATTTTTCTTTCTGCCAGCTTGTGCAATTATCTGGCATCTTGTGAGATTACCTTGTAATTCATGGAGTAACCATATTTTTAACTAGTACAATTTTTGCTATAGCAGCATAACATGCTCCCAAAGTCCATGATCTAGCATGTTCCTGCATAAATGCTCTCCTCTCAGAGGTCCCAATGTCGGCATTCAAACAGCGATTATTCAACCTTTTACTAGCTATTTTCAGCAGAAGAATGGTTTAACTTCTACGAGCCTCAATTTTCTTATTGACCAAAGTGTTCAGAGCTGCTCCATGTTACAAAAATACTTAGCATCTCTGGCTGGGTGCAGTGGCTCACACCTGTAATCCTAGCAATTTGGGAGGCTAAGGCAGGCGGATCACTTGAGGTCAGGAGTTAAAGACCAGCCTGGCTAACATGGTGAAACCCCGTCTTTACTAAAAATACAAAAAAATTAGCCGTGCATGGTGGTGGGCACATGTAATCCCAGCTACTTGGGAGGCTGAGGCAGGAGAAGAGCTTGAACCTGAGAGGCAGTGAGGTTGCAATGAGCCAAGATCATGCCACTGCACTCCAGCCTGGATGACAGAGCACGGTTCTGTCTCAAAAAATAAAAATTAAAAAAAAATGTAAAAATACTTGGCATCTTTATTGTAAGATTTTTAAAAGCATCCACTTTGGTATTTGAAGTTCTTGGGGTATATGATCTACATGGAATTGAGCAGATCACTTCATTATTTGCACTTCAGCACCATCATGTCCACAGCCATAGCTTTTACTGAATTATGCCAAACCTTTAGTTGCAAGAAATATTAAATGTAAATAATTTGAGCAAAAGGGCAATTATGAAAACACTATGCTTTTTCAATGAATCCTACATAAGAATTCAACTCGACCTCCTTAGAATGAGCTGGAGCAGTGGAATCAAACAGAATTCCCTCAATCTCTGCACTTTTCTGCTTGAATGTTTCACTTTTTATGTTTCAGCATAGGTTTCTATTACGTATGACCCGAAAGCAAGCTGACCATTCCTGAATATTAGTTCTTCTATTTTACTGTCCAGATTTACAGAGAGAAACAGCAAGTTTACTCTTGATATGAAGACTAAAAATATCAAGGGGAGATGCTGGTGTGCATGTGTCAGATGCCCCACACTATATGTCAACAATATCCAAGTAACAGGATCCCTTGAGACATGACCCCTCCAGCCACAGTCATCTGAATACAGTGCAAATGTGAGGAAAAACCTTCTTGGTGGGTAGAAGATAAGCAAAAAACATGTGTTAGCAGCCATTAATTACATCATTTTCTGGCATAAGAGAAAGCAACTAAATTCATGATAGAAACAACAAAGTCATTGACTTCAAAAAAAAAAGAACAATGAAGTTTAGCTCCTATATTTGCTAACTGAATTTTCTTCATAATTGAAAATCCACTTCACAGGTAGAGGTGAAACTTATCTTCAATACTCGATCTCACACAGCACCTGCTGCCTTGTATCTAGGCAGTAAGGGCAGAATTCTATTTCTCTTGCAAATGAGAAAAAAGGGAAAAGGATTTCCATTCACTTCACCCATGTGCTCCTTAACTACTTATGGCATGCATACAGTGGGCTGCAACTGTGCAGACAATCAAACCCATCACCTCTTTTCCTCATCTTTCTCACAGTGACTCATGACTCATGGTATGACCACACTCATGGCTGGCTACAAATGAGAGGAAAAAAGAATGTCCTGATAGTAGCATGTGAGGAACTGCATCAGGTAACCATCTTTCCCCAAAATTCACTCTCTTTCACACCATTTCACAGCTATCTTCCCTCCATTAATGGTTCTATTCCACTGTCCCATTCAAAGGTTATCCCAGTGAGAAGATCAAGGATGGTCGCTGTCTGCCTTTTCTTCATTGTTCCAGTTAGGTGGCAAATGTTATTTATTCAATTTTCTTATTTCCTCTGGCAACATTTCATGCATGTATTGAGGAAGAGCTTAACATATACATGCTGAGGGCTATCAACAATTCTAGGGAAAATTTTGATGAATTCTAGAAACCCAGAGGCAGTGTCAGGAATGGGTGGGAAGGAAGATGGGGCTTTGAGGGGGCTTCAAAAATGGAGCAAGAAGTATTTATATATTCCAAGATTGACAGGAAATTGGATTCCAGCAAGGATGGAGCACGTCAATATTCAAAGACATGCACAGAAAGGGATGGGTGCCATCAAAAGTGGCTGAAATAGAGCTTAAAGTTCAGTCAATGTGCATTGGGGCAGCTAAAGGCCGGGCTCTCCTCAAGGGGAACCAAGGTTTGAGTTTTACAGGATGAGAAGAGAGGAGTATATCTCTGTGTCTGAACTCAGGTGGCAGTTTTCGTCTATTGTGAAACCTACTGTTCTAGCCTCTCTTGGTTTTCTTGTCCCTTGCTCAGAGTGGTTGGGACAATCCCACTCTAAAGAACTGTTTTGCAAATCTCACAAAGAGTCAGTTAATAACCATTTATGGGGTAGAGAAGAAAATAAAAGAGGGAAAACTGGGGAATCTATCATTTCTGTTCTAGTCCATTTACATGGGTGATATACAAAATTAGGAAAGCTGGTCATTTTGGTTGAAAGATAGCTCTATCTTAGAGATTTAAGTTGGATTAAAAGAGGTAAAATACACCATAATCATTTCCCACTCACCATCTATGCTGTTGCTGTTTCTTCTGCTAGAAAAATTTATGGTGTCCTTGCATTGATTTGACTAATTCTTTACAAAACAGCTTAAAATTATCTAGCATATAATCTCCCTAAAAATTCATACCCTCAGACTAATCACACACACACAAAAGTCACACAAACTCAAACTGAGGGACATTTGATAAAAATCCTGATGAGTGACAAGGTCATAAAAGATAAAGACTGAGGAATCATTGCAGACCCAAGTAGACTAAGGGACATGATGGCTTAAAGAAATGTGAGATTTGTGACTAGAACCTGGAACTAAAAAAGATAATACTTGGAAAAACAGTGGAAATCTGAATAGTCTGCAGTTTCTCTGAGAGTATTGTACCAATGTGAAGGTTTTAGGTTGACTAAGGTACCATGGTTCTATATGATGGTAGCATTAAGGAAAGCTGGGGAATGTGTATATAGAAACTCTGTACCATCTCTGCAGCTCTTTGGTAATCCAAACTTATTTAAAAATAAAACTATTCAAGAAAGAATGAAAAAAATTCACTACTTCATAAAAGCCTTTTCTGAAATAATTAATATCCTAAAGTTATATGTTCCCGTAGCTCTCAAAACTTGTTTTCTTTTTTAATATTCCTTGCCATTTATTTATGTCAGTGTTGGTTTGCCAGCCCATGTTCCTCTAGTTTTCAGGCTAAGAATGTATCAAGGACACTCAGATCTAACGGCATTTAAACAGTCTATTTGCCTCTGAAGAGCATTCTCTTATAAACACTATTCTCTATCATTTATTCAGATTACACGTTTGCCAGACGAGCATAACAAACTCATTCTCTTCCTATTTCTCATTTTTTCTTTCCTCCTCATCTTCATTCTCTGCTGCCACTGTTTGTTTTCTTTTTCCCCATTGTATTTACCCTCATGTCCTCTCTCTTGTGGTTCTCATCCTAGGACATAAGAGCCAGTGTAGAGATAATCAGCCAATTACTGGGCAAGAAACTAAGCCCAGAAGAACTGAACTCAAGTCATTAAGCACACATCCTTCCAGACCATGAAAGATAATAAAATGAGCAACTATTCCTTACCATTTATGCCTGAGGTTGCAATTTTTTGAATTTCTGCAATCAGACCTTGGCAATGACTTGAACAGTAGGATATAACTCCCACATGCTTAGCATTCCAATAATGGAACACTAGCCATAAATGGGTACTTGATAACTATATGCATCACAGTAAAGGATGGTTCATGAGAAAAGGTAAGAGTTCTAGTATTAGGATGTGAAAGAAATAAAGACTGAATTTCCCTTCTTCTATTGATACACTAAGACATGAGACAAGAAAAATATTTGACTTTATAAAATAACATAAGTGGCTCATGACTTTGAATGACTAAGAAATGGAGTATTTTTAAGATTATGAAGAAGACTTCTGAAAACAGAGCATTGTTAATGAATAGTGTATATCTTGGGAAACCATCTGGCCTCTGGCCACACTCTTTTTTTTTTTTTTTTTTTGAGACGGAGTCTCGCTCTGTTGCCCAGGCTGGAGTGCAGTGGTGCAATCTCGGATCACTGCAAGCTCCACCTCCCGGGTTCACGCCATTCTCCTGCCTCAGCCTCCCGAGTAGCTGGGACTACAGGCGCCTGCCACCACGCCTGGCTAATTTTTTGTATTTTTAGTAGAGACGGGGTTTCACTGTGTTGGCCAGGATGGTCTTGATCTCCTGACCTCATGATCCGCCCGCCTCGGCCTCCCAAAGTGCTGGGATTACAGGCATGAGCCACCGTGCCAGGCCTGGCCACACTCATTTTCTAGATATTGTTCATCATGTAGAGCACTCTCACGTTTTCTTCTTAGAGAGTTTCTTCTGCTCACAGTGCTGATCTAGGCCCTAGCCCTGTGGAGTGAGTCTTTCTTCACATATACTGAAAATAAGGAATGTTTATCCCACCAAAGAGGCTGAATAGAACCCCTATGGAGAAAAACAGAGGGCAGACATGTGACTTATTACAGGTCAAACCTTCATCTGAGACCCTGTAATAAAGCCTAAACATGCTCACCACACAGTGGGCACTGGAAAGAATGAGGTTGCTGACTTCACAGGGTGGGAAGATTCCATTTTCAACCTGCAGTCTACAATGGGGTGGTTGGGAAGACCTCAAGGAGAGGATGATATTGACCTATTTGCTGGGCTCCCCAAGGGAAGAGCATTCCAGGTAAACGAACAGCAATGTACAAAACCTTGATGTGGAAGCAAACCAGCCACGTTTGAGGAAGAACACAGGAGGCCAGTGGGACTAAAGTGGAATCTGAGAGATCACAGTGTGGGGTTTCATTAGAGTTGTCTAGGCCATTGTGAGGAATCTGGATTCTATTCTTTGTGAGGTAGAAAGTCGCTGGAGAAGTTAAAGGAGACCAGAACATGATCTGACTTAAGGTTTTATAAAATTAATCTACCTGATATGTTAAGAATACATGACTATAAAAAAGTGACAGAATGAGTTAACAAGTTGTTGAAGTAATCCACGTGGAAAATGATGGTGTCAATCATCAAATGGCCAAATAAAAAGAGGTTCAAGGATGGGGGGTTCATCAGCAACCTCACATCTTGGTAAAGATTTAGGTAGAAGAAGGACTAATTGATCCTTTAATTTAGCATCATGGACAACTTTTGGTGACATTTATAAGAGCAATTTCAATGGTGGCGTTAGAGGCCCAGTGTGTTCAAGGAAAAATGTTATCAAGGAGCCACAGACAAAGAACAAAGACTACTCTTTTTAGGATCTTTTCTGAAATGGGGAACAGAGAAATGGGGGAGTTGTTTAAAGAGTATGCATGACTTAGAGTAACAGTGTTTTTAAATTAAGGGAAATTCCAGAACATTTTTATTATTCTAGAATGATTTAAGAGAGTAGGAAAATTATGTGGAAGACAATGCTCATAATTATTAGAGCAGACAATGCTCATAATTATTACAGCAGACAATGCTCATAATTATTAGAGCTACACCCTGAGCAAGTAAGCAAAGCAGTGAGAAAAGTGAGCCTCAGATGAGTGGTTGCCCTTCAGCAGGAACATGGACAGCTCATCCACAGTAATGGGAGGGGGCAGGGGGATGATTGTCCTGTTGGGAAATGTGGAACTTCTTCCTGACCCATCCTGGTTTACTCATTAAATGTGCCTCAAGGTCATCGGATGAAAGAGAAGATTGGAAGAAGCTACTGAAGGTAAAGCAGAAATATAAGGTATGATGTTTTCTCAGGCAACAAGTCTTGGTGTAAGTGGACATTAAGGTTAAAGAGAGATAAGTAAGCAAGGTTTTCTGGTTTCATCTCCTGTCATGTTTAAAGTTGAGTTTACTTGGGATTAGTGTTTATCAGATGAATTCTCTCTAGCAAAAAATGCAAAGAAGTGACTAAAGTAATTAAAGTGACTAAAGTAATTAATTTCAGCATCTCAATGTGGGCTATGAAGTAAATTAGCTCATGAGAGGAAAGGGATAGTAAGATGAAGGTAGATCACTCAATTGTAATTCTCGAGTTGAAGTACTGTGGAAATGGAGTAGCTGCTAATGCACATTTTCTTAAAATATAGATATGTGACATTGAAATGATGGTGGAAATACATACATTATTAATGAAACACAGGTGGGGTAATCTTTTAGTTGAGTGGCTGATGGGGTAGAAGACATGGTCACTAGAAAAGGTCAAGGAACAGAGAGGTGGAGCAAGATGGCAGGAAGGAACACTTCAGCAAACCCCCAGGCAGGAAAATAAATTTCAACAACTATCCATGCAAGAAAATATATTCACAAGAGCTAAGGAAACTAGATGAAAGATCACAGTACCTGGTCTTAGCATAACAAGGAAAGACAATTGAAGACAGTAAGAAGGATACTCTCCCACTGGCCTCACCTCCCTTCTTCCAACCCTAGGCAGCATAGCACGGAAGGCCTTAAAGGAAGGAGAGGGAAACGTGCATGGTACAAGTACTTGCCCTGCCACAGTAAAACACAGCACTGGGCAGAACCTCAAGGCCCCTGAGTACAGAATGGTGGCCATGAACAGAGATTTTAGATCCACCCCAGGCCAGAAGAGAATCTGCCACCCACACAGGAGGGTCCCATGTCCCAGACCACTTCACTGCTGGCTGACTAAAATGGCCTCAGCCCTAAATCAATTCACTGGCAGGCAGCCTCAAATCAATTCACTGGCAGCCATAAGCCTTGGGCAGGTAAAGAGACAACCTACAGATTGGGAAAGAGTAATTTGCAAACCATGCATCTAACAAGGGATTAATATTCAGAATATGTAAGGAACTCAATTCGATAGCAAAAAACTAAATAATCTGATTTTAAAATGGGAAAAAACCTGAATAGATACTTCTCAAAATAAGACACACAAATGGCAAGCAGGTATATGAGAAATGCTCTATATCACTAAGCATCAAGGAAACGGACATCAAAAGGACAGACAGCTCCTGGCCAGCTTTCACAGTACAATTGCTAAGATTATATACTGTGATGGGATATAGGTGCAGAAGAATGCCCTGCCATGTGCAGTACCTCTAGCCTTTGATTAGTACAGCAGAAATAGCAACCATTAGGACTGTGGAATAGGTGCCTTTTAAAAAGTGCTACTAATGCAAAGAGCAGAGAAAATAACAATCTCAGATACCTTAATCAGCATTCTAAAGCGTGAATATCAAAAGGAGCATTTAAAGAAACTGTCATCTCTTGCAGTCAGAGGGCAGGCAGAGCTCAAGTCCGAGCATATGCACTTATTGGAAGAGGTGACTCAGGCTCAATTTCTCAACTACACAAGTCTCCCAAGCCAAAGTTGGACCCTTGATGAGGAAAGAGTTGGCTTTAGGACCGGAGATGGGACATATAAGCAGATGAAGTTGTAGATCTTAAACAGTCATATTCTCTTTAGCCTTATTTTTGCTTTAAGAAGAGTTTCATTCAGTTTCTTGAAAGATAAGGCCCCCCTTCTTTGAAGACCATGCAGAAGCATCATATCAGCTATGTACCTCACAAGATAATGCTTGCCTTCCATAGGAATGTGTATACCATCGAGGCCAGGATTTCAAGACCAACCTGGCTAACATGGTGAAACCCTGTCTCTACTAAAAATACAAAAATTAGCCGGGCATGGTGGCAGGTGCCTGTAATCCCAGCTACTCAGGGGGCTGAGGCAGGAGAATTGCTTGAAAAAAACCTAGATATGACTGTGATTTTAAGACTTTTGCAAAACACAATGCAAATAAGCCAGCACACAACACTGAGTAAATGTTTGTCAAAGGGTAGACAGCAGTGTCTCGTAGTTTCTATAATTTGCTGAATTTATTTTTCATGTGTTCAGTAGATAACTTCAAGATATAAAGAAACCTGGTGCACAACTGGGTTATCGATCGTAAGCATTTGAGCAAAACTACACACCAGGGTTCATGCCTGACCTCAGGGTAGGAGAAGCTCCAGGACTAGTGGGATGTGACTGATAAGTGAAAGGGAGGGAGAGAGAAGCATACATTTGTGACAGCATAAGGAGATTCATTTGCATGTAAGCATCTAGCACGAAAAGATATATGCTGTTTCCTTAACTCTTCAACACCATGCTCTCAAATCCTCTGAAAATATTTCTCCCACAAGAACTTTATTCTGTTGTCACAATTCAGGCCCTTGAAATCCCACAAATAAACTGTATACCTCCCCAGTGATATCCTGACTCAATTCTCTCTGCTTAATCCCTTCAAACAATACTCACAAATATGAGTTCTGCTATGGGCTATGATACAGAAGCTTGTACTAGACAAGTCTTCCTATCATAGCATATGGCAGATGCAACTATGTATGGTAGATCCAACTGTGTATGGTAGACACTGATAGCAATAACTTAAGCATACTCTGAAAATGACCCAGCATGGCAGACGCACCTGAATACATGTTCGGAGTTCCAAATATGACCAACATGGAGATTCATCTTTATCTATGATAAATGCCTGAGTCCCTGGCCTGTCCTGTGGAACGTGGGCCCTATAGGGGATTAAGGCTCTTTGTCTTGGGTTAAATGAGTCCCTGGCCTGTCCTGTGGAACGCTGGCCCTATGGGGGCTGAGGCTCTTTGTCTTGGGTTAAATGAGGGTTGCCATGTGGATGCTGTTAGGAGGAGAGTATTAAGTGAAAATGCTATACAAAGTCCATGCTTTCTGCAGGCGGTGGCAGTTCTCCTGTTCAGCCTACCACCACTGGACCACTCTGTATGTAAGTTCCATCTCACATATAACCTATGCCTCATTTCCTGGATCTGAGTCTCTTCTTCAGCCTCTTGAACCTGGTGCCATCCCTTTTGGAGCTGAAAGAGTTGCAGCATGACACAATAGCATACTACGAAATTAAACTATATCGGGGCAGTTTTGAGGCAGTGGACAAAAGATTCATGTGAGAGGGGAACCTGTTAACAAGCTGAGCCTCTTTATCTCCCCATTCTCTGTCTAGGGATAATTCCTCAACTACAGTGGACAGAGCTGGAATCTGAGCCAAGCGGAGCAGTCATGCTGAGTTCAGGAAGCCTCACTGCTAAATGCCACCTATCAAAGTGGCCTCCCCTGACCATCCTGTGTAAAATAATCCCTCCTTCCTCTCTAGACTTTCTAGCGTCTTTACCCTACTTTTTTTTTTTTTTTTTTTTTTTTTAACAAATTAAATCTTGGGCTGGGCGTGGTGGCTCACGCCTGTAATCCCAGCACTTTGGGAGGCTGAAGCGGGCAGATCACGAAGTCAGGAGAGTGAAACCATCATGGCTAACAAGGTGAAACCCCGTGTCTACTAAAAGTACAAAAAAATTAGCTGGGTGTGGTGATGGACACTCGCAGTCCCAGCTACTCGGGAGGCTGAGGCAGAAGAATGGCCTGAACCCAGGAGGCGGAGCTTGCAGTGAGCAGAGATCACGCCACTGCACTCCAGCCTGGGCGACAGAGCAAGACACTGTCTCAAAAAAAAAAAAAAAAGATTCCAGATACTCTGGAGCTGTCATAGGATCAGGTATTTAATTTATGCCTGTAATTCCCATGGGTTCCTGGGGCAGGGGGGGAAGTGGTGGGGAGTCCTGAGGTGAGAGTGAGGGAAGGTCTGACCAAATCCAAGACCAGGACTAGATTCTGGACCTGGGCTCTGGGACAAACTGTCTTAGAAAACTCATGGGTGTCTTGGGAGATAGTTGCTTTATTCGGAGAATGGGCACAACAGAGCCTGATCAGGAGCCAAGACATCCGACCCACACACTCTGGTTTCTCTGAACTAGGACAGTCTGAGGCATAAAGCTTTTTCCCAGATTTTCGCACTAACATGCCCCTAAAACAGCAGAAAGGATGACATACTTTCTTGGGAGGTGGTTTAAAGAAAACAAAGAAACTGCCAAGTGACAGATTTATCCTAAGATTTCTTGGATCTCTTGACCACACCCCTTATTCTAGTATTACCAGGTATTTAGAACAATCTCCAGTCTAGAAAGAAACTTGCTCCAAGGAACAACTCAGAGAACGGCTTACAGGATTAAAGAAAACCTTAAATGGAAAAATTCACTTTTGACCAGGGACAACAATCAGTAAGTGCTAGCTGCTAGTCACAGAGGTAATGGTAAAAGTCCTAATAGTAGTATCTGTTAGCTTTTATTTTTATTATTGCTACTACCTAATCACAGAAATGGGAAACCAAAACTAGTTCCTCACACATTCTCCCTACTACCTAGTCCCCAAAACTTGCTCAGAGTCACCTGGGAAGAAAGAAATCACAGGCCCTGGGTTCCCCTCACACATATACCCACCTATGCAACTACAAAAACTGGGTCTCAACACACAGGCGGGTACACACACACAGAGTCAAAAACACTGGCTTTCCTTGGCCGGTCGCGGTGGCTCACGCCTGTAATCCCAGCACTTTGGGAGGCCGAGGCGGGCGGATCACGAGGTCAAGAGCCCACATGGTGAAACCCCGAATCTACTAAAAATACAAAAAACTTAGCCGGGCGTGGTGGCGGGCGCCTGTAGTCCCAGCTACTAGGGAGGATGAGGCAGAAGAATGGCTTGAACCTGGAGGCGGAGGTTGCAGTGAGCCGAGATCGCGCCACTGCACTCCAGCCTGGGCGACAGAGCGAGACTCCGTCCCAAATCAATCAATCAATCAATCAATCACTGGCTTCCCACACACACACAACACTCATCCACAAAAACTGGCTACGGCTCGAAACCTTAGTCGGATAGTATTTTAGGCTTTATGGGCCACAAGATCTCTGCTGCAAGTACTGAACCCTGCCATTGTGCAAAAGCAGTCATAGAATAGACGTAAATATACACAAGTATACATATTCAAAATGTGTGGTTCCCCACAGAGACGTACACACCGCAAAAACTGGGCTCTAGAGTCAACAGTAAATAGTTCAGGCTTTGTGGGGCCACACAGTACCTGTTCCCACCTACTCAACTCTGCCCTTCCGCAGAAGTGGATGCAGAAGCTAAACAAATGTCCAGAACATACACACATATTCAAAATCAGTGCCCCCCGCCACGTACAAAACCACAAAAATCGCCTCAGAGACACACGTATAAGAAAACACAAAGGTTCGTCCTCACACATGTTCAGGGTAACACAATGTGGGTCTCACCTACACAAACGCGCGATCAAAACCCGGGACCCGCACGCCCAGATGACCGGGACGAGGCCATACTTCACATCTTCTCTCACAGACTCACAATTACGCAACGGTCACCTCAAACGACTTTATGGCGGACACTCCCGGACCTTCCGCTGTCCGCCCCTCCTCGTCCCTTCTCCCCGCCGGGGTGAGCCTCATCCACCCAGTCTCAACCCCGACGCAGTCAGTCTCACTGCCAGCCCGCCGGCTACGCAGGCGCAACACCGCATGGAACAGCCCCCAGGGCGTGCAGGGGCCGTTGGGAAATGTAGTCCGAGCGCCACGCAAAGGACTGTGGGCCTCTTCGCAAAACGTGCAGGTGAGTCCCCACTGTTGGCCAAAAGAAACATCCCTCCGCTGCTCTCCCGGGTCAGTTCATCTCCGACCCGGACAGAGCAGAACCAGCGCAGCCCAAGCCTTCTTCACCTCACGTTCTGGGTGGGACTTTCCACAGCCTCGCTGCACCCCGGTGGATTCTGGAGGTCGCAGGATGACTGCGTAGTGCGCACGCGCGGGTGGGCGGTGTCCGCCTCCGCGGGTGAGGCCGGCTCCAAACCTCGTGAATGTGGGGGCGAAGGACGCTGGCTGGCTGGAGGCAATAAGCCCTCACACGGGAACGTGTGGTTGTGGGAGCGGGGAAGGCGGCGAATTGGGGAGGTTGGGTTTGGTTAAAGAGCTCGAGGAAGGGCCTCAGTGTCCACACGTGATCTCCTGAGAGGATGAAAAGCAGGGCCAGGCGCCAGTCCCCTAGGAGACCGGTGTGCGTGCCAGCCTCGGGGGTGTGCGCAGGCGCGGGACCTCGCGCGTCCGCCTGCACCAATCGTGCGAACGCGCTTGTGCGTGTGGCGCTGAGGGGTCGGGGCCTCAGGCCGGGGCTGGTGGTACTGTCCCCGAGAGGCGGGTGAGCGCACGCCGCGTGGCCTTGTTTGGGGGCGGGGCCACGCGCCCGCATGCGTGGTGCGTGTGTGAAGGGGGGTGCAGCGCGCGGTCCCGGGGTCCCGGAGGGGAGTGCGCAGGCGCTGAGTCCCTGCTCGGCTGTCTCGGTGGTCGCCGCCGGGGTCTGAGCCCGGGAAGACCGAGGTAAGGGGGCTGGCGAGAGTGTGGGTGTGTCTGAGGGCGTGGGCGGCGCGCCCGCCACTGCGTGGACGTTCCTGCCAAGGCGCGCGTGGGTTTGCGCATCCACGATGGCGTGGGCGTCTGCGCGGGTGCTTGCGTGGGCGGTGGGCTCGCGCCTGCGTGGGTTCTCGGCCCGCCACGGCGTGGGGTTTGCGCCCTTCGCTGCTGTGGTTCTCGGGGCTTGTGCGCCCAAGTGTGAAGTTGGCGCCGCGTGTGAGGCGAGCCGTGTGTGCCTGTGTGTGAGGGAGCTATGTCGGGACCGCGGATGTGTATCGCTGCGTGACCCACGCGAAGGAAACAATGGAGCCATTGGGAAGCCGGGAGTGGGTGTGTGACGCTGACTGTGAAGATTTGTGTTTCTGGAGTGTGTGCGTGTGTCAGTGTCAGGCTGATGTGGGCGTTTATTGTAGCCTTGGGTTACTGTGTGACTTGCCTGGGCGTCTGTCTGCCACTTAGCGTCAGTGGCTTTGCGGTTATGAGTGTGTGACTGTGCCTTTCTGGTGTATATCTCACTGTAACCATGGAAATGGAGGCCCACAGGGGAAGAATTCTTAGCAGCTCTAAGATGTGATGGGCTGCCCTGGAAATCTGTGGAACTGTTTAATTGTGCATGACTTTCCTCCTTGGTAAAATAGCATATTAATAGCACCTGCCTGGGTGTTATTGGGAAGATTAAATGGGATGACGTAGCTGAAACACCCTGCACAGAGCTTGTCACATACTAATCACCGTGTTTAGGTGTTGGTTATGGTGCTGGTGGTCGTTTTTCTTTGACCCTATACAGAGGCAGAGGTAGTGGTGAATACTGGAGGACTTTGCATCTCTGAGCTTCGGACTGGGCTATCTTTGTCCACATACCAGGGCATCTGACCATCTCCAGTTGAGCAGTGGTGCGCTGCCCCCGCCAACCACCTGCGTCGTCAGTTTTCTGCATGTGTACATTTGAGTGGAGGACAGAGCCCTCCACTGACGCTAAGTATGGTTGTGTCCCCTTCCTACCAAGGTAGCTTGGAAAAATAAGAGCATGGACTGTGGCGCCCCGCTGTCTGGTGTTGACTCCTGGTTTCACCACTGGCTGGCTGTGTGACTGAGAGAGCTTACTTAAGTCCACCACTCCTCGGTTCACTTGTAAAACAGTAGTAATAACAGAACCAACCTCAGGTTTATGGTGAGCATAAGTAGAACTTGGCACAAGGAAGTGCCACATCAATGATCATCGTTTTATTATTAGCATAATAACCGCAGGCGTCCCACACCTGGAGAATAAAATCCATAGGTAGAAATGCAAAAGGATGAGCCCCAGAGTAAGGGTTGCAGGTCCAGAGGTAAAATAACTTGGACGTCTAGATCAGGGCTTAGGTTCAGAATTGTGTAGGCAGGGTCCTGGGAGGGCAGCATTAGGGTAGAGGAGGTGGGGTCAGGAACAAAGGATCTTCCTGATGGAGATGTCCCTAGGGAGCCCATGGGGTCAAGAACAGAACTTTGAAGTGTCAGGGACTAAGGGATGTTTCCATATAACACATGGGTCTGGAAATGTTTCTGTCCAGACCAGTGTTTCACAGCCTTGGCACTGTGACATTTGGGGCCAGATAGTTTTTTGTTGGGAGGTGGGAGGGGCTGCTATTCTATGTATTATAGGATGTTGTGCAGCAACCCTGGGCTCTATTTACCAGGCCAGTAGCACACCGCGCCTCCCTCTGGGTTGTGACAAGCGAAAAAAAAATGTCTCCAGACACTGTCAGATGTCCCCTGCAGGGGCAAAATCACTCTGATTGAGAGGACCGTGATGCAAGCGCATGGACAGACCGAAGGCATGATGACAGGGAGAAGAGTAAGGGAGCTGGGGAAGGCGGGGCACGGAGAGATGATAAAAGGATAGTGTTCTGAGATGAGAAGAAACGGCCTGCAGCCCGGGTAAGCTCCGAGATGCATTCATTCATTCAGCCAGTGAGTGCCTACCATGGATTGGGCACTGTGCTAGTCTCTCAACAAAACAGGCAAGGTTTTTACTCAGCTGGAACTTGCATTTAGTAGGAGAGACAAAAATAAAGTCTATAATAGGTGCTGATAGGTACTTTGAAAAGTAAAGCAGGGTAAAGGGATTACAGGGTGTTTGGCAGGTGTTCTTTTTGGAGTCAACATCCAGGTCTCCCATGGGCATTTTGGTCAACTCCAGAGCCAGGAAGGACCACCAGCAGTGACCCTTTGGTATCACTTGATTGGGGAATCTAAGAGTTTGACTTTGATCTTAACCAAAGACTTTTCTCTTCACTGAGGTCTGGACTTCAACAGAAAGAGGTCAGATCTCTAGCCCTGTCCTTGAGACTCTGAGACTCGAACGTTATTCTAAACGATGCCTTCAATGTTACTCTCACCTTGGAATGCTTTATTTAAAAAAAGAAAAAAAAGGGCGGGTCAGACTCAATCCCCAGAGATTCTGATTTAATTGGTCTGGCATAGTGAACTGCCATCAGCTGTGACTATTTATTAGAAAGCTCCCAAGAGACTAATGTACGCACAGGGTTAAGAGCTACAGCTCTGAGTGCCTGCAGCTCAGGCTCCTTTGGGGCCTCTGGGAATGAGATAAATTGATTTGGAGGAGTCAGGGGGAGGATGCAAGTGACCTCTGCTTGGCTATCTTATCAAAAACAGTCCTCACAGCTGCACTTCCCTGCAGTAGGGGTATTCCTAGCCCCATCCTGCAAGTGAGGTAACCTAATGTGTTCCCGGGCAAAGTGGGGAAATGGCAGGCTAGACATGCATATGCATAGCCTGTGTTCTTCCTGTGACAGCTGTGCTGACGTCTTTGGAGAAATTGCCTACGTATGTCCCTGGCCTCTGGGGCTGGCAGGTTCAGGCCAGGAGTGATTTTTGAATATTTGACAGCTGGTACAGCAAAAGCTGACTGGCCCAAAGGAGGCAATGAGGCTGTGGCAGTGCATTTAATGGCTGGTTTTCAGTATATCAGGACCCTCCCCCAATTCAATACCCAGCACAGCCCCCAAGGCTCAAAGGGGTGCCAGGGCAGGAGGGGAAGGCCCCTCAGTTATTTGCCTCAGAAGGGAGGCACAACCACGGTTCAGTAACTCTTTGAAGCATGTTCCCATCCAGGTTCCAGCCGTCCTCACCTCAGGAGGACATAGCTTTGTGCCTTTCAAAGCCCTTTCTCATCTATCATCAGGGACTCGGAAGACGAGCCAGGTTTACAGCCCTGCCTTGATGTGGTATGTGCGATCCAGCCTTCTTTTATTTCATTTGTTGTTTTGAAGATGTAATTATACGTTCATGACACAAAATGCCAAAGCGGGTTTTGGATTTTTCCATACTCACACATATAACCTGGTTCCTTTCTTCAGGGACAGTCACTGCTACAAACTTTTTGTTTATCTTTCCAGAGCCTTTTCAAAGTCATGTATTTGTATACTATATTTTGTTTTTTTCTAAATGACTTTTCTATGTTTTTGCCCTTATAATACCATTTTATCTTGGAGGTTTTTCAGCCTTGGCGCAGTTGATGTTTTGAACCAGATCCTTCTCTGCTCTGGAGGGCTGTCCTGTGCATTGCAGGATGGTGAGCAGCATCCCTGGCCTCCACTCACTAGATGCCAGGGGCACCCCTACTCCCAGATGTGACAACCAAAAATAGCCTCAGACATTGCAGTTTTCCCATAGGGGGCAAAATTACCCCCAGTTAGGAATCACTACTATGGTTCTACTTTGTTTCTTTTAATATGTGGTGTCTCATTATATGCATGTAATATTCACTTAGCCATTCTCCTATTGATGGGCTGTTAGGTTGTTTCCAATCTCCTGATGGTGGTAGTAATAATGAAAATCTTAGCATTGGCCCTGCTTCCTGGCACCACTCTAAATGTGTTACGTATTTTGACTCATTTGATCTTCACCACAACCCTGTGAAGTCATTACTGTGTTTTGTCTCATCTTACATATGAGGAAGCTCAGGCCGGGAGAGGACACATAGAGTGTCTAAGTCCACACAGATAGCGGACGGCAGAGTTAAATACTGAACATAGACAGCCTGCTGCAGGCCCACCCCTTACCCAAGGAAATGTACTGCCCCTTTCTATAAACTCTGCCATTGTGAATACCTTTGTGTGTCTCTCATTGTGCACATGTGCAAAGATGTCTGAAGACATGTACAGGAAATAAGGTTGCTGGATTAAAGAGTACAACAGGGGTAAATAACGTGTATCTTCGGTCTTAAAGACATTGCCAAATTGCCCTCCATTGAATTTACACCAATTTATCTCCTCCAGCACTGGATAAGAATTCTAATCTCAGCCTTTTTAGTGGGTCTCAGTCTTCGTTGGTCTCTTGGATGCTTGGTATGTGGTTGACCCTTGAACAGTGCAGGGGTTAGTGGTACCAACCCCCTGTACTGTAGAAAATCCACATAGAGTTTTCACTCCCCAAAGACTTAAGTACTAATAGTCTACTGGTCACCTTACTGACACCTAAGCAATAACCTACACAGTCTATTAACACATATTTTGTGTGTTACATGTATTGCATACTCTATTCTTACAATAAGCTAGAGAGAAGAAAATGTTATTAAGAAAATCATAAGGAAAATATATTTACTGTTCATGAAGTAGAGTGGTTTTCATCGTCATGGCCTTCAAGTTGAGTAGGCTGAGGAGGAAGAGGAGGAGCTGGTCTTACTGTCTCAGAGGTGGAAGAGGTGGAGGAGCCGGAAGGGGGAGGCCGGAGAGGTAGGCACACTCAGTGTAACTTCTATTGAAAAAAATCTGCATATAAGTGGACCCTCACAATTCAAACTAACATGGCTCAAGGGTCAACTGTATTGTGAGTTGAAAAGGAAAAGGAAGGCAAGCAATGACCATGTTCCAGTTACCGAAGACATCACATGTAAATATCCTAACAGCAGAGGTGAGGTAGGTTTTCTTTACCCCATTGTATAGATGAGCAAACAGGCTTTGTGTAACTTTTTCACAGCCAGTAATTGGCAGAGGCAAGCTTTGAATCCAGGATTACCTAATATCAAACTGCTGTTCTTTCTTCCCCAGTAGTGCCGAGTTCCTTGAAGAAAATTATTTTATGGACAATGTATGAGTCTGTTTTCGTGCTGCTGATAAAGACATACCCAGACTCACAGTTCTACGTGGCTGGGGAGGCCTCACAATCGTGATGGAAGGTGAAAGACACGTCTTACATGGCCACAGGGAGAATGAGAGTCCCTGTACAGAACCATCAGATCACATGAGACTTACTCACTGCCATGAGAACAGCATGGGGGAAACCGCCCCCATGATTCAGTTATCTCCCACCGGGTCCCTCCCACAACACGTGGAAATTATGGGAGCTATAATTCAAGATGAGATTTGAGTGGGGACACAGCCAGACCATATCAGACAAGAATCATCTTCTCAAATTTGGGGTGCGTGGCTGAGTGCACACACCTGTGAAAACTGCGGGATGAATGCATTACAACTTCCTGGAACAAGTCATTTTACCTAAGTAATTGGAAGGGGAAAGCCAACTGATCTGCTTATCTGGTAAATCATTTAAAACATGATTTTTACATTAACACAAACCCAGATTTATTATGAAGTAATATGCACAAATGAACGTGTTTCAAAACAAGAAATCAAAAGAGTTTTCTGTTATGGGCAGCTGCTTTGGGATATATCTCAAACCATAGAAATAGGCATTAGCCCTCCTGTACTCTTCAGGGATATCTGCCCAAAGTTTAAGAATTCCCAGGCAAAGAATAGGGCTTTGTTCTCAAAGGCCCTGCAGCAGTGGTGTGCTGGAGCTGGCTCACCCAAGCCATTCAGCCCCATGCCAGGTGACATCAGTTCAATAGCTTACAACCTGCTGTGGTGGGAGTGTGTATTAGTCTGTTCTCACACTGCTATAAAGAAATACCTGAGACTGGTAATTTTTAAAGAAAAGTTTAATTGGCCCACGGTTCTGCAGGTTGTACAGGAAACATAGCAGCTTCAGGGAGGCATCAGGAAACTTTTACTCATGGCAGAAGGCAAAGTGGGAGGAGGTGTCTTACATGGTGGGAGCAGGAGAAAGAGGCAGGGGGGGTGGGGCTACACACTTCTAAACAACTGGATCTCGTGAGAACTCTTATCACGGGAACAGCACCAAAGGGATGGTGCTCAACTATTCACGAAGGATCCACCCCCAAGATCCAGTCACCTCCCACCAGGTCCCACTTCCAACATTGGGGATTACAATTAAACATGGGATTTGGATGGGGACACAGATCCAAACCATATCAGAGTATTTACTCCATGGAAGTTGTAAACACTATAAATCACCCCTGCAGCAAGCTGCTTATTAAACATTCCCCAGCACACCGTTGTCCTAGGGTCTAACACAGCCCAGAATTCAGGTGTCCAGGATTCAGGGCAGGCCTCTTGGTCCCCATCTCTGTACGAAGGAAACCTCGCTCAGAAAAGTCAGAATCGAAGGCCAGTCTGCTCAGTTCGTCACCGAGCCCTCGCTCCTCAGTCTTAACATGATATGCTCAAATTTTCCCCAACTCCTGTGGCCACTCTACTATGACAGAAACATACATATGGGGATGTTTTCCGGAAGCATTTCACCACACCGATGCCTCCCGTGCCCTGCCAGGGTGGATAGTGGACTCCTGCCATGTGTGAGGAGTGCAGAGTGTGCGGCTTGTGGATAGGGCCTCAAATCCAGGCTCCATCAGTTAAAGCTCTGTGACAACAGGCGGGTCATCGTCCCTCTCTCATCCCCGCGATGGAAGATGAGGACCCTGGGTGGTTGATTTGCCATTCAAGGTTAAAGGAGATGGTGTGATGCATAGAAAGGAGCCAGCACAGCTTTCATTCTCATCGTCATTAACTGAGGAGGTGACGCTGCTGCCCAGGCATGGAGCACATTCAGCACACACACCTGAGCACGTGCATAGAGCATGTGGGCTAAGGACGGTCAATGCGACCTTTTCCCAAACTCACATCCCACAGAACTGGCCCCACCTGGCACTTGTAACCTCAACAGCAGTGAGGGTAAATAGAGTTTACCTTAACGGAGCACTGACTGATATGATCTCATCTCATCCTCCAGCAGCCCTTTGTCCTCCCTTTGCAGATGTAAAGGAGGGAGGTAAAGACCCAGCAAGGTTCAGTAACTTGCCCAAGGTCACACAGCTGCACACATGAGAACATTGGTCAATGCATTGTCCGGTGGAGGACAAGAGATAAAGCCAGAAGGCAAATGTGCTCACAATGGAATGTGTTTCCGCTGTGAAGAAGTGGCACCTGATACATGTGAAGCATACCCCTACCCCGGTTTAGTGGGTGAGGGAAGGCTCCTTGAAAAAGTGTTGGTAAAGAAAGTTAATATTTATTACAAAGCCATTCAGTCATTCAGTTAGCAAACACTTAAGCCCTTTCCGTGTGCTGGATGCTGGTCTAAGGCACTTGGAATACAGAGTTGCCTGTCCTCAGGACGGTTGACAGTAAGCATAATAAGCAAATTCTGCAGCGAGTTACACCACGATAAGAGCTGCTGAAAAAAAATATCTGAACCAGCCGTGAAGGGTGGTGGGGGGCAGCTTGCATTATTAAATAGAATGGTTAGTGAGGCTTGCTGAGAAGGTGAGGTTTGAGCAGACTGAAGGAAGTGAGGTGGGGCTGTGGCAGCCCCTTCAGGGACTAGCAGGGAGGCACTGGCATGGGGGTGGGGGTGTAGGACCCAAACGTGATTCTTCATTCTTACAACTCCCTCCAGAAGTAGGTTCTGTATTGTCCCCAATTGAGAGGTGAGGAAACTGTGGCACAGAGAGGTTCAGTGGCTTGCCCAGGGTAACACAGCTGATAGGAACACTTGCCACCCTCAGTCTGACCCCAGAGTGATGTGTTTACCACCACTGGGGGCCGCCTCACCCTTCCCTCTGACCCTGGCTAAAACAAGGCAGGACCCTGAGCTTCCTCAGCATGAGGGAGCTCTGGATGTGCGTGCGTGGGTGTGTGTGCACGTGTGCAAGAGGGAGGCAGGCAGGGCTGATGTTTCAGCGCTCCTTTCTGCCTCTTGGAGTGGCCTCACAGGCCGGCTTCAGCGATCACCAGCCGACCTCTTCATCTCACCCTAGCCCTGTAATTCCCCTGAATTACAGATGTTTTCAGCACCAGGTCACTGACAAAAGAAGCCCATTTATTGGGCATGAGGACTGGAAGGAAATAGTGGAAGGGTCACTGTGTTCATTTCCTCTTGCTGCTGTGACAAATTGCCGCAAACTTGATGGCTTCAAGCTACACTCATTTATTCTCTTACAGTCCTGAAAGGCAGAGCTACGAAGCCATGGCAGCAGGTGCTCCTTCATCTTCAAGGCCAGCAGCATAGCTTCCATCTTGCAATTTCTTTTTCTGTCTGACTCTGATCCTCCTGCCTCCGTTTTATAAAGAGGACCTTTGTAATTATGTTGAGCCCACTTGGGCAATCCAGGATTGTGCTATTGAGAAATAACTATTTAGCCTTTAGCCTGTTTCCTGGCATAAAACTCCTGAAATCTTACAATTTCTAAAGTGATGTCTGTGAACCCAAAATATCGGAGACAAGTCTCAGTCAATTTAGAAAGTTTATTTTGCCAAGGCTAAGGACACACCTGTGACACAGCCTCAGGAGGTCCTGACATGTGCCCAAGGTGGTCGGGGCACAGCTAGGTTTTATATGTTTTTGGGAGACATGAGACATCAGCCAGTATGTGTGAGATGTACGTTGGTTTGGTCCAGAAAGGTGGGACAACTCGAAGCAAGGGCCCTGCCTTTCAGGTCATAGGTAGATAAGAGACAAACAGTTGCATTCCTTCAAGTCTCTGATGAGCCTTTCACTGAACACACAGTTTACATGTGACAGGAGGGTAGAGGAGTAGTCACTTATGCCTTGGTCTGGCTTAGTGAAATAGGGCAAAGGGAGCAATCAGGTATGCATTTATCTCATGAGTTCTGTGTGTCCTCTGTCCAAAAAGAATTTTCTTTTGGGCATATTGTGAGGGAGGTACGTGGTTAGTAATAAAATGGGAAACAGGTTTGCCTGAAGCAGTTCCCGAAGTGCTGGGATTACAGGTGTGAGGCACCATGCCCTTTTCTTTTACATGTCTTTTGTATGCTAATGAGATGGCTGGTGGCTGGCAGCCCCTGGGTAGCTTCAGGATAGGGTTGGTCACCAGGAAGACCAAGGCAGGACTAGACAGTTGGGACATTGAGCTCCACCCTTCAACCTCTGGGGAGGGGAGAAAGACTAAAGGTTAAGTTGATCACCAAGGGCCAGTAGTTTAATCTTGCCTGTGTAATGAAGCCACCATAAAAACTCAGAAGGACAGGGTTTGAAGAGCTTCTGGATAGCTGAACACATGGAGGTTCCTGGAGGGTTCCCAAGGAAGGCATGGAAGCTCCACACCACCTCACACATACCTTGTATTTCTACACATTTCTTTCTCTGTATTCTTCGGAATAGCCTTCATAATCAACCAGTAAATGTCAGTATTTGCCTGAGTTCTGTAAGCTGCTTTAGCAAATTATTAATAATTGAACCCAAAAGGGGATTGTGGGAACCCCAGCTTAAAGCCAGTCAGTCAAACATTCCTGAAGTCCAGACTTGCAACTGGTATCTGAAGGTGGGGCAGGTGGGGCAGTCTTGGGGGCTGAGACCTCAAGCTCTGGGATCTGATTCTGTCCCCAGGAACATAGTGTCAGAATTGAGTTGGAGGACACCCAGCTGGGGCCGCTGCAGAAATGATTGCTTGCTTGGTGTGTGGAAAACTCCTCACACATGTGGTCATGGATTGTTGTGGTGTGACAGCAGAGGAAAAATGGTTTGTGTGTTTTCCATTTTCAGGATAATTTCCCCCGCCCCCAAGATCCTTAACTTCATCACATCTGCAAAGTTCCTTTTGCTGTGTAAGGTGCCATATTCATGGGTTCTGGAGATTAGGATGTCCATATCTTTGGGGGGGTGGCCATAACTCTGGTCTACCACAGTCACTAATGCCCACAGTGCCCTCATTTCCCCCCCACCCCATTCCCAGGCAGATGAAGTCAAGTATTCCCCTTAGCATGATGTGGCCGGCATGGCACACAGTGCTAATTAGAGGCCCCTCCTGGACCATGGCTCACCTGCATGGGACCCCGCCCCTTCTTGCCCAGTGAGTGTTGCTGGAAAAGAGGGTCCCAATCCAGACCATAAGAGAGGGTTCTTGGATCTTGCACAGGAAGGAATTCAAGGTGAGTCACAGAGCACAGTGAAAGAAGCAAGTTTATTGGAAACTACCCTGTTATAGAGTAGGGTGTTCTCAGAAAGCAGGAGAAGGAATGGGAAACTGTAAGGAGCTGTCATTAAACCTGGAATGTGCAGATGCACTCACTAAAGGTAGGGCTGTTTGTGCTATCAATGACCATTCATCCTTCAGCCTAAGCCTGGTCATTGATGTTATCTCTGAGTAAAGTGGGCTGCACTCTCAGGACATCTGGACATTCTGCAGGCTTGGTGGGAGATGTTCTGTGTGTCTATAAATTTTCTGTAATTGTAATAGGTGGTCAGCTCAGGATGTGGCTACTTTCATACTGTAAGCATTAACCTTATAGCAGGGGCCTTGTGAGCGCCTAGCTACTCACTTTAAGACAGAGTCACTCTAGTCATGTTTTATTAAACCAGAGGCCTGGTAACCAGGGGTCCCTCTAACAAGAGCACCAGAGAAGTGGGGTGTGGCTCAGGGCACCATCCTGAGGGGCTGGGAAACCACACCTCCAGCTGCCTCCCATTGGGGCCAGGACATTGATCATGTGCCCACCTCAACTCCATCTGTTGCAGAATGACTGTTCGCTGGATCCTCATTCTAAGGCTGATACAGCTGAGGGGTGTGATAGAGTGGGGGTTACCTCTTACTGGCTTATGTTTCGGAGTCTGCAGGGCCACCTCCCAGGTTCCAGCATTCTCGAGGGCCTCCCAGGACCCAACCTGTAGTCATGCTCACAGCTAATGATTTATTACAGCCAAAAAATGCAGAGCAGTATCAGCAAAGGGAAGGGTGCACAGAGCAGAGCCTGGGGAAGCCAGGGCCAGGCTCCCTGGAGTCCTCTCCCAGTGCAGTCCTGAGTGACATACTAATTCCCTTAGTAACGAGTTAGAACAACACATGCGAGGTGCTGTCTACACAGCATGCCCATTAGAGACTCAGTGTCCACATTTGTTATTGTGAGCTGGTTACGTCGGCATTCTCTGGTTGGCAGATAACAAAATTGCAGACTCCCAGGAGGAAAGCAGGGGTTCAACATAAGGCGTAAATTGTATGCTCCCTGCACCACACCATGAAGCTGAAGGTATTCTTAACAGTCAGGAAAAGTTTTATATCCGTGTAGGGAATGGTCTCCCAGCCAGGTCCTTAGACGCCAGCCTGGGGCTGACCCTGCACACAGGCCTCTTGGGAGAGCAGCCTCAAGCCTGCCCTGCTGATCTTCTCTGCTCAGCTTGTTTCCTCTGACATGGGCAGAGGGGAGGGTGCCACACAGTAGGGTTAAGAGCCAGGCATTTGGGGCAAATGTCTAGGTTTGAACCCTGGCTCTGCCACTGGTCTACCTTATGACGTTGGGCAAGTGATTCCTCCCTCTCTGTGCTTCCACCTTCCCATCTGGAAAACGGCGTCAGAACTGGACTTGCCACCAGATGTGAGAATTGAAATGATAATCCTCAGTGTTGCTTAGCACATGGAACATTTATTCATCTTGTTAATAATTCATCTTAGTATTCGTATTCTTACTACAACTTCATCCTACAAAGAGAGACATGTAATAATCCAAGCATTCTTCTGCCTAGCTTCTCTTAAATAGGATAAGGCCATCTTAGGATCCATGTTTTGTATCAAAACATATCCATTACCTAACTCTGAACTCAAGCCTGATGGCCTTGGATTTATCTTCTTCTACCTCCACCCCTACGGGGACGAAACAAACATCTGTAGAGGGAACATCCATTATTTCCATTTTCCAGGCTGTGTCCTGCTGTACTTTTTTCATTACAAAGTCACAAAAAGCTTTTGGGGATATTTCTGCTGTTGTTGGCAGCAGGGTATGACGATGGCATTCTTTGGAGGCGTGTGCTGGAACATTTAGGGATGAACTGTCATTCTACAACTTTCAGACAACTGCCTTTTTATAAAAAAGGGTAGGAAAAATGTTAACATTTGGTGAAGAGTAATTAGGCATTCATTGTATCATTTTCTCAAGATGTCAAGCTTTCCACAGTAAGGGAAGTGAAAAGTATGTCCCCATTTCTGTCCTCTCCAAAGACAAATGTGGAGGGCCAGGGAATGGCTGCAGCAGAACTGTGTCTCTGGGATGGGGTTTCAGCACACTGAGGATCTGGTTGAGTTAGTCAACAAGTGTTTATTGAGCACCTGCTCTATGCTAGGTAGGTTCTCAGCCCTGGGAGTAGAGCGGTGAACAAAACAAAGTCTCTGCTTTCCAGCCTAGATCATTGTGTGTGTTTAGGGAGGGGGGAGGTACTACCCACATAAACACCCACATAAAGAAGCTGTTTTCAGAAAGCGGTAAGTGCTATGTGGAAAATGGGGCAATACAATAAGAGAGCATGTGGCAGCACTGCCCCACAGAAACATAATGTGAGGCTGATAATTTTACATTTTCCAGAGGCTACATTGAAAAGGGTAAAAAGCAACACATTTATCATTAAAGTTAATTTTGTTTTGTTTTGCTTTGTTTTTGAGACAGGGTCTCACTCTGCTACCCAGGCTGGACTGCAGTGGCATGATCTTGGCCCACCTCAACCTCTGCCTCCCAGGCTCAAGCAATCCTCCCATCTCAGCCTCCCAAGTAGCTAGGACTACAGGCACACACCACCACACTCAGCTAATTTTTTAATGTTTTATAGAGACAGGGTCTCACTACATTGCTCAGGTTGCTCTCAAACTCTTAGGCTCAGGTGATCCTCCTGCATCAGCCTCAAAGCATTGGGCTGGCCCATTAAAGTTAATTTTAATAACATTTAACTGACTATATCAAAATATTAACATTTCAACATGTAGCCAATATAAACAGTTATCAATGAAATAGTTATTTTTTCATACTGATAGTTTACATTTTTTCATACTGAGTCTTTGAAATCTGATACAAATTTTATACACACGGTCCATCTAGACCCTTAATTTTCAGTGGAGATACCTGATCTGTACTTAATTTCCTAAAACCTTTGGAAAAGCAGAGTCACATACCCAAGTTGTTCCAGACATACTTTAAAGTTTTACGGTAACCAAATTGAGTATCAGTTTTTCATTTTAAATTTACAGTAAATTTTAATAATTTTAGCAATAATTTTAAATTTTATTTTATTATTGTTTTAATAGTGAATAGATTGGAGTGAAAATGAGTTCCGGGCTGGGCACAGTTGCTCATGTTTGTAATCCCAGCACTTTGGAAGGCCTAGGCGGGCTGATTGCTTGAGCCCAGGAGTTTGAGACCAGCCTGGGCAACATGGCAAAACTCTGTCTCTGAAAAATACAAAAATTAGCTGAGTGTGGTGGCAGGTGCCTGTGGTCCCAGCTACTTGGAAGGCTGAGGTGGGAGGATCGCTTGAGCCGGGGAGGTTGAGGTTGCAGTGAGCCAAGATCACACCACTGCATTCCCGCCTGGGCAACAGAGCAAGACCCTGTCTCAAAAGAAAAAAAAAGGGAAGAAAATGAGTTCCTCAGTTCCACTAGTTTTATTTCCCGTGCTCAGTTTTCATATGTGGCTAGTGGCATTCACATTGGACAGCATAGGTATAGACTGATACAGGGCAGAGATTCTTTGAGATGGGTGGATAGAGGGGCCCTCTTGAGGAGGCGATCTGACCACATCTTCCTTCCTCCACTCCACCCACCCTAGTCATGCCACCAACATCTTCCCCGGATTTCTGCAAAGCTACCTAGTGAGTCCTGTCCTCACTCCTGCTCCCTCTTCTGACACACAGTTAACCCACCATATAGACATGCCACAAATTTTTGTTAAATGTTGTCTGATGGTGTCACTCCCCTTCTCAGCTCCCCCTCCTCCCCCAGTGATGTCACACTTGAGATCAAATCCCAGCTGCTCAGCACCCCTTTCATGATCCGGCCCTGCCTGCCTTAGCCCACCCTCCCCGCTGCACTCACTCTGCCTCAGTACACAGACCTTGCTCTCCTCACACCTAGCCTGCGCCCACCCATGACGCTGACACCTGCTGTGCCTCTACCTGGAATGCTCTTCCCCTAGCACCCACATGGCTCATGCTCTCATATTTAGACCTCAGCTCAATGTGACCTCCTCAGAGACACCTTCCCTGACCATTCCACGACTCTAACCCCTGCCCTGGCCTGTTTATTCTTCATAGCAATGACCATGTCCATCATTGTGCTTTATATGGACTTTCTTTCCCTACTGGAATGTAAGGTGCTTGGGAGCCGGCACTCTTCCACTTTAACTCACTGCTCTCCCCCCAGTACCTGGGACAGCTGGACACCCAGTAGGTGCTCAGTAAATACTTGTCAGATGGATGGCCAGAGGTCTGTGCAGTCCTTATTTGCCTCATGACCAAGAACCTGCTATGATCTTAGGCACAAAAAGGGTTGGCCGTGCCCTTCCCTGACCGTGAGCAGGTGAGGGGGGACAGGAATGCGCCAGGTGTTCTGACATCTGTGTGTGTGTGTGCACGTGCATATGTGTGCATGTGTGTCTGTGTGTGTGTGTGTCTCCAGGTTAGGTAGGGGCCTGTGGACTCTGGCACTGCCTCATGACCTGTCTTCTCCCCACAGCCCTGCCTTACCAGCTCTCTGCCCATCTCTCAGTGTGGACCCTAAAGGGGGAGGAAAGGATGCCTTCTGCACGGGGGAAATCCAAATCCAAGGTAAGTGGCAATTCCTCTTCCTTCCGGAACACCCCATCGTGTCTTGTGAGATGTGGACCATTTGCTTTCCTTCCATGGAGACTTGTTGCCTGTTGGAGATCCATCCAACACCTAGTCTTTGGTTTTCTCCCGTTGCCATGAGGGATGAGAACCTGAGAAGGGCCCAGCAGCCAGGAAACTGCTCAGCGAGCCTCTCTCCATTCCCAGTGTGCACATGGCCACTGGCCTGTTTGTTTAGCATTCCCAGGGGCTTTGCCAGTGCCAGGAGAAATGCCCTCCCCAAGAGAAATGTCCTCCGTGGAGGAAGATGAGAGCCACTGTGATTTCTCAGCATGGAGATGAATGCCCAGGTGGGGCCTGCAGTAGCAGAGGGGACTTGACATGTGCTCTGGAGTTAGTCTTGTTGTGTGGTTTTGTATCTCCTTGTAAAACCCATATTTACATGGAGGAAATCTCTTTAACTAAGGTCCCAAGACTAAAAGGCACCACATAGCCCTGCTATTCCATTGACTGCACTGGTGCAGGCAGTGAGGTTGTATGCGTAGCCTCCTGTGGTCAGCATGCTCCACGACTGTCAATCATTGAGTGGTTTTTCCAACAGGCATCTCAAATGCAGTTTCCCATAACAAATGTGTTTGCTTTCAGTTGGGTGTATTAGTTGCCCCTTGCTGCTGTAACAGATTAGCTGCAAACTTGGCAGCTCAAAACAGCACGTGTTTATTATCATGCAGTTTTGTGGTTGGCGTCCAGGCACAACATGGTTTAGCTGGGTCATCTGCTTTGGAGTTCACAGGGCTGAAATCAAGGTGTCAGCCGGCTGTGTTCTCATTTGGGGCTCAGGTCCTCTTCCAGACTTGCTGGTTATTGGCCAGATTCAGTTCCTTCCTACACTTTCCACCTGACCCTCATTTTTCATCTTCAAGACAGCAAGAACCAATAACCAACTGGCCAGGTCAAGTCCAAGATAATCTGCCAAGGTCAAGTGATCAGTAACCTTGATTATACCCTCAAAGAACCTTTTGTCATGTGTAACATATTCACATGTTTCTTGGAGAGCAAGTGGTTAGGAGATTAAATCAGGAGCTGTCTGGGCTGAACACTAGCTTCTCCATTTACTAGCTGTGAGACCTGCAGTAAGTTTTCTCATCTCTCTGGGCCTCAGTTTCCTCATCTGTAACATACTGTGATTCCGCTGACAGTGCCTCTATCACTGATTCACATGAGCACTAAGTGAGCCAGTACAGTCAGGTGCTTAGAAGAATGCTTTGACTTTGTAAATGCCTGGTAGATCCAGGTTGCCACGTGTTCTTAATGCAACATAATTTTAATAACAGCTATGTCTTATATTGTATTTTATTTAACTTATTTAATACACCTGCCCCTTTTGGCCTCAGAACCCTGAATGCTTCCTGAATGATTCTTGGTACCTTGTGTCTCCCATGTTTAAGATGTGTGCACCATTTCCTCCAGCCATGTGGAAGCACAAGTCCATGGTGAATAGACATTTGATTTTTCATTTCAGGCACCTATAACATTTGGGGACTTAGCCATCTACTTCTCCCAGGAGGAGTGGGAATGGCTGAGCCCCATTCAGAAGGATTTGTATGAAGATGTCATGTTGGAGAATTACCGGAACCTGGTCTCGCTTGGTAAGGCTCTTCGTCCCCCACAATCCAGAACCAGCCTATTGAGGGACATGCATCACTCTGGGTCTAGTCAGGAAAATGGAAGCCACTGCAGTTTCTTTTTTAAAAGAGCTTTATTGAGATATAATTCACATACTATACAATTCACCCATAAAAAGTACACAATTAAATGGTTTTTATAATAGTGTATTCAGAGTTATGCATCCATCACCACAATCAATTATATTTTCATTATTTCCACCCAAAAACCCAGTACCCATAAGCAGTCACTCTTCGTCTCCCCTGGCCACTCATCCCCCCAGGTTCAGCAACTACTAGTCCACTTTCTATCTCTCTGGTTGTGCCTGCTCTGGGCCTTTCATACATATGAAATCATAAATATGTGGCTTCTTTGATTTCTAATGTTTTTGAGGTTCATCATGTTGTAGCATGTGCCAATACCTCATTTCTTTTCATTGCCAAAGAATATGTATGGTATGGATAGACCACATTTTGTTTATCCATTCATCAGTTAATAGATGGGCATTTGGGTTGTTTTCACTCTTGTTATTTTGATATGCTGCTATGAACATATACAAATTTTTTGTGTGGATGTATGTTTTCATTTCTCTGGGGCATATACCTAGGGGTAGAATTGCTGGGTCTTATGGAAACTCTGTAGGTAACTCTTGAATTCTTTTGGTATAAATTTTTTTTTTTTTGATACAGAGTCTTGCTCTTTCGCCAGGCTGGAGTGCAGTGGCGCAATCTCAGCTCACTGCAACCTCCGCCTCCTGGGTTCAAGGGATTCCTCTGCCTCAGTCTCTCGAGTAGCTGGGATTACAGGCACGCTCCATCACACCCAGCTGATTTTTTGTATTTTAGTAGAGATGGGGTTTCCCCGTATTAGCCAGGATGGTCTCGATCTCCTGACCTCGTGATCTGCCCACCTCGGCCTCCCAAAGTGCTGGGATTACAGGCATGAGCCACCGCACTCAGCCCTCTTTTGATAGAATTTAAGGAATTGATTTAAGAGGTGTTGTTGAAAGGTGAATAGTGGACATTGATGTAACACAGAGACAGTAATTGCAGGATGCTGCCACCATTCCTGGGGTTGGAGGGACAAAGGGAAGAGTTTGGGGTTTTTAGCGCTTTAAGGAAGGTCCCCTCGGATCTGGGACTCAGAACTTCTGAAGGAGGGGGCAGTGTGCTGCCTGGTTTGTTTATACTTCTGAGGAGCCAGATGAAACTGGTTCTGGGAGTACAGAACTAAAAAACCCAGACATAGAAACCAACAAAGCCCCTATTGGTGGATGTTGACAGGAAGCAGCTGGTGAAGCAGAAGTGAAGACAGCAAGGCCCCCACCCTGGCACCACAAAACAGATAATAGAAGGGTGAGGGTCTGGAGCAGAAAGACAGTAACTTCATAACCAGCCTCAGGAGTTTCTGACTCAATTCTCAGGAAAATAGTTTGCTTTGTCGAATTAAAATTTAACAACTCTACTGGCTATAATTTAGATTCCTGCCTTTCCATGTGAGATTTAAACAACCAAACTCAACACCGCACACTCTAACACCAGATGTTTGGAGGTTTTCCCACACACACCAAACAGTTCTCTAGCACACTCCAGCTGGGTGTCCTCCAATTCAATTCTGACACTGTCTACCTGGAGATAGTGTCAGATCCCACAGGGTAAGAGCCCAGTCCCACAGGACTGTCCCCTACTTCAGAGGCCAGTTGCATGTCCAGGCCTTCCAACTGACCAGCTCTAAATTAGCGGATTCCCATGACCCTCTCCTCAAGTTCAGTCATTTGCTAGAGTAGCTTTCAGAACTCAGGGAGGCGCTTTACTTATGCTTACCAACTCAGTGTAAAAGATATTACAGAGGATGCAGTTGAACAGCCAGATGCAAGAGATGCAGAGGGTAAGTTATGGGGGGAGGGACACAGAGCATGCACCCTCTACTGCACCACCTTCCACGTGGTCAGCAACCCTGAGGCTCTCCAAACCCAGTCCACTGGAGTTTTTAAGGAGGCTTCAGGTAGGCAAGGTTGATTAAATCATTGGCCATTAGTGATTGGCTCAACCTCCAGCCTCTGACCCCTCCCCAGAGGTCAGGAGATGGGGCTGAAAGTTCCAATCCTCTAATCACATGATCGGCAACCAGCCCCCATCTGAAGGCTGTCCAGGAGCCCCCAGTCACAGTCTTCTCATTAACATAGAAAAGACACATATGCAGGAGATTCCCAGGGTTTAAGGAGCTGTGTGCCGGAAACAGGGATGAAAAGCAAATACATATTCTTATAAATCACAATATCACACTCCCCATTCTCCAGCTGCCCTTCACATCCTCTGTGCTCCCTTCATGCTACTAAACCTGCATTCCTGTTGATGCAGAGCGTGGCTCTGACTTCTGTGGTGCCCACATTTATGATCATTTCCCATGTTTGTCCCACGTACAGGTCTTTCCTTTCGGAGACCAAATGTGATCACCTTATTGGAGAAAGGGAAAGCACCCTGGATGGTAGAGCCAGTAAGAAGACGCCGGGCTCCTGGTGAGTGACAGAGAACCAAGGCATATGTCTCAGTCTACTGGGGCTGCTATAACAGAATGCCATATATTAGGTGACTTACAAACACCAGAAATCTACTTCTCACAGTTCTGGAGGCTGAGAAGTCCAAGATCAATGCATGAGCAGATTCGGTGTCTGGTGAGGACTGCTTTCTGGTTCATAGGTGGCACCTTTTTGCTGTGTCTGCACATGGAGGAAGGAGTGAGGGAGCTCTCTGGGAGAGAGATTATAGGTGATTATAGATGATATCTCATTCATGAGGGCTCCACCTTCGTGACTTAAACACCTCCCAAAGGCCCCACCTCCTAATACCATTACCTTAGATGGTAAAATTTCAACATAGGCATTTGGGGAGACATAAACGTTCAATCTGTTGCAGCATAGAGGCAGGTGTTCTGCATAAGAGCTCATGTAATTGTGAGGGGGCAATCTCTTTAAGAGATTATTTGTGTGCCTCTCCCACTGAAGGCTCCAGGCCTGTACAGAGAATTCAAGTCTCTTCAGTATGAGTCCTGGAGGAAGAAAAAGCAACATTTAGTAAGCCCTTACTAGGTATCAAGCACTCTTCTAAGTTCAGGGTCTTCCTCCCAACAACCCCATAAGGTGGGTGCTGTTATTACCCCTACTTTATAGATAAGCAAACAGGCCCAGAGAGGTTTGTTGACTTGCCCAAGGTCACCCAGCTAGGAAGGAGCAGCAGAGGAGGGTTTGAGGCCCAGACCCTCTTCAGAGCGCCAAACAGCCTCTGCCTGTTTCCAGAAGCTCAGCTCTCCACACCCTTATGCCCACCTGTCCCCCTGCATCTCTGCTTTCGTATTTCCTTTCAGAGAAGGTGTAGACTGCCCTCTCTGTTAATACTTACGATAACATTCAAATCTGCATGATTTTTGTGATTCTTTTAAAAATATTTTTTAACTCTTTTCTCCAAGTGTTCTTTTCAGCTACTTTTCAAGGATTCATTGACAAATAGGTTCCTCTTTGGTTGGCCAAGTTATATATTTTGTATGTTTGTTTCTTTAAGTAGCATTCATTGAGTTTCTGCTTAGATGGGATGCGTCATCTAGGAGCTAGGGATCAACATTTTGGTGTAGGCTGGGAGAAAACGGCACCACCTCGAGCGTCTGGCTTTGGTGACGTCCAGGTTCTGAGGGTGTGTAACGGAAGCCAGATGGAAGCACAGTGCAAAAAGAAGACACGTGCATTATTTTACATCTTAATTTCAACATGAAGAAATATCCTTTATTAAAATACTGTTTTTAAGTTTAGAAGAAATTTAGTCATATAACAAAGTTTAGAAAAAGGAAAAGACAAAAACAGTTTATACATAGAGTTATCACTGATTACTTGTTTATTTAATGAAATTGGATTTCATCGTTATTATAAGGTTTATATATTTCTGCTTTTTTCACATTTTGTTTTAGTAGAAATGTTCTATGTTACTAGTCTCTCATGTCCTATTTTCCATTTAGATTCTAATTTATTATTATTAACATCAGCGTATCTGCATTAAGTGCTTTTGCCTGTTTTCTATAGTACTGAGTCACAGAGGGGGAGCTCTAGATACTTCTGAATTACTTTGCAGAAGAATTGTCATATCACCAGCCCCCAGTAAAAAACCCTAGGCACTAGGTCTTTATCTAGAAGACATTTCTCACAATTGCGAGGTCTCACAATTGTGAAATTTCACAAATTGTGGGTGTGTTGTCGCAATTTGTTGCAGGAGGAATGAAGTGCAGCCTGTGTGACTGCACAGGGACACAGCTCCTGAAAGCTGTGACCAGTTTCCTCTAGAGTCTGCCCCATTTCCCTTTGCACACTTTGCTTTGAATCCTTTTGCTGTAATAAATCATAACCATGACTACAACTTAAAAAGGAGAATTATCAAATCAGCACCATCAATAGCAACAGGGTTTGATTTTTCATACTCACTAGTATTGGATATTGCCATTAAAATGTCTCTCTTTATTTAGTAAAATGAATTAATAGCAGTCAGCATTTATTGAGAACTTACTTTGTGCAGATTCTGTGCTAAAGCCTGTAAGTTCAGCATTTCATTTAGTCCTCACAACACTTGTAGAAATCTCTGTCATTCCCAAGTGACAAGATGAGGGTTTGAGTCTTAGAAATGTTAAATAACTTGCCTAGGATCTCCTGTCCGGGAGATGCAGTAGAAGGTTTGAAGCCTTGGCAGTTCACCTTTTTAAATTTTTTTCTCTTTAATTTTTACGGGATATAGAGGTGTATATATTAATATTTACAGGGCACATAGGATATTTCAATACAGGCATATAGTGTGTAAGAATCACATCAGGGTATGTGAGGTATCTATCACCTCAAGCTTTTATTATTGTGTTACAAACATTCCTATTGTACTCTCTCAGTTGTTCTAAAATGTACAACAAAGTATTGCTGACTGTATTCACCCAGTTGTGCTATCAAATAGTAGATTGTATTTATTGCATCTTAACTGTATTTTTGTACCCACTAACCATCTCCTTTTTTCTGCTACCCTTCCCAGCCTCTGGTAACCATCCTTCTACTCTCTTATATCCATGAGTTCAATTGTTTTGATTTTTAGCTCCCACAAATGAGTGAGAACATGTGAAGGTTGTCTGTGTCTGGCTTATTTCCCTTAAAATAAGGTTTTCCAGTTGTATCCATGTTGTTGCAGATTACAGGATCTCATCCTTTTTTATGGCTAAATACTACTGCATGACTGTTGATGGTCATGTGGCTATTGTGAGTAGTGCTGTAATAAACATGGAAATGCAGAGATCTTTTTTATATACTAATTTATTTTTTTGGGGGGGTATATACCAAGCAGTAGGATTGCTGAATCATATATTAGTTCCTATTTTTAGTTTTTGAGGAACCCCCCCATACTGTTGTCAATAGTGGCTGTACTAATTTACATTCCCACAGTGTACGAGGGTTCCCCTTTCTCCATATCCTCACCAGCATTTGTTTTGCCTGCTTTGGGATAAAAGTCATTTTAACTGGGGTGAGATGATACCATGTAGTTTTGATTTGCATTTTTCTGATGATCAGTGATGTTGAGCACTTTCTCATATGCCTGTTTGCCATGTGTACGTATGTCTTTGAGAAATGTCTATCAGATCTTTTGCCCATTTTTTAATTGGATTATTACATTTTTTTCCTATATAGTTGTTTGAGCTCCTTATGTATTCTATGGTTATCAATCCCTTGTCAGATGGGTAGTTTGCAAATATTTTCTCCCATTCAGTAGATTGTCTCTTCACTTTGTTGATTGTTTCCTGTGCTGTGCCCAAGCTTTTTAACTTGATATGATTCTATTAGTCCATTTTTAGTTTCATTGCCTGTGTTTGTGGGGTATTACTCAAGAAATATTTGCCCAGACCAATGTCCTGGAGACTTTTGCCCGTGTTTTGTTTTAGTAGTTTGATTGTTTTAGGTCGTAGATTTGTCTTTAATCCATTTTTATTTGATTTTTGCATATGGCAAGAGATTGGAGTCTAGTGTCTTCTGCATGTGGATATCCAGTTTTTCCAGCACAATTTATTGAAGAGACTGTCCCTTCCCCAATATATATTTGTAACATCTTTGTTGAAAATGAATTCACTGTAGATGTATGGATTTATTTCTGGGTTCTCTATTCCATTCCATTGGTCTGTGTGTCTGTTTTTATCTCAGTACCAAGCTGTTTTGATTACTATAGCTCTGTAGTATAATTTGAACTTAGGTAATATGATTCCTACAGTTTTATTCTTTTTGCTCAGGATGGCTTTAGCTATTCTGGGTCTTTTGTGGTTCCATATAAATTTTAGGATTACCTTTTCTATTTCTATGAGGAATGTCTCTGATATTTTGATAGGGATTGCATTGAATCTGTAGATTAATTTGGGTAGTATGGGCATTTTACTAATAATTATTCTTCAAATCCATGAGCATGGACTATCTTTCCATATTTTTGTGTCCTCATCAGTTTCTTGCATCAGGTTTTGTAGTTTTCATTGTAATTTCACTGTGTTTGTTAAGTTTATTCCTAGGTATTTTATTTTATTTGTAGCTATTGTAAATGGGATTACTTGATTTCTTTTTCAGATTGCTCACTGTTGGCATATAGAAATGCTGCTGGATTTTTATATGTTGATTTTGTATCCTGCAACTTTACTAAATTTATCAGTTGTAATAGTTTCTAGGTGGATTTTTTATGATTTTCCAACTAAAAGATCATATCATCTGCAAAGAAGAAGAATTTGACGTCTTCCTTTCCAACTTGGATGCCTTTTATTTCTTTCTCTTCTCTGATTGCTCTAGCTAGGACTTCCAGTGCTATGTTGAATGTAGAATAATAGTTGTGAAAGTGGGCATTCTTTTTATTTTCCTGATGTTAGAGGAAAGGCTTTCAGGTTTTTTTTCCATTCAGTATTATACTAGCCATGGGTCTGTCATATACGGCTTTTATTGTGTTGAGGAATGTTCCTCTATAACCAGTTTTTTGAGGGATCGCATCATGAAGGGATGTTAAATTTTATCAAATGCTTTTCAGCGTCAACTGAAGTGATCATATGTTTTTTGTCCTTCATTCTGTTTATATATATCATTGATTTGCATATATCAAAGCATCCAGGCATTCCTGGGATTAATCGTTCTTGTTCATGATGAAAGATCTGTTTAATGTGTTGAATTCAGTTTGCTAGTATTTTGTTGAGGATTCTTGAATTAATATTAAGCTCTTTTTTTGATGTGTCCTTGGGTTTTGATATCAGGGTAATACTGGCCTTGTAGAATGAGTTTGGAAGTATTCTGTCCTCCTCTATTTTTTGGAATAGTTTGAGTAGGATTGGTATTAGGTTTTTTTAAGTATTTGGTAAAACTCAGCAGTGAAGCTGTCAGGTCCTGGGTGTTTCTTTGCTGGGAAACTTTATTACAGCTTCAATCTCATTGTTTGTTATTGCTCTGTTCAGGTTTTGGATGTCTTCATGATTCAGTCTTGGTAGGTTGTATGTGTCTAGGAATTTATCTATTTCTTCTAGGTTTTCTAATGTATTGGCCTAGGTTGCTCATAGTAGTCTCTAATGATCCTTTGAGTATCTGTAGTATCAGTTGCAATCATTCCTTTTGCATCTCTGGTCTTATCTCTTTTTTTCTTAATCTGATTAAAAGTTTGTCAATTCTGTTTATGTTTTTGAAAAAATTTCATTTTGTTGATCTTTTGTGGCATTTTTTTTTTTTTGAGACAGAGTCTTGCTCTGTCACCCAGGCTGGAGTGCAGTGGCACAATCTCGGCTCACTGCAACCTCCACTGCCATGTTCATGCAATTCTCCTGCCTCAGCCTCCTGAGTAGCTGGGATTACAAGCGTCCGCCACCACGCCTGGCTAATTTTTGTATTTTTAGTAGAGATGGGGTTTCACCATGTTGGTCAGGCTGGTCTTGAACTCCTGACCTCAGGTGATCCGCCCACCTTGGCTTCCCAAAATGCTGGGATTACAGGTGTGAGCCACCGCGCCCAGGCTCTTTTGTGGTTTTCTAATTTAAATTTCATTTCTTTCTGCTCTGATCCTTACTATTTCTTTTTTTCTGCGAATTTGGGGTTTGGTTTGCTCTTGGTTTTCTAGTTCTTTAAGATGCATCATTAGGTTATTTGAAGTTTTTTACTTTTTTGGTGTAGGCGTTTATTGTTACAAACTCTCTTCATACTGCTTTTGCTGTATCCCATAGGTTGCAGCATGTTTTCATATGTTGTGTTTTCATTATCATTTGTTTTGAGGAATTTTTAAATTTTAATTAAGAAATTTCTTCAGGCCGGGGGTGGTGGCTCACGCCTATAATCCCAGCACTTTGGGAGGCCGAGGTGGGCGGATCACCTGAGGTCAGGAGTTCGAAACCAGCCTGGCCACCATGGTGAAACCCTGTCTCTACTAAAAATACAAGAAATTAACCAGGCATGGTGGTGGATGGCTGTAATCCCAGCTACTCGGGAGGCTGAGGCAGGAGAATCGCTTGAACCCAGGAGGCAGAGGTTGCAGTGAGCCAAGATCGCGCCATTGCACTCCAGCCTGGACAACAAGAGCGAAACTCTGTCTCAAAAAAAAAAAAAAAAGAGATTTCTTCATTGACCCACTGGTCATTCAGTATTATATTGTTTAATTTCAATGTGTTGGTATACTTTCCAAAGTTCTTCTCATTATTGATTTCTAGTTTTGTTCCATTGTGGTCAGAGAAGATACTTGATATGATTTCAATTTGAAAGTTTTTTTTTTTTTTTTTTTTTTTTTTTTTTTGAGACAGGGTCTTGCTCTGTCACCCAGGCTGGAATACAGTGGTGCGATCACAACTCACTGCAGCCTCAACCTTCTAGGCTCAAGCAATATTCCCACCTTGGCCTACTGAGTAGCTGGGACTACAGGCATGTGCCACCACGCCTGGCTAATTTTTGCATTTTTTTTAAAGATGGGATTTCACCATGGTGCCCAGGCTGGTCTTGGACTATTGAGCTCAAGCAATCCACCTGCCTCAGCCTCCCAAAGTGCTGGGATTAGAGGTGTGAGCCAGTGCACCCAGCTTTTTTTTGGATTTTTAAGACTTGTCTTGTGTCCTAATATTTCATGGTCTATACCTGAGAATGATCCATGTGCTGAGCAGAATGTGTAACCTGTAGTTATTGGATGAAATTGTCTGTAAATATCTATTAGGTCCATTAGGTCCGATGTTTCTTTGTTGATTTTCTGTCTGGATGATTTGTGCAATGCTGAAAATGAAGTGGTTAAGTCTCCAACAATTATTGTATTGTGGTCTGTCTCTCTCTTTAGCTCTGAAAATATTTGCTTTATGTATCTCGGTGCTCCATTGTTGGGTGTGTATATATTTACAATTGTTATATCCCTTTGCTGAATTGATCCTTTTAGCATTATATGACTTTCTTTGTATCTTTCCATACTTTTTGTCTTAAGCTCTATTTTATCTAAATATAGCTGCTCCTGCTCTTTTTTGGTTTTCATTTGCATGGGATTTTTTTTCCCTCCCTTTATTTTTAGTCTATGTGTGTCTTTATAGGCAAATCATGTTTCTTATAGGGAACAGATCATTGAGTCTTTTTAAAAATTCATCCAGCCACTCTGTGGCTTTTGACTGGAGATTTAGTCCATGTACATTTAATATTTATAAGTAGAGACCTACTACTGACATTTTGTTATTTGTTTTGGTTGTTTTGTGGCCTTTTCTTTTTCCTTCTTGTCTTCCTTGTGAAAGTGATTTCTTGAATTATATTTTTTGTGTATCTCTTACATATTTTTTATTTGAGGTCAGCATGAGGCTCGTAAATAATATCTTATAACCCATTAATTTAAACTGATGACAATTTAACTTTGCAAAAACAAACCAACAAACAAGCAAAGAGAAAACTAATAAAAACCCTATACTTTAAATTTATCTCCTCTGCTTTTAAACTTTTTGTTGTTTATATTTTAATACTGTGTGTCTTGAGTTGTTGTAGTTGCCGTTTTTTTGTCAGTCCGTCTTTTAGTCTTCCTACTTAAGATATGAGTAGTTTACACATCACAATTACAGTATTATAATATTTTGTATTTATCTGTGCAGTTACTATTGCTAGTGAGTGTTGTATGTTCAGATGACTTTTTATTCGTCATTAGCATCCTTTTCTTTCAGACTGATGAACTCCCTATAGGCTTTCTTGTAGGAGAGGTCTGGTGTTGACAAAATCTCTCAGCTTTTGTTTGTCTAGGAAAGTCTTTATTTCTCCTTCCTGTTTGAAGGGCATTTTCACTGGATATAATATTCCAGGATAAATGTTTTTGTTTTCTTCAGCTCTTTAAATATATCATAATTCTCTCTCCTGGCCTATAAGGTTTCCACTGAGCAATCTGCTGCCAGATGTATTAGAGTTCCGTTTTATGTTGTTTCTTTTCTCTTGCTGCTTTTAGGATCATGTCTTTATCCCTGACATTTGGGAGTTTATTAAATTATCTGAGGTAGCCTTCTTTGGATTAAAGCTGCTTGGTGTTCTATAACCTCCTTGTACTTGAATTTTGACATCTTTCTCCAGGTTTGGAAAGTTCTCTGTTACTATCTCGGAATACACTTTCTACCCCAGTCTCTCTGCCTTCTCTTTAAGCCACTAACTCCTAGATATGCCCTTTTGGGTCTATATACTAGATCCTGTAGGCATGCTTTATTATTCTTCTTCCCTTTGACTCCTCTGACTATATTTTCAAAGAGCCCATCTTCAAGCTCACTATTTCTTCTGCTTGATCAATTCTGCTGTTGAGAGACTCTGATGCATTCTTTAATTTGTCAACTGAATTTTTCAGCTCCAGAATTTCTGCTTGATTCTCTTTAATTATTTCAATGTCTTTTTAAAATTTATCTGATAGGATTCTGAATTCCTGCTCTGTGTTATCTTGGATTTTGTTGAGCTTCCTCAAAATAGCTTTTTTTTTTTTTTTTTTGAGACAGAGTTTCTCTCTGTTCCCCAGGCTGGACTACAATGATGGCATGATCTCGGCTCACTGCAACCTCCGCCTCCTGGGTTCAAGCAATTCTCGTGCCTCAGCCTCCCGAGCGGCTGGGATTACAGGTGTGTCCCACTATGCCCAGCTAATTTTTTTTTATTTTTAGTAGAGACGGGGTTTCACCATGTTGGTCAGGCTGGTCTCGAACTCCTGAACTCAGGTGATCCACCCGCCCGCCTTGGCCTCCCAAAGTGCTGGGATTACAGGCATGCTCCACCATGCCAGGCCAAGATAGCTATTTTGAATTCTCTGACTGAACGGTCACATTAGCTCTGTCACTCCAGAACTGGTCACTGTTGCCTTATTTAGTTCATTTGGTGAGGTCATGTTTTCCCGGATGGTCTTGATGCTTATGGATGTTTGTCAGTACCTGGTCATTGATGAATTAGGTATTTATTCTTATCTTTGTAGTCTGGGCTTGTTTGTACTAGTCCTTCCAGAGAAGACTCTCCATGTATTCAAAGGGGCTAGGATGTGTCTTTGTTCACTGCAGCCATGTTTGCATTAGGGGTCACCCCATGGCCAGTAACTCTGTGACTCTTGTAGACTCACAGAAGTACTGCCTTGGTGGTCTTTGGTAAGATCCAGGAGAATTCCCTAGATTACCAGGAAGTCATTCTTTTCCCTTACTTTCCCTGAATGAATGGAGTCTCTCTGTCTCTGTGCTGAGCTGCCTAGAGTTGGGGAAGGGATGATACAAACACTCCCATGGCCACCAACACTGGGACTGTGCTGGGTCTGACCCGAAGCCAGCGTAGTACTCATTCTTGCCCAAGGCCTGTGGCTACCACTGCCTGGCTACCACTGATGTTTATTCGAAGCCCAAGAGGTCTTAATTCATCAGGTGGTAAATTCTTCCAGGCCTGTTTTTCCCTTTAGGGCAGCGAGTTGCCTTCTGGCCCAGGGTAGGTCTAGAAATCTTGTCCAGGACCTATGGCCTAGAATGAGGCCTTCAGGACACTGCTTGGCACTTTTTTTTTTTTACTGTGGTTGAGATGATATCCAAGTTGCAAGACAACGTCCTCTTTACTCTTCCCTCTCCCCTTGGAGCTGCCAGCTGTGCTGCCTGGAGTTGGGAGAGAGTTGATACAAACACTCTCTTGGCCACTCCAGCTGGTGTGTCACTGGTATGTCACTGGGTAGCAGGTACCCCAAGTCCACTGGTTCTGAGCCAAGCACAGCACTAGGATTTGCCCAGGAATTGCAGTCCTTGTGGCCTAGACTGCCTTTCAGATTTACTTAGGACACCAGAGTGTTTTAGTCTGTGGTGGGGGTACTTGCTGGAACTCAAGTTTCCACCACTGTGGTGGACAATTCTTAGGCTAGAGCTGATTTAAATGCTTCCTCTGGGGGTGCTGGCCAAATTCTGCCCCACGTTGCTTTCTGCTGTGACAGGGCAGCACTGAGTTCCAATGCAGAGTCCCACCATCACTCCATTCTTCCTCCTCCAAACACATAGATTCTCTCTTGTTGCCATGCTGCACTGCCAGGCATTGGGGGAGGGGTGGTGCAGGCATATGATGACTGTCTTTTCTACCCTCCTCAGTGCCTCTTTCTTTGAATACGATGTTAAAACTTGATACTTTGATTGCTCACCTAATTTTTGGTTCCTATGAAGGTGTTTTCTTATGTGGATAGTTGTTCAATTTGGCGTTACTGCAGAGGGGGCAATCGCTGGAGGGCTCTATTTGGCCATCTGGCTCTTCCACTTTCTCCTTTTTAGTTGTTTTGTTTGTTTTTTGAGATAGAGTCTCCCTCTGTCACCTAGGCTGGAGTGCAGTGGCACCATCTCAGCTCACTGCAACCTCCGCCTCCTGGGTTCATGCAATTCTCCTGCCCCAGCCTCCTGAGTAGCCGGGATTACAGGCACACATCACCATACCCAGCTAATTTTTGTGTTTTTAGTAGAGATGGGGTTTCACCATGTTGGTCAGGATAGTCTTGAACTCCTGACCTTGTGATCCACCCACCTCGGCCTCCCAAAGTGCTAGGATTAAAGGTGTGAGTCACCATGTTTGTTTGTTTTTTTTTAAGGAGACAGGGACAGGGTCTTCTGTTACCCAGGCTGGAGTGTAGTGGTGCAGTCATGGCTCACTGCAACCTTAAACTCCTGGGCTCAAGCAGTCCTCCTGCCTCAGCCTCCCAAGTACCAGTTTGTTTCTTGAGCCCTTGTGGATAGACTGGATATCCATATTGGTTTACCCATACTGGATAGGCCATAAATCTTTCTTGTAGATTTACTAGCATTTGTTTTCTGTTTTTACTTATTCTCGTGAATTGTTTTTTCGTGATCTTTCCCCTTTTATCTAGCAGTGACTTTTTTATTTTCTGCTTGTATAGTAAGCTTTCATATAGAAAATACATTAACCATATGACATTACATTTGACTTCAAATATTTCCCCATTCTTTCCTAAGTCTTTTTATTTTATTTACCTCTTATTTTTCTACTTGGTTATATGAAAGTTTTTTTCATTTTTGTGTGATTGGAAGTATTGGCATTCACATTATAATTTTTCTTTTTATTTCCATAGTTAGAAAGAATTTGGGGTAGATTTCATATTATTTTAGTTTGTAATGATTTTGTACTTTATATTGAACTAATTTACCTGGGATTAATTTTGGTGTCTGGTGTGGTTTAAGGATTTCCACATTGAAGATGGGGAGATGGGCTGAGGGGATATGTTAGTATTCCACACAGGAAGGAACAAAGGAAGGTACAAAGGAAAAGGAAGGGAAGCTAAGAGTTTTAGGAAAATGTGAGAGGGAGAAGCAGCTTAACTGATGTGACTTAATGGGATGTGGGGTGGGAAGGACTATAGGAGGAATCTTGGGTTTCTTGTTTTGCTGATGCTGCTAGCTTCACTATAAACATTTCCATTATCTTCCTGTGTTAATTCCTTATTTTGTCTGGTTGTTTTCTGGAACTTCTACTAATAATAATTATAATGGTAGCTACTACCAGTTATTAAGCAACTGCAGGTCCACAAAGCTTTCTCTAGAACCCTTGGAGCAAGATGTGTTTCAGAATTCAGAATGGTGCAGATTTTAGAAAGGTGAACAGGTCATATACTATGTGTGGCATAACATACCCAGCAGGGGCTGGAGCAGTACCCCAAAATCAAACACATTGAGATAGCTGCAAAGACTAGACTTCCTAAGAGCAATAAATGGAGGCTATGAATAGCCTCATTGCATTTCAGATGGGGTTTCACTCCAAATATGTATTCAAAAAGGAAAAGAAAAAAGGAAAGAAGACTTTGGTTCTCAGCTTTTTGAATACTGGAATGGCAGATTAGAGGTCATAGCATGTGCCAGAAATCTCGCACATTATTTCTAATTCTCATGAAAACCTTGTGAGGTACGTGATTATTATCTATATTTTCAAGATAATATGCTTATGGTAATAGAGTTAACAAGTGTGTCACAAGATTATGCAGTTAAATGAAAAACACCTCAGTTAATTCAGTAATGTCTGCCTTTAAAGCACACCTATGAAATAGAAATATAATGTGAGCCACATATGTACTGAAAAAATCTTTAGTATCCACATTCAAATAAAAATCTAAAACCAGTGATATGGTTTGGATCTGTGTCCCCACCAAATCTCATGTTGAAATTTAATCCTCAGTGTTGGAGGTGGGGTCTGTGGGAGGTGATTGGATCATGGGGGTGGATTTCTCACCAAATCTCATGTTGAAATTTAATCCTCAGTGTTGGAGGTGGGGTCTGTGGGAGGTGATTGGATCATGGGGGTGGATTTCTCACCAAATCTCATGTTGAAATTTAATCCTCAGTGTTGGAGGTGGGGTCTGGTGGGAGGTGATTGGATCATGGGGGTGGATTTCTCACCAAATCTCATGTTGAAATTTAATCCTCAGTGTTGGAGGTGGGGTCTGGTGGGAGGTGATTGGATCATGGGGGTGGATTTCTCACCAAATCTCATGTTGAAATTTAATCCTCAGTGTTGGAGGTGGGGCCTGGTGGGAGGTGATTGGATCATGGGGGTGGATTTCTCACCAAATCTCATGTTGAAATTTAATCCTCAGTGTTGGAGGTGGGGCCTGGTGGGAGGTGATTGGATCATGGGGGTGGATTTCTCACCAAATCTCATGTTGAAATTTAATCCTCAGTGTTGGAGGTGGGGTCTGTGGGAGGTGATTGGATCATGGGGGTGGATTTCTCACCAAATCTCATGTTGAAATTTAATCCTCAGTGTTGGAGGTGGGGTCTGGTGGGAGGTGATTGGATCATGGGGGTGGATTTCTCACCAAATCTCATGTTGAAATTTAATCCTCAGTGTTGGAGGTGGGGCCTGGTGGGAGGTGATTGGATCATGGGGGTGGATTTCTCACCAAATCTCATGTTGAAATTTAATCCTCAGTGTTGGAGGTGGGGTCTGTGGGAGGTGATTGGATCATGGGGGTGGATTTCTCACCAAATCTCATGTTGAAATTTAATACTCAGTGTTGGAGGTGGGGTCTGTGGGAGGTGATTGGATCATGGGGGTGGGTTTCTCACCAAATCTCATGTTGAAATTTAATCCTCAGTGTTGGAGGTGGGGTCTGTGGGAGGTGATTGGATCATGGGGGTGGATTTCTCACCAAATCTCATGTTGAAATTTAATCCTCAGTGTTGGAGGTGGGGTCTGTGGGAGGTGATTGGATCATGGGGGTGGATTTCTCACCAAATCTCATGTTGAAATTTAATCCTCAGTGTTGGAGGTGGGGTCTGTGGGAGGTGATTGGATCATGGGGGTGGGTTTCTCACCAAATCTCATGTTGAAATTTAATCCTCAGTGTTGGAGGTGGGGTCTGTGGGAGGTGATTGGATCATGGGGGTGGATTTCTCACCAAATCTCATGTTGAAATTTAATCCTCAGTGTTGGAGGTGGGGTCTGTGGGAGGTGATTGGATCATGGGGGTGGATTTCTCACCAAATCTCATGTTGAAATTTCATCCTCAGTGTTGGAGGTGGGGTCTGTGGGAGGTGATTGGATCATGGGGGTGGGTTTCTCACCAAATCTCATGTTGAAATTAATCCTCAGTGTTGGAGGTGGGGTCTGGTGGGAGGTGATTGGATCATGGGGGTGGATTTCTCACCAAATCTCATGTTGAAATTTCATCCTCAGTGTTGGAGGTGGGGTCTGTGGGAGGTGATTGGATCATGGGGGTGGGTTTCTCATGAATGGCTTAGCACCATTCCCTTGGTGGTGTCTTAGCAATAGGGAGTGATTCTTACAAAATCTGATCGTTGTAATATGTGGCACCTCCTCCACACTCTCTCTCCTTGTTTCACCATGTGATGTGCCTTCTCCTACTTCGTCTTTCACCATGAGTAAGAGCTCACTGAGGCCTCCCCAGAAGCCAAGGAGGTGCCAGCACCATGCTTGTACAGCCTACTGAACCAGGAGCCAATTGAACCTCTTTTGTTTATAAATTACCCACTCAAGTATTTATTTATAGCAATATAGGAACTTCCTAATACAAACAGGTAAAATTAATTTTAGTAATATATGTATTTAACCTAATATATCCAACATATTATATCATATAACCAGCATTTTTACAATGAGATACTTTATACTTTTTTGTAGTAAATTTTCACAGTCTGGCATATGTTTTATACTCATAGTATACCTCAAACCAGCCACATTTCAATTCCTCAGTAGCTACAGGTGACTAATGGCTACTATATTGGATAGCATAGTTCTAAAGCCTGTGTTTATCATGCCACATTCACTCAGGTTTATAGTCAGTTTGCCATACAAGTAGTTATTTTATATCACCTTGGACTTTGGCACCCTATGCCAGCCATATTGATCTATTTTACTACAAAATAGATTCCTTCTTTTAGTCTAATCTCTTACCTATTTTTCTGAGCTTTTCCTGCTTCTTGCTAAAGACTTCACCTTTGTAAATATCTAAATACAGTCATATGCTGCATAATGATGTTTCAGTCCAGTCAACAACAGACTACATATATGGCCATGGTTCTATAAGATCATAAAACTGTTATTTGTACTGTACCTTTTCTACATTTATGTATATTTAGATACATAAATACTTATCATAGTGTTAAAATTGCCTACAGGATTCAATACAGTAACGTCATGTACAGGTTTGTAGCCTAGGAACAGGCTATACAATATAACATAGGTGTATAGTAGGCTATACTATCTAGGTTTATGTAAATCTACTGTAAGATGTTTGCACAATGATGAAATTGCCTGACAATGCATGTCTTACAACATGTTCCCATTGTTAAGCAACCCGTGACTGTACTCAATTCTAATTTTTACTAGTTCTTTTTAAATTTGATCTTAAGAATACATTTTTTAAAATCTACAACTTTATTGAGGTAAACATCATAAAAGTCACTATATCTAGAATATAATTAAATGATTTTGGATAAATTTACAGAGTGTGTAACCATCAATATGATCCAGTATTAGAACATTTTTATCACCCCTGTAAGATTCTTCATGTCCATTTTCAGTTAATCCCCATTCCTACCTTGAGCCCCAGGCAACCACTTATCTTCTGTCTCTGTAGACTTACCTTTTCTGGACACATTCTCTAATAAACATACATTTATCCATTGAACAACCTGTGGAGTTCAATGTGCCGTATATGGCATAAAAGTTATCGTATAAATAAAATCTTATTCATTTTCAAATTACACTCTTCTGAACTCTGGTTATTAAATATCTCTGTAAAGCCTTTAGTATAGTCATCAAAACCACAATAAAACACTAAAAAGTTATGTTTTGGTAATCATAATTGTTGTTGTGATTAATAATGATAATTACATTTATATTGTAGAATCTTCATTTTTTCAGCATGGAAAAGGAGAAACATTTAATTCCTTTATGTCTTTCAGACTCGGGGTCTAAATGTGAGACCAAGAAGTTACCTCCAAATCAATGCAACAAATCTGGGCAAAGCATCTGCCAGAAACTAGTTTCTGCACAACAAAAAGCTCCTACACGAAAGAGTGGCTGCAACAAAAATTCAGTCCTAGTAAAACCTAAGAAAGGGCATTCAGGGAAGAAACCTTTAAAATGTAATGACTGTGGTAAAACCTTTAGTCGAAGCTTCTCTCTTAAACTTCATCAGAACATTCATACAGGAGAGAAGCCTTTTGAATGCAGTAATTGTAGAAAAGCTTTCAGACAGATCTCATCCATCCTACTTCATCAGAGAATTCACAGTGGAAAGAAAAGCCATGAATGCAATAAATGTGGGGAAAGCTTCAATCAAAGAACAACCCTTATTCTACATATGAGAATTCATGATGGAAAGGAAATTCTTGACTGTGGGAAGGCCTTGAGTCAATGTCAGTCTTTCAATATACATCAGAAAATTCATGTTGTTGGGAATGTCTGCCAGTGCAGAAAGTGCGGAAAAGCCTTCAATCAGATGTCATCCCTTTTACTTCATAAGAAAATTCACAATGGAAAGAAAACACATAAATATAATAAATGTGGGAGAGGCTTCAAAAAGAAATCAGTCTTTGTTGTACATAAAAGAATTCATGCTGGAGAGAAAATCCCTGAAAATGCGAAGGCCTTAAGTCAGAGTCTACAGCAAAGAAGTCACCATTTAGAGAATCCTTTTAAATGCAGAAAATGTGGGAAATTATTTAATAGGATTTCACCCCTGATGCTTCACCAGAGAATTCACACTTCAGAGAAACCGTACAAATGTGATAAATGTGACAAGTTCTTCAGGCGGCTTTCAACCCTTATTCTGCATCTAAGAATTCATAATGGAGAAAAACTATACAGATGCAATAAATGTGAGAAGGTCTGCAATCGGCATTCATCCCTTATTCAACATCAGAAAGTTCATACAAAGAAAAAGAAACTATTTGAGTGTAAGGAATGTGGGAAGATGTTTTCTGGAACTGCAAACCTTAAAATACATCAGAATATTCATTCTGAAGAGAAACCTTTCAAATGCAATAAATGTAGTAAAGTTTTCGGCCGCCAATCATTTCTTATTGAACATCAAAGAATTCATACTGGAGAAAAACCCTACCAGTGTGAGGAATGTGGAAAAGCCTTCAGCCACCGAATATCTCTCACACGACATAAGAGAATTCATACTGAAGATAGACCCTATGAATGTGATCAGTGTGGGAAGGCCTTCAGCCAGAGTGCACACCTCGCCCAACATGAAAGAATTCACACTGGAGAGAAGCCATATACATGCAAAACATGTGGTAAGGCCTTTAGTCAGCGCACATCTCTTATTCTACATGAAAGAAGTCATACTGGAGAGAAACCCTATGAATGTAATGAATGTGGGAAGGCATTTAGCAGTGGCTCAGACCTTATTCGACATCAGAGAAGTCATTCTTCAGAGAAACCCTATGAATGTAGTAAATGTGGGAAGGCATATAGTCGGAGTTCATCCCTGATTCGACATCAGAATACACATTCTGAAGAAAAAGCCTAAGGTTGTTTTAAATCTATAAAATCAACGAATGAGGCTATCAAACATATGGCAAATATGTATTTGTCTATAATGTAAATTTTGTGTATATGGGACCATTTGATGATATGTCCCACTTTGAAAGCCAAAGAGCAAAAGTCATTGGTGATTTTGACCTCAGGATTTGAAATTAACTGAAGGAAACTCAGAAGTTTGGTCAGTCATTGTGAATGAAGATCATTTTTCATTTGATAAGAATTACTGGCTGGGCGCAGTGGCTTACACCTGTAACCCCAGCACTTTGGGAGGCTGAGACAGGCGGATCACGAGGTCAAGAGTTTGAGACCACGGTGAAACCCTGTCTCTACTAAAAAATACAAAATTAGCTGGGCGTGGTGGTGCGCACCTGTAATCTCAGCTACTGGAGAGGCTGAGGCAGGAGAATCGCTTGAACCCAGGAGGTGGGGGTTGCACCGAGCAGAGATTGCACCACTGCACTCCAGTCTGGGCAACAGAGCAAGACTCTGTGTCAAAAAAAAAAAAAATTACCGATATTTTACTTCCAGCATAGTTTTAAAGATAATTTATTGGTCACATACAACAAAATAGAATTGTGAAGTCCATTATAGGGCTCTGAGCCTGATTTAAGGTCACAGAAAAAAGAATTTGAGTCTGTTTCTCAGATCTAGAATTATCAAATATAAGGAACTTCTCGGCAAAACAGGGTGCCACTTTCAGCTGACAAACTTGTGGGTGAGAATAAAGAAAAGTGAGTCTTTAGGTAGATAAAGTTGTCACTCATAATGGTGTGTAACAGTAGAAACCTTACTTTACCATCTCCACGGATATGAGGATATATGATCTTCATGGTGTGAACGTCTAACTTGGCTGAGACAAGCTATCAGTAAAAGAACCAAGATATAGTGAAGAATGAGGATTTCAGAGCCAGGAGAAATCAGTATTGTTTTATTTGGAAATAAATCATCTATATTTATATGAGTAAACATTGGTATTTTCATGTAACAATACTGGTATGCAATAAGTGGTGTAATATGAGTTGTTATGGACTGAATGTTTATGTCCCTCCCAAAACTAATTATGTTAAAATCCTCACCATCAATGTGATGTTACTTGGAAATGAGGCATTTGGGAGGCAATTAGGATTAGATGAGGTCATGAGGGTGGAGCCCTCGTGATGGGATTAGTGCCTTTATAAGAAGAGACATCAGGCTGAGCCCGGTGGCTCATGCCTGTAATCCCAGCACTTTGGGAGGCCAAGGCGAGTGGATCATGAGGTCAGGAGATTGAGACAATCCTGGCTAACACGGTGAAACCCCGTCTCCACTGAAAAAAAATACAAAAAATTAGCCAGGCACAGTGGCATGTGCCTGTAGTCCCAGCTACTCGGGAGGCTGAAGGAGAAGAATCGCTTGAACCCAGGAGGCGGAGGTTGCAGTGAGCCAGGATCACGCCACTGTACTCCACCCTGGGCGACAGAGCGAGACTACGTCTCAAAAAGACATCAGAAAGCCTGCTTGCTCTCTGCACCATGTGAGGATGCAGGAAGAAGCCAGCTGTCTACAGAACAGGAAGAGAACCCTACGAGAACCTAACCATGCTGGCGACCTGTTCTCAGACTTCCAGACTTCAGAACTGTGAGAAGTAAATTGTTGTTTAAGCCACCCAGTCTATGATGTTTTGTTATGGCAGCCCCAGCTAATATATGGAGTGGAAAGCCTAGATTTATCTACTGGGTTCTTTTCCTGTCAGCAGTTCAACATGTGTAGTAGCTTTCAGTCTCTGCTGTTTGTGCCAAATATATAAGAAATAAAATCAGATAACTTTTTTGTAATTGGATCATACACAGTTGGGCTCTTCTGTTTAAGTTTTCCTTCTGTAAAAGTTATTTTTGAGAATACCTTAAGTTTAAGATGACTTTGTGGAATGTGTGGAATGTATATGGGTTAGGTCATCCTAACTTTGACCACAATTGATAAAACAACAATCCAAATTGTGAGGGGTGAGCATGCATACAGGATAGTACAACTAACTTCCCATTTAAACTTGTTCTTTCGTATTTGTAAAGCAAGCATAAAAATCCACCCCTTGGAGCAAATGGGTGAGCAAACAGCACAGAGGTAACTCATGGAGAGGCAGGTCTTTTTTCCCCCTCTTTTCTACACACACCCTCTAGCTTGTTAATTCCTCTGCCAATCTGCCATACAAATACATGTCAGTCCCAAATGAATTGTGACACACCTGAAGACTAGGGAGAAGCAAGAGAATGCCCTGCCCACAGTCACCTAATTTCCTCAGGCTTATCTCATTGCCTATTGCATTTCTTGCTCCTCTTGGGGATTTCAAGAGAGCATTAGAATGGCAATACATGATACAGTTAAACTTAACTTGGAATTACTTGTGAGAATTGCATATCCTCACTGCTTTATTTCTGGCCCAGTCAAAAATTCTCATTTCATCTAGTTTTGTCTATTCTCTCCTATTCTTAAGCTCTTAAAGGCATTTGTGAAAGTGCAATAAAGGTAAAGTAACTTTGGGTTCATGTGTCCTCCCAACTGCTTGGAACTCAATTATATCCTAATAGGCCGAATCATTTATTATTTAAATTATTTTGCATTACATGAATTTAAAAAATATATCCAAACTAAGAAGGAAATCAACTTTGTGTTTTTTTAAAGTCCTGAAAACTTAACTGGCAAGAAAAATGTTTTGCTTTACTCCTAGACTGTTGTAAGAGAGCCCATTATTACAGTATTTTGCTTTTAATAGATGCCTATAGATTTCCAGCTTTCATTAGCAAATATTTTCGCTGCACATTTGTTGTGCATGTAAACACCCTGGACCAATCACTGCTAAATCCTGTGGATATGTAAACTAATAAGACACTGTTCTTGCCAGCAGACACTTACAGTTTACCAGGGAATTCAGGTAATAAAATATGGAATTCTGTATAAGGTGCATAGGTAGTACGGAGAAGAGGATGATAAACTTCATGGTGATGGAGGTATGGGGACAGGGATTGTTTTTGCAGATAATATTAAAGGAAGAATGTGAATTTGCTAGGCACACAAAAGTTGGAAAGCTAAAGAGAAAATTACAGATGGATAAAATAATGGCAAACAATAATAAAGTATTTGGGGAGTTACAAGTTCCAGCGTTTAGTACAATGACACATAATTCAATGGTTAGCACTCAATAAGTATTTGAATGAATGAAAATATATTAGTATAGATGGGCTATCTGAAGCATAATCCAATGGGACCTAAACCTGAAGATCACCCTGACATTGAGATAGACCCTTGGGAAAACCAGTTCGGACCCTAAAGATAAGGAATCACTATTCATATCTGAAACCTATGGTGAACTTATAACCACAGCAACAACAAACCATAAACCTTCCTCAATTCCTAGCTATAATTATAAAAATCTTACCCATCCACCTCCCACACACTAAAGGCTACATAGAAAGACATGCCCTTTCCAGGAATTAAATCCATTTACCTTCATATCTATTGTTCTACAGAAGATACTTGGCTTTCAGGAAAAAAAAAATGCAAGGCATACAAAAATGCAAAAATGAACACCTTACCCCACCAAGAAACAAAATTCATCAGAACTAGACTCAGAAATACATAGCTGTTGGACTGACATGGAATTTAAAGGAACTATGAGTAGTATCTTAAGAGTTATAATGGAAAATGCACAACAGGCAAGATTAGATGGATAATTTGAGCAGAGACACAAAAACTATAAAAATAAAATGGGGCTGGGCGTGGTGGCTCACGCCTGTAATCCCAGCACCTTGGGAGGCCAAGGTGGGCGGATCACGAGCTCAGGAGATCGAGACCATCCTGGCTAACACGGTGAAACCCCGTCTCTACTAAAAAATACAAAAAAAAGTAGCCAGGCGTGGTGGTGGGCACCTGTAGTCCCAGCTACTCGGGAGGCTGAGGCAGGAGAATAGCGGGAACCCGGGAGGCGGAGCTTGCAGTGAGCTGAGATCACGCCACTGCACTCCAGCCTGGGAGACAGAGCGAGACTCAGTCTCAAACAATAACAAAAAGAATAAAATGGAAATACTAGAAATGAAAAAACTCAATAAGCACATGAACAATTGTCTTCAACAGGCTCATCAATATACTTGACATAGTCAAGGAAAAAGTAAATGAACTTGACGTTAGGACAATAAAAGTTACTCAAACTGAAACATAAGTGGGGTAGGGTAGGACAAGAAGGAACAGAGAATCCAAGAGCTCTGAGAAAATATCCATTGGTCCAACACATACACATAATTGGAATCCCAGAAGATACAGAATAAATGGGACAGAAGAAATATTTGAAGACATAATGGCCAATATGTTTCCAAAATTTATGAACCCAGAAAACACAAATCTATGAAGCTCAGAGAACCTCAAGGAAGGTAAATATTAAAATCACTCACACACACACACAAACACACACCACCCCAGCCATATTATGTTCAAACTACTGAAAATAATCTTGAAGCAAGCTAGAGAGGGGAAAAAATTACATATAGAAGAACAAAGTTAAGAAAATTACAGCAGACTTATCAGAAGTATTGCAGGCCAGAGGACAATGTAATGGCATCTTTTAAGAGCTGAAGGAAAAAATCTGTCTTCATGAAATGCTCATGAAAATCTTTCAAACTGATAGAGAAATACTCTCAGAGAAACAAAACTGAGAAAATAATACATTAAGAGAAGACCTACTCTACAAGAAAAGTTCTTCAAACAGAAGGAATATGAAACACAGCAGACATTTGGAGATACATAAAGAAATGAAGAGATGCGGAAATGGAATACATGAAGGTAATAACTTTAAAAACTTATCTTAAAAAGTAACTGGCTGTCTTAGAGTAAAAATGTACCATGTAAACAGCATATGAAAGTAAAATATGATAAGCATAATGGATGTCGGAGAAAATGGGAATATATAAAATACTAACATGTTAAGTTGTGTATTATTTGAATGTATATTCCAATTAAAGAAGTAACAACTGAAAATGTTCAATGAGATGTAAACAATAATATAAAATAGAATTATTAAAAATGGTCATTTAGATCATAGAAGGCAAAAATAGAACAAAAACTAAAGAACAGAACAATTAGGATAGAGTTAACAAGGTGGAGATTTTAATCTAACTATATATTTAAAAATATCAAATGTAAATGGTCTAAATATACCAGTTAAACGACAGAGATTCTATGATTGAATGAAAAAGCAGTATCCAACTATATGCTGTCTACCAGAAACATACTTTAAATATAAAGGCATAGAAAAATGGTGGGAAAAAGATACACCACGCAAACATTAACAAAAAAGCAGAAATGACTATATTACTATCAGATGAAGTAGACTTCAGAACAAGGAATACAATCAGGGATAAAGAGTGAGATTACATAATGATAAAAGTTCTGTTTACTGGGAAAATGTATTTATTTATTGATTGATTTTTTTAAGACAGAGTTTCGTCTCACTCCTGTCTCCCAGGCTGGAGTGCAATGGCGCAATCTCAGCTCACTGCAACGTCCACCACCCGGATTCAAGCAATTTTCCTGCTTCAACCTCCCAAGTAGCTGGGACTACAGGTGCCTGCCACCATGCCTGGCTAATTTTTGTATTTTTAGTAGAGATGGGGTTTCACCAGGTTGGTCTTGAACTCCCGACCTCAGGTGATCCACCTGCCTCAGCCTCCCAAAGTGCTGGGATTACAGGCATGAGCCACCACGCCTGGCCGGGAAAATGTAATTCTAAATGAGTACACATTGAATTGCAAGGAAAAATGATAGAACTGAAAAGAGAGAAAGACAAACTGACAATTGTCATTGGAGACTTCATCACTCCTCTTGGTAATTAATAGAACAAGTAGACAAAAAAAAAAGATATAGAAGACCTCAACAACATAATCAACCAACTTGACCTGGTTGACATTTGTTAATATAAAATATTCCAAACAATCCAGGCAGGGTACACATTCCTTTTAAGTGTTCATGAAACATTTACCAAGACAGAGTATAAATATTGATAAATTAAAAAAATTATTTTGCAAACTATGTTCCTTGACTATACCAGAATTACAGTTGCAGTAAACACAGACATCTGAAAATATTTGGAAGGCTTAAATTACAAATTCCATTTTTTTTTGAGACAGAGTCTTGCTCTGTCGCCTAGGCTGGAGTGCAGTGCCGGGATCTTGGCTCACTGCAAGCTCTGCCTCCCAGGTTCATGCCATTCTCCTGCTTCAGCCTCCTGAGTAGCTGGGACTACAGACGCCCACCACCACGCCCAGCTAATTTTTTTGTATTTTTAATAGAGACGGGGTTTCACCATGTTAGCCAGGATGGTCTCGATCTCCTGAGCTCATGATCTGCCCACCTTGCCCTCCCAAAGTGCTGGGATTACAGGCGTGAGCCACCGCGCTTGGCCACAAATTCCATTTTTCTAATATAGAACTGAGTATTTCTTCAGTAAACCTTGTTAGCTTCTTTCAAGAATTTTTAAATTGTCAAATTATTTGCATAAAGTTCATAACATTCTTTTATTCATTTAATAACTATCATTTGTAGTGATATCACATCTGCCATTCCAGATAGTGATAACTTGTATAATCTCTTTTTTAATTGTCTGCAATTTTTTTGTTTATTTCATTGACCTTCTCAAAGAACCAGCTTTTGTTTTTCAGGTTTCTATTTCATTGGCTTCCATTCTGATTTTTATTATTTCCATTCTTGTGTTAACGTTGGGTTTCATTGCTCTTCTATTTCTAATTTGTTAGGTGGAAATAGGAGTCACTGATTTGAGTCATTTGTTTTGTAACATTGGCATTTAGTGCCACTGTATTTCTTTCCAAGTACTGTGGTACATCCCATACATTTTGATGTACTTTTCTCTAAGTTTCATTCAACTCAAAATATTTATTTTCCCTTTTGATTTCTTCTTAGAAATATGGTTACTGAAAAGTGTGCTCTTTTGTTCTAAATATTTGGGTGTTTTCTAATTACTTTTCTGTTATTGATTTAAATCCATTCTGGTTAGAAAACATATTTTGTATGACTTCAGTCCTTTTCAGTTTACTGATATGTGTTTTAAGGTCTGGAATTATTGTCTGTCTGGGTGAATGTTCTGGGTTCATTTGAAAAGAATGTGTGTTTTACTCTTCTTGGGGTGAATAGTTCCACAAATGTCAGTTAGGTCAAGTTGGTGATAATATTCAAGTCTTCAATATCCTCACTATTTTTTCTATTTATATGTTCTATTGAGAGGCATGCTGAAATCTCCAATTATAATTCTGGATTTGTTTATTTCTCCTTGTAGTTCTTTAAGTTCTTTCCCCAATTTCAGGTAGTTGCTTCACATCCATATTCTGATCTGTACTCAGATAAAAAAAAAAAAAAAAAAAGAGGAACACACTGTAGATTACTAGATGCTTTTTTTTCCCTTTTCTGAGAGCTGTCTCCTCTCAAACTCTCTATCCTGGGAACTCTAGCCACCTTGATCTCCCTGACTCCCAGCTCCATCACCTTAATTCGTGGAGATCTGTACCACAGCCTGGAAACTACATGCAGTTGTCTGGGGAAATCATAGGACTCACCTCATTTGTTTCTAATTTCTCAGGGATCATTATTTTATTGCCTGGTGTCGTTTTTTAGTATTTCAGGTGGGAGATTAAATTATTCCCTAGGACTCCATCTTTGCCAGAAGTGTAGATCTCAGATAAGCATTTAGAGAGGGCGGTAATAATGAGGAATCTAGGATTTTTAATTTTTTTAAATAATATCGCAATTAACATTCTTGTACATATGCTTTTGTAAAGATTTACCAATATTTTTAGAGAATAAATTATTGGGTCAAAACGTAGGTATATTTAACATATATTACCAACTTGTCTTTCCTATCCAAACTACTATCTAGAGTGAAGTAGGATTCTTAAGAGGAATTTTATGTATGTTTGTTCATTGCTGCCTGCATCTCCCCCCTTCCCCACACAACTATCAGGATATATCAGTGAAATTTTTTCAGATTTTCTTCTGACTTTTCCTCCATTATGGAGACTTTCTCTCGCTCTGCTTTTCCCAGAGGGCAGAGACTACCAAAGATGCTGGCACATTGTTGTAGTGTGAACTTACTATTTCTGTATTATATTTTCAAGTATGTGATATGAGGTAGTGCAATTTTCTCATTCCATGATGCTAGCACATTCTTTTCATTTTGTTCAGTTTTAATGAAGGGGTGTTCTGTAATTTTGAGCTTACCATTATCGATAAGATCTGCGAATGGCTGGAGTTTTTAATTTTTGAATGAAATGAGCTTTTCCTGATCTACTTATTTATCAAAGGACAGTGCTTTACACTAGCAGATAATTGGTTTTACCCCAGTGAATCTGAAACCTTAATGTGTACAGATCATCTGGAGATCTTGTAAAACTGCAGATTCTGAATGATTAAGTCTGGGTTAAGGCCCAAGATTCTGGAATTTTAACAAACTCTCAGGTGATGCTGATGCTGTTATTCCATGGCGCAGACTTTTGAGTAGCAAGGATTAGTCTTTACTTTGCATTCTTGCACATCACTGGCAGTATTTTATTTCCTCTATTACATGATAAACCTTTTTTTTTTTTTGAGACGGAGTCTTGATCAGTCGCTTAGGCTGGAGTGCAGTGGCGGGATCTTGGCTCACTGCAAGCTCCAACTCCCAGGTTCCCGCTATTCTCCTGCCTCAGCCTCCTGAGTAGCTGGGACTACAGGCGCCCACCACCATGCCCAGCCAATTTTTTTGTATTTTTAGTAGAGATGGGGTTTCACCATGTTAGCCAGGATGGTCTCGATCTCCTGACCTCGTGATCCACCCGCCTAGGCCTCCCAAAGTGCTGGGATTACATGATAAACCATATTTTAAAACTCATGCATTTCCTCCTTAAGCCCTCCTGTCACTCACACGACACTCTGCAACTATAATAGAGTTTACGAGTGCTTCCAAAGCCAGAATGTTTGAAGTGATGTTGTGGCTGCAACCAAGGTGCCCTTTCTTTTGCCCTTCCAGATATGCTGCTGCTTTAGGAAAATTCTGTGCTCCTCAATGCAGCAGTAGTTTCTTTCCCAGGATTCTCACCACATTTAGCCGCACCTCTTTGTGGATTTTGAAGCTCAGAATTATAGATGTTTCTTCACTTCATTAAAGACGAAGCCTCTACATGCATTTCTTACTCTTGTTGCTTTAACTTGGTTTCAGAAAGGAGAAACAAACAGAAACTACTTAATTCCATCTTGTTAAATGCAGAAGTTAGTAAATATTTTTAAAGGCTTCTCACACATATATTCAAACTTGTTTCCTTGTGGGAATACACCAGTCTACCACTCTGCTGTGGAGAATAGGATAAGGGAGTAGGAAAATGAAGTTCCTTACCTGAAGGCCACAGTCTCTATAGATCAGATCTGCTTTCCTTTATACATGCAAACCATCTCATTTTCTGTGAGTTGTATCTCTGACACTTTCTGCGAGGGAGACCTTCTGTGGAGTGTATTAAAAGGAACCCCCGTGAACTGTCTCACTTTCTGTGGGTTGTATCTCTTACACTTGCTGTGAGGGAGGCCTTCTGTGGAGTGTCTTAAAAGGAACTCCCCTGAAGTCCCCTGGCATGCTGGATCCAGGTGATGCTAAACCAATTCTTGTCACCACAGCCCCAGCCTCTTTCTGCTGGGGTTACTTTATCATGCAACCTTCTCTGGATTACTGGCAAGACAGTTTAATTACAAGCCACTGTGTGCTATGTCCATTTGACCCACAGACATGTAACTTACCTATGCTACAGAGTCTGAGGCAGCACCCCTGAATTGAACAAATTAATATTTCTGAAGAAAAAGATATGAATGTTTATACTAACTGGGATCAATGTCAATAAATACCCTCATGTCAATTCAGGTCAGGTTTTGCCATTATGAGAGCTGATTCTCAACCTCCCTTCAACCAGCCCCAATTCTGTGTGTTTTTTTTGTGAATTGGTCAGTTCAGTGATTCAGTCTCTCTGGAAGAGGCATGTACACTTGACACAGGCTGGCTAGAGTACCCCACATACCATGGACCCAATGACTGGTTCAGAGTGGGCACACAGCCAAAACTGAAACAAATCATATTTTCCTCCCAGGGATTGACACGGAGGCAGAGAGACAGAGATATTGCCCTACTTTTGAGATTAAATATTCTATGGACATTTTAAGTCTAATATCCTCAGATGCCATTTCTTTCCCACCAAGAGACAGAACCTGGAGAGAAGGAAACTACTGAAAGCAGAGCTGAGTTACAAACCTCTGATAAGTCTGAGCACTTAAATCCAGCCTAACACTATGCCATACATGTTCAATGCTTTTTAGTTACAAGAATCAATAACCTGTTTCCTAAACTAATTTTGTTTGGTTTCTATCAATCCTGACTACTGTTGCTGTTTCTGGATTTATTTTTATACGCTCTTTATAAGTCTTTTATGAAAGGAAAGGATGTAAGTCATCCCATGTGAGTTTATCACATTTGTTGCATTTTTAACTTGAAATATAGCTAACCTGTATTTTCTTATTCTGTCAACTTTAGGCAGATCTCCTGAATCTCCTCTGCACAATGAGATTATTGCCACTTATCCTTGCTTCAATCTTTCATTTTCCAATCTACCTTCCACCATCCAATCAATCAGCTATATTCTGCCTTTCACATTACTAGATATTTATGTTACAGATAATACTTCAGTGATTTCTATATTCTAAATGTATAAAATAAAATAGCATTGCATTACTACCAACATTTGTTATTCTCTGAAGAGCCAGAGCCAAGTAATATGTAAAGATTACATTCCTCCTCTACACATCCAATGTTATGATCTTAGTACTCACTCAAAGGGAACTATCGTCATATCAAATGGATTTTCCTTTTTCAGTTTTCTAAAATCATGCAACATTTCATGGGGAGTTGCTTAACGTTAAGACTATGATATCTAGTTTGGTTTTTTCTTTGTCTTTCCCAGAGCCAGTAATTATCTTTCTTTCCTTCTCGTATGAACAAAATTTTATCTCCATCATATTGCTAAGATCCTCCAACTTCATATGAATTCTGTTTAATGGAACTCATTCCATCCTTCAAAAAGTTTTTCTTCACTGGCTCCCTGGATTCTTAGTCTACCAATAATTTGGTTGGATTGTTTTCTACACTTATTGCCAAGTGGGTATCCTTGTAATCCTCAACTCCAGTTTCTTGGGTTACAGCCACTGTTCACTTCAGCCTATCCTGCTGTCTTCTTCCTTTTTCATCTACATTTTGCTTGAGTGACTCCTTTAATATCCTGGATAATGGAAATAAATTCCATGACTGAAAACATCAATATTTGGCCTCATGCTTTAAATATTGTTGGCCAAGTATAGACTTCTAGGTCCAAAGTAATTTTATCTCATAAGTTGGAAAGTGCTATTCTGTATTCTATCCAATATTTATGATAGGAGGAAGGGCTAAAATCATCTTGACTGTTGTTCTTTTTTAGGTGACCTAATCATTTTTGAAAGCTTTTAGAATGTTTTCTTCTTTAATATTCTGAAATTTCACAAGCATATTTCTGGATTTTCCTGTTGTGGTTTTCCTAGTTCATCCTATACAACATTCAGTGAGCTAACCCAAGCTGAACATGCTTGCCTTGTTTCAGTTTAGAAAGATTCTCAGTCATTCGATACATTCTTATATTTTCTGTGAAATTTTTCCCAAAACATTGATATTGGACCTTGTAAATTTCCATGTCCCTTTTTCTCATTTTTCTTTTTAATTTATGCATCTAAGGTTTCTTTTCTTTCTAACCTTTATTAAATTTATTACAGTGTATTTTTTTATTTCTTAGTTCTTATCTAATTGTTCCCTTTATTTTGTAGTTTCAAATTGCAGGCTAAAATCAATTTTTCATTTTCTTCTGTTATTACATGACTTTCCCCACTCAGGATTCAATTATATCTCTTGGTCCTTATTATGCTGGTGGTTTTCTTCAAGTGATGATACTTAGCTATCAGTTGCCATTTAAGTATTACATGGTTTGATTACCATAGGTAAATGCCAGGGGGTCCTTTGTATATTTCCACTGTAGGTCTGTTTGCCTAAATTGGAAGGGTTACCAGGGTATCTGTATGCCTGGGAAGGGCTGGCAAGTCAAGGAGAGATGCTCCAAATTCCAAAAAAGAGTTTTAACTTAGACTGCCAACTTTTCATTCTAGGTGTCCAGTTCGTTGTAAACTCAATTTTTTCATGTTAAAGTTTTTTTTTTAATTATTACATTGATGTTTAAAACTTCAAACAGTACAAATAACACTAAATCTTCCTTTGACCAGAGCATCCAATACCAGTCCCTTCCTAGAGGAAACATTTATCAGTTGGGTGTCTGTTCAGAACTTTCACTAAGCATTTGCATACTTCTATAAATGCATTAGAAATAAAATATATTTTTAAATATACAATAGTGTATGCGAAATTTTTACATTTTCAACCAGTAAGTCCTTTAGTCAAATTCGTATCAATATTATCAGCCCATTCTTTTAAACTCCAGCATAGAACTCCTAGTCATTACTTTACTGATAGAAATTTAGGTTGTTTTCAGTGTTTCAAATACTAACTGTACCCTACAAAGTGGCTATAGTGAGCATTTTAAAAACTTCACTGCCTCTAAAGTAGCTGTGATGAGAAATCCTGTCTCCACACCACGACCAATATCTGGTATTATACTGTCTCAATTTGAATCTCTCCACCCGTGATTCCAGCACTTTGGGAGGCTGAGGGAAGAGGACCACTTGAGCCCAGGAGTTTGAGACCAGCCTCAGCAACAAAGTGAGACTTCATCTCTACAAAATAAATAAATAATAAATGAGCAAATTTGCATAACTTAATACTAATGAGGTTAAGCAGAGACTTAGACATCTGTATGTCTTCCACAATTTGGCCATTCTCATCTTTGCACATTTATATACTTGCTTAGTTGTCCTTTACTTATTGACTTATATGTGTTCTTACATGTGTCCGTTATGTGTTTCTTCCTTCCTGTTGCTTATCTTTTAACTTTCTTTAAAAGCACACTAATTTTTGTTGTTGTTGAGACCGAGTTTCACTCTTGTTACCCAAGTCGGAGTGCAATGTCGCGATCTCAGCTCACTGCATTCTCTGCTTCCTGGGATCAAGCCATTCACCTGCCTCAGCCTCCCAAGTGGCTGGGTTTACAGGTAGCCCCACCACACCCAGCTAATTTTGTATTTTTAGTAGAGACAGGGTTTCACCATGTTGATCAGGCTGGTCTCTAACTCCTGAGGTCAGGTGATCCACCCGCCTCGGCCTCCCAACGTGCTAGGATTACAGGCGTGAGCCACCATGCCTGGCCAAAAGCACAATAATTTTTTTTTTTTTTTGAGACAGAGTCTCACTCTATCGCCCAGGCTGGAGTGCAGTGGCATGATCTTGGCTCACTGCAACCTCTGCCACATGGTTCAAGTGATTCTCCTGCCTCAGCCTCTCAAGTAGCTGGGATCACAGATGCCTGCCACCACACCCAGCTAATTTTTTGTATTTTTAGTAGAGATGGGGTTTCACCATCTTGGCCAGGCTGGTTTTGAACTCATGACCTCATGATCCACCTGCCTCAGTCTCCCGAAGTGCTGGGATTACAGGTGTGAACCACCGCACCCAGCCAAAGCACACTATTTTTTGACACAGTCAATTTTATCAATCTTTTCCTTTATGGTATTTGAATATTTTAGAAACACGTGTCTGACACCAAAGTCGTTAACATATCCCACTATATTTTTTCTAATACTTTTGCTTTAGTAATTTACATTTAGATTTTTATTCAGTTAGAACTTATACTTGTTAATGGTGTGAAATAAGGATCCCATTCAATTTACTTATACAAGAGAGGGGAGAGTGAGGAGGCTTTTGGCAAGGGCTACTGACATAACTTTCACATACAAAGGCTTCAAGAGGCTTTTCATCATGTCTTCTTAGAAGCCACAGCCTGTACATAAGCCAACTCCAAGCCTGAACTTCTCTAGGGATCCTTTGGGCAGACTAGATTCCATTTTTAAAACCCTTCGGTCATTCGCATATAACATGCAGCATCTTCTGCTACAATTCATGAACACTCTTCCCTGTTTTGCCTTTTACAAAATTATTTCATCCACTCAAAAGCCTCACCTTTTTTTTTTTTTTAAGAATCATTTACATTGTTCTATGTGTATAATAGAATCTGGAGGGAAAGACATTGTGTGCCGAGTTTTTGAACTTCAAAATAAAATTCTACTTTTCCCAATTAAAATTCTGAAGTTGACAAATTGCCTACCAGAGTTTGTACAAACTCATGCTCTTTTAAATTAGTGCATAGTATCTCTTTTTGTATGCTTTCAATGCAGTTTTATTAATCTGATATTGAAAAAAATAGTATTTCATTGGCCTAAACTGTATTTCTTCTGATCCTAGGGAGATTTAGTACTTACCACATATTTATTGGTCACCTGTTGCCTCTTCATATCCTTTGACTATGAGCTGGAGAAAAGCGTCATTTCCTAAGGGATTTTTATGAGCAATTTTATGTTAAGGATATGAATTCCATAGTTTATATGTGCTGCAATAATTTTCTCCCATTCTTAGGTTTAAAAAATATTGTATCTTTTACTATCTTTGATCATATAAAAGCTTTATAAAGTTCTTATACAGTCAAATCTATGACTTGTTGACAGGAGGTGGGGAGGCTTCTGAATCTCATGTTTAGGAAGGCCAGTCTCATTCCATGATTAGAGTGTGTCACAGACTCCTCTAATCACTGTTTGTTCCACATTTAGATAAAGCACTTGAAAGTAACTTTCACATATGGAATGAATTGTTGTATAGAGCACGATAAATTTTTCCAAAACTGTTAAACCACTGATGGTATAGGTCACTTTTGTTATAATTTTCTTTATATGTGTAACAGCATGAATATGTATGTTCACACATACATGTTAAAACCTTACAAAATTTATTAGAATTTTGTTAGGTAGAATCTGTAAATTAATTCATGGGCTACTGACATCAGTATGATAGTGAATCTGTCTTACCATATAAAGGATAAAATATTTATTTGTCTTCTTTTTCATCCTCCATTAAACTTTCGTCATTCTGTTTGTATCTATAGTCACATGTGAATTGATCACTGCATTGATTATATGCCAAAAGAATTCTGGGGTCAGGAAGTAATATTAAAAGAGGTCAGATGTAAAGAATCAGGGAGTGGTTTGAATGTTGGAGAAAGGGAAAACACATGGTCTGCTGAAGGTATTCATATGTATTTTAAACTTAATGCATACAGAATCAAACATGTTTGTGGGCCAGTTTATGAGAACTGACCTACAGTTTTGGTTTCTTTTCTTCACTAGTTTTGAAATTTTAGTAATTTAACAACCTTTATTATTTTAAATGACATAGATTTGATATAATTCATTCACCCAGATTTAGAACAGGGGTTCAAACTTATACTTTATTTTCTACTCATCATTGGTTACTGACTTGTTTCAAGATTTCTTTTTAATTTCGATTTTGCCTTTGTTTACATGTAAATGATGAATACATCTCAGTAAACTGTCTTATTAAAAATGACTTTTTAGGCCAGGCACGGTAGCTCACGCATGTAATCCCAGCACTTTGGGAGGCCAAGGCAGGCGGATCACCGGACGTCAGGAGTTAGAGAAAAGCCTGGCCGACATGTCAAAACCCTCTCTCTACTAAAAATACAAAAATTAGCTGGGCGTGGTGGTGCAGGCCTGTAATCCCAGCTACTCAGGAGGCTGAGGCAGGAGAATCACTTGAACACAGGAGGCGGAGGTTGCAGTGAGCCAAGATTGCACTACTGCACTCAAGCCTGAGCAACAGAGCAAGACTCCATCTCAAAAAAAAAGACTTTTAAAATAAGACATTAGCATCTTAGAACTGTTAAATATCCAGTGAATGCTGATACAAGCCACCATCTTACCCTATATCATGGACTCTAATGTAAATCCTACTGTTAGATACCCTCCTCACCTACTTTTAGAAAAATGCCTACCATTCCTAAAAAAAAAAAAACTTCACAATCTCTCAGTCCTGAGCTGCTGCATCTCTTTTTATTTCTGAGATAATCATGGCTGAGATGATTGGCTTTCTATGTATAGTATGGTTATCTTTTTACTTTACATTATGGTTTGAGTAATTACTTTATGCTAGGCACGCTGCTGAGCAATTTACATGCATTATTTCATTCTTCTATTAACTTCTGAGGTAGAACCATTATTATTCCCACACTATAAATAAGACTGAAGCTTACAAAGCACAAACTGCTGCCCCCAAATTAGAGGGCAGGAAATGGAAGTGCAAAGATTGGAACCCAGGTCTTTTTGATCCTGGAATATGTATCTTAATCCTGGATAAGTATTCAGAGAATGAGATGGATAGTGACACAAGATAGAAACTTTGGAAGGTAACCTGGAACAAGGTGTTAGAGGCTAGGTTTTTAGGCTATTTTGAAGAATGTGTGCTTTAACTTAAAAACCATGGGATGCCACTGAGGGATTTTAATGAGGGAGAAATGAGATTAAACATATTTTTAAAAATACAAATTTGGTTGCAATGTGGACATCTGACAGAGACAATGGTGAGTACAAGGAGACCAATTAGAAAGCTACTCGAGTATCCCATGTCAAATATATTAATGTGCATTGGACAAGGATGATGGGATGGAAATGGATTCAAGAGGTGGATTCCAGAAATATTCAGGAGATGAAACCTACAGGTCTTGGCAACTGATTTGATGTGGAGGGTGAGGGAGAGGAAAGAGTCAAGAATGACTCCATAGTATGAATTCTCTCATGATGAGCAAGATGTGCACGCTGCCTGAAAGATTTCCTGCAATCTTTACATTCATAGGGTCTTTCTCCAGTATGAATTCTCTGATGTAGAGTAAGAGATCCACTATAGCTAAATGCTTTCCCACAAACATTACATTCATAAGGTTTCTCTCCAGTATGAATTCTCTGATGTTGAGCAAGGCCTGCATTCTGGCTAAATGTTTTCCTACATTCCTTACACATATAGGGTTTTTCTCCAGTATGACTTCTCTGATGTTGTGCAAGTGATGAACTATTGCTAAAGGCCTTCCCACATTCAATACATTCATAGGGTTTCTCTCCAGTATGAACCCTCTGATGTTGATCAAGGTATGCAATTTGGCTGAAGGCTTTCCTACATACTTTACATTCATAAGGTTTTTCTCCAGTATGAACTCTCTGATGTTGAGCAAGGTGTGCATACTGGCTGAAGGCTTTCCTACATTCCTTACATTCGTAGGGTCTCTCTCCAGTATGAATTCTCTGATGTACAATTAGGTATCCACGATGGCTAAAGGCTTTCCCACACACATTACACACATAAGGTTTCTCTCCTGTATGAATTCTCTGATGCTGAGCAAGAAATGAACCATTACTAAAGGCCTTTCCACATTCAATACATTCGAAAGGTCTCTCTCCAGTATGAACTCTCTGATGCTGAGTCAGGTGTGCAATCTGGCTGAAGGCTTTTTTACATTCTTTACACTGATAAGGTTTCTCTCCAGTATGAACTCTCTGATGTTGGGCCAGGTGTGCATTCTGGCTGAAGGCTTTCCTACATTCTTTACATTCATAGGGTTTCTCTCCAGTATGTATTCTCTTATGTTGCGCCAAGTTTGCACTCTGGCTGAACGTTTTCCCACATTCAACACATGCATAGGGTTTCTCTCCAGTATGAATTCTCTGATGAAGAGTAAGGGATGAGCTCTGGTTGAAGACTTTCTCACAATCATTACATTTCAAAAGTTTCTTTTCTACATAGACTTTCCTATGTTTCATTTCAACAGATTTTTTTCGGTAACTTTTCTTTTGTGGTTCATGCTTATGTGCTTTTTCTTTGGTGGGAAAACTCTGTTGTATATCAAAGATTGTATCCTGGTGGAATGTTTGCCAAGATTTGTTATATTCTTTATTTTGAACTTCTGGAAGGATTTCTTTATGAGTGATGATTAATTGACTAAGATGTACCTCTTGACTTCCCAGCTGGTTCTTATACCAGTCCTCACTTTGACAGTCTTCTCTCAAACTGGGATAGTCAAGGCTATAACTAAGATGTCTTGCTCCCACTGTCACAACTTTGGATGATTCTTCATATGTCTCTTGCTTTGATGAAAATTCACTGTTTTTAAATACATACTCCCAATCTAAAAGATATCAAGAAACAAATGACTTTTGTATTTAATTCACTAGAAGAAATTTCTAAAACAAAAACGTGAATAAAATACATCACAAGTTAAAGGATTTAAAAGCTTATAATGCATTCTAAAATAATGACATTATAAATAATAAGAATTTAAGAGAGTTGATTAAGGAAATAATCATTGACAACCAGTAAGGTAAATATAAGAACAAAACAATGAAGGTGGTATTCTAAAAATCATAATCATCTTTTTATATCTAAGTTAATAACAGACTTCAAACACCTTTCCTCTCTTGTCATAGGTTATCCTGCATTCAAGCTAAGTTATCTTTTATAAGCCAGTTTTATGATGTTAATATGATTAAAAACTCCATTGGAATCCCAGGCCTAAAAACAACAGTAGGCAGTATTAATATCCTTATTAGGATACATGTAAAACTTTATGGTTGTTCATATTGTTCATAAAACTCTATGGGTAAACATCTGTAGTTAGAAAAAAGTCTTCCAGAAAATCATTTTCTATGTAACAAACTCCAACCATATGTAAACTTTCAATTGATCCCTGCAGCTAAGATGCCTTCATATAAGAGTAGTTTTGTATCAAACTGCTTGGTCTTACTAACCTAGCACAGAACTTAGTCTGCCTTCCCCTGTCCAGTTCCAAATCAGATCACTTCATTTTTCTGCTTAAGATTTTCCTGTTTCTTACTACATTTAGAATAAAGTGAAAATTCCTACCTTGGTTTATGAAACTCTACATGACCTGGTGTTCTCTGATCTTATCTTCTACTACTCCCTTGCTTGCTTACTCCACTTCAGTCATATGGGAATTCACTTTATTTCCACTTTAGGAGCACCAGACTTGCTGTTTCTCTGCCTGAAAAGCACTTTCCACAGATATCTGCTTGATCCCTTCTCTCATTGCACTTCTTCACTTGAGGTTCTGTTCACATATTACCTCTTCAGTATGGCCTTTGCCGAACATCCAATATGAAGTATTCCACACTCTTATGTTTCTCTTTCCTCCTGCTTTGCACTTCATAGCACTTAACTTATTTAATATCATATTACATGTTAACTTACTCTCTATTCTTATTAGAATGTAAACATTCATGTGCAGGAAGTTTTTTTCTCACCCTTGAACACCCATTGCCTAAAATAGCCTGGACAGATAGAAGGTGCTTAGTATCTTTGGAATAAATACTGAATCAATAAGACATAAAACACCACACTAATTCATCCTCTTATTAGAATGACATGCTTGCATGAATGGGGTAAATGTCTGAAACCAAATGGAATATTACCACTAAACTTAAATATTACAGTGGATAATGATATTTGGAAGGAAAAGAATCTGAAGGCAACATACTTAAATTGAGGCTGCTAATTCCGCTGTGCTGCCTCAGTGCCCTTCCAAATTCCACTTTCCTCTCTAAACAGTTGCAAATCACACCCATGAATGCCCTATAAAAAGTCAACATGAAAATTAAATTCTGAAGACTGATGGGTCAAAAAAGAAATATGAAATGACTGCCAAGGAGCAATGATCTAATTAAACCCAGAATTAAGTTGATAAAACTATAATAAGGAAGTAAAAACACTAATTCTCATTAGACTGAAAAGTTAAGGATAGATATTATAATCGTTACAGGCATGATTCTTACATTTTAGAGTGTATCAGAATTAGATAAAACTTGCTAAACTACAGATTGCTATACCCCACACACAGAGTTTTTGATTGAGTTAGTGGAGGTTGAGGGCTGAGAATCTTCGTTTCTAATAAATTCACAGGTGGTGCTGCTGGTCTCAAGACGACATTTTGAGCATCATTGCACTATAGCACCCACTGGAAGCATAATATAAAAAGGTACAACAAGCCAGCAGATAAAATAAAATGGAATTATAAAAAATATTCAAACATCCCAAAAGAAGATAGAGATGAGCAAATATTTTTTAATGAGAAATATTAAAGAGAAAACAATAGTAGACTCAACTCAAATTATATAAATAATTAAATATTAATGAACTCCTTATTCAGTTAAAAGGCAGAACTTATAGGAATCAACAAAATGAAAGACACAATTATATGCTGTTTATAGAAACCTCACATTACATATAAGAATACATTAATAATACAGATAAAGAAAGATGTAACATGCAAACAGTAAGCATAAGGCTAGATTAACTATATTCACGTCAGATAAAATAGACTTTAAAACTGAGTATTACCAAAGATAGAGACGTATAGTAATAAAAGGATCAATTCATCAGAAAGAAATAATCTTTAATGTCTGTGCACCTAATATAACGCCTCAAAATACATAAAACAAAAATTGAAAGTGTAAGAAATAGGTAATCCTATAGTCATAATAGGCAACTAACACATGCTTTGCTCAGAAACTGACAAAACTAGGAAAAAATAGTAACAAAGAGGATCTCAACAGGGTTAACTACTTTGATCTAATTTATATTTATACAACACTACACCAAACACTTGTACAACATGTATTCGAGTGCACACAATGTGTTCAGTAAATAAGATAGACTATATTCTGGGGCATAAACCAAGTCTCCATAAATCCCAAAGTACCGAAACCAAGATGAGTATGCTCTCTAACCTCAACAGAGGTTAGAGGTTATTGATTTTTAAATCAATAATACCTAGTCAACTCCAAACATCTGAGAACTAAACACATTTCTATATAAATCATGGGTCAGAGTATACAAGAGAAATTAGAAAATATCTTGGTTGATAATGACAGTACAACATATCAAAATCTGTGGGATACAGCTAAAATGGTACTTAAAGGAAAAATCTACAGTTTTCAAATGCTTATGTTAGAAAACAACTAAAAGTCTAAAAATCAATAATCTAAGATGTCACCTCAAGAAGTGAGGAAAAGACCAAAGTAAACTTAAGGAAAGTAGAAGAAAAAGTTAAGAAAGAAAATTAACAATATAGAAAAACAACAACAGAGGAAATAAAACAAAAGTAGGTTCTTTTAAAACATCAGTTATCAAGAAAAAAAGAACAGATATCAGCAACACCAGAGGAGTTATCATTACATAGCCTACAGCTGTTTTTTAAAAACATTAATAAATTGAAAAACTCAGATGAAACACAGAAATCTCTTGAAAGACACAGCCTACCAAAGCTGATTCAACAAAAATCAGATAACCTGATTAACCCTATATCCATTAAAGCTGTTATGTAAAAAATACTTCAGGCCCAGATGTCTTCATTGGTGAATTCTATCAAATATTTAAAGAAGAAATAATACCATTTTATTCAAACTGTCAGAAAATAGAGAAAGATAAACACTTTCCAACTTGTTTTCATAAGGCCAGTATTATCTTGATACCAAAACCAGATAAAAAAATTATAAGAAAGTAAACCCGCAGGCTGGGCGTGGTGGCTCACGCCTGTAATCCCAGCACTTTGGGAGGCCGAGGCAGGTGGATCACGAGGACAAGAATCGAGACCATCCTGGCCAACATCATGAAACCCCATCTCTACTAAAAAATACAAAAATTAGCTGGGCATGGTGGCGCATGCCTGTAGTCCTAGCTACTCGGGAGGCTGAGGCAGGAGAATCGCTTGAACCCGGGAGGTGGAGGTTGCAGTGAGCTGAGATTGAGCCACTGCACTCCAGCCTGGTGACAGAGCAAGACTCCATCTCAAAAAAAAAAAAAAAAAAAGTAAACCTGCAGACCAATGTAGCACATGTACATAAGGCAAAATCTTTAATAAAACTGTGCAAATGAAATCTAGGAAAATATTAACAGCATGATCTTGACCAAGTAGAGTTTATCCCAAAAATGCAAGATTGGTTTCACATTTGAAAATCAATCAATGTAATTCACCATATTAAAAGGTTAAAGAGAAAAAAAATCACATGATCATTTCAACAGATGTAGAAATAGTATCTGATCCATTTATTATAAAAATTATCAGCAAACCAGGAATAGAAAGTAACGTTTTCAAACTGATCAAGGACATCTAAGAAAAACTGACAGCTTACACTGACTTAATAGTAAAAGACAGAATACGTTTTCCCTTAAGATTGAAACAGCACAAGTACATTTCCTCTTACCCCTTCAATTACACATTATATAGGAGGTCCTAGCCATTGCAATATATCAAGAAAAATAAGGTATAAGGATCAGAAGGAAAAAAAAACTGTATTTGTAGATAGCATGATTGTCCATCCAAAAAATCCTCATGGACCTACAAAATAACTGTGAGGGCAACCATTAAATGAATCTAGCGAGGTCATAAGATGTAAAGCTAATATAAAAATCAATTTACATTTCTGCCTACTAGTGGCAAACTATTAGAAAACTGAATTGTTAAAAAAAATTCTATTTATTATAGCACTCAAAAAACTATTACAGACTTAGGAAAAAAAATTTAACAGAGTACCACTACACTGGATACTGCAAAATATTCTTAAGATAAATTTTATTATTTTTCCTTTTTCTTTTTCAGACAGAGTCTTGCTATGTTGTCCAGGCTAGTCTCCAAGTTCTGGACTCAAGCAATCCTTCCAAATCAGCCCCCCAAGTAGCTGAGATTACCAGCGCACACCATTACACCCAACTTCAAGACATTTTTAAAGACTAATAAATGGCTTAATAAACCATACTTATATTAGAAGACTCAATGTTAAGAGGTCAGTTTTTTTCAATTGACATACAGAATCAATGTAATCCCAACAAAAATCTAAGTTTTTTGAGCAGAAATTCTCAACTTCATTCTAAAATTTATATGAAATGCAAATGATCTAAAACAGTCAAGGCAATTTTACAAATTGCTCTATCTGGTATCAAAACTTACTACAAAGCTACAGTAATCAAGGCAGTATGGAACTGGTGAGACAATAGACATATAGATCAATGGAACAGAAGACATTCCAGAACCATACCCACACATATGTGGTCAAGTAATGATCAGGAAAAGTAGCAAGGTGATAGGTGATAGAATTAGGAAGGGAAAGTCTTTCCTGACAAAGGGTCTTGGGGCAACTGTATATCCATATGGAAAAAAAAATGAACCTCAACCTTTACCTCACACAAGACACATAAATTAGCTCAAAATCATTCACAGAGCTAAATATAAATGCTAAAACCTTAAAACTCCTAGAAAAATATCTCTGTGACCTGGGAGTAGCAAGAATTTCTTAGATATAAGAAGCACCAACCAAGACAAATTAATAAATTGGATTTTACAAAAACTGCAAACTTTGCCTCCAACAGAGGTGGCAGCAGAAAAACAAAAAGGCAAGCCATAATTGGCATACATATAAGCCAATACATATAAATGATAAAGAACTTGTTTTAAGACTATATACAGAACTCTTACAAATCATAAGATAAACAATCCAATAAAACATGGGAAAAATGTTTGAACAAAGTTTTCATAAAAGTTATATGCATGGCCAGTAAACATATGAAAAGAGGCTCAACATTATTAGTCATTCCAGAAATGCATATTAAAACCACAATACAACCTTTAGAATGACTAAAATTAAAAATACTACTGACGATACCAAGATTTGGTGAGAATGTGGATTAACTGGAAGTCTCATACACTGCTAGAAGAATGGTATAATTCCTTCAGAAAACTGACAGTTTCTAACAGAGTTAAACATATACCTATCATATAACTCAGTTCTTCCATCTTAAGTATTTACCCCCCAAAAATAAAAATATATGTTCACACAAAGTCCTGTACATGACAGCTGCATAGCAACTTTATTTATAATAGCCCCAAACTGGAAACAACCCAAATGTCCATCACCAGGTGAATGGATAAATGAAATGTTGCATTCATACATGCAACAATACAGATAAATTTCAAGATGATTATCCTGAGTGAAATAAGCCAGACATAACAAAATACATACTGAATGATTCCATTTACTTTAGATGCAAATTAATAAAAAATAAAGATCAGATTCATGTTTGTTTGGAACTGGGAGTGGAGAGTAGGATAGATGGAAAGAGACACACGCAATCTTTTGGGGTGATAGAAATACTAAATGTGTCTTGATTGTGGTGACAGTTTCATGGGTATATGCAAGTGTCATCAAACTGTACAATTTATATGTATCCAGTTTACTGTATGTAAATAATTCCTTCACACTGTCTGATCAAATACAATAAAACCAGAAAACTCTCTTTTAAACAACTCTGGGTGAAAGAAAAAAATGTTTAAGGTAGATTATCTAGTATGAACAGCAGTAACAAAAACACTAAGTATCAGAATCTACAGGAGATAGACAAAGATAAACTTAGAGGAAAATTCGTAGTCCTTAATAATCTCATTACTAAATAAAAGAATTAAATTAATAGATTAAGCTCTCATTTCAGCACTATGGAAATCAAAATAAATAAGAAAATTAGAAGGAAAGAATTAGTAAGGAGAAAATATTTTATGAATTAGTACAGAAAAAAACACAAAATTGGAAAAGAATATGAATACATAAATCCATAAGCTAGTTCTTTAAAAATAAACTGATTTATGAGTAGAGCAACCTAATAAATGTATTCTTTTTTTTTTTTTTTTTTGAGACGGAGTCTCACTCTGTCTCCCAGGCTAAAGTTCAGTGGTGCAATCTCAGCTCACTGCAACCTCCACCTCCTGAGTTCAAGTGATTCTCTGCCTCAGCCTCCTAAGTAGCTGGGATTACAGGAGCCTGCCACCACACCTGGCTAATTTTTGTATTTTTAGTAGAGGCAGGGTTTCACCATCTTGGCCAGGCTGGTCTTGAACTCCTGACTTCATGATCCACCCACCTCGGCCTCCCAAAGTGCTGGGATTACAGGTGTAAGCCACCACGCCCGACCAATATATTCTTTTAAAAAAAGAATAGTTACACAAAATAAAAAATTAAAATTGGAAACCATTATACATATAAAAGAAAACTAATTGTAGATTATTTTGCTCAAATTCATGAAATCTGATAACCTAAATGAAAAGGACAATTATCTAGAAAAATTAAAATGCATAAAATTTAACCAAAGACAGGCTGGGGGCAGTGGCTGATGCCTGTAATCCCAGCACTTTGGGAGGCCCAGGTGGGCAGATCATTTGAGGTCACAAGTTCAAGACCAGCCTGGCCAACATGGTGAAACCCCATCTCTACTTAAAATACAGAAAAATTAGCTGGGCGTAGTGGTGCATGCCTGTAATCCCAGCTACTTGGGTGGCTGAGGCAGGAGAATTGCTTGAACCTGGGAGGTGGAGGTTGCAGTGCACCACTGCACTCCAGCCTGGGCAACAGGTCAAGACCTCATCTAAAAATATATATATATTAACCAAAGACAAATTATAGAGATGCCATTTACCATGGAGGATACTGAGAAAGTTATCAAAGATTCACTTCCCCACAAAGGCCTCAGCATCAGGCTTTATCTCTCAAACTCTTAAGACCAGTGATCTCATTCATTCACACTGACATCTCTAAATCATTCTATTTTTCTGAGCCCCCATCTTCTAAACCAGTTGCATGTTGCATTTCTTTGCTTGGAACTCTCCTCATCTTATATATATAACCCTCTTATGTCCACAGCCAAATTTTTCATCTTTCCTCCTATCAACTTTTGCTTCTGATTGTTTCTATTAAGTGTTATCATCTTCTAGTTACCCAGAATTGAAAATAAAATTGGCTTTCTTTTTTCTTTGTTGGTGTATAAGCCTCTGAATAATCCCAAGAATTTAGCAGAATCCTCTTCTCAAAACATAAAGTCAATGAGGCTTGGTAAAAGAATAAATAAATAAATAAATGCATCAATCCTTCAATCTAAAAGGAATGAGTAACTGAGAAAGGGAAAAACAAAACAAAACAAACAAAAATAACCTGGCTTTTTTTTTTTTTAGACAGGCTCTTGCTTTGTTACCTAGGCTGGAGTGCAGGGGCGCGATCTCAGATCACAGGCTCAGGTGATCCTCCCACCTCAGCCTCCCACATAGATGGGATTACAGGCGCGTGCCACCAGGCCTGGCTAATTTTTTTTTTTTTTTTTTTTTTGTATTTTTAGTTTTGCCATGTTGCCCAGGCTGGTCTCGAACTCCTGGGCTCAAGTGATCCACCCACTCTGGTTTCCCAAAGAGCTGGGATTACAGGCACCTGGATTTTTAAAAAATGAAACCAAGCAACTTGTATAAAACTAAAAGGCAAGGACAGGGAGATGCTGTGACATCTGGATCCAACAATAGGAAAATGGGTTATCAGAGAAGATTACTGTCAGAGAAGACTGTAACTTGTGAGAGAATATAGACAGAGAGAACAAATTGAGGAGCTCATACTAAAGATGCCTCAATATTTCTTCCCAGGCTTTGAGTCTTTAAGAAGAGCTACCCAGGAAACGTCAATTATGAACTGAAATCTTTCAGAATTGCTGAGCTTTTCCTGGCAATGGCTTCTGTCTCCCTATTTCTCTCTCACTCACCAGGGCATGGGCCTCTTGTTCCCTCCTTCTTCACCATCCAGGGCTCTTTTCCTTGCTCCAATAATGAGATCACATCTGGCTTAGAAACAGAAACTCCTGCTTACAAAAAACAAAAGGGGAATTAGGCAGGTCTATAAATAAGATCAAGTTTCTGCATCATCAAGAAGGTGGGAGAATAATGGGAGGGAGCTGAGGAATAAGAATGGGGAAGATGAAGCTGCCAATTCTACAAATTCAACCTATTTTGGGAAGCACAAGAAAAGGAAATTTAGTGAAGCACGTCAGAGGTTTCCCAAATATTACATTGGAGCTCAGTCCCATGTACAGATTCTGAATTAAGGGGACATGTCCTTACCCAATGATACCAAGCTCCTGTAGTTCTCCAACATCACTTTCCTGTACAAATTCCTCTGAGCAGGGTTCAGCCATTCCCATTCCTCTTGAGAGAAATTTACAGCCACATCCCCAAATGTCACCAAATCCTGAAATGACATAAACACATTCTTGCTCAACTAGTGTTCATATCCTCACATGAGCCTAAGTTAAAAAGTTAAATTGTCTATACTTTTAGAGAAAAATATTGCACATAGCAAAACTTTCTGACAGTATCTTAGGTTCTGAGCAACACATGTCAGGTAATTGCTAAATGACTTCTTTGTGCTTTGTTTTGATATTCTGTCATGGAAAGTATACAATTTGAGAGATAATCCTACTGGTAGAGAAAGGATTTATCACACACACAAAATTGGAAAACAACAGAACACTGTAAATAAAGTATAAAATATGTTATTCATACTAAATGCCAGAGCATTTCTCAATATTGGAAAATCAGATACACCGGGGCAGTAAAGAGCTTCGAGGAGGAAACAGGCTAAGCTTTATAATGTGTACATGGTTGAATCTGGCATTTTTCCAAACTCAGTACAATGGAATGGTCAATGTTCCAGAGACATCAATAAGGTTGTATAAAAATATATATAAATATGTTTGATGCTTATATTGACTTTCCAAAATTAAATATATAATAGAAACAGTAAACAAAGTTATATACTGACTTGCAAAAATATGGCTTAAATGTATACCATAACAGAGAGCAATCAAGAAGCTGAGTGACAGATCACCTGATGTGTGAAAGTATGCCACTGAATTTGTGCTTGGTGGCAAAGACAACATTTGCCAACCAGCTGTCAAAGTGATGCATCTCATCTCACTGATGACCTAAGGTATCTCACGTATTTTTTACATTTCATATTACACATTTCACAATGACAACCTAGGTCTTGTGTGTGTTGAATTTTAAACATTTGTTTTACACAAATTCCTCTCCTGTAGATGGTTTAAATGAATGGAAGGCATATGGTTTAGATGACCAGCAGCTTGGTGTCACAAAAGGTATCTGAATCAGGCCAGGTGTGGTGGTGCATGCCTAAAGCCCCAGGTACTCAAGAGGCTGAGGCAGAAGGATTGCCTGGGATGCTTGAGTCCAGCCTGGGCAATATAGTGAGACCCCGTTTCTAAAGACAAACAAACAAAAAGGTATCTGAATCAAAACAAGAAAAAATTTGTCACAGATAAAATGAAGTTGATCTCAAAGACTATGACTTCTAATGTCTTGAGAAGAAGAAGAGTGATATTACAATAAATGTTTGAATCTGTATAATCAGTACTTGATAAGAAGGAATCAAAGAAGTACAATAAAAGTTACTTCAATATGGGACAAATGTTCATTGGAAATAAAAATTTTCCTGAGACTGTGTGTAAGAGGCGACAAATGATTGCCTAACAGCTCTTGATAACCCCACTAAGTTGTAAAGATAGTTGGTAACTTATAATCATGCTACATGAGACAAAATAATAGTAATTTAAGCACTATTAATTTACTTAGTGAATGTCTCCAAGTCTGATAATAAAATGCATCAAAAAATATCTACAGCTCTCACTAGAGAAACATACACAATTGTGCCTGTTTGATGAGCAAGAGAGTTTTAAAAATGTTACAGTACAGCTCCCAAATAATACTACCGAATGTTGAATTAAGGATCTTTAAGATAACACGGAACAAGACCTAGTTTGCTCCCTAAAAATTAAAAATGGGTCTTCTTCCTAACAAGATAAATCAGCTCAAGACTTATCAGGGCTTGTTGTATGGTTAGGCATATGCATCTTGGTTTTGACATGTCACAGAGCCTGCTCTTAAGCTGGGCTGACATAGAGATGGCATTCAATGGTACACACCTGAACATACTGATTTCTTAAATACTGAAATACTGCCACACTCATTGATAAACAGCTACTTCACTGAGTGCTGCTAGTGACCACACCAGATTTCTCCATAAGGAATTCAGCAACTGAAGATTAATGCCCAGCATGGCAGCAAACTCCAGGATCCCAGCTAGGATAAGTTCTGCTGTGTGCCTTTGCCTTGTTGGTTGTCAAATATGAACATCACCCCTACTCTTATATGACTCTTTGCAGAGTAATGCTCCTATTGAAGAAATACTCAAATACATCAGTGATTTTATTTAGAAACCTTTTTAATGGAAAAAAAAATGAGTCAATGTTAATTGCTACTGCCGGAAAAATGCACAAAAATGTTAAGGAGGTTATCTATAAAGGAAGCAAAAGTATGGCTCCAAGAAATATCAATTACACGCATCAGCTGCTTAAAAAGCTTCTATCTCTGAAACATTTCTTAATACAAGGAAATCTGAGGAAGTGACTTGTAGCTTCAAAGAAGGAAAAGAATGTGAATCAGGTCTAAAAATTAAAACTCGTGCTGGATAGGCCTGGGCGCTGCTAATCATCAATTCTACTGTAACTCAAATACTTCAATACAAACTCTTTAAAATTTTGTGCGGGAAAGTGTTCCACACACATCATTTATTCTGTAGACATTAGCGAAGCAGCTTTTGCTACATGAAGTCCTTGAGACATTTTTTAGCTGCACACATGAACTAATAGAGTCTGTGTTTTAACTATCTGACATTTTCCTGTCAGCCAATGAGACCATGAATACCTTGTACATTTTTTTATATTTACTTTGATTTAATTTAAAATATTGCCATCATTAAAGAAACTTAAAATATACTTTCCAGTATTTCTACCCTCAGTGATTTCCCCCCACTCCTTTGTTTTAATTTTATTTTTTGGGAGACCGGATCTTGCTCTGTCGCCAAGGCTGGAGTACAGTGTCACAATCATGGCTGATTGCAGTCTCAACCTGTCAGGCTTGAATGATCCTCCCAACCTCAGCCTCTCAAGCAGCTGGGACCACAGGCACTCATCACCAGGCACAGGTAATTTTTTTTTTTTTTTTGGTACAGATGATGTCTCACTATGTTGCCCAGGCTGGTCTCAAACTCCTGGGCTGAAGGGATCCTCCTGCCTGGGCCTCCCAAAGTGCTAGGATGCTGGGATTGATTACAGGGGTGAGCCACCTCACCCAGCCAATTTTTTCCCTTTTTAAGTTAAAGAATTGGAAGTCTTTCACCCCCATGCCTACTCCCATGTCACCCTACCTCCTAAAAGCAATTATAATTTATAGTTAGTATAATCTGCTCAAACGGTTCCTTATACTAATGTCTATGATTATGTATATATTTCACTTACTGATAATGTCACTTTTATTGGCTGAGTACTATTATACAGTATAATTATGCCCTATCTTATTTACTAACCCCCATGCTTATTTTCAGTTGGGTAAATCTTAATTTTTGTTGTTGTTGCTGTTTGTGTTTTTGACATGGAGTCTTGCTCTGTCGCCCAGGCTGGAGAGCAGTGGTGCGATCTTGGCTCACAGCAACCTCCACCTCCCATGTTCAAGCAATTCTCCTGCCTCAGCTTCCCAAGTAGCTGGGATTACAGGGGCCCACCACCACGCTCAGCTAATTTTTTTGTATTTTTAGTAGAGATGGGGTTTCACCATGTTGGCCAGGCTGGTCTTGAACTCCCGACCTCAGATGATCCACCCACCTCGGCCCCCCAAAGTGCTGGGATTACAGGCGTGAGCCACCACACCCAGCTGGATAAATCTTAATGTTTTACTATGATGTTGCATAGGTCTTGAATTATTTTCTTAAAATCGATTCACAGACGTCATTCTCTCCATTGAGACCAGGATTTCACAAAATTACTTAACCTCAAAAAAATTTTTAATTACACTATTTTGACCCAGCAACGATACGGTCAAATTGTTTTTGAATTGAAAAAACAATTCAGGGTGGGAGTAAAGTGTTGGCTTGCACTCGAAGACATACTCGAAGAGTTCTTCAGGTATTAGTAATACAGAAGGAAAATGGAAGCATGAAAACACAGGAAGAAATTAAGAGTTCTAAAGCAGTAATTACAAATAGAGCAATAAGAATATTGTGGAGTTAAATCACCATAGGCATCTTATCCTGTTCAGGAAGTGATAAGGGTACTAATCATAGGAGGAAGATTACAGAAGAAAGAAGGATTACTACATATGAGTAATGGATGAATATTATCTTAGAAAAGCCACTAAAAGAACAATAAAAATTATGTATAATTACTAAAATAATAAGGAAAAATACCTGACTTAACCAAAAAAAAGCAAAAAAGGAGAAACAAAGGAAAAAAGAACAGATGGGATAAATGGAAAACAAACAGAAACACAGTAGCTTTAAGCACGTACGTATAAGTATTACATTAAATATGTAATAAACACTAAAAGATTAAGATTATCAGGCTAGCTTTTTTAAAACTAGCCAGTTATATGCTGCTTACAAGAGGCATACTTTAAATATAATCTTTAAAGGCAGAGGTTCTCAAAAACCATGCATTAAAATCATCCTGGATACCTGTAACCCAGCTACTTGGCTACTTGGGAGGCTGAGGCAGGAAGACAGCTGGAGGCCAGAAGTTCAAAACCAGCCTGGGCAAAATAGTGAGACCCCATCTCAAAAAAAGATAATCATCATCCTGGGAAACCCAATAAAAATGTGTTTTCTTAGGTGCCACCAAGAGACCATGATTCAGGAGGTCTGGGGTGGGGTCCTGGAAACAGCATTTGGGCTAATGGGTTCCACCTATTCTACACATCATACTTTCAGCTTTTTCTTTCTTCTGTTACCAAATCAGTAGCAGGAAAGAAGAGGTGGCTAACTCTAGCTATCCTGGTCTCACTCACAGATAAGGAATTCATCTGAATGCCTATTACCAACCAGGCACTATTCTAAGAGTCAGGAATACAAAGGTGAACAAAACAAAGTTCCTCCTCTTAATATTCTAACAAAGGAGAAAAACATTAAACATAAGGTCATACATGTCAGGTAGTGACATATGCCACAAAAAACAAAAGAAGGTAAAGGGTGATTAAGAGTGATAGGCTGTTTATTGTAGATAATATAGTCAAGGTAAGTCTAAATGAAGAGGTAAGGTTTGAACAACAATCTAAATGAAATGGGGGAGCAAGCTATGTCAACATGTAGGGGGATGGGGGGGCAAATGCAAAAGTCCAGAGACAAGAAAAAGCACAGTAAGTCTGAGGGACAGCAAATTCACAACTGTGATTAAAATGAAGAGAGGTAAATACTTGTAGAAAATGAGGTCTAGGAAAGCCAGGACCTGAAGCACAAAGGGCCTTATAGGCCATGGTTAGGACACTGGATTTCATTCCAAGTAAGATAGGAAGGCAATGAAGGTTCTGGGCATGGGAGTGAAATAATGAGCCCCATCACAGACTCGCTACAGTGTCCCTCATCATTTTCTACCACCCTTTTCATATCATCACTCATCATCATCGACATTACTGACCCTCAATTTTTATTACAACTTCTTACATCTGACTCAGTCACTAACTGGTTACGTGGACATGTCACTTTCTTCCCCTGGCCTCTTTTTCTTCATCTGTAGAATGAGAAACTTGGACAAGATCACCCATAATTATCTTCCTGGCTTTACTGTTTTATAAGCCTAAGACTGTGCTGTCTAATACACTAGCTACTAGCTACATACGGCTAAATTTAAATCAATTAACATGAAAAATTCAGTTTCTCAGTCATGCTAGTATATACAAGTCTTTGTAGCCACATCTGGCTAGTGGCTACTATGTTAAACACTGCAGATATAGAACATTTCTATTGTCAATCATCACAGAAAGTTCTATTGGACAGTGCTGTACTAGTTGATTTCTGCATCTGCCTCACCTTACTCTTTCTCCATTTTCCATATTTTAACCTAGAGGTGTGTGTGTGTATATATATATATTTAACCTATACAATGCATTTAACCTCTATGTATTTTTCTCTAAGTGCAGAGAATTTTTTTTACTAGATGAATAATCCATCCCTTTCCCACTGATTTAAAATAATATCAGTACATCATATAATAAACTAGTATACATTAAATTCTATGAAGACAAAGACAGGGCCTATTTATCACAGCACTTGGCACAAGGTGTTTATTTTTATTTATTTTTATTTATCACAGCAATTAGCACAAGGCCTTTAATAACTATATGTTCAGTGAATGAAGATTTCCATTCTTATGGAATTCTTATACTTGGATTTGTTTCTTAACATTGTATGTTTCTTCTGGCTCCATTCCACACTATCAACTGTTTTCATTATTATAGACATATACAGCTTTTATTTTAATGCAGATTCAAGTGCTCTCCCATTAGTCTTTTCCAAAACAAAGTTCTGCTATTTTTTACATATTAATTCCACTAATCTTAACTGGATGACCTAGAATAACATAGCTGTGGACACTCAGAATGTCCCTAAAATGGTACCTCATTATTCCCTGGAATACTGTTCTTCAAAGCCCACGGAGTGCCTGGAAAAATCCCTGCCCTAGCTGACCCACACTTTAATATTCAAGACTCAACACATCTCACTCCTCAAGATCACTTTGAGCAAGAGACTTTGCCCTGTTCTGTGACTAAGACCACCTGATAACCCTCCTGTCTTGCCTTCTTTTCAAACCTAGGTCTATGGAAAAGCTTTATTTATGCTAGTGGTTACATCTGAACATACACCTCAGTCTCAATCAACTTACTACAATGAAGGTTTACATATGCCAATGAGTGTATTTTTGCATCTTGAAAGCTTCTAACAGACACTAAACCCAGAGAAGGTGCTGAACTATTTCTTGAGTGAAGATAAAAATGCTGGCTGTGGAAAAAAAGATAACTAGGCTTTTGGAGACTTTTACTGGAAAGCAAGATATGAGGAACGAGTCACTGGATGAATGGAACCTTATTAGGTTGCAGAATTTTGGAAGAAAAACAAAATGTTCGTATAACCTAAAAAATAAGATGGCATTTTAGGGAAGAGAGAAGAAATGCTTCCTTACCTTGGACATGGCTTTAAGGATTCCAGAATTTGACAGTTCTTCTGTCCTACTCCTTCAGCTCCTCTGTGGGAGAGGGACAGTATCCTGAGAAAGTCGAGCTGGAGAAGGAAAAGAAACCATAAAATGCCAGGCCTGCCCTGCAGCTCTCAGTATCATCAGCCTAGAAACCTTTCCTTCTCTTTCTCCTTCTTTCCCCAACCTCAGGAGTAAATTAGAGGTATCACTGAGCAATTCATTTATATCTAAATTTACAATTCTTTTTCCCACATGCTTTGGATCTTAAGAATACAACATACGGGCCAGGCGCGGTGGCTCACGCCTGTAATCCCAGCACTTTGGGAGGCCGAGGCTGGCGAATCACGAAGTCAGGAGATCGAGACCATCCTGGCTAACACGGGGAAACCCCGTCTCTACTAAAAAATACACAAAATTAGCCAGGTGTGGTGGCGGGCGCCTGTAGTCCCAGCTACTGAGGAGGCAGGAGAATGGCGTGAACCCAGGAGGCGGAGCTTGCAGTGAGCCAAGATCGCGCCACCACACTCCAGTCTGGGCCACAGAGCGAGACTCTGTCTCAAAAAAAAAAAAAAAAAAAAGAATACAACATACCTGTTCTGTGTTTAAGTTACCTCCCCATTTATAATTTAAAACAAAAACAGCAATTACAGAATGGTATTACCAAGCAAGGATTTCCCCCTCTTTCACACATGAAGGCTCTTCATCGGAGTAATTATTCAAGGCATCATGGTAATAATTAAGCCAAACTGGAAACCAGTTCTAACTTTTAATTCTTTCCACCCGATCATGATGTTGAAAGGAAATATGTTCCCACCCTTTCTGCAAGGATGACAGATAAAGCTACAAAGTGAAATTTCTCAGAGAAAGCATCTCTATACACAGAGTGAGTATCAGAGGGTCCATGTAGTGTGGTGGACACTCGATCAAAGAGTCAAGACGGCCTACTTCTGGTCCTGGCTTATGACAACCCACAACTGAAAACTAATCTCTTGACTTTTCTGGGCAATCTCCTCAGACAGAAAGAAGGAGAGAGGGAGGGAGGAGCAGGCTATGCTTGAACAGTCATCCAAACCCCCTATGGTGAATTCTTGTCCAGCAGACCTCACTGCCTTGAAGAATAAAGCCATTACCTATGAAGTGGCATAACTCAGTGGTAAGAACTACTAGGCTTAAGGATCAGAACACCTGGTCTCAAACAGCCAAACCACCACATGCTACCTATACAACCTCTGGCAAGTTAGGTAACCACTGCAAACCTGTTTCTCTATCAGTGAAATGGTAACTATTCCCTATCAATTGTTGGGAGGATTCTGAAATGATCTACATAAAGCATTGAGCACAGTGCTTAATTTTCATCTTTCTGTCATTTATTTTCATAACCAGCACATGGTAGGTCTCCCATTCCTTTTTCCTTTTAAATTCCTCACGTGCCCCCAGAGACTGAGAGGGATGGAAAAACTACTGTGCCAGAGGACAAGCAGCCAGCGTGGTCAGCTTTTCAGGCTTAAGGCTGAGGCTCCTGTCTGTCTCTCCCTTTTCAGCTCTCGTCCCTCCCTTTCTCCATCTTTTCCCCTTTATCTCAATCTTTCTGTCTCTCCACCACAACAGCAGTCTCCCAAACCCCAGAGCACACCAGCATCTCCAAGCACCCACACAGCTTCCTGCCCACACAAATCACAGACAACAAACCACATAGTTTCTCATTCTGGCACCTCCCCTGGCAACCTATGGACATGCCCCCACATTGTAGCCCGCCCTGCTCTCACAATGGGTCATATAAGGCCATTCTCAGTCACACTGTCACACTCACTGTCGGGATGACATACAGTGCTAAGTCACACCATCTCCCTCAGTCTCACATAATCACACACACTGTCATGCACAATCTCAAACACTGTCACATACAATCTTAGTCCAACAACAAAAACTCTGTTCACATACAGTTTCACATACAGTGACACAGTCTCACACACTGTCACACAAATTCTGTCGCAGTTTCATGTGGTCCCATATCAACAGCCACACACCGTACACAACCACACATAGCCTCACACACGGTGACATGGTCTCACATACTGTCACAGTCTCATCTAATCCTACACACACGGTCAAGCTCTGTTCACAAAGTCACACACACTGTCACACAGTCTTACATTATCCCACACACACAGGTCACACACACAGTGACATGGTCTTACACACTGTTCACACGTGGTCTACACATAATGACAGTTTAACACTGTCACACATTCCCAGTCTCACACATGGTGACGTGGTCTTAAGCACATACAGTGTCACACAGTCCCACACGGTCCCATATACTGTCAAAGGCTCCCGCATACACCGGGGCAACGGTCTCATACTGTCGCACACATTCTCACACCCAGTCTCATACTGTCACACATAGTCCCACATTTGTCCCACATGGTCTCACACTGACACACATATTCACACACGGCCTCACATTCTCACACTGTCACACACGGTCTCAAATTCTCACACAGTCACACATGGTCTCACACACGATTCCACACTGTCAAACACATTGTCACACACGGTTCCTTAATGTCTCACACATTCTCACACACTGTCACACACGGTCCCACACATGGTGGCATGGCCGCTCCCGGCGTCAGCTCCATCCCGCGCTCCTCACCGCCTCCTCCCTCCAGTGGGCACCTCCTTCGGCGCGGTCCTTGGAGGCCGGGGCTGGGCCAGGGCCCGGGCCAGGGCTCGATCCTGGCCGGCGGCCGCGCTCACAAAGGCGCCGCAGCCCTAGGGCAGGCCGCAGGGGCCGCTGGGAAATGGAGTCCGGGGCCGGCGCGGCGCAGAGGATGCTGGGATGTTGGCCGAGGGCCCCGGGCGGCCGCAGATCCCGCCGCTCAGTTGCGGGTAGTTACTGCTGCGCCCCTTTCCCTAGTAAGCCCACCTCCGCTGGCCTTCAGAATCCCACCCGGACCAGCTGAGCCCTCTCAGGCCGTTCGACTGTCCGCTCCCCCACCCGTTCCACCCGTTCCACCTGCGCAGGCGCAGCTGGTTCAGGTCCCCAAAGGCTGCCAGGCCGGGGTGCCAGCGCGGTGAGGCGCACGCGCAGTGACCGCGTCCGCGCTCCAGCGCTCCGGGTGGGGCTGTGAGTCCATCGCTGAGAAAAGGGAGCTGGAGGACCAGTGTGGAGCCTGAGCCAGCTGGAGAGGGGCCCGGTAGGATGTACGTGTGATTAAGCGCTCTGGCGGCCCGGGCTTTCTCTTTCCCTTTCTGTTTCTTCTCTCTCCGCCTTGCCCTGTCTTTCATTCGCCACTTATTGAGCGCCTGCTGTATCGGGCACTGTCGTGGGCCCTGGGCACACAGCAGTGAACAAGCAGACAAAATCCCCACCTCATGGAGCAGCATTCTAATGCGGGAGGAATTCAATAGGAAAAAATTAATAATAAAGGACACTGATGCATATTGGGAAGTAATGCGTATTATCAAGAAAAGCGAAGCAGAGTATTAAGATCATTCTTTCAGTTCTTCATTCTTTCAGTTATGCCCTCTGAATCAGTGGAAAAAACGCAAGGTGCATTTTTTTCTATTATCTCAACGACAACTAATCATAACAGAAGACTTTTCTGACCAAATATAGGGGAGTTTCCCACACATCTCAAGCAAGCAATGAGTTCAGTGAGTTCTGCAGCGGGCACCAGCTGGGTGTCCTCCAGTTTAATTCCGACGCCGTCTACTTGGAGATGGGTCAGACACCATTCGCTGAGGGCTCAGTCCCCAAGCCTGCCTCCCCCTTCCCACTTCCCACTAAAGTCTAGCCTCTGGAACATCTGACTCCACCACCTTCAAATTGGGATTTTCACCACCCCCTCTTTGCGGTTCGATATTTTGCTAGAGTGGCTCACGGAACTCAGGAAACACTTATGTTTACTAGTTTATTATAAAGGATATTACAAATGATATAGATGAAGAGATGCGTAGGGCAAAGTACAGAAAAAAGGGTGTTGCACCTTCCAGTAACCTCCACATGTTCAGCTGGGTGGAAGCTCTCTAAACCCTGTCTTTTGGGAGTTTTACAGAGGCTTCATTACATAGGCATGGTTGATTAAAATCCCGTCCCCTCCTTAGGGTTGGGGGTGGGGTTGAATGTCCCAACCTTCTAGTCATGTCTTGGTCTTTCCATAACCAGTCCCCATCCTGAAACTCTATAGGGGTTGCCAGCTGTCAACTCATTAGCATACAAAATGAGTTTTTACTGTTACTTTGTAGTTTCTAAGGATTTTAGAAGTTCTATGCTAGGAAGATCAAATATATATTTCACAATATCATACTCTTATTCCTATTCTTCAATCTGTCTTTGAAAATATTTTATAAACTCCTATCTCTAGTTTATCTCCCAATCCTGTACCATCCCTTCCAAAATCCTGTTGTGCCCTTCAATTGCTTCATTTAATTGTCTGACCAAAGTTGCCAGTGACAAAGAGCATCATATAAGCTGGGAATTTTATTTGAGGAAATTAAACAAACGCAACTATGATATCAGCAAAAAATACTAACTGAAACTTTTTTTTGAGACGGAGTCTTGCTCTGTCACCCAGGCTGGAGTGCAGTGGCGCAATCTCAGCTCACTGCAAGCTCCACCTCCCAGGTTCATGCCATTCTCCTGCCTCAGCCTCCCGAGTAGCTGGGACTACAGGCACGTGCCACCACGCCTGGCTAATTTTTTTGTATTTTTAGTAGAGACGGGGTTTCACCTGTTAGCCAGGATGGTCTCAATCTCCTGACCTCCTGATCTGTCTGCCTCAGCCTCCCAAAGTGCTGGGATTACAGGCATGAGCCACCGAGCCCAGCTGAAACATTGTTTATAATAAAATGTTGAACATAAACAATATACCTACTGTCATGGGTAGCAACTAGATAGGGCTTGTATCAAAGGCGGTAAAGAAAACAGTCTCATATTTACCAGGACAGTCCTAAAGAAAGGCAGATTTATTAGAGAACGTATGAAAATACATTGCAAGGTTGCAACTGGCAGCACAGGAGAGAAGGAGCTGTCTGCAAAGAGGCAGGAGCTGGAAGGAAGTTTTATAGGGTCATCCTGGAGAGAGCTGTTGTTTGATTAGCCATTTCTCAGGACAACTGTTCATTGTACTTCCCCACTGGGGCCCCTTCCTCATTGTTGCTTACTTATCAGGACTCCACAGCTACAAGTAGAAGAATGGTCAAATAAATAACAGTATGTTGTAAACCAAAAGGTATTGGAGACAGGTCTCAATCGATTTGGAAAGTTTATTTTCCCATGGTTAGGGAAGCACTGACAGTCTCAGGACGTTCTGATGACATGTGCCCAAGGTGGTTGGGGTACAGCTTGCTTTTATACATCTTAGGGAGATATGAGACATCAATCACTATGTGTAAGATGTACAGTGGTTCAGTCAGGTAAGGTGGAAAAATCTGAGGTGGAGGCTTCCAGGTCATAAATAGATGTGGGACAAAAGGTTGCATTCTTTTGAGTTATTGATTAGCTTTCCACTGAATACACAATTTAGTCTGGCTCTGTGAATTTGCATTTTTACATAAACACTAGGTCCAAGGAAGCAATCAGATATGCATTTCTCTCAGGTGAGCCTCAGAGGGATGACTTTGAATTCTTTCTGTCCTTTGTCCAAAAGGAATTTCCTTGTGGGCAAATTGTGAGGGAGGTATGTAGCTTTTAATCTTTATAGCTATTGTATTTAGGAATCAAATGAGAGGCAGCCTTGCCTGACATAGTTCCCAGCTTGACTTTCCCTTGGCTTAGTGATTTTGGAGTCCTTAGATTTTTTTTTTTTTTTTGAGACAGAGTCTCGCCCTGTTGCCCAGGCTGGAGTGCAATGGTGTGATCTCTGCTCACTGCAGCCTCCGCCTCCCGGGTTCAAGCTATTCTCCTGCCTCAGCCTCCCGAGTAGAGTAGCTGGTATTACAGGTGCACACCACCACACCCACTTAATTTTTTTTTTTTAATCTTTAGTAGAGACGGGGTTTACCATGTTGGCCAGGCTGGTCTCGATCTCCTGACCTCGTGATCCACCCGCCTCGGCCTCCCAAAGTGCTGGAATCACAGGCATGAGCCACTGTGCCCAACCGGAGTCCTGGGATTTATTTTCCTTTCACATCTATCTGATTGAAAACTATACAACTTTTTAAACGAATAATTGCATGGCAATGAAGCAACATGTAAAAATACTTCTTGTATTAAGGTTTCTTAAAGGAGGAACAAAGCTGATAAAATTGCATTATGACTGCAACATTGGAAAACTGTTCCTAAAAAGTAAAAGGAACATAATCCACAAAAATTGTAGTTGGGTTGTGTTTGAGTGTTGAAATTGTTAGAAATAAATTTTCGGTGCCACAAAAGAAATAGCATTCGAACAGAAATTTTCTCAGCAAGGCAATTTTACTTCTACAGAAGGGTGCATCTTGTGGATGGAACAATGGTGAGAGCACACCTGAACAAGGGAGGGGAAGGGGTTCTTATCCCTGACACAGGTAGCCCCTACTGTTGCATCGTTCCCCTATTGGCTAGGGTTGGACTGCACAGTCTAAGCTAATTCCGATTGGCTATTTTAAAGACAGCAGGGGTTAAGAGCTACAGTGGTGGGGTGAGCAGTTGTGGCAGGAAAGACGGTTACGGAATAGGTGACTAAAGGTGACTTAGGTTAGAGCGGGTGACCAGGGGTCTCAGGATGGAGCAAGTGACCAGGAGAACAGATGTGAACTACTGATCAGAACTGGCAGGGAGGTTGTTTACTGAAACTAGGGGCAAGGAGATGAAGAGAATGAGGAAGTTAAACTTTAAAATGGAAAACAAAGAACTGAACATACTGACACAGATTCTTTGAGGAGAAACTTAGAACTCACTGTATTTAACAAAATTATGATTGATAGCTTCCCCTCACTTTTTCAAACCAGACAAGCCTTGTTTAAAATAAGGCATCAGTAAACGTCCAGGTTTTTGCAGTCTTTTCGACATTTCACAAATGTGTGAAGAGAGTAGGCATCTTTATGAAACCACCTTTGCAAAAACTGTATCAGTGAGAAAAATTATTATAGTAAACTGAGCTAACCCACCTATCTTGCCTTTCCCTTAATTATTCCTGGGCTATAGGGCTGAGCTAACTTTGGAAGACATTTACGCTATAGTTTAAATAACAGGCTTTGCCCAAAACTCAATTGTTTTTGTAAAGCTAATGGGAGGCCATCAGTCTGGGAGGAGAGGAGTCTGGGTCCTGCTAAGGTGGCAGCATTATTCAACTGTCAGCCATTATTCCAAAGGTTATAGGATATGCAACTTTCCCAATTACTACTACAAATGACATCACTACTGTAGAACCTCAGATTGGCCTTTTGAGATATCTTTTCAGGTTTTTTCATGTCTGACACCCATGGCTCCACCTGGACCTGATGGTTCCACTTGGACTAACCAACCCAGTTCCTGTGGCACCACCCAGAAGCAATTCACCCCACACAAGGAGAGCTTTGACCCCCTATGATTTCATCTCCAGCCCAACGAATCAGCAGCAAGCACCTGTTATCTGGCCACTCCCACCCCTTCCCCCAAAGTGACTTTGAAAAACCTCTAAGATAAGAGCTTTGGATTAGATGATTTGAGTACGAACTCCATTTCCCATGTGGCGTGGCCAGCCTCATGTCTATTAACCTCTTTCTCTACTACAATGCCATGGTCTTTCTTTATGCAGTGGGCAGGAAGAACCCCTTGGGCGGTGGTAACATTTTTTATTTTTAGCCGTTATCTCTTAAGCTTCTCCTTTTGGCACAACCTTCTACAAAGCTTGGTAAGAGTCACTAAGTAAACTTTGATTTGCTTAAAAACCACATTTATTCTTTGTTTCAGGTGAGCAGCAACTGTTTGGGCTGGTGGCACAGAGGTAAAAGAACTTACCAAGACAGCTGTGGGTGAAGAAAGGCAGATTTATTAAAGACAGTATCAAAGTATGTTATCAGGGAGCAACAGGCAGAATCAGTGGAAGAGGAGCTGACTGCAAGGAAACAAAGGCTTGCTGGAGATTTTATAGGATGGTTCCTGGGCTGATTGATAATGCCAAGGCAGCAGGGAGCTGACCTGCATTCTTCTGTCACCCGAGGTGTTTGATGATAAGTGGATGCGTGCGTTTGATGATAAGCAGGAAGTTTGTGAGTTACGTTCATTATTTGCTCGGCAGGGCTGTATGTCCTGGGTCATAAAGAAAAGCAAGCCTATAGCTTATCTGCTTCCTTTTTTTGTTTATATATCCTGGACCATGAAGAAAATGCAGATCTATAGCTTATTTGCTTTATCTCTTTGCTTTCCCCTGGTCCCACCAGCCTGACTCCTTTTCCCTACGTACGAATCCACATTCTTCCTAAACAGGTAATCAGCAGACGTATGTCTACCTAGCACACCCAAGTTTAACATAATTATCTAAATGCAAAATCTTGAGGAATAAAGATAAAAAACCCTCTAGCAGGCACAGCGGCTCATGCCTGTAATCCCAAGTGACATAGGAGTTAAAAAGAAATTATTTAGGCAGATAGTGAGGGTAAGGAAATCCCCGGTAAGGTTTTCCTTTTAATGAAAAGCAGCCCCCAAGTCATTTCTTTTCTAACAAACAGCAGCCTGAAAAATCAAGCTGCAGACATAGATAAGCAAGCTGGAAGTTTGCACGGGTGAATGCCAGCAGCTGTGCCAATAGGAAAAAGCTACCTGGGGGCCAGGCATGTCCAACATCGCAGCTCCATCTTCCCTTTTCTTTGTCAACCACGTGTACAGCAAGGAACATACAACATGGCCCGGTCAGACAGGGACTCCATCTGCATAATAAAAGATTAGGGTGGGGCAGCCAGCTTCTGATTGGCACACCTGGTCCAACCAATCTTTGGGGCCTACGTAAATCAGACACCACCTCCTGAAGCCAGTCTATAAACCCCGTGCCCTTCGCCACGGACTGGAAGTCCTACTTGGGAGCCCTTTTCTCTCTGCAGGAGCTAGAGCTATTCTCTTTTCTCTTTCGCCTATTAAACCTCCGCTCTTAAACTCACTTCTTGTGTGTCCACGTCCTTGATTCCCTTGGCGTGAGACAACGAACCTCAGGTATTTACCCCAGACAATGATGCAGCTTCACCATCATTTTGCAAGGCTGAAGCAAGACGATCACTTGAGCTCCGGAGTTCAAGACCAGCCTGGGCAATACAGTGAGGCTCCCATCTCTACAGAAAAAAAAAAAGAAAAGAAAAATTAGCTGGTGTGGTGGTACGCACCTGTGTTCTCAGCTACTTGGGAGGCTGAGGTAGGAGGATCGCTTAAGCCCAGGAAGTTGAGGCTGCAGTAAGCCGTTTGTGCCACTGTGGCAAGCCAGATCTCACAAAAACTGAACAGGCAGGCCTCCATAAGAACTGTTCTAGCATTGACTAAATGGTTAGGTTAAATATTAAAGGCTGAGAGAGCCAGCGCCCTAACACAAAGGCTGATGATTTGAAGCATGACAAAATAATGAAGGAATGGTCACACTCCTCATACCAGGATCCATTTAGGATTAAACAAGTTTTATTGGGGGTCTAAAGGAACTCTCCAGACCTCCATAACTTAGTAGGAGACAAGATAAGGTAATTACCTTTGGCACTTGGACCCATCTAGAGTAAGTAAAATCACTGAGGCTCCAGAGGAATGTCCCCAAGGTCTATAACTCAGACCTTAGTTATAGATTAGAAGAAATTAATCACTTGTGTCTTTAGATGAATGCACACTAACATGTAGACATATAGCTTAGAAGGTAGATAAGCACTGGAAAACTTTGTAATTTTGAGTTGGTCTGGCAATATTTTTCTGGCCCTCTCCCTGTACCCGGTTACAGAAATAAAACTCTCTTCTTTCACAGTTCATCAGCATCTTGTTATAGGGCTGCGAGAATAAGCAGCCTGACCTTCAGTTCAGTCCAGGAACACCACTGCACACCAGCTTGGGTGACAGAGTGAGACCTTGTCTCTTAAAAAAAAAAGTCCTCAGAGAGAGGCCACATGTATTTTGTCCTCAGTTGTCACAAGGAAGATGCAATACATTTATTTTTCTCCTGGATTAGTACTGCAGAAAAGCCTTTTATCCTTTTTCTTTTTTGGCTATGGATGTCCAGTTGCTCCAGCACTGTTTGTTGAAAAGGTTATACTTCCTCCGTGGAAATTTATTATTATTATAATGCACAGATTTTAGGTCAGAAAAATTGGGGGAGGTGCCCAAGGTCACTCAGGGAGTAAGTAGCTAAGATTGGGTTAGAACCCACTTTGTTGTGTGATTCCTTGCTTGGATTACTATGCACAACAGAATATGGCCCACCTCCCCACAGTTGATCTCATTCAAGTGATAATGGGTGATCCTGAAACAGAAGGAATCTGGCAGAAGCACGGATATGGCTGGGGATAACAGGAGAGGGAGCTGCTGGAGTAACTCTGTGGGCGGCAAGCCACCCAGGTGCCAAGGCAAGAGACCGAGGACACGAGCTGTTCCAGTATAATAAAATATAAAACAAGAATAGTTATACCAGATATAGATCTTAGATATGATTATATATGAATATCATTAATCATTAGTTGGTAGCAATTACTCTTTATTCCAAATTATAATAATCCTCACTCTATAATCATAACCTGGGAAAAGCCAGGCCATATAGAGATAGGAGCTGAGGAGACATAGTGAGAAGTGACCAGAAGACAAGAGTGCGAGCCTTCTGTTATGCCCAGACAGGGCCACCAGAGGGCTCCTTGGTCTAGCGGTGATGCCAGCATCTGGGAAGATGCCCGTTGCCAAGCGGACCGTGGTCTAGCAGTAGTGTTAGTGTCAAGGAAAAACACCTGCTACGTAGCGGACCGGGAAAGGGAGTCTCCCTTTCCCCGGGGGAGTTTAGAGAAGACTCTACTCCTCCACCACTTGTGGAGGGCCTCAGGCCCACCTGCAGTTATCCGGAGGCCTAACCGTCTCCCTGTGATGCTGTGCTTCAGTGGTCACGCTCCTAGTCCACCTTCATGTTCCATCCTGTACACCTGGCTCTGCCGTTTAGTTAGCAGTAGCAAACCAGTGAAAGTACTAAGTCTCTAATAAGTAGAAATAATGGTGTAAGCTCTCTCTCTCTTTCTCCTCTCTCTCTCTGCCTCGGCTGCCAGGCAGGAAAGGGCCCCCTGTCCAGTGGACATGTGACCCATGTGGCCTTACCTATCATTGGAGATGGCTCACACTCCTTATCCTGCCCCTTTGTCTTGTATCCAATAAATATCAGCGCAGCCTGGCATTCGGGGCCACTACCAGTCTCCGCGTCTTGGTGGTAGTGGTCCCCTGGGCCCAGCTGTCTTTTCTTTTATCTCTGTCTTGCGTCTTTATTTCTACAATCTCTCGTCTCCGCACACGGGGAGAAACCAACCGACCCTGTGGGGCTGGACCCTACAAACTCTGCATGTGCTTTGGCACAGGAATGTGTACTGGGAAGTGGCTGACAAAAGACCTATGGATTCCATGGAATGGAGAGGCTAGCTCAGAGCATTCTCATACTCTTAAAAGGAAGAAACTGGAAGCCACCCTCTAAGACGACCCTGAATGATCCCTGCCTCCTAGTACTTATACTCTTGTGTAGCCTCCACCTACTTAGACTCACAGCTGATTTTGTGACCAAGAGTATAATGGTGTATGACTTCAGAGGCTTGGTTCAGAGTCAGAAGTGGCCATTTCATCATCCTCTAAATTTCTCTTTGGCAGATTAATGAATGTGAGAAAGTAAAAATGGTATAGAAGAAAGTTAGCCTGAGAGATGGCTGGCTTTGTACCTGTTTGGTCTTTTTCCTTCCTTTCCTCCATAAGCAAATACTGACGCATGTACATATAGACACACTCAACACAGTGGGATGTTAAAGGGAAACTAGAGCCACTCGCCCCTTCCCAAGATCAGAGAACATAGGAAAGATGATGACTTTTTGCATCTACCCTCTCCTCTTGAACTCGCAACACTGTCTTGAACCACAAATAAGGTCAAGTAGGATAAATCTACAACTGTCTCCTCAACTGTCCGCTCACAAGTGTGAAATTCAACCATCCTTGCTGAAGTTGTCTTTTAATATCAGTAATCAGCAATAACCAACCTCTGAGCTTTGCTTATATTATTAAATCATTTTATTTGACCCTCAGGACAAAGCTGCAAGCCCAGCATTACATTCTTCCTTTTATGGACAAAAAAAAAAAAACAAAACAAAACCGAGATAGGCACGAAGAAACTAATAAATGGCTGAAATGCTATTTGAATCCACATCTGTCTAATTCTAAAAGTGTGCTTTCCACCACATCACCGCACCTACAAGGAAAATGCAGCCTCTACCCTCTCCTGAAGAATGTGTAAAGAGGCAATATGGTGTGTTTTGGAAAAAGCATCTTTGCAGAAAGAAAGCATTAGCTTCAGTCATATTAGCATCCTTATCCAGCAGCAGTAGCATTATTTTACATATCAGTTACTCCTCCCCAACAACTCAATGAATTAGATGCCACAATCATCCTCACTTTCAAATGTGGAGACCGAGGCACATCTCTAAGACTGGAGTTCAGGCATTCTGGCTCCAGTCTTAGAGATGGTTAAGGGTTCACACTCTTAACCATTTATTACACCATAGAGCTCACCAGGTTTGAGGGAAACAGGATCAAATCAAAAGAGTCACTCAGGACTCCAGTCCTCACTCAAGGACAAACTGTTCCACCTCGGACAGGGAGAGTTTCCGCATTCTGAGACCCAGCATAACAGGTCCTGACCGGCATCTGGCACTCGGACTCCCAATCATACTGGATCACACTGGCTCGGGATGTGTAAAGTCCAGGGCTTCTCACATTTGATGACACCAAAGCCGCCTAAAAACAAGAGAGAATTAACAACTACCTACGGCGGTCTGATATTTGCCCAAGAGATGCCGCCCCATAAAACTCCTTTACATCTTTATAACGTTTTTATTTTGCGTTCTCCTTCATAACCCACATTTAACTCACCATAGATGTAATGTTTAAAATTAGTTACCAGATAAACTCTTACGCTTCCAAACTTTAAGGTTCCTTCGAAACCTTCTGGTAAAACTGTTGTTCCACGGAAATGGGAACGTAACGGATGAGGCAATCTTCCACAGCCGCACACAGTTGTGTATCCACCGCTAAACGGTCCCAGTCATACATTCAACGACCCACGCGGAGTCAGAAGCTACCACCACACACTGTCAAAATCACGCACACACAGTGACGGCCCCTTGCCCACTCGGTCACTCGCCCACAATCTCTCGCTAGAGAATCACACGCAGATAGCACACCCAGCACCACAGACCCCAGGAAGCAACCCAGGGACTCGAACACACGAACAGCACTCCTCCGCGCACTGCGCAGGCACGCCTGCGTCCGGCTCACCCTGAAACATCGCGAGATCCGGCTTCAAGGCCGGGCTGCTGCCTTTACGCCTAAAGACTATGTTTCCCGGAAGACACTGCGGCGCCGGCCCTATCATGGCGCAGCATCGGTGTGCTTTGTGCGTCTGCGCCATCTTCCGGCTGCGCACGGCGAATCCACCGGTACCGTGGTGGAAGCGCGCCCTGGGCTGCCGGGGGCGCGGCCGCGGTGGCACTTGGACCCGAGGAGGCGGCAGGTGAGAGGTTCCGGAGCTTTCCAGGCGCTCTGGGGTCCAGCAGGAGCTGGTGCCCGGGCCGGTTGGGTCTCAGGCCTGAGAAGAACGCAGACGTCTCGCCTCATCGTCGCTCTGTGGCTTTACCGGCGTGAGACTACATTTCCCGCCGGCCCTCGCGGCGTGCGCTTTCTGGCGCCCCCTTTCTGCTTCCAGCCTCATAGCCCAGGTGCATGGACCCCTTAGGTGGGTGCGCAGGGGTCTCCGACCCCCTGAAATTGCGGATGTTTTGCATTCACTGTTATGCGTGCCTTTTTTTTTTTTTAATCTGAGAGGAAATCTTGTTTCATGAGGTTCTCAGAGAGTTACAAGACCCCAGAAGACTTAGAACCGCTAGTTTAGAAAAACTTATACTTGGGAACATTTTATATGTTCAAATTCTATGTCCAGCAATGGGGAAACACTTGAGTGGATCACAGGCCATCCTTTGTAAATAGGATATCGTGCAGTTAATACAAATAATGCTTATAAAAGTGGTCATAATAAGGAAAAGCTGCCTATTACATCATATTAAGCAACATTCATAATTATTTCACTTACACGTTACTTAGAACCAAATGTTTGTAATGCAGTAGGCACCTTATATACTCCTTTACAGAGTACTTCTTGTTTAACAGTGAGCTCAAGAACTGGTTAAATGACAACACTGCGAATACTTGGGTGTTTTTTCTTCCAATTTTTTTGTTTTGTTTTGTTTTTAGCCTGTGTGTTAGTGAGTTTGACTTCTTTTTGCTGAATGTTCTCAAAGGATTCAGTAGTTAATATCTTTGCTTGTCAGTTTTTGATAGTCATTTTTGATAGTCACTTGGCATCCCATTATATGGCTGTGCCAAAAATGATTCAACCTCTTGGCTACTTGTGGACTTGCCTACTTACGTACTAATTTTCAGTTCTCCTATTTAGCAAATATTATTGGACATGCAGCTTTGTGCACTGCTGTGTCTCTATGGAAGGACACATTTATGTGCTGATAATGGAGCACTGGGCGTGCTGTGTGTAATTTGTCTCTTACTGTTCCTTCCAACTCTATCCCATTTGTTGATGCAAGGCATGCTCCATGAAGTGGCATGCACAAAGCCTCAGTTTGGGCTGTAGAGCTTTTTGTATATTTGGCGGTTGGGAAAAGAGCCAGGTAGACTTTCAAAGGTGTTATATTTGCTGCAGGAGAGAGTTAAATGGCCTAGTCCTGGAAAGGCTTTATTCTAGGCTGGGGCTATGCAAATGATGCAGGCCTTCTATGCTCCCTGGCTTGAGGGAAGCCCTCCTTGTCCTTGAGGTAACATGTGGGTCTCAGTCACTAGAACAGCCCTCAGCATCCCTGTCTTAGACTTGCATTTGCAGCAAAACAGAACCACTGGATGTTTAGGGGAAATGGGAGGGAAAGGACCACTGGTTCCCCTTTGCCTTGCAGCAGCTAAAGCTGGTTTCCTGGGGTTGGGTGAGGATCCCTTTGCCTCCCCCTCCTTCTCATTTTCTTGGTGGGCAGAGGGCAAGCAGGTGGGGACTTGTAACTTGGCATTCTAGGAACTGTGAGGCAAGCCTAGCCTCTCATGTTTGCTCTTTCCTCCCCCAGCTCTACCGTCGCAGGACTCTGCCCTTCCCCAAGAGAGGAACCAGAAGGAGGACCTATCAGCCCTTGAAATTCTAAAAGTCATGTCCCTTGTGAGTTTTTAAATCCCATAAATATTTGCTTTCCTTATCTTGAAACTTTCCACCTGGGTTCCATCCAGAAATTTGGTTCTCAGACTTTCCCATTTTAGGGAATAAAAGGACCAGGCAGGAGTCTCCTCTCCCATTGTCCTCTCCCCTCTGACAAATGCCCACAGATTTATTCTCTATAGCATTCTGCATCTCCTGATGGTTTTCGTCTGCTAGGAGGAGAAACTCATTTCCCTGTATGAAATGAGAGCATCCTTTGTAAGAACTGAAGTTTGAAGAGATGGAATGAATGCTTAGGAGCAATCACATATAGAAAAGCAGGGGAGGTGGTGTTGGTTGGTTTCAGTTTCAGCGCATGGTACAGTGTCCTGCTTTGGGAATGATTAATGATTGGATATGTAATTGAGGTTTGGCTGGGAATCCATCAAAAATTTGATGCCAGAATTAAAGTCTAGTTTGACGTTGGACAGAGCATTTGAATCTGGGACATCCTCCATTAGTTTCTTTAGCTTAAGAGGAAGAAAAGTACAGAGCTGAGGATGGTGAGCGATGTAGCAAGTGAGATGATCATCTAGGTGGGTGAGTGGTCAGGGCTTGGAAAAGCCTTAGAGATCTGATCCAACCTCGGGATCCAAAATAAGAGGATGTTTGAGTCAGTTGTTTCACTTGATAGAAAATTGTGCACTCAATAAAAGTTATCTCCATGGTTTTTCCCATGAAGAAAAATGCTTGTGTTATGTTCCAACATAATGATGAACTTTCATCTCCAAGAAATTCTTGACTTACATGAAAATCCTGTATCTAAGATAGAAAACATGTTTCCATAATTTTAAAAAATAAAATATTTGGGGAAAATCCATCAGAAATATTTTTTGTTGTTATTGTTATTCCAAAAGATAGAAGTGATAGGTCTCACCTTGAGAATTTATTGTATGCCAAGTATAGAGTGGGCAGTGTGCTTTATTACACTGTTTCTTAACAATAAGGAAAACTCCATTTAGCTTGATTTTAATTTTCATCCCAGACCTGTACACAGAGCATTGATTTGCAGTTAAAAGGAATGTTTGAGAACAATTTGATCATTCTGTTTTACTCATCCCCATTTCTTCTGTCACCTTTCACATTCAGTCCCACCCTTCTTGTTCAACAAAACAACCCCCCCTCCCGCAAAGACCTGCCCCATCTCCTTTCATCCCACTGTGAACCATTGAAATACATATATATCATACATGCCTGTCATTCCAGGGGTCAGAATTGTTCAGGGATGTGGCCATAGTCTTCTCCCAAGAAGAATGGCAGTGGTTGGCACCTGCTCAGAGGGATTTGTACAGAGACGTGATGTTGGAGACCTACAGCAACCTGGTCTCACTGGGTAAGGTGATCTCGTCTGTTAGTTTGGAGGTTATCCTTGGGCATGTTCCTTCCTGGTCAGTTTTTGGGTGCTTTTCAGTCTTATGATTGGTTGGTCATTTTTGAGGGGTTAAAGGGCGGCGCTGTCGGCTGAAGCTGCATCCCCCTACCCCCAGGCAACTGTCCCATCTTCCTCTGGCACTTCCTGCAACTGCCTCTCCTGCTTGATGACCAGGTCCTGGATCTGAATTCTGGGGCCCCCACACCATAACCAGGTGGCATGTTTCTTCTCATCTCCAGGTCTTGCCGTTTCCAAACCTGATGTGATCTCCTTCCTAGAGCAAGGCAAAGAGCCCTGGATGGTGGAGAGAGTGGTGTCTGGAGGCCTGTGTCCAGGTGAGTGAGGTATCATTGGGAAGGGAGCAGCCACTGCAGGTATCAGGTCCGCTGGAAGTGGCCCTTTGTCTTAGAAGATCTTCCCTGCAGGTTGCTACCTTCAAAGCTTATGTCTTACGTGTTGTTTTCCTCAGCTCGTCAGCAGCATTTGACAAAGGTGGCTGCTCCTTCCTCCTGAAACACTTTAAAAATTCAACCTGGATTATAGGGCTAGACTGAGTACAAATATGGTGGTTCCTAAGGAAAGTATTTTGTCTTTGGAAAGATGTCTGTATCTTTTGACCATTTTTCTTTTTTTATTAATTTTAATTTTAATATTTAAAATTTTTTTTAACTTCAGGAGTATAAGTGCAGGTTTGTTAAATAGGTAAACTTGTGTCATGGGGGTTTGTTTACAGATTATTTCATCACCCAGGTATTAAGCCTAGTACTCATTAGTTACTGTTCCTGATTCTCTCCCTCCGCCCAACCTTCCATTCTCTGAAAGGCCCATGTGTGTTGTCCCGCTCTGTGTGTCCATGTGTCCTCATTTAGCTCCCACTTATAAGTGAGAACATGCAGTATTTGGTTTTCCGTTCCTGTGTTAGTTTGCTTAGGATAATGGCTTCCAGCTCCATCCATGTCCCTGCAAAGGACATGATCTTGTCCTTTGACCATTTTTCTAAAGGAATTTGTATCGGTTTGTTTGAATTCTGGAGTCAGTTAACAAGTACTTATTAAGCTTTTATTATGCACCATGGAATATGCCACAGTATACATTGATGAGGCAGGTGGACATTATCCTTGCTTTCATGGAACTTACACTGCAGTGGGAAAATAGACATGAAATCATACACACTGGACATGAGCTAATATGTGAAAGAAAAAGAACAGGTTCAGTCAGGGTGCATGGTAGGGCCAATGGCCTCTTCAAGGATAAGGCATTTCAGCTGAGACATGGAAGGTGTGATGTAGCTGGGGAATACCAGTTGTAGCCAATGAGTGTGAAGGACCTGAGCAGGGAGCCCTTGGTACCTCTGAGATAATGGATGGCCCTTGTGGCTGAGGTCAGTGAGCAAAGGGAGGAACACAGAGATACACTAGGGGCCGGGCATGGTGGCTCATGCTTATAATCCCAGCACTTTGGGAGGCTGAGGCGGCCAAATCACTTGACCAGTCTGGCCAACATGGTGAAACCTCGTCCCGACTAAAATCACAAAAATTAGCCGGGTGTGGTGGCACGTGCCTATAATCCCAGCTACTTGGGAGGCTGAAGCAGGAGAATCGCTTGAACACGGGAGGCGGAGATTGCAGTGATCCGAGATCGAACCACTGCGCTCCAGCTGGGGCAACAGAGAGAGACTCTGTCTCAAAAAGAAAAAAAAAGATACGCTAGGAAAGGCAACCACGTTATGAAGTTTGGGTTCTGCACTGTGGGCAGAGGGAAAGCACTGTAGAAATAGAGGCAAGCCATGATTTTATGGTCCACCTGGAGAGGATATAAATATTGTGCTTCTCACAAATTATTCACCTGCTAGTTTCAGAAGTCATTGATAGTTTTCTCTTGGATCAGATATGATTAATAGTTACAAAATAGTGATTTTTAAAAAAACTTTATTCTTATTTATTAGATCACATACTCCTGTAAAGAAGAGCTTTCTCCCTTTCACCATTTGTTTCTTCATTTATATCATATGGATTAATAGTAGGTGGCATATTTTTTCTCATTTCCAGGTCAGAATAAAATAAATCTTGTTTTATCCTGTAACAGATTATTACCCATTATCATTATTTATCACAACGTTCATAGTTTTCCAGACTTGCCCAGTGACACCCTTTCAAACTGGCTCCTGGGTTCTTTGGACATAATCCCCCCCCCCTTTTTTTATAAGCACGTTTTTAACTTTTTTAGTTTCAACAATTCAGTAAAAGCTAGTTAACATAAATACAGAAGAAGTCCACACAATTGACATCCGTGTACATAAATGCAAGAATGCCAAACCTCACATGAACCAAAAAGTATCAGCTCTTACAATGTTGACTATTTAGCTATGACTAGTAGGTCATAAATCTTCGCATAAGCAAGGGTACACATTCAAATGTTTTTTAAAACTAAGAATAAAACAATTTTATGTTTCTAAAAGGAGAAGCATAAAAGTCAATCTGTCGAAGAACATAAGGATGTGATAGAAAAGAGATTTGCGTGGGCACAAAGTTAATACACTGTGTTAATACTTTTACATATTAAAATCCCTCTGCAGCCAGGCGTAATAACTCATGCCTGTAGTCCCAGCTACTCAGAAGGCTGACAGAGGAGAATCACCTGAGCCTAGGAGTTTGAGGTTGTAGTATAATATGATTGTGCCTCTGCACTCCAGCCTGGGCAACAGAATGAGACCCCATCTCCCCTGCAAAAAAGAAAGAGAAAGAGAAATACTTTGGAGGCAAACTTTATATAGAACGTTTGTATATAGTTTTTTTTTAAGTCATCAGTGTCATACTTAAACTAAAATGCAGATTGTGTTTTTGTCTCCAAACTGATTGTAATACTTTTGAGTCCAATCAAAACACCTCAGAAACATCCAGTTACTGTTGATTACAATAAATGTGACATGCTGACAGAATTTAAGAAGGTACAGTTTTTCACTGGTGAGAGCAGTAAAAGCTTGGTAATTTTCAATAATGTTGGGATCACTACAGTGAATAGATCTGCAGAACAACATATCTAAAACCCAGACAAATGTTAGGAATACTGGTTCTGTTGAATAAATGACCAATGTTTTTATAGAAATACGTAACATAGAATTCCCTCCTGCTCTTTCACCCTCAATAAATGCTATAAAGTGCATTCACAAAGAGCCATATTAAGATAAAGCTACTGCACAAAATACAGCACTCATATATACTGAAATGAGTAGTATCACACTGGAGTTTAATTGTGCACATTTTATATACCAGTATAGCAACATCCTTAGCCAGAAGTCTCAACAGAATTATCATGAACATAAACGTTTAAGGGTTATATACATATATCAATTTAAAGTATGAAAAGGTGCATTTGAACTTCATGGCAACATTTAAAAATGATATCCTTGTTAGCACATCACCTTGAATCTATGATGTATGATTCAGCAAATTAGGACAGAATCAAATTCTCAGCAAAAAGTACTTTGAGGCTGGGGATGGTGGCTCACGCCTGTAATCCCAGCACTTTGGGAGGCCAAGGCAGGCGGATTGCTTGAGCCCAGGAGTTTGAGACCAGCCTGGGCAATATGGCGAAACCCCATCTTTACAAAAAAGCACAAAAATTAGCTGAGCATGGTGGTGCCCACCTGTAGTCAAGCTATATCTGAGTCTCTTTAAGTCAACTGGGGTTGGTTGCTATAAGTACAGTAAAACCTGCCACTGTAGCTGAAATAATGTACCAGGTAGAATCACAGTCCATTATAGCATTCAGCTTTTTCATGCAGTTTGAATAATCAGCAAAGTATGTTGCTCTAGAAGGACCCACCCTCAATCAACTGGCCTAATCCTCTAAACAAGGAAAAAAGCCCTTCTTTTTCCAAGGTCACCTTTAAGAAATGAAAAGGTTCAGGTAAATGCATGACATTTAAGAAATTTAAGAAATGTCATTCAGTTGATAATGGGCTTCAGCCATGGCGTTCAACTAAACTTCAGATATAAAAAACACCATGGTGTTCAGCTAAACTTCAGATATAAAAAGCTTCACAGAGGAAGACAGCAGCCATGTCATTCTAACTTCTAGCGGACACATGAGAATAGCTGCCACTGTACCAGCATATTCCTCTGGTTCATTCTCCTGCATGTCCTCCAGGCACTGAGGCAGGTTGCAGATCCAACCACACACTTCCAACACCACTTTTATTTTTATTTTTTAAAACTGTGGTAAAATACAAGATTTACCGTGCTCACCATTTTCAAGTGTACAGTTCAGTAGTGTTAAGTACATTCACACTGTTGTACAACCATCATCACCGTCCATCTCCGGAACTCTTTTCATCTTGAAATCCCCATCATCTTTTTAAAATTCACTCTTTTGGGGGCATAATTTATGGTCAATAAAATGCATTTTTAAAATGTGCTATTAATGAGTGTTGACAAATTTATACACCCACATAACCATCACCTCAATCAAGATAGCGAACATTTCCATCAACCCAAAAAGTTCCCTTGTGCTCCCTCCTGCACAGTCCGTCAAACCAATGATTTGCTTTGGTTTCTGTCACTCTATATTTGTCTTTTCTAGAGTCTCACAGAAACATTTACTGTCTTAAAAAATATTGTTCAATAGTGATTCTGACCCACACCAACTCTTTTTTTTTTTTTTTTAAAGTCTCCCTCTGTCACCCAAGTTGGAGTGCATTGGCGTGATCATAGCTCTCTACAGCCTCTAACTCCTGGGCTTAAGCAGTCTTCTTTTCTCAGCTGGGACTACAGGCATGTGCCACTGCAGCTGGCTAATTTTTAAAAATTATTTTGTAGACATGGGGTCTTGCTGTGTTGCTGAAGCTGGTCTCAAACTCCTGGCCTCAAGTGATTCTCCCTTCTTGGCTTCCCAAAGCACTGGGATTACAGGCATGAGCCACCATGCCCAGCCCCACACTAACATTTTAGAATCACTTTTATAACCTCTCTTATTGCCTCCCTCATCTCATGTATGTTATTTTCCTTTCACTGTTCTACTTGTCCATTTTATAATTGCTTAGCTACATTCAAGAGTTAATAGGCATTGAGTCTAAACCCTCCAGTTCTTATTTTAGTTCCTTTATCTGGAAAAAAAAAGAAGCCAAACATATTCGCTTTTTTTCATTCTTAGTATTGGAGTCCAGATATGATACCAAGGAATTATTTCCAAAGCAGCATGTTTATGAAGTCGAATCACCCCAATGGGAGATAATGGAAAGCCTTACAAGTTATGGTCTTGAGTGTTCAAGTTTCCAAGATGATTGGGAATGCAGAAACCAGTTTGACAGACAACAGGGAAATCCAGACAGACATTTCCATCAGATGATCATCAGACATGAAGAAATGCCCACTTTTGACCAGCATGCATCCCTTACTTTTTATCAGAAAATTCATACTAGAGAAAAACCTTTTGGGTATAATAAATGTAGAAAAGACTTCTGGCAAAAGGAACTCCTTATTAATCATCAAGGAATTTATACTAATGAGAAACCCTATAAATGTAAGGAATGTGGGAAGGCCTTTAAATATGGCTCACGACTAATTCAACATGAGAATATTCATTCTGGTAAGAAACCATATGAATGTAAGGAATGTGGAAAGGCCTTCAATTCTGGTTCAAATTTTATACAACATCAGAGAGTTCATACTGGTGAGAAACCGTATGAATGTAAAGATTGTGAGAAGGCCTTTAGTCGAAGCTCACAGTTGATTGAACATCAGCGAACTCACACAGGCGAGAAACCCTATCAGTGTAAGGAATGTGGCAAGGCCTTCAATCGGATCTCACATCTTAAAGTACATTATAGAATTCATACTGGTGAAAAACCCTATGCATGCAAGGAATGTGGGAAAACCTTTAGTCATCGTTCTCAGTTGATTCAACATCAGACTGTTCATACTGGCAGGAAACTCTATGAATGTAAGGAATGTGGGAAGGCTTTTAATCAAGGCTCAACTCTTATACGACATCAGAGAATTCATACCGGTGAGAAACCCTATGAGTGCAAAGTATGTGGAAAGGCCTTTAGAGTGAGCTCACAACTCAAGCAACATCAGAGAATTCACACTGGAGAGAAACCCTACCAATGTAAGGTATGTGGTAGGGCCTTCAAACGGGTCTCACATCTTACTGTACATTACAGAATTCATACAGGTGAAAAGCCATATGAATGTAAGGAATGTGGGAAGGCTTTTAGTCATTGCTCACAATTGATTCATCATCAGGTTATTCACACTGAGAAAAAGCCCTATGAATATAAGGAATGTGAGAAGACCTTGAGTCATGATTCAACTACCGTTCAACCTCAGAGAATGCATAATAGAGAAACACATGTGAATATAATAAATGTAGAAAAGCCTTCCATCAGCAGTTACCCCTTACTAATCATCAGAGAATTTATGTTGGCAAGCAACCATATGAATGGAAGTAATGGGGAAAGCCCATTAGCCTAGGCTAATTGTGACTGTGACTTACTTCTCCCTCTTGGAGAAAGACTTGAAGAATGTAATGCCAGTGACAATGCCTTCATTCAGAGGTAAGCCTTTATCCTAAGTCTGAAAATTCATATCAAAGAAAATTTTATGGATGTAAATTGTTCAGATCATAATTGTCAAAAATGCTGGGAAAGGTTGGGAGAAATTTTATTTCTAACACATTCCAGAACCACATTTTCTAACCACAGTGTAGTAATTTTATCAAGAGCAAAAGTTATAGTTTTCTTACAAGTTAAAAAAACAGCCAGATTATCATTTGCTTAACAAAGAAATCATGCAATTACCATAAATGGTAATGAAAAGAATGAATTGAGAGTTTAACATGCCAAGAGATGTGAAATGTGGCCAAAGAGATGTGAGGGTAAGGGGAAAGCCAAAGCTACACTGGAGGAATTTTTATAGCCTTTGAATGCATGCATATACATGAAAATCTGAAAGATAAACTCATATGCACTAAACATGCTATTCAAGTCTACCAAACATCCAGGCAGTGAAAGAAGAAAGTAACAGAAAATGATGAAATAAAGAGACCATCTTACAATAATCTCAGTTTTTGTTTCTTTCTGATCCAGAAATAATCTAAATTTAGGAGAATATTTCTTAATTTCCACATTGTTACATTGTTTTATGTGACTGGCACAGACAACCATTGGTTGTCATCCCAGCAGCCATACCCAATTCCCCTTGTTATTGGCAGCATCTGTGTCTTGCCTTGGACTCTGAGAATATCAGATGCTAATTTTCCAGTCTCCTGTGCAGCACAGTATGGCCAGTATCTCCCAGTGTTGCTCAGTGGAATCTGCCGGGGCTTCTGGGAAAGATTTTCCTCATTCAGAAGAGACAGGTTTATCATGAAGACTTCCTCCTCTCTCACTTCCTGCTTTTAAACATTTTTATATAAGAACATGATGCCTGAAGCTGCTGCAGCTGTCTTGGAACCAAGAAGAGAAAAAAGTGGACCTCAGAGAAGCTGACCCAGAGCCTGAGAAGACTCAGCTACTAGGCCAATTCTGGAACTGCCTTTTTGATGCCTTGTTATCTGAGAAAAATAAAACTTGATTGCTCAGTTAGTTTTAGTTGGATATTTTGTAAATTCGCAGCCAAAAGCATCCTAAGTGATATAATATCTAATTTAATTTTATTATGGTTGGTAAATGTGGCCTGAAGTTATCTACTTTTTGAATTTTACTCTTTTTTTGGAGATGGAGTCTCGCTCTGTCACCAGGCTGCAGTGCAGTGGCACAACCTCTGCCTCCCGGGTTCAAGCGATTCTCCTGCCCCAGTCTCCCCAGTAGCTGGGACTACAGGTGCACGCTACCATGCCCAGCTAATTTTTGTGTTTTTAGTAGAGATGAGGTTTCACCATGTTGGCCAGGATGGTCTGGATTTCCTGACCTTTGTGATCCACCCGCCTCGGCCTCCCAGCACTTCCTATAAGTGCTGGGATTACAGGCATGAGCCGCTGTGCCACCCAGTTTGACTGTGTGTGTGTGTGTGTGTGTGGTTAAATACAAGATTGATTTCTGTATACCATGAACATTGAAAAAATATGTATTCTGCATTTTTGGATACAAGTTTCTAAATAAGTCCATTAAGCCACTAGATTGCAATAGTAAAAATCTCCATGTTTTCATATAATTTGGTATGCTGGATCAGAATTTCCTAAAAAAATGTTGCCAACACCTTGAGTTTCCAGACATTTACGCTTTTTAATTTATATTGTTTGACTTACAGGGACATACTACTAACCCTCTATTTATGAATTATACCTTTATCTTTACATAATATCCCATTTTGCCTAGTGCAGGGTATAAAAACCAAATCCAGCCCGCTACCTGCTTTATAAAGTCTGAGTGACACATTGCATTTATGGTCTACGACTGCTTTGGTTTCACTACAGCAGAGCTGAGTAGTTGCCACAGAGACTATATGGCCACAACACCTATATTTACTGTCTGGTTTTTTTGTTTTGTTTTTTGAGATGGCATCTCAAACTGGAGTGCAGTGGCACAGCCATGGCTCACTGAAGCCTCAACCTCCCATTCAAGCAGTCCTCCTACCTCAGCTTCCTGAACAGCTGGGACCACAGGCATGTGCCACCACGCTAGGCTAATTTTTAAAAAATTATTTTGTAGATACAGGGTTTTCTTATGTTGCCCAGGATGGTCTCAAACTCCTGGACTCAAGCAATTCTCCCACTTTGGCCTCACAAAGTCCTGGGATTACAGGTGTGAGCCAATGCACCTTGCCTTCTCTGTTTTTTAGTTAAGTTTGGGCCAGGCACTATGACTCCTGCCTGTAATTCCAACACTCAGAGGCTGAGGCAGGAGGATCACTTGATATCATGAATTCTAGACCAGCCTGGGCAACAAAGGGAGACCCTATCTCTACAAAGAAACAAAAAAGTTAGCCAGGTGTGGTGGCATGTGCCTGTAGTCCCAACTACTTGGGAGGCTGAGGTGAGAGGATTATTTGAGCCCAGGAGTTCAAGGTTGCAGTTGAGCTGTGATCATGCCATGTACTCCAGCCTGGGCAACGGAGCAACCCCTTGTCTCAATAAGTTTACTCTTATTGGAAGCAGATGACTTGCCATTGGCAAACTCATGTGCTATGAGCCAGAACCATAGATTTCTGAAGATCAATCTCCCCAGATTCTATTCTAAGCCTTCTACCCATATGGTAATTATGGCCCTCCTTGCGTTTGATGCTAAGAGCTATCACCTGGCTGCCATTATTCTGAGATCCTATCATTCCCATTGCAACTAGAGAGCCCAGTTCCTTAACAGCACCTCTTGCAGCCAGCCCTCGCCTAGGGGACAGCTACTATTGGCCATCTCCATGACGCTTGTTCTCCCTTGTATATCCACTTCTTTTGATCCCATCCTCATTTGTCATGGCAATTCTGCTATCTTCATTTTATTTAATGAGAACCAATGCTTTTTCCAAGCTTCAAAAACTGTCCCAGCATCCATTAGAAGCATCTTTTTCCCTTGCCAGTGTGTTAATCCTGTCATACAGTGACCCCATAGCAAAAAACTCTCCCCTATTCAACTTTGTATTCTACCTAATGATGCAGTAATCTCAGGATCTCCTCCCAGGTATACTCTTCTGGTTCTTGCTTGTACATGTTAGCCAGGTCCTACAGCTCCTTTGGTGTCTGAATCCATTTCTTACCACAGCAGTCCCAGAACTTCCCCAGTTTGGGACTGCTGAAATTTGACCCATTATTGACTTGGGGGAAAGATACTGTGGAAAGAAAGCATTGTTTTAAAGGGAGCATAGAGGGTATAGGGAAATCTGGGATTTGAGCAAGATGTGCAAATGCATATGCTAAGAAGTCTACATCCTGACTCAGAGTTGCCACTTCCTCCCCACTAAGTCTTTCCTCCTAAGACTGAAAGCAAAACAAGGGTGCCTACATTTATCACTTTCATTCAACACTGTCCTGGAGGTCACACAGCAATTGCAATAAGATGAGAAAAAAAAGAACAGCACAGACCAGAAATGAATACACTGTCTATTTGCACGTGACATGATTGCTTATGAAAAAAATCTTAAGGCCAGGCGCGGTGGCTCATGCCTGTAATCCCAGCACTTTGGGAGGCCGAGGTGGGCAGATCACGAGGTCAGGACATAGAGACCATCCTGGCTAACATAGTGAAACCCCGTCTCTACTAAAAATACAAAAAATTAGCTGGGCGTGGTGGCAGGCACCTGTAGTCCCAGCTACTCGGGAGGCTGAGGCAGGAGAATGGTGTGAACCCGGGAGGCGGAGCTTGCAGTGAGCCGAGATCGCGCCACTGCACTCCATCCTGGGTGACAGAGCAAGACTCCGTCTCAAAAAAAAAAAAAAGAAAAAAAAAAAATTTAAGAAATCTGTATGACAACTCCAAGAATAAGTGAAATGTTCAAGACAAGATGCAAGATAAATGTACAAAATGCTATTTTGATGTACAAGTAGCAAACAACTGGAAAAGTAAAAGACAAACGAATTTACATATTGTGAAAATGTCTATTAATAAACTTAAGAAAATACATTCAAGATCTCTATACAGAAAACTACAGGTATTTCTGAGAAAAATTAAAGGAGACAAATAGAACTTATGCTAAGGTTACAGACTGGAAGTCACTGCTGTTAAGTGTCAATTCTCTTCAAGTTTGTCTACAGACTTCATGCAATCTCAATTATAATACCGACAGGCTTTTTGGTAGGAACTGACAAGGTGACTCTGAACATTTATTAGAAAATGCAAATAAGCTAGAGTAGTGAGGCCAATTTTTATTTTATTTTATTTTTTAATCCAGAAAAGCATCACCAGGATTTTTTTTTTTTTTTTTAAGAGACAGGGTCTCATTCTGTCAACCTGGCTGGACTGCAATGGTGTGATCACAACTCACTGCAGCCTTGAACTCCTGGACTCAAGCAATCCTCCCACCTCAGCCTCCTGAGCAGTTAGGACTACAGATGGGTGCCACCATGCCCAGCTAATTTCTAAATTTTTTTGTAGAGATAAGGTCTTGCTATATTTCCCAGGCTGGTCTTGATCTTCTGCGCTTAAGTGATCCTCCTGTCTGGGGCTCCTAAAGTGCTGGGATTATAGGCATGAGCCACCATGCCCAGCCTAGAGAAATTTGTTAAAATAACAAAACTGGAAGACTTACTACCAAATTTCAAGACTTCCTCTAAAGCTATAATTAAGACAATGTGGAACTACTGAGAAGACAAATAGATTGATGAAACAGATCATTTCAGAAGTATACTCATGATAAATAATTGATTTTTGCAAAAGGTGCCAATAACAACGTAAGGGCGAAAATGAAAGACATCTCCCAAAACTGGTGTCACTATGGGTCAATAATATGGGGGAAAATATAATTCAACCTTTACCTCCTCCATTATCCATAATAAAAACATGAAATAGATCTAACAGTAAAAGGTAAAAATACACTATAGCTATAGAAAACATGGAAGAAATTCTATGTAAGCTCAGCATAGAATAAATAATACTTCTTAGAACATAAAAAGCAGAACTAGGTCAGGCACAATGGCTCATGTCTGTAGTCCCAGCACTTTGGGAGGCTGAGGCAGATGGACTGCTTGAGCTCAGGAGGTCAAGACAAGCCTGGACAACATGGTGAAACCTAGTCTCTACAAAAAATATAGAAATTAGGTGTGGTGGCACATGCCTGTAGTCCCAGCTACTTGAGAGGCTGAGGTGGGAGGATCACTTGAGCCTGGGAGGCAGAGACTGCAGTGAGCCATGATTGTGCCACTGCACTCCAGCCTGGGTGACAGAGTAAGACCCTGTCTGAAAAACAAATAAAAGCATAACTATTAAAAAATGTGATTAATTGGATGTGATCAAACTTAAAGCTTTTATCACTGTTATGTAAATGAAAAGGTAGGTTACAGAATAGAAAATATTTCCAAAATCTGGTGAACTCTCATAAATGCACCCGAAGAAAAACCTCTAATTTTTTTTTTTAATTATACTTTAAGTTTTAGGGTACCATGTGCACAACGTGCAGGTTTGTTACATATGTATACATGTGCCATGTTGGTGTGCTGCACCATTAACTCGTCATTTACATTAGGGGGAGGGGGGAGGGATAGCATTAGGAGATATACCTAGTGATAAACCTCTAATTTAAAAAATAATCTGCAAGGCTTCAACACACACTTCACAAAAAATACATATCAACAGTCAAGGGAAGGCATTTTTAAGTTAAATTAAAAGTGCAATGAAATATCATTCCATACAAACTAACAGAGCATATTTAAAAAGACTCAAAGTACAAAGTACTGGTGATGATACAGAATAATCAGAATTAACATTTTGAGTTTTGGTTATTTGCTAAATTTTCCATTACACATTCTACAGTGTCGAGTAAGGTGAGAGCTGCAGCTAAAGGACTTCCCGCATTGACTGCACTGAAAGGGTTTTTCACCAGTATGAATTCTATTATGTTGACAAAGTGTGGAGGAAGTATTAAAGGCCTTCCCACAGGCATGGCATGTATAGGGTTTCTCTCCACTGTGTGTTCTCTTATGAGTAACAAGGGAAGAGTGCGCACTGAAGGCTTTTCCACATTCCTTGCATTTATACGGTTTTTCTCCACTGTGTGTTCTCTTATGAGTAACAAGAGAAGAATGGGCGCTGAAGGACTTTCCACATTCCTTGCATTCATAGGGTTTTTCACCAGTATGAATTCTCCTGTGCAGAGTGAACTGCATCACACGACAAAAGGTCTTTTTGCAGTCCTTACATTGATATGGTTTTTCTCCAGTGTGAATTCTCCAATGTTCAATCAGGGAAGACAGGTGCACAAAAGATTTCTTACACTTACTACACTCATAGGGTTTTTCTCCAGAATGAGTTTTCTGATGTCTAATGAGCTGGGCACTTTGAGTGAAGGCTCTTCCACACTCCTTACATTCATACGGCTTTTCTCCACTATGAATTCGCTGGTGATCTATAAGAGCTGAGACACGGCTGAAGGCCTTTCCACATTCACTGCATTCATGGAACTTTTCTCTCGTATGTGTAGTCTGATGCTGTGTGAGATGAGTCATCTGGCTGAAGGTTTTCCTGCATTCCTTACATTTGTAAGGTTTCTCACCAGTGTGAATTCTCTCATGCTAGGTAAGGTGTGCCCTCTGGTTGAAGGTTTTAATACATTCGTTACATTTATAGGGTCTCTCTCCCGTGTGGATTCTTTGATGCTGAATGAGAGTTGATTGACGAGTGAAGTATTTCCCACAATCTAAACACTGATTGCATTTCTTTTGTGTATGATTTCTCTTATGGAGAGTAAGCTGCATATTGTGGCAGTATAGATTTCCACATTCCTTACATACGTTTCTTGTACATTTTATCACTGTGTCAAACTGCGATAATACTTCATTAATAGCCCTCTTTGCAGATAACTCCTTAATCTCTGCACCTGGCACATCTGAAAGGGGAAAAAAAATCAATGAACAGAAGCAAATTAAACTAATGTAATATACCTATCTTTTATCTTTTCAATCCCACTTTAGGCACCTACTCAAGAAACTAAGATACCAGTTTTTAAGGTTATATTGATAAGAATGCTTATTGAAATAGGCTTTATATTGGAAACAAACTAGGGGTCCCTCATCATTAACCATGGTATATCTCTATCTGTAGTATTACTTAGCTACTAAAAAAAGAGTGAACTTCAGCTGTTTTCTGAGCTGCAGGATAATGTATTAAGTGAAAAGGACAAGATGCAGTGTGCTAAGTTATACCACAAGTTTCAAAACACAAAAAGGTAAATGATAGTTTCTGTATGTATATGTATGCATTAACCAGAGGAATTAATGTGTCCAGACAGAAGGCATCTCCAATTATTTTACTGCAGAAACAATTTGACATAATATAGAAACAATAAAATCAATCATATAATCAGGGGCAGATAGGGTATGAATTCTCACTGATATAGACATTTTGAGATTAAAGAGATCGCTAAGCAAACAGGAAAAATAAGAGGGTCAAGTGAAGGCAGCAAGGAAACAGATTTAGAGCTTAAGAAAACATGTACTATGGGGAATTGCAGGGGCCAAAATGGCATTACAGGAAGACTGATCAACAGGATCAAAAATTAAAGAAAGGCAATAGGACTTGCTACAAAGACGAACATAATACCCTTCTAACCTGTAGTTGTTTTTACTGTTTAGGAGCTAAAGGGCAGAGGGGCAGAGATGCTGGCTGTGCTTGCTGTAAAAGAACAGAACAGAACCCCGGTCAATTATGGAAAATGACTGAGTCTGGCCTGTTTTTCATGCACTAAACATGTGGGAATCCCACTGTTTTTTCCAGATTATACTGTGTATGTAGACAGTGGAGAGGGCTAACCTCATTAAGGGTGCAAGAGGGGCTGGTTTTACAGGGGGCCTCTACTACGAAGGCCTAATGGTTTTGAAAATGAACTCAAATAAAAGATTATTACCAAATGTGACGATTCAAGCTCATTATTCTACATCCTTTTCACCATAGAAATATCCACTTTAGCAAGAACCATAAATTAGTCAGATATAAACTACCTTTCAACGTTGTCTTATCCTAACGTCTTGGTCTTACTTTGGTTACCTTTTCTTCATGAATAGTGAGGCCCTGGAATTCTAACACAGGATGTTTCCTGTTTCTCTTGCTACCAATCAATCAGTCCTTCTCTGCTATCTATAGGCAATTCATTTCTTCCATTCCTAAGGGTCCATCACCACAAAACATATAAAAAACACATTCATCTCCAATTCTGAATTACTATTGAGATCCAGCTACATATTTGTAACTCACAGTTCAAGACATACCTTAATTCCAACAATTCCTTAAATAAATATATCACAAATGTACTTCATTTCCTCACTTTCTATAACTTTAAATATCACCCAGTTTTGAAACTAAAACTTTACTAACTCCCACACATCAAAATAAACCATTTTAATTAGTTTCTACTAGTTAATTAGTTTCTACTTTGCACAAGGTTTGTGGAAGCAAGTCTTAATCCCCTCACTCAAATGTAAACTCACTGCAAGTTTCTATACTTTTAAACAAACTCAGAAAAGAACACAGCAGGCTTTGAGACTGTTCTCCTTAGAAAGGTGTGCTTACAACGTTGGCCCCTGACTGACCTCTAAGGAACTTGGATTTCATGAGGGTTTCTACCATTCCCGGAACTGGTACAAGTGGCTTACTGTGCCTAAGCTATTTGTGCAGATGATGTGGTTTATGCGGAACACCTACTTTCCTTCTGAGATTCTGGATTTTTAGCATATACTCGGCAGAGGGTACCTTTATGGCTTCCCTAAGTAAATTCCTTGGCACTAAGTCTAATGTTGTCTAGCTGCTATTATCTCACACATACCACACAAGTTGCTGCTAGAGGAATTAAGTACCTCCTGTGTGACTCCCCTGGGAGAGGAATCTCGGAAGCACATTCCTGATTTCCTCCAGACTTTGCCTTATGAGCTTACCTTTGCTGATTTTGTTTTATATCTTTTGCTAAAATAAATCTTAGCCATTGTGTAGTAAATAATTTAACCTTTTCCAAAGAGAGTTCTAGTCTTTGCCTTTGGCTCCTGGGAGATGGTCATCTCTGACACCTTGAAATATCCTGCAAGATAAAAGTGTCTCTATTTACCTATGGGCGTTGGACCACACCAGATAATCAAACTATGTGATTTATGTGGGGCTTTGGGTCACATGATATTAGGGTGACCTTCAGAGGAGCTAGAGATTGAGGTGAGACATTAGCAGTCAGCCATGTCTACATGATGGTGCCCTAATGAGGAGTCTGGATAACAAGGGTCAGATAGGCTTCCTTGGTTGGCCACACACTGTGCATACTGCCACACATCATTGTTGGGAGGAGTTAACACTGTCCATGACTCCACTGTGGGGGCATAAATGGAAGTCCTCCGAGACTCTGCCCCATGTCTTTTTCCTCGGCTGATTTTTAATGTGTATCCTTTCATGGCAATAAACTCTAACCATGAGTGTAACAGCTTTCAGTGAGTTCTGTGAATCCTTCTAGTGAATTATCAAACCTGAGGGTCATCTTGGGGACCTTTGGATTTGCAATTCGTGTCAGAATTCAGGGTGGTCTTGGGGACCCCCATACTTTGCAGCTGGCATCAGAATGATGGTGTTCTTCTGGACTATTCACTAACTTTGCAGGCATGAATACAATGATATGATGACTCCTGTGACGACTCCTAGTAAGTCCTTGAACCTGGGGGTGGTCTTGGGGACTCTCAACAGTTGACTAGTTTTAAAAATGGAATTAATGTTAATGAATAAATGACCAATGAATACACCCATTCAAACAATCAGACCACTATATAAGTCATCTTACAGTAAAGAAAACAATATCAAAGAGTCAAATAAAAAAAAAGTCATGAGAAACAGGATCCTGAATTTAAAAGGAAGCTTACCATAGACAAAGAGGAAAGACACACCTGTAATTTCTGAGCCCACAGGCATTTATAAAAGCAGATATAAATGGTGGGTGATCAGTACCCTTTTAGGAACTCAAACTCAAGGAGCCTCAATTTCTACATACGTATGGAACATTGGAAGAGAGCATCTTTCACATCTTAAAGGTGCTTTGCCCTCTAGACCTGGTATGCCTTTCATATACATGGCTTACCCCCGCTAGTTGGTTCTTCATACTCACCTGGCAATGGGCCTCTTATCTCTTCTTTTGCCATTATCCAAGGCAGTTTCCTTTTCTCCAACAGTGAAATCACAGATTTAGAAATGGAAAGTCCTGTGAATAGAAAGAGTTGGCTATGCTCTGGTTACTCAGGTATTGTGACAGATCAACACTGTAATCGAAACACAAGCCATTATAAAAACAAAAACATTAGAACATCTGGCAGATAGGATAAAGAAAGCTGCTCACTCCAATTTCCACATCTCATGTAAATTCTGAATCTCACCAAAGACTCCCAGTATAAAAACAAAAAAAGAAATACTCAAGACCAGTTGCTGAATTAAGGGCTTTAAGCACTTACCCAGCCAGACCAGGTTCTGATAATTCTCCAGCATCACAGTTGTGTACAAATCTCTCTGAGCAGGGTTCAGGAATCCCCACTCTTCCTTGGAGAAGTCAATGGCCACATCTTGGAATGTCACTCATCCCTGAAAATGATAAACACTTCCTTAGAAGAGCCCAAGGAAATAACTGGAAGTTGGGAGGAGCTGATAAGGACTCTTTGTCTTATAAAAGCAGCTTATTTAAGTTACTAAAGAGCAATACTGTGAAATAGTGTTTATTAAAATTTGGGTATAGAAAAATACTTAATAAGGGAAACATTCAAGATGAACAGGGTGATTCAAAAAACACTGAATAATTTAAGAAATGTATTGCTCAGAGATTGTGTATCCACGTATTCAAAACCAATTTGTAAAGGAACTAGCATAGTTGATTTTATAATCTTACATATTCATAGTATGACCACACATTGACTTTGTTGAAAGCCAGTCATGATCAATTCTACCATGGATCTGTAGTGTATCAGAATAACTTACAAATTACTTTTTTGCTGAAACAAAGTGTAGTCCTCTTTCTTTAAATCTGGATCGGACCTACAATTTGCTTTAATCAACAGAATATGACAGAACTAACACTAACTAGTTCCAGATGAAAGCTTCAGGAAGGCTTGGCATCTTCTGTTTTGCCCTCATAGGGGCTCATGACACATAAGAAAAGACAATGAGACGTTGCCAATGGAGAGTGAGACATTCTGAGACTACATCAAGTAAAGCTGAGTAACTCAGCTAGCAGCAAAGAACAGTGGCCCAGATACATGACTCCAGCAATTCTAGCTAAATATAAAATACATGAATGAAGAAGACATCTTGGGGATTCAGGCCCTGGCAGGCATCATAGGATCAGAGATTAATCATTCCCACCCTGTTGAGTTCAGTGTGAATTCCTCACCCATAGAATCATAGGAAATAAAGTAGTCTTTGCTCTAGCAGCTACATTTTAGGGTAGTAGATGTAATGGTCTGAAAACTGCAGCAGATGTGTTATTATTTCACCTTATTTGCCTCCATCAGGCTGTGCAACAGGAGCAAAGAATAAGGTTTCATCCTCAGCTACTTAGGAAGAAGGTGGGAAGAACTGAGGATGCCCAGCCTATGGTTAGTTTTCCTTTCCAATATCCTGGGACTTCATCAACTCATAATACAACTATGATTCCCAATCACTCCAATCATATACAGCTGCCCTGTGTTGTCCTTTCCAAATACACCCTTGCACCATCTGTAACAACAGTACATAGGTCAAAAGCTATTGAAACTTAATTGTATTAAACATGGGGCAGAGAAGGTTCCTCTTTTCTCACTTGAATGTGGGGTTTAAGAAATCTTAAGGATCTCTGGGTGCAGTGGCTCATGCCTATAATCCCAGTGTTCCTGGACCAAGCTGAGGGTCAGGCTGCTATTTATTGAGGCCCAATAACGAGATGCAGATTAACTGGGGAGGAAGGGAGTTTTTATTTCTGTAGCCGGTTACAGGGAGAAGGCCTGGAAATTACTGCCAGACCAACTCACAATTACAAAGTTTTCCAGAGCTTATATACCTTCTAAGCTATATGTCTATGTGTAGGTGTGCATTCATCTAAAGACAAGTGATTAACTTCTTTTAATCTATAACCAAGGTCTGAGTCTTGAAGACCTTCCTCAGGAGCCTCAGCAAATTTACTTAATCTAAATGGGTGTAGGGTGCTGGAGTGATTACCCTTATCTTGTCTCCTGCTAAACCACGGTGGTTTGGGGATTTCCTTCAGACCTCCAATAAATTTGTTTGTGGAGGCGTGGGGGGTTTCTTCAGACCCCCAGTAAAACTTGTTTCATCCTAAATGGGTCCAGTTAAGAACTCCTTCATTATTTTGTCATGCTTTAAGGCCCAGGAAAGGCCGAGGCAAAACTGTTGGTGGGCTTTTGTTACATTCCAGCCTCTTTGTAAGGGTAGTGGCTTTTAATATTTAACCACTCAGTCAGTACTGAAACAGCTGTTATGGACACCTGCATTTGGTGAGACATGGCCTGCCACACCAGCACTTTGGGAGGCCAAGGCAGGAGGACTGCTTCAGGCCAGGAGTTCAAGACAAGCCTGGGCAACACAGCAAGACTTAGTCTCTACAAAAAAATAAAAAAATTAGCCAGGCATGGTGGCACATGCCTATAGTCCCAGCTACTCAGGAGTCTGAGACAGGAGGACTGCTTGAATCTAGGAGGTTGAGGCTGCAGTAAGCCATGATCAATATGATGAATTCATGTCCAATAGGATCAATTTTCACAACGCAATACACCCATCAGCAGATCCCCGATCAAGAAACTGAATATTACCAACACCTCCAAGATTCCCCAAGATTGCTTCAAGACACACCTCTTGCTATCCTGAATTCTGTCACCATAAATGAGGCAGACTACAATATTTTAAATGAATATTTTTTCTTGATATTCTTCAAATGCCAGTATTTTCTTTCTTTTAAGAGACAGCAGTCTTGTTATGTTGCCCAGGCTGGAATGCAGTGGCTATTCACAGGTGTGATCGTGCTGCACTATGGTGCTGAAATGCTGGGCTGAAGTGATCCTCCTGCCTCAGCTTCCCAAGTTGCTGGGACTACAGGTGTGCGCCACTGTGCCCAGATGCCAGTATTTTTTCTACCACTACATCTTCTAAAAGATCACAAAAAGACATATACAGGTTGAATATCCCTAATCTGAAATGCTTCAAAATCCAAAACTTTTTAAGTGTTGATGTAATAGTCAAAAGAAATGCTCATGGAACATTTTGGATTTCAGATTTGGGTTGCGCAACCAGTAGGTATAATGCAAATATTCCAAAACAAAACAAAAAAAATCCAAAATCTGAAATACTTCTGGTCCCAGGAATTTTGGATAAGGGATACTCAGCCTACACAATAATATTCATAGCAGTTTTACTAATAATAGCCAAAAATCTAGAAACATCCCAAATGTCTATCAACAGGAAAATGAGTAAGTAGACTGTAATATATTAACACAATGGAATACTCAGCAAAACAACAACAAATAATGGACATTAATGAACATTAAAATCATTATGTTGAGTTAATGAAGCCAGACACACACCTACTGACTACTTGACTCCATTTACGTGAAGCCAAGCAAAACAAATCCACTGTCATCAAAACAAGAAATTAGTTTCCTCTGAGGGCCAGGGCAGGGAAAACTACATGAAAAATACTTGCAGAAGTGATGGAAATCTATCTTGATGGTGAAAATATCAACAGAGTTAAGGAAGCATTGGAAGTATGGAGGAAATGGGATAAGAACTGGTGGTTAAAAAAAGCCTTAAGCTCAAATACTTCACATCAAAATACAGAAACAATAAAGTGGTAAAAATGTTTTTTTCTGCATGGTTGTTATATGACGGTTGAAATTTTTTTAACAACTTTTCTTTTAAAATACATAAATATAATTTAACAACTTCATGAACAGCTTGAGTCATCATAACAAACAGAATGTGTAGGGAAAATACTGCCTGTTTCCCTAAAAGAAAATGTAAGTTTCCCCTTTGAGAAGAAAATCTATTTTTCAAACAAAATGTCTTGGTGACTACATTTAGCGGGCTAAGAATCAAATCTGGTTGTATTTGCACAAAATTTCAGAGACCATGCAAACACCCTGAAGAGAACCCTTTTTTGGGAAATATAGCCAGCTCATCCATCTTCTCCCTTGCAGCATACTTCTTGTTCCTCATTTACAGAAAGCCAATAGGTATTTTCCGGAATTCCACAGATGAAGCCTGTGACTTTAAGCTGCCCAACGTCAAACTGGAACCTGTGATCCACAACACTCTCTTTCACTAATGTCCTAGTAAATGGCCTGACTTTGTTAACCTGGACTTTCATGCTTAAGATATCAATCACATTCCCATTCCCCAAAATTTCCAAAGGCAGATTACCATTACTGAGTCTGAACCACTCATAAGCATTTTCTATGCTGCGTCCTCTCAGTCTGGAGCTGTAAAGGAATTCAAAGATGACTGAGTATTCACCCCTACTTCAGGAAGACGACAGTCCCCGGATAAAGGCTCTTGTCTTCTCCAGGGAATGTATCTCTGACCCACCACACAGTGCTTAAAAGAAGACTGGTGACAGTGGAGACTCAGATTAATTCATTCAGTGAATAAATGAACACTAAAGTACAGGACATGGACTCTGAGAAGAGAGGTTGCTATAGTCCCACGTGTTGCTGAATGAAAAGACCTGAGCCTTGTACCGGTGTCAGTCTTTACCACCCAAGTAAGCAAAATTAGATGTGCCCAGGACTTAAAACCTATGATGTTGCAGGACAAAAACTTACCTGAGACATGGCTAACGCGCACTGCGCTGGAACCGTGTCCTGAATAGTGACCAGGTCCTGGAAATGCAGAGCTAAGGAGAAGGAAGAAAACTTCAAAGACGAGATTCTCGAACCCACTGCCACCCATTTTCAACCATGTTCCTAACAAACTCCAAAAACGACAGATTTCACTGTCAAAAGAAAACAGTTTAGCGTGCAGCTCTGGTTCCTAAAAATGTAACTGGGCTTTTTTCAATGCCCCAGTGGCCTACTCTGGGATAGAACCATTCACACAAAGAGTAATTTTAATAATGTCCTCTGTGTACACAAACGCCAACACACTGATCACGCGAGCATTCTTGTAAGGCACCCGCCACCTCCAAACTCAGGCCCGGACGCCAGCGCTGACCTGAACGGATCCCTGGGCCTCTGGCCATTCAGCCGCCCACTCCTCCCCGGAGCGCCTCTGAGACGGACCGCCCCGACGCAACACAAACCTCATAATGGCCCAGCCTCCGCGTGGCGCTGGGAAAAATACTGCCCAAGAAAGGAGAAACGGCGACGCTGCCCACCCAGGTCTCCCTGGAGCCCGCCGACCTGAAGCAGCGGCCGCACCGCGTATGCGCCCGGGTGGTTTCTGGGAGTAGGCGAGGACTCGCAGTGCGCATGTGCAGCCCCCACGGCCCCGCTCCCAGTGACCGGAATGCAGAGGCGTACATGGCTAAGAGACGAGCTACCTGGGACACAAAGTACGCGTGCGTATTGACGCCCCGTAGGGCCTCGACGCGGAGCCTGGTGGAGAGGGTTCCGCTGGTGACTGAGTACGTAGGCGTGAGTTCGGCCGTGGGGGCGTGGCTTTGTGCCCGTTGGCGGTGTTGAGAACGCTGCGCCTGCGCAGAGAATCAAGCGGTTGCCTTCTGAGGGCTGAAGCGTATATCAGTACCAGGTTCAGACTTCGTGGGAGGCTTTAAGAGGGGGGGAAGGGCCTATGATAATACATTGGCGTGGACATGTGCGTCTTAAGTTTGGGAAAGTGTTATGAGAGGTGGTTGGGACCACCGAGCGTCTGCTTTGGTGTATCTGATGGCCCCATTCTCCGTGAGGTTAGGCCCATTCTCCGTGAGGTTATGTGATTTGATATGTGACCCTATATGCATCTCTGTGGGTGTTTGGTTGACACTTGAGCTGTAGAGTGTGTCTGCTGTGTGACTTTTTCTTAATTGTTTAATCTTTATGAGCTTCAGTTGCTCATGTGTGCACGGAACAATATTTCTTAGCTAATAGTGTTGCGAGGATTAAGTGCTCATAAATGTGCCTGGCACAAAATAAGCAATGAATGGAGAAACTGTGCTTCAGTGCATTATTTAGATCATGGGCTTTTAGGTCATTTGATTCTACTTTGTCATTGTTTTGAGCTATTTACCAACTCACATTGTGGATCACTGATGGCAGTTCAAATTACTTCTTGTTTACAGAAAAGTAAATTGGAGGAGGCTCAGCTTACTTCCCTCCTCCATCTCCATTTGTGAGGAGGCCAGTTTTTGCCTCTTTTGCTGCTGCATATCATTTTAATTTTAATTTTTTTTGTTTTGTTAAGAAACAGCATCTCACTCTATTGCCAACACTGAAGTGCAGTGGCACCATCATAGCTCACTGCAGCCACGACCGCTTGACATCCTGGATTGAATCTATCTTCCTGCCTCAGCCTCCTGATTAGCTGGGACTACAGGTGTGCACCACCATGCCCGGCTAATTTTTTAAGTATAGGTGAGATCTCACTATGTTACCCAGGCTGGTCTCAAACTCGTGGCCTCAAGCGATCCTCCCACATTGACCTCCCAAAGTGCTGCGATTACAGGCATGAGCCACTGCAGCCAGCCACTTTAATATTCTTGATCTATAAATGTGACTTTTTTTCGGCTCGGGGAAGGGTTCTCTTATGAGTTGGTTTTAATACGTCACCAGTTTTTCTCATTAATGAGTTAAGTAAAATCTTCAATCTGTGTATTTTGCCTATTAGAGTGCCTTGTAATTTTTTCCTGATAGCTGAATATGATGTACTTGGTAAAATGAGCCGCATGATAGGTCTTTAGTAACATGGTGATAAGATTTGGTTGTGAGAGGGGAAGTGTTCTATGGTCTGCAAAAATAATATATAAACTTAGGCACATTAAAATTTTAAAGAGTTTAAGCAGATAGCAGTTCATGAATTGGGCATTGCCAGATCACATGCAGCTTAGGGCCTCTCTGAAGAGGCATGAGGGAAGGGCTTTTACAGGCTGAACTCAGAAACAAGGCAAAGAAAATACTTGATTGGTTAGAGTAGAGCCTTATTTGGATCATTCCAGTGGGAAGTCAATAGTAGGAGGTTAATTGGTGGTTTCTGATTGGTTAAGGCCAGTTACACTGAGTTGGGTTTGGGTTTGCTTAGGTTAAGAATTCAGGCTACTGGAGCCACCTCGGCCTAATGGCCTCCCAATTAATGGTTTCAACAAGTCTTAATGGTAAGGTTTCTTTTTTTTTTTTTTTTTTTTTGAGACAGAGTCTCGCTGTGTCACCCAGGCTGGAGTGCAATGGCACAATCTCGGCTCACTGCAAGCTCCGCCTCCTGCCTCAGCTTCCCGAGTAGCTGGGACTACAGGCATCCGCCACCACACCCAGCTAATTTTTTGTATTTTTAGTAGAGACGGGGTTTCACCATGTTAGCCAGGATGGTCTCGATCTCTGACCTCGTGATCCGCCCGCCTCGGCCTCCCAAAGGTTTCAGTCTCTTATCCTGAGCCCAGGGACTATGAATTTCACAAGTCCTTCCGAGTAAAACCCTTTCCCCTTAAGTGGGACAGGGTGGCAAGAGGGGACCAGAATTGTTTATTTTCCTTCTTCCAGGTCATTTGGACACTGATAAAACCCCAAGACGGTAGGCTCTGATAAAATAGTTTCTCTCCTGAGCATTGAACAGAATGCCGTGGTATATTTCAAAATGGCTACTCTTCCTCTTCCCCTGCCAGAACCAGCTGGGGACTTTTCTCAGATCTTCACTGTGAGAACCTGCTAGAGTCCTTGGAGATAAAACTCACGAAAGTGTAAAGATAGCTCTATGGCAAGGTCTTCTTGGAGTTTTTAATTCTCAGACTTAACCACATTCAGCTTCCAGCAATTCATCAATTAGAGTTCAGGTTTTCCTAACCTTGTTCTGGTTCCTGCAGAGGCACAAAGATTACTGCTTGTGAGTTTCTGCTCTGGTAAGTTATCATTCTCTGTGTCTGCCTGTCTCCAACTTTGGAGGCAGTAGCTTGCCTTGTGACCTCACTTATTTGACAGATCTAAGAAGAATTGCTGATTTTTCAGTTTGTTCAGCTTTTTATTTGTTGTTAGGATGGAGTGAGGACTTCCAGCTCCTTGCTGGACCAGAAACTGGAAGTCTCAGTAATGTCTTTAAACACGTTCACTTTTGTATCCATATGAGACTCATCTTTGAATAGCAGGTAGTGAATTTTAGCTGCTTAAGCCTTTTAACCATGTTGTATAGGGAAACTGCGTGTCTATTGTTGAGGAAATAAAAACAGAAACTTCCTGCCAACCCAGAAAACCTCGCTACAAAGGTAGAAGGGAAAGAAAACAGTTTTATTATTGAATAAGCATTACACCAGAATCCAGTATGTACCATAGGCAGTCGGCTAAAGAGATTGCTAAGACAGAAATCTCATCTTTTTTCTATAGCCAAACAAATACAACCCATTATGTACATTTCTCAAGATCAACAATAATTAGTCAAGTCATAGGAATTGGAGGGCCTCCACTACCAACCAGAGGGCCAAACCATGACTTTAAATGAAGTAATACATTCTGATAAGAACAAAGCGTTCTTGTTTATGTGTGATGTGTCTGTTCTGTTTCCAGGAATGGATGTTTTCTTTTAAAAATGGTTTATTGAAGTATCATGTACCTATCTTAAGTGTACAGCACGATGATGTGTATGCCCATGTAACCATCACCTAGAAGGTAAAGAATATTTCCATCACACTGGAAACTTCCCTTGAGCTCCTTCCCATTCATCACCCCCTTAGAAGAACCACTATTCTGATGTTTATCCCATAGATTCATTTTGCCAGTTCTTGGCCTTCTTAGAATAGTATACAATATGTATTCTTTTGCATCTGGCTTCTCTTAGCATAATGTTAGCAATTCATATGTGTAGGGTATACGTCAACAGTTCTTAGTAGCATTCCATTGCATGAATGTACCAGTTAGTTTATGCATTCACTCATTAATGGACATCCAGCTTGTTTTAAGTTTTTAACTGCTGTGAATAAAGCTGTATGAACATATCTCTCTATGGCCATGTGCACTCCTTTCTCTTGTAATAGAGGTAGGGTCATGGGATAGTTGTGTGTTTAATTTTTTAAAAAACTGTCAGTTTTCCAAAGTGGTTGTACCATATAACATGTTCACTACCAATGTATGATAATTCCAGTCATTCCACATCCTTTCCAAGACTTTATATTGTCGTTCTTTCAATTGTAGTCATTCTGATGTGTCTGTAGTAGTATCCTGTTTTCTTAGTGAAGCAAAAGTAATATCAATAGACAGTCTGATTTATTATTGGCCTACAATAGCTGAAAACCTATTTAGTTCTCAACTTTCTTGAGTAACAACATAAGTTCATATGGTAAGCTGTCTCTACATTGCTTGGTTCAAAAAGTCCTGCAGAGGACCACTGAGCTTTAAAAAGTGCTGTCACCCTTCAGGTTCTCTGTCTCCTCAATCTATTCTTTGCCTGACTTAAGGATTTTTTTCCTGCCCAGAAGCTCTCCAGCTGTTCATCCCCTCCTCCATGTTCTAGCTTTACTGGATGGATGGATTGCCTGTGATGGGAGGGGTTGCTGCAGAGGTCTCTGAAATGCCTTTGAGACCTTTCTGCCATTGTCTTTGCTATCAGCTCTTGTTTGCATTTTACTTATGCAAATTTCTCTATCAAGTGGTTGCTTAGCAGCTCACTTGAATTCTTCTCTTGAAAATAGGCTTTTCTCTTCTACCACATGGCCAGGTTGCAAATTTTCCAAACTACTATGGTCTGCTTCCTCTTTAAATAGAATATAATTTCCAACCTTAGGTCATTTATTTGCTCACACATCTGAACATAGGCTGTTAGACACAGCCATGCCACATCTTGAACACTTTGCTGCTTAGAAATTTCTTCTGCCAAATAACCTAAATCATCACTCTCAAGTTCAAATGTTCACAGAGTCCTAAAGGATGGACACAATTCAACCAAGTTCTTTCCTAAGGCATAACACATGTCACGTTTGTTCCAGTTCCCAATAAGTTCCTCATTTCCATCTGACACCTCAGCAGCCAGGACGTCACTGTCCATATTACTATTAGCATTTTGGTCACAACCACTTAACAGTCTCTAAGAAATTCCAAACTTCTTTCATCTTCCTGTCTTCTTCTGAGCCCTCCAAACTCTTCCAATCTTTGCCCATTACCCAGTTTTGAAGTTGCTTCTGCATTTTCAGATATCTTTATAGCAATACTCCACTGGCTCTTATGTCCTAGGATGAGAACCACAAGCATGAGAACATGAGGATAAATACACTTTGGGGAAAAAGAAAACAGACAGAGGCAGCAGAGAAGGAAGACGAGAAGAAGAGAAAAAGAGAAGTAGGAAGAGGATGAATTCATTTCGCTTATCTGGCAAATGTGTAATCTGAGTAATAGAGGTGAGTGTTTCTAAGAGGATGCTGTTCAGAGACAAATACACTGTTTAAAATCCATTAGATCTGTGTGCTCTTGTCATATCCCTCACCTGAAAACTAGAGAAATATGGGCAGGTAACCACTGAAATATATAAACAGCAAGGAGCATTAAAAATGCAGAGGTACTGAGAGTTACAGGAATGTATAACTTTGGGACATTAATCATTTTAGAAAATGCTTTTATGAAGTAGTAAATTTTTTTCTTTTTTCTTGAGTAGTTGTATTTTAAAATATGTTTGGATTACTAAAAAGTTGTAAAAATGGTACAGGCAGTTCCCGTATACATGTTCTTCAGCGTTGGCTGATGTTACCTTTTTTTTTTTTTTTTGAGGCAGAGTCTCACTCTGTCGCCCAGGCTGGAGTGCAGTGGCATGATCTTGGCTCACTGCAAGCTCTGCTTCCCTGGTTCACACCATTCTCCTGCCTCAGCCTCCCAAGTAGCTGAGACTACAGGTGCCTGCCACTATACCTGGCTAATTTTTTTGTATTTTTCAGTAGAGACGGGGTTTTACCGTGTTAGCCAGGATGGTCTTAATCTCCTGACCTCGTGATCTGCCCTCCTGGGCCTCCCAAAGTGCTAGGATTACAGGCGTGAGCCACCGCGTCCGGCCATCTTTTTTATTTTATTTTATTTTATTTATTGAGATGGAGCCTCACTCTGTTGCCTTTTTGTGCAATCTCGGCTCACTGCAACCTCTGCCTCCTGGGCTCAAGTGATTCTTTTGCCTCAGCCTCCCAAGTAGCTGGGATTACAGGCGCATGCCTCCATGCCCGGCTGATTCTTTGTACTGTCAGTAGAGGTGGGGGTCTCGCCACGTTGGCCAAGATGGTCTCAAACCCCTGACCTCAGGTGATCTGCCCACCTTGGCCTCCCAAAGTGCTGGAATTACAGGCACAAGCCATAGTGCCCGGCATAATGTTACTTTCATACTTAAGTGTGGTATATCTGTGAACCTTAAAAATTCACATGGGTACAATATTTATTAAAGAAATTACAGACACATTTTCAGTGGGTTTTTTAATTTTTTTTTTTTTTTTTTTGAGACGGAGTCTCACTCTGTCGCCCAGGCTAGAGTGCAGTGGCACAATCTTGGCTCACTGCAAGCTCCGCCTCCCAGGTTCATGCCATTCTTCTGCCTCAGCCTCCCGAGTAGCTGGGACTACAGGTGCCCGCCACCCCGCCCAGCTAATTTTTTGTATTTTTTAATAGAGATGGGGTTTCACCGTGTTAGCCAGGATGGTCTCGATCTCCTGACCTCATGATCTGCCCTCCTTGGCCTCCCAAAGTGCTGGGATTACAGGTGTGAGCCACCGCACCCTGCCTTTTTTTTGTTTTTTTAAGTTCCAGAGACCATGTGCAGGATATGCAGGTTTGTTACATAGGTAAATGCGTGCCATGGTGGTTTGCTGCACCTATCAACCCATCACCTAGGTATTAAACCTGGCATGCATTAGCTATTTCTTTTGATACTCTCCTCCCAACCATGCCCTCCTCTGACAGGCCACAGTGTGTGTGTTCCCCTCCCTGTTTCCATGTGTTCTCATTGTTCAGCTCCCACTTATAAGTGAGAACATGCAGTGTTTGATTTCCTGTTCCTGTGTCAGTTTGCTGAGGATAATGTCTTTCAGCTCCATCCATGTCCCTGCAAAGGACATGATCTTGTTCCTTTTTATGGCTGCATAGTACTCCATGGTGTATTTGTACCACATTTTCTTTATCCAGTCTATCACTGATGGGCATTTGGGTTGATTTCGTGTCTTTGCAATTGTGAATAGTGTTACAATGAACATACACATGCATGTATTTTTAAAATAGAATGATTTATATTCCTTTGGGTATATACCCCATAATGGGATTGCTGGGTCAAATGGTATTTCTGGTTCTAAATCTTTCAGGAATCACCACACTGTCTTTCACAATGGTTGAATTAATTTACATTCCCACAAACAGTGTAAAAGCATTCCTATTTCTCTGCAACCTCGCCAGCATCTGTTGCTTCTTGGCTTTTTAATAATTGCCATTCTGACTGGTGTGAGATGGTATCTCATTGTGGTTTTCATTGGCATTTCTCCAGTGATCATTGGCATTTCTCCAGTGATCAGTGATATTCAGCTTTTTTTTCACATTTGTTGGCCACATGTATGTCTTCTTCTAAGAAGTGTCTGTTCATGTCCTTTGCCCATTTTTTAATGGCATTTTGTTTTTTGTAAATTTGCTGAAGTTCCTTATGGATGCTGAATATTAGACCTTTGTCGGATGGATATGTTGCAAAAATTTTCTTCCATGCTGTAGGTTGCTTATTCACTCTGATGATAGTTTTCTTTTGCTGTGCAGAAGCTCTTTGGTTTAATTAGATCTTAGTTGTCAATTTTTGCTTCTGCTGCAATTGGTTTTAGAGATTTCATCATAAAATCTTTGCCCATGCTTATGTGTCCTGTATGGTATTGCCTAGATTTTCTTCTAGAGTTTCTATAGTTTTTATTTTTTTTTTACATATAAGTCTTTAATCCATCTAGAGTTAATTTTTGTATAAGGTGTAATAAAGGGTCCAGTTTCAATTTTCTGCATGTGACTAGCCAGTTCTCCCAACATCATTTTTAAATAGGGAATCCTTTCCCCATTGCTGGTTTTTGTCAGGTTTGTTGAAGATCAGATGGTAGTTTAGTGGGAATAGCATTAAAGCTATAAACTGCTTTGGGCAGTATGGCTGTTTTCATGATATTGACTCTTCCTGTCCATGAGCATGGAATGTTTTTCCATTTGTTTGTGTCCTCGCTGATTTCCTTGAGCAGTAATTTGTAGTTCTCCTTGAAGAGGTCCTTCACTTCCCCTTATTAGCTGTATTTCTAGGTGTTTTATTTTCTCTGTGGCAATTGTGAATGAGAATTTATTCATGATTTGGCTCGCTGCTTGTCTGTTCTTGGTTTATAGAAGTGCTTTTAATTTCTGCACATTGGTTTTGTATCCTGAGACTTTGCTGAAGTTGCTTATCAGCTTAAGAAGTTTTTGGGCTGAGTTGATGGGGTTTTCTAGATACAGCATCATGTCATCTGCAAACAAAGACAAGTTGACTTCTTCTCTTCCTATTTGAATACCCTTTATTTCTTTGTCTTGCCTGATTTCCTTTGCCAGAATTTCCAATACTGTGTTGAATAAGAGTGGTGAGAGAGGGCATCCTTTTCTTGTGCCCGTTTTCAAGGGGAGTGCTTCCAGCTTTTGCCCATTCACTATGATACTGGCTGTCGGTTTGTCATAAATGGCTCTTATTTTGGATATGTGCCATCAATACCTAGTTTATTGAGAGTTTTTATCATGAAGAGATGTTGAATTTTATCAAAGGCCTTTTCTGCATCTGTTAAGATAGTGTTGTGTTTTTTGTCTCTAGTTCTGTTTATGTGATGAATTATGTTTATTGATTTCATGTATTGAACCAGCCTTGCATCCCAGGAATGAAGCCAACTTGTTCATGGTGGATAAGCTTTTTGATGTGCTGCTGGATTTGGTTTGCCAGTATTTTATTGAGGATTTTGACATCGATGTTCATCAGGGGTATTGGCAAGAAGTTTTATTTTTTTGTTGTATATCTCTGCCAGGTTTGGTATCAGAATGATGCTGGCCTCATAAAATGAGTTAAGGAGGAGTCTCTTCTTTTCGATTGTTTGGAATAGTTACAGAAGAAATGTACCAGCTCCTCTTTGCACCTCCAGTAGAATTCAGCTGTAAATCCATCTGGTCCTGGGCTTTTTTTGGTTTGTAGGTTATTAATTACTGCCTCAATTTCAGAACTTGTTATTGGTCTATTCAGGGATTCAACTTCTTCCTGGTTGAGTCTTGGGAGGGTGTATGTGTCCAGGAATGTGTCCATTTATTCTAGAGTTTCTGATTGATTTGCATAGAAGTGTTTATCATTTTCTCTGACAGTAGTTTGTATCTCTGTGGGGTCAGTGGTAATGTCATCATTATCATTTTTGATTGTGTTTATTTGAATCTTGTCTTTTTTTCTTTATTAGTCTAGCTAATGGTCTATCTATTTTATTGATTTTTTTTTTCAAAGAACCAGCTCCTGGATTTGTCGATTTTTTTGAAGGGTGTTTTGTGTCTCTTTCTTCTTCAGTTGTGCTCTGTGCTTGGTTATTCCTTGTCTTCTGCTAACTCTGAAATTTATTTGCTCTTGGTTCTCTGGTACTTTTAGTTGTGATGTTAGGGTGTCCATTTGAGATCTTTCTAGCTTTTTGTTGGATCTATTTAGTGCTGTAAATTTCCCTCTTAACACTGCTTTAGCTGCATCCCAGAGAGTCTGGTATGTTGTCTCTTCGTTCTCATTAGTTTCAAAGAATTTCTTGGTTTCTGCCTCAGTTTTATTATTTATCCAGAAGTCATGCAGGAGCAGGTTGTTCAATTTCCATGTAGTTACGTGTTTTTGAGTGAATTTCTTAATCTTGAGTTCTAATTTGATTGTGCTGTGGACTGAGAGACTGTTATGATTTCAGTTCTTTTGCATTTGCTGAGCAGTGGTTTACTTCTAATTATGTGATCAATTTTAGAGTAAGTGCCATGTGGTACTGAGAAAAATGTATGTTCTGTTGGTTTTGGGTGGAGACTTATGTAGATCTCTGTCAGGTCCAGTTGATCCAGGGCTGAGTTCAAGTCCTGAATATCTTTCTAAATTTTCTTTCTCGATGATCTGTCTAATATTGGCAGTGAGGTATTAAAGTCTCCCGCTATTATTGGGTGGGTATTCAAGTCTCTTTGTATGTCTTTAAAAATTTGTTTTATGGGCTGGGCGTGGAGGCTCACGCCTGTAATCCCAGCGCTTTGGGAGGCTGAGGCGGGTGGATCACTTGAGGTCAGGAGTCCGAGACCAGCCTGGCCTACGTGGTGAAACCCTGCCTCTACTCAAAATACAAAAATTAGACGGGTATGGTAGTGGGCGCCTGTAATCCTAGCTACTTGAGAGGCTGAAGCACAAGAGTCACTTGATCCTGAAAAGTGGAGGTTGCAGTAAGCTGAGATCGCACCACTGCAGTACAGCCTGTGAGATAGAGAGAGATTCAGTCCTAATAAAACAAAATAAAAATAACTTGTTTTATGAATCTGGGTGCTCCTGTATTGGGTGAATATATATTTATGATAGTTGGCTCTTTTTGCTGAATTAAAGTTTTTACCATTACCTAATGCCCTTCTTTGTCTTTTTTGACCTTTCTTGGTTTAAAGTCTGTTTTGCCAGAGACTAGGATTGCAACCCCTGCTTGTTTCTGCTTTCCATTTGCTTGGTAAATTTTCCTCCATCCGTTTACTTTGAGCCTAGGTGTATCTTTGCACGTGAGATGGGTCTCTTGAATACAGCAGTCCAATGGGTCTTGATTCTTTATCCAATTTTTTAGTCTTTGTCTTTTACTGGGGGCATTTAGCCCATTCACACATAAGGTTAATATTGTTATGTGTGAATTTGATCCTGTCATCATGATGCTGGCTGGTTAATTTTGCAGACTTGTTAATCTAGTTGCTTCATGGTGTCGTTGGTCTGTGTACTTCAGGGTGTTTTTGTAGTTTTGAAGAGCACTTGTCAAATTTTTTTATCAAATGTCCTTCAATTTGAATTTGATTTTTTTTCATGTGGACAGAAGGATTAAGATCTAGTATTTGACAGTACAGTAGAACTATAGCTAACAATATTTTGTGGTATAGTTGCTGGGGAAGAGGAATTGGAATGTTCCCAACATAAAGATGGGTGAAGGTTTGGGGTGAGGGAGTCCCAGTTGCCCTGGTTTATTGGTATACATTGTATGCATGTATCAAAATACTGCGTGTACCAACAAAACATGTGTAAGTATTATGTAATGATAAAGTCTGTGTCAGGGGTCTCTGTACACTTATGGCTGAGGGCTGGGCTTCGCATGCATGAGGCAAGATCACCAGACATTTACCAAATAGCAGTGATATGTTTTATTATTCCTCACTCTCCAAACTTGTTAACACACAGCAGTGACTATGAACAGTTCCTTAACACCCTTGGCATCCAGCTGAGTCATTGAATGTAGCCAGACAAAAACAGACACGTCACAGACAGTGGAGAAAGAGGAGAAGAAGGCCCCCTGACTTCTCATCCAAAAAATGGAGGCCTAACACAAATGGAAAATTGTCTTTAAATTGCTGAAGAATAAAAAATACTTAATGCTATATCCTATGAAAATATCCTTTAAATATGAGGATAAAAATCAAGGTAATCTTAGAAACATGCCAAGCTATGAGAATTTTTATTGCCTACAACCTACATGACAACCAGTTCTAAAGGAACTCCTTCAGTCTGCAGGAATCATAGTGCAGGTCCAGGGATGAACCTGAGAAGCAGTAAAGGAGTATATATAAAAGACAACATTTTCTTTCCTGATGGAATTGCTGTAAAACACTACCGACTCTTTAAAGAACAATAACCCCACAGGCAGTTTTTATACTGCAGGCAAAAGTAAAAATTATAAGAATTGCACAAAGAAGGATATGGGGTAAATGGAATCAGTTATACACTCTTGGTTTTCTCCTCACTGAGACTGAAGAGGAAATTAATGAATTTTACAATATGTGAAGCCAGAAAATTAACTTTCCCCTCAGGGCTTAGTTATAAGGTAGCGCCCCCGTCCCCACCCCGTAGTAGAAGTTAGAGAAGGATATTAACAGCCTGTGCTCCTTCTGTGCTCCATGAGCCTCATCTATACTCCCCAGTTTCACATTCCTTAGAGCTCTGTGAATTCTTGCTTACCTCCCCAGCACAGCTGCAAGGTCATAAGATTGATACGTATATATTACACAACCATGTATTCCCAAGGATGTAAGACATGGAGTAACAACTGCCTTTCTTCTCGCTTCTGTAAGTACGCTTCCTGCATCACGTAATTCCCACCACTGATTGTTTAAAAGGTGGCTGCTCTCTTTGTTCGGGGCTCAGACTTTCCTGGACGCTAGTCCTACTGAGCCAGGTGCTCACCTTAATAAAGGCTCTCCTGAACTCTGTTCAGTCTCTCCCATCTCTGATTGTCCCGCTACAAGACAGTTACCAAATCCTCCATCTGCATAACTCCATCAGCAAACCCTGCATTTACCTTCTGGGACAATGTGGTACTTTCCCTACATTTTTCTCCCTGTCTCATCCTTTCATCTATTTATTGCATATCTTAAAGTAGATGTTTTTCACCAACTACACACTGGTATCTGGTATTAATGAGGATGTCAGTAAATAATATTGGCACCACAGAAAATAAGTGTATGTCTGTTCTTTGTCTTCCCAAATACTAATCTGTAAATTTCTTTAGGTTGTGACTTGAGGTCATCATAATCATTACCTTCTTCCCAATCCTGATTCAAACCTTGACCCATAATAGGTGCTTAATACCTAAACATATGAAGGAATAAAGAATGGATGCATATTCTAAGTTAATAAATAATCAGGAACAAATACATGGAAGGATCAGTACTGCCAGTTTAAACACACACAAACTGCGCTTCAAACATCTTGCACTATTTGCCAATAAACACAGTCTGGAGCCAAAGTTCAAGTTGGAATTTTCTGTTATAAATCATTTTATCATAATTGTTTTACAGTCATAATTGTTTTACAGAGCTTGGTCTTGGGCTATTGTTGTTACTTTATTTTTTAATTTAGTTTTTCCAGTATTTTCTTGTATCTCTACAATGTTTTAAGCATCAGCTAAGTCAGTGTAAAACAGTAAAAATTGGGAAAAAAATTGACATGATCTTCAAAATCATGGAGTATACAGTAAAATAAATGAACCTGACAGTAAATAAGCAAATAGAAATACAGCACAGTATTAATACATTGTGACACTGTAATATTAGAACATTTTGATAATACTGTTACTACCACATCACCTGAGACATTTGGAGGCAGTTTTATACAATTTTGATAGTTTTGGTAAGTTTTGATTTAAGCAATAATCTATCATGAGAAAAAGTTCACACTTACTGCCCAGGGTTACTCAATGCTAGAGGCTTCATGTGGAGCTTCTGAAATTATGTATGGGAGACCCGTGGAGCTGTCAATTGGGAACAAAATGCCCCACATCATGATTACTATCCTCAATAGAAAAACCACGTTGGGTTTCAAATATCAGTGTCACACCCACATTTCCTCTGAAATTCAGGTGCTGGTTTACAGCTAAGATGCTTTCCACATGAGCATATTAATGTTGGGGTCCTCAGTTTTGGGGATGTAGCCAGGATTTACTTAAATGAAGGCTGAGGATTTCCTGGGGAAATACCAGAAACATTGTCTTGTATATGACACAGTAGATTGGAACAAGATTTTCTAATATGCATAGTTTAGGGAATCGCATTTTAACTCTGTCCCTAAAACACAGTCATTCAGCCGTCAGAAAGTGGTCCACGCTGACATTCCATTATTAACTCACCTTGGCCTTGGAATTCAAGAATGACTTGGGGAAGAGCTGAATGGGAAGGTGGGAGGTGTAGAGGTGTGGGCCCTTCTGACTCTCTAAACCTGCTTTCTTACGTTTAACTTCTATCCATGGTGAACGATCCCAGGGAACAACAGATTGGACCCAACTAGGATCTCCCTTGGAGTGGATCAGACTGATGATTTCCACTATCCAAAAGCTTCCTGAATAAAAAAGAAGAAGGTGTCACCTACTTCAATGTGACATTGACCCCACCACTACATCTTAAAGACCCTGTGTTATTTCAGCAATAATGCCCCTGCCCATCAATCCAACTGGTGTTTTCATTCCTCATCTTAGTCTTAAGTGCATTCAACTGATGCTTTATTCTAGAGGTACTCTGTTCCTTTCACCTTTATGTGGCCATCTTTACCCTGTTTTGTCATAATACTCTTTTAAAAAACCAACTTTTAAAATGTTAAATTGTGGTAAAATACAAACAAACAATTGACTGGCTTAACCATTTGTAAGTGTCCGGTTCAGTAAATATGCACATTATCATGCAACCATCACCACCATCCATCTCCAGAATGTTTTTCTCTTTGCAAAATTGAAACTCTGTAAACATTAAAAAGCAACTCTTTTTATTCTCTTCCCATCAGCTCCTCGCAACCACCACACTACTTTCCCTCTCTATGAATATTTCTATACCAGGTACCTCCTATGACTGGATCACACAGTATTTATCCTTTCATGCCTGACTTTTACATAGTATAGTGCCCTCAAGGTCCATCCATGTGGTACCATGTATTAGAACTTCCTCTCTTTTAAGGGCGACTAATATTCCATTGTTTGTATAGAGTACATTCTGTTTATCTGTTCATCTGTCGATGGACATGTGGGCTGCTTCCACCTTTGGGCTGTTGGATGCCCTAATATTCTTGCTCCCACTGCTCAATATCATTTTATTTATTTATTTATTTATTTTTTATTTTATTTTTATTTTTTGAGACAGAGTCTCGCTCTGTCACCCAGGCTGGAGTGCAGTGGCACGATCTCGGTTCACTGCAAGCTCTGCCTCCCGGGTTCATGCCATTCTCCTGCCTCAGCCTTCCGAGTAGCTGGGACTACAGGTGCCTGCCACCACGCGCAGCTAATTTTTTGTATTTTTTTTTAGTAGAGACGGGGTTTCACCGCCGTTAGCCAGGATGGTCTCGATCTCCTGACCTCCTGACCTCCTGATTCGCCCGCCTCGGCCTCCCAAAATGCTGGGATTACAGGCGTGAGCCACCGCGCCCGGCCTCAATATCATTTTAAAAAGAGCAAAACTGTCATGTGCAGCCAACATGGAGGGAGGGAACTGGAAGAAATTATGTTAAGTGAAATAAGCTCAGCCCAGTAAAACAATGGCACCAAATAGTCTTAATGCACAGAATAGACCATTGAACCACTGCACACATGCACTTGCTAAATATTACAATATTTTCACTCCCATTTTCCCACCTTTCATATTCTTTCTCTAGTTACACTGTAGTATCCGTTACACTCGATAATCCCAGCTTCCCTGTATGTGCTTCTCCACCAGCGATCTCTGCCTCAATGCATGACACCAACACATGTCTACTATTCTTTGCCTGAAACCTCAGGCATATGTATGTGCCTTCTCCTCATCCATGCGGTTCTCAGCTGGGGTAAACTGTGTCCACCTCAAGGGAAAATTAACAGTGACTGCAGACATTTTGAGTTATCACACTTGAGTATGCTACTGACTCCAGTGGGCAGGGGCCAGGGATGCAGCTAAACATCCTACAATGCACAGGACAGCCCTCTTCCCCCTGAAAATGTATTATGTGGCCCACAATGTCTGTAGTGTAATAGATCGAAACACTGCCATCTGGCAAAGACCTTCTCCTCGACCAGACTTGACTTGGGCTTCCCTGAGTCCTCTTCCTGACTAGGCCTGGACTTTGGACATCTGTGTTGAAACTGTGTTGCACCCAGTTTCAACAAGGGTAATGAGAATCCCCCCATCCTTGATACCTGATCAGATTTCCCATGTTCCACTCTTAATGTCTAAATCTTTGGCCTGCCTTTAGCAAGGATTCTGCTCCTGATACCTAATCAAGTTGTTCTTTGTAATTTCCCACCCACTGACCGCCTTACTTTGATAATTGTCTACAAAAAACCAACTATCATTGCTATATTCAGAGTTGGGTCTCTCTCCCCTGTTGCAATTGTCTTGAATATTCTTCCTCACCATTTACCCAAGTGTCAGAATATTTTTTCTTTTACATCTAACAGTCTCACATTCACGCTCAGCATCTAAGGATAAATGTTTATTTTTTCACCGAAATTCTTTCAATAATCAGTCCCTTCTAACCATCCTGCATGATCACTTAAATCTGCCTTAGCTTCTGTGGGATCTCATGTCTCTCTCTGTCTCTACAGTGCCCCAGTAATCACATTCATTTGCATTATGTTTAATTGTCTGGTTTAATCCGTCTCTCTGAGTAGAAGCTTTGTTAAAACACCACACTATCGGCGCCTGTAGTCCCAGCTACTTGGGAGGCTGAGGCAGGAGAATGGCGTGAATCCAGGAGGCGGAGCTTGCAGTGAGCTGAGATCGTGCCACTGCACTCCAGCCTGGGTGACAGAGCGAGATTCCGTCTCAAAAACAAAGAAACAAACAAACAAAAAAACCCCACACTATCCACCAAAGCATACCCAAGCGCAGGGCATAAAGAAGGCACTCCATCAGTATCTTCACCGCATCCCTTCCTGAGTTTCGGGTCCCACTTCCCTACCTGACTTTGGGTAAGAAAGTGTAATGACATCTTCATCCCGCAACACAATTTCATCTTGCAAACGTCTCAGGTCTGTAAAATTATTGCTGGGAAAAGGAATCCCTTCAATCCAGATAGATCCACCAGCCATCTAAAGAAACACCACAGTCTTCCCAGGTTCGTATTCGCTGCACCTGTGCAATCTTAGCGGCACCACTTTTCTTGTTCTGCGACAGGTTAAGATGCAAAGGATGGAGACATTGGGACAGAGCAGCCCAAGTTCATTTTGATACAGCTCCGATGACTGGACGATTACCAGGCTTTTTGGTCTGGTGCTGATAGGATTAACGACATGGACACATGTGGAGTAGTTTTAAGGAGTGAAAAGTTTAATAGCAAGTAAGAAGGAAGAAAGAAGAGAACAGCTCCCCCGTACTGAGACATGGGAAAGGAACAGAGATAGACCCTGTGCGCAACAGAAAGACAGTCCCTTATATCTGGAGGCTGGAGGAGGCAGTATCTGGTTTGCATAGGGCCCAAAGGATTGGCTTGACCAGGTGTGTTATTCATGTAGCCTGGGAGAAACCAGGCCCTCCCGCCATAGCCTTTTAATATGCAAATGTGGGTTGCCATGATGGTTTGAACACATGGTGTTACTTGGAGGTGGCCTTCACACTTTGCACAGGTGGTAACAAGGAGAAGACGGTGGGAATCACCATGTTGAGTGGACCCAGTTTCTAGTGGCCAGCATTTGCATATCAAAGCTTGTCAGCCCGGCCCTTGAAGCCGCCTTTTTGGTTAGAAAAGAGATTGCTTGGTTAGAAAAGAGATTTCTTATTACAGGAAAATTTTCACCAAGAACCTTTACCCTTACTGTATGCCTAAAATGATTTCTTAATAACTCCTGTAATATCCCCCCCTCAAAGAGAAGTAAACCTAACTGCTGTTAGGGGGTGTTAGATGATGATTCTTTCTGGGTACTGTCTGCTGAAAAGGGGCGTGTGGTTGGGGGGGGACAGCAATTGGGCCTTCTCCTGTGGTTGATCTGAGGTTCTCAGAAGAATGGCATGTCTGTGTGTGGCTCAGCTCACAGCACCATTTAAAGTTTAATTGCTTCTATTAAACTTTATTTAATGTTTTATTAAATAAAACATTATTTAATAAAATATTAAAATATTAAACTTTATTTGATTTAAGGTGAAAAAATATAAATTTTACAAGAAGATTTAAAATGTAGGGTTAGGATACAATTATTAAAATTACCACCGTTAGTGGGGGGCCCTGTTAGACCATAACTGACAGTAGAGTTTGACACCTTTTAGTTACACCAATGGATTGCAATACTGGCTTGCCTCCACTAGATGTCGGTGTACATTACCAGAAACGTTAATATAGCGGTAACTTTTTCCTAGAGAAAAGCGGACATTTCCCCCTTAATCTGCCGTTAGAGAATAACTTTAGGCCTAGGCCATTTTTACAACTTGCAATATGATTGGGAGAAAGACATTATTGGGTGGCTAAAATAACTTTAGCGTTAATTTTGACAATTCCTTTCCTTTAATTACTAAATTCTTTTATGACTTTTATAAACCTTCTTACAACACCTTTACACTTTTTGATTTGTCCTAAACATCCTTTCTTTAAACAACCGGTTATTTCCCTTTAGTACAAGAATTTACCATACAAAATCCTTCCGTACATAAAATCTCTTCCTTTATAACCTTTTCATAGTGTGTATTATATTACCAACCTTTAGTAAAAAGTCTTTTCAAACTTAGTGATGGTATAACTTTCATGCTTCTTATCCATAACTATTAGTCCTGCTATAAGCAAAACAACCTTGACTAAATTTTTCCTGCAATTATTAATCCTGTTATAAGGATGATAATCTGGCAAAATATTACAGCAATTAGAATTTTACAACCAGAATTCCACATTGTGAGTGCCACAGCGTTTAGTTCTATTGCAAATAGTAGCTTGACTAGAACAATTTTCACAAGAGTGGCATAGTAAATAATTTTCATTTAAAACTTTACTTGCCAAGACATAACATGTCCCTTTGGGGATTTACAAAGTTACAAATATGATTCTATGAATAATTAAATCTCTCTGCAAATATGCATTAAAAAGAAGTTCTAATATTTGGCAGTGAACTTTGAGAGGAAAGTTTAGAAATAATAAAAAGTATTTGATAAGGTAGGAGTGGGACTGAGTAAGATGCGTAGCCCTCACTCAGTTACTTATCTTTTATGATTTTCAGCTTAAGATCTTCTACTTTTTTTTTTTTTTTTTTTTTTTTTTTGAGACGGAGTTTTGTTCTGTCGCCCAGGCTGGAGTGCAGTGGTGTGATCTTGGCTAACTGCAACCTCCACCTCCCGGGTTCAAGCGATTCTCCTGCCTCAGCCTCCTGAGTAGCTGGGACTACAGGCGCCCACCACTGCACCCGGCTAATTTGAATTAGTTTTTGTATTTTTAGTAGAAACAGGGTTTCACCATGTTAGCCACGCTGGTCTCGATCTCCTGACCTCGTAATCCGCCCGTCTCGGCCTCCCAAAGTGCTGGGATTACAGGCGTGAGCCACCGCGCTCGGCCAAGATCTTCTATTTCTTCACACTGATATTGAGGACATTCCTCTGGACCGTCAGGGGTTGCTTCCTCAGCTTTGCAGGCTTTGGCTTGATCGTGATGTATTCACAAGTTGATTCCTGTAACTTTTACTGCCCAAGGGGGTTGAGAGAACAACAGTGTAGGGCCCTTCCTAGCTTGGCTTAGGGAAGGTGACAGAGGTGAGAGTTTTACTAATACCAAATTTCTTGGGTTAAATAGAGGTGGTTCCTGCTGGAAGTGAGCTAGAGAGGTTACATGCTTAACCAATTTAGAGGTTTCCTGCCTGAAAACAATTTCTGAGCACATGGATAAGTTTTATCCTTTCCCAAGTGAAAAGCTTGGTGAAGGATTTTAAGAACTTTTCATTGGCTGGAGGCTGGCAAATAGAGTTTGCCATCCTGACTGTAGCCATCCTGAGGGCTGAAAAGTATGCCCTAGAGAAGTAGTCTATTCTATTTTTGTAGGGGAATACTGAGGTTTAATTTCTCTTACAGAGTCTTTTTAGATTAGAAGGGGCTTGAAGTGTGTTAATACCTCGAAGCTTTCATGCCTTTGACTTAGCTGCCTGATCAGCTAATTTATTTCTTTCGGCTACCTTGTTTCCTTTTAATGTTCCTTAAAATGCATCCTTGCTATTTTTTTGTGGAAGAAAAACTGAGGATAATAACCTGCTAATTTCCTGGTGATATTTTATAGGAGATCCATTAGTGGTAAGAAAATGTGTTTCCTTTTAAATGGCCCCAGCATGAGCATGGAGAGCTATGAAAGCATACTTGGAGTTAGTGTAAATGTTAGCTGCCTTTCCCTTGCTTAATTTAGGTGCTCTTGTAAGAGCTATTAGCTCAGCTAATTGAGCGTTTGTGCCTGGGGAGAGTGACTACTGCTTATCCTGCCTTATGTACATCTTGCTTTACTGGCTGTCAGCTAAGAGCTCCCCCTAGAGGACCGTGATTCTGCTACATTATGTGGGCTGTAAACAGTTAAATTATTTCCTAGGGTTAACTTGGAGGCTTTTCTGACTAGTAGAGCTATCATGACAATGGCTTGCAAGCGTGTGTCAACTAAGGTTGAGAAAAAGATTGGATTAGCCTTTTTCCTGAGATGCCCCTTACGGTCATGCTCTGGGGAGAGGGGAGATCTGGATTAGAGAGGAGAAGACAGAGAGAGACTAGCTCTAGTGTTTGGAAGGAGGTTTACTTTCCTTCCTTTAATTTCCAGAATCATCCAGAGCTCCTGTGCTATAATGGCAGTTTGAACCGCTGGAGCCGAGATTTGAGCCCCGGGACCCATCAGTCCTGCTGGACCGTCTGTGAAACTGGTCCTGAACCCAGTGACCTCCGCCTCTGGGGGCAATTCCATCTCCAGTGGTTTTTGCCACAGGCTGGACAGGGTCGAAGTTGCTTCGTCTTGCTGCCTGGGCAATCCTTAAAATGCCCTGGCCTGCCACATCAATAGCAACTAGCAGATGCACCTTGGGGATTCTGGATGTTGCAAGCCTGCAAAGCTGCTGCTAGAGCCTCTGTCCGTCTCCCGAGCTTGCTCTCTTTCTTTTGGGCATCCTCCTCCTGGTCCATATTATTAAAGACCGAAGTGGCCACTTTCAGGAGGCTCTCTAAGGTGCTGTCTGGTCCTGTACCTTGGTTTTGTAGTTTCCTTCTACTATCAGGAGCTGCCTTGTGTAATAAACTTGTCCTTCAGGATGAGCTGTTCCTCAACTGAATTACGGGATAAGGAGGTATACTCTATTAGTGCCTTTCCATAAAGGCTACAGGAGTCTTATCTGGCTTTTGGTCCATTATAGACAGTTTAGAGTATGATACCTTGTTTTAACCTGAATTGACTCTCCCTTAGCTGAGAGAGCCAGACAGACACCATCTTGGCTCCTTCACTTACAGCCCCTTACTCACCCCCTTCCTCAAGGACTTAACTTGTGCAAGCTGACTCCCAGCACATCCAAGAGTGCAATTAACTGATAAGATACTGTGGCAAGCTATATCTGCAGTTCCTAGGAATTTGCCCAGTTGATAGCACCCAGAGCCCCCCGCGTTTGTGTCCGGTTGATAACACCCAAAGCCCCGCGCCTATCACCTTGTGATGGATTTAAAACCCCTGCACCTGGAACCGTTTGCTTTCCTGTAACCATTTATCCTTTTTACTTTTTGCCTGCTTTATTTCTGTAAGATTGTTTTAACTAGACTCCCCCCACTCCCCTTTCTAAACCAAAGTATAAAAGAAAATCTAACCCCTTCTTCAGGGCCGAGAGAATCTTGAGCACTAGCCGTCTCTCGGTCTCTGGCTAATAAAGGACTCCTGAATTTGTCTCAGCGTGTGGCGTTTCTCTGTAACTTGCTCGGTTACAACAAGAATAATTGAGGCTGGGCACAGTGGCTCACGCCTGTAATCCCAGCACTTTGATAGGCCGAGGCAGGCGGATAACGAGGTCAAGGGATCGAGACCATCCTGGCTAACGCGGTGAAACCCCATCTCTACTAAAAATACAAAAAATTGGCCGGGCATGGTAGCAGGTGCCTGTAGTCCCAGCTACTCGGGAGGCCGAGGCAGGAGAATGGCGTGAACCCAGGAGAATGGCGTGAACCCAGGAGGTGGAGCTTGCAGTGAGCAGAGATGGCACCACTACACTCCAGCCTGGGCGACAGAGCGAGACTCCGTCTAAAAAAAAAATAAAAAATAAAAAAAAGTAATAGAGAGGTTGGCCTTGGTTTTCTAAAATGCATATTACAAAGTGCTTTATCTTCCGCTTATCCCCCTGAGCTAATGGGGTACCATTAGGACCCAAAATTCCGTTGATATCTAAAGTTTATTTTGCTGTACAACTCTGGTTTTTGTGGGTTCTTTTTTTCTTTTTTTTTTTTCTAGAGTTTTACTTGCTTCTAACACAAAAAAGGCCAGGTTTTCCTTCAGGCAACTCCTTTATGGAGTTTGAGCTTGCCTTCAACAGGAAAGATGAGGTTTTTTGCCCTGCTCCCCTAATGGTAGAGAGCAGGCTTCAACCTGTGACCCATGATCCCTAGATAAGTAACTGAGTTGGGGATTGTCTTGGCCAAAGAGAAGAGTAGCAACCAGCTGGTCTTCATTTCTTGTTACCATCAGAGCACTCCATAATCATATAAGTTGTGTGATCATTTGTTTTGCTTAAATGTTTTTTGTTGTTGTTGTTTGTTTCTGTTTTCGTTGCTGTTTTGCTTTTTTTCCCCATTGGGTTTTATCAACTCTACCTTTTTTTTTTTTTAATTGAGCAAAGGTTTTTTCTTCTCAGCTGACTGACTTCTGTTTTCTTCTTTTACTTCTGCTGTCTCTCCTTTCTCTTGCACCCTCTGCTGCATGAGGAACGTGACATAGTTTATCATAGTCTGAGGTTCCTTAAAGAAAATGGAGAAGGTGCAACTCCCTTGGGGTAGACACCTGTTTTTCCTTATCAAACCCCAAGAGTGTAAACAGAAAAGTTCATCTCAGCTCTTAAACTGCTTGCTTTTGTATTGTGTTACCTGATTTATTGACTAAAATAGTTATCACAACAAAGTCTACTCTTTGGGTTTTAAAGAAGTGTATAGTTTAGACAGTTAGAAATGTCATTGTTTACAAAATTTTTTTTCTAAGTGCACTGTAAAAACATCACATGGTCTAGCCTCATAATAATTCTCCCTTTTTGGAAACACAGCATTCAGTGTGGGTTTCTGCCCAGAGCTCAGAGAGCCAGTTAAAGGATAGATAATCCCTATCTAAATAAAATTGGTCTCCTTATACCATTCTATGATAAATTTTTATAATTTTATGTTTGATTTGGCATCCCTCTTTAATCTCCTTCTAGCACACCAGACTCTTTCTTTCCATACTTTATAATGCAAATTTTTCTATTTGATTTTCACCTGAGTTGTTTCCTTTAATATGCAAATTTAAGGCTATTTCACTGACAACTGCCTAGAGTTGTGAAACAGGTTACCAAGAATCTGAAAATCCATGATAGCAAAAAAGAAGGTTTTTGTGAATTGGTGAAGATGTACTTCTTTCCGCATGTCTAATATATCTTGTGTATTTATGTGTTATGTAAACAATGTTTCACTAATGAAAATATATAAAAGAGCTCTGATTAATTGGCTTAAAAAGTGTACATCAAATTATCAGAAAAAGAAAAGACTACTCAAATGCTTTTTCAAGTTTATGTGACTTCAGTAAAATCTTTAATAAACAAGCTAGCTTTAAAATTATTATTAAAGTAATATTAGAAATGTCTTAAGAATTGCCAGCATACATTTTTGTTTGCATTTTTTTTTTTGAGATGTAGTCTCGCTCTGTTGCCCAGGCTGGATTTGTAGTGGCGTGTTCTCTGCTCAGTGCAAGCTCCGCCTCCTGGGTTCACACCATTCTCCTGCCTCGGCCTCCCGAGTAGCTGGGACTACAGGTGCCTGCCAACACGCCTGGCTAATTTTTTGTATCTTTTTTTTCTTTTTTTTTTTTTTTTTTTTTTTTTTGAGACGGAGTCTCGCTCTGTCGCCCAGGCCGGACTGCGGACTGCAGTGGCGCAATCTCGGCTCACTGCAAGCTCCGCTTCCCGGGTTCACGCCATTCTCCTGCCTCAGCCTCCCGAGTAGCTGGGACTACAGGCGCCCGCCACCGCGCCCGGCTAATTTTTTGTATTTTTAGTAGAGACGGGGTTTCACCTTGTTAGCCAGGATGGTCTCGATCTCCTGACCTCATGATCCACCCGCCTCGGCCTCCCAAAGTGCTGGGATTACAGGCGTGAGCCACTGCGCCCGGCCGTATCTTTTTTTTAATAGAGACGGGGTTTCTCCGTGTTAGCCAGGATGGTCTCGATCTCCTGACCTGGTGATCCGCCCACCTTGGCCTCCCAAAGTGCTGGGATTACAGGCGTGAGCCACCATGCCTGGCCCTTTGTTTGCATTTATGGATCAAACAATTTCATACTTATCCCTGCCAAATACTATAAGGTGTCAAAACTTGACATAGGGGTTGCAAAAGCATAAACACAGCCAAAACAGAATGACCTTTGCTTGTGTAATCTTTAATAAATAAGACATTGATATTGGTTTAATAAAAATAGCTCTATCTTGAATTTAGTAACATTACCGTAACTTCTAATCTTGTGGCTTTAGGTGGTCTAGTCCACAGGCAGTAAGGAAGTTGGTTTTGGGAAAGGACTGTTATCATCTTCGTTTCAAAGCTAAATATAAAGTGAGTTCCTCCCAAAGTTTGTTTGGCCTATGCCCAGGAATGAACAAGGACAGTGTGGAGGTTAGAGTCAAGATGGAGTCAGTTAGGTCAGATCTTTGTTATTGTCTCAGTTATGGTGGTTTCATAATTTTAAATGATGCCTATCACAGTTTCATAAACAATGTAGGTAAGTGATTAACATAAGATAATTAGGTAAATGTAATGGGATGAATACTTGTAGATAAAATTGTCATAATTTAAAATCTAAATTACTATTAAATAATAGATATTTTATTATTTGGGTATTTTTCAACAAAATATATTGTAGGAAAACATTCTTTCTAAAAACAGGTGTGTGCTTTTTAAAAAGGTATACACTCTTTTGTCTAATTCAAAGCTTATGTAAAGGTTTTATATAAAACAAGGTAAAAGGAACCAGGAAATAAGAGAGATATAAAGAAAGTTAAAGAAATAAAGAGGTTTTTCTCTCCAGCGTGGGGAACGTCCAGCCTGTGGAAGTCAGGCAGTGAGTGCCGGAGGCAAACCCCGAGGCAGAAGAGTTTTACTACTCACTACCTGTGTGACCTTCTGTAAATTAGTCTTGGAACATCCATTTCCTCATCTCTATAATTGAAATGATAATAGTACCTCTCTCAGGGTTGTTGTGAGCCGTCAATGAAAATACACTTAGAGCAGCTTCTGGCATTTGGTAGAATTGGGCTATTTGCTGAAGCTTCTTGGTAGCCCTTGGTAGCCCAGGAAGAAACTTACATTTTGATTTTTTCGTACCATGGCTTTGGTTCACAAATTGCTGCATGGCACTTATATTCTCAGAAAATGCTCTAAGACAACTGCTACCTTGCATTCATTTTTGGGTATTCACTTTGCACACCACTCCAGTAGTCTTCAGAAACTAGTGGCTTCTCCTGGCAAAGCCTCCTCACAGAGGAATACTGAAGGGGGTTGCCAAGGACATCACCAGAAAGAAGTTGCTTTGGATATAACTTCTCCTGAGGAGAAACCTGAAGTTAGTTTCAATAAAGCAATTAGAGATGAAATAAAGGACCATTTTAGGCATTTGAAGGATGAAATTGTGGATCATTGGATAGGACCCGAAGGCCGCCCTCTGCATGAGGTCTTGCTGGAACAAGCCAAGGTTGTCTGACAGTTCTGGGGGAAAGAAGACTTGGATAAGTAGATAGTGACTTCTGAAAAGACGATTGGAGGCAGAAGTGAAGTATTTTTGAAAATGGGCAAGAATAACCAAAGTGCACTGCTATATGGAACTCTGAGCTCTGAGGTGCCTCAGGATGGGGAGACTACCTGAAGTGGGTACTGTGCAATGATATCCAGGATTCCAGGGGGTGCTTTTGAGAGGAAGATGTCTTAGGAAAATGTCTTATGATTGGTCCCAGTTCAGTACTCTGTATCTCCGTGTATGTGGGGATGGTTGGCCTTGGATGATGAATATCAGGGAGGACACAGATATAATCCAGAGGAAAAACAGATGTATAGTTACTTCATGTTCACCCGTGGGGACTCCTACTGGCAGGAGGTCAAGATCCCTTTTTCCAAATTTTTTTCCCTAATCAAGGAAGAGTGCAGGATGTTCAGAGTCAGCTTCTGCTTGACAAGATCTCTTCTATAGCATTCACCTTGGCTGATAAAGTGGGTGGTCCATTCTTCCTGGAGATAGATTTTATTGGAGTGCTTACTGTTCCAGCCCACACAGAATTTGCCTATGAAAATTCTCCAGAGCTTAACCCAAGAATTTAAAAATAAAGATCATGTGGTAGTTTTCTTTTACTAAACTAAGGGTACTAGTATCTACAATGATATAAACAAAATAAAATATTTATTTAAGGGCATCCCCCAAAAAAAAGAAAGAGGTTTTTTTTTTGTAAGACAGCTTAAAGAGAAATAATTTTATATGAGAAAGAATCTTGTATGGTAAATTTAGTCCTAGAATAAAATGACTAGTTGTTTAAGAAAAAGTGATATTTAGAACAAACCAGAAAATCCAAGCATGTCATGAATGGTCTGTATAAGTCACTATAAGAAGATTATTAAATAAGCAAATCAAAAACTTTTATGTGATTAAGTTGTCTATAAAGAGAAATGATAGTAGTGTTTCTGTAGATTGGGTTTGATGTAAGAAAACACTTATACACTAAAGAATTGGTTAGAACAATGAAATTTTCTTAAGGGGTTGATTTACTCAATAAATTATAAGATATTTTATTTTTTAATTTTTAACCCAAAATTCAACTTTTATTGCATCTCACGGGTTTTGGTTTTCTCTCCCTTTTTAAAAGGCACAAAATAGTAACACTCTCCTTCAACTCATTTTCAGGTCATATAAGTTTGTTTTCCTTGGGTTCCAGTTTTTTGTTGTTGTTGTTGCCTGATGCTAACAGTGTTTTCTCAAAGGTCTAAAGGAAATGTTTCCTTTGAACATAATATTCTGTGCACTGCAGAAGGGTTTTTTTTTTTTTTTTTTTTTTTTTGCCTTTTGGTAACCTGCCTAGAAGATTTTATGTTTTATTGCTTAGAAAAAACTGAGGTTAAAAAAATTTTTAATGAAGGTTATTACATTTGTTATCTTCCTGTATGTGCTTTTAAAGTCCTTGTGACATTGAGTTACAGGGCCTTGACTCCTGGGTCTAAAAATGACACCAAGCCCTACTAAATTTTAAATACTGAGAGCTTATATTGAATATATTGTATATATTTCAACCTTGGAGAATCTGACAATTATTTGTCTTGGGGTTGCTCTTCTCGAGGAGTATCTTAGTGGTGTTCTCTGTATTACCTGAATTTGAATGTTGGCCTGTCTTGCTAGGTTGGGGAAGTTCTCCTGGATAATATCCTGAAATGTGTTTTCCAACTTGGTTCCATTCTCCCTGTCACTTTCAGGTACACCAATCAACTGTAGTTCGGTCTTTTCACATAGTCTCATATTTCTTGGAGGCTTTGTTAGTTCCTTTTCATTCTTTTTTCTCTAATCTTTTCTTCATGCCTTATTTTAGTAAGTTGATCTTCAATCTCTGATATCGTTTCTTTTGCGTGATCAATTTGGCTATTGATACTTGTGTATGACAAATGATGGCAACTCCTCTCCAGCAAGGGCACAAAACTGGACGGAGAATGAGATTGATGAATTGACAGAAGTAGGCAGATTTGCCCTGAGGGGTTCCCAGCTTGAAGGGATCCAAGATATTTCCCTTTCACAAGACAATCCCATTCTGTCAATGAATTAATCTGTTGGAGTTTGCTGGAGGTCCACACCAGACCCTGTTCACAAGAAGATCTTTTCACTTCCCTCTTCTCCTGCAAGGGAAGACTTTAAGAGACCTGAATTGACATGGCAAGGTGGTCTCATTTTCAACTCTCAAGCACAAAGTCTTTCTTCTCTTTGGTTTGCCTGCCAAAATGAAAATTCGAGGTTACCAAAAGCTTCAGTTCCAGTATATCTCCTTCTTATTCCACAGAAATTGTAGTTCATGGATATGAAGGCTCTAACAGCTAAGTATAATTTTGCCATCATGAAAAAGCCAATGAGAAGCCAATAAAAACAGGATTTCAGAAACACATAAGTACCTCCATTTCCAACTATGTGTCAAAAGCTTTCCTGATTAAGCTTGTTTGTTTGAGATTTCTCTAGCTGTAGCCAAAAATATCCTAAATTATTATCATTAGTATTCCTTTCATGACATTGATGTGACCTGCTACCCTGACTCATACTAAGAGAAGAATCAAGAGAATTGTGAAAAGGAAAAGTGGTTTTGAACTTCGTTCTCCTGGAGATCCGACAATCTAACCTTAGAACTCTGCTTCCTCCAGTTTTCTCATTCCGTCTGCAGTGAGAGCTGCCCTGCTGGCTCCACTGCTACTTTGAATGCAGGCACTGCCTTGAGAGACATTTTGCTGACAGAAAGATGATAGGGGGGCTTTCAAATGATTCCTTCTGAAAGTTGACATTCAACTCATGTTTACTCTTTGGGTAACTTTATCCTGCAAATTCTGAGAGAACACCATCCTTCTAGGTCCAGTTGGCCACAGAACAGGTTGCATGAGTCTCCATAGCAAAATGGAAATCCAAATGGAATCCAATTTCCATTTGGATTTCCATTTTGCACAAAGTGAGTTTTCTCTGTCCATTTTGGGTTTGGATGGAGGAGGGGAAAAATGCTCAGACTTTCCCCAAGACAGTAGTATCAGACAATCCCCAGGAACAGATTGGAAGGGTCAGTGTGGGCAGGTGTTGAGTTCTCTAAGTCATCTAGAGCAAGGGCAGGCAAATCTTGGCCCACAGGCTAAATATGGCTGCAATTCCTCCTTTACATATTGCTAAATACGGCTACAACCGCTCCTTCACATATTGCTAAATGCGGCTACAACCGCTCCTTCACATATTGCTAAATGCGGCTACAACCGCTCCTTCACATATTGCTAAATGCGGCTACAGCCGCTCCTTCACATATTGCTAAATGCGGCTACAGCCGCTCCTTCACATATTGCTAAATGCGGCTACAGCCGCTCCTTCACATATTGCTAAATGCGGCTACAGCCGCTCCTTCACATATTGCTAAATGCGGCTACAGCCGCTCCTTCACATATTGCTAAATGCGGCTACAGCCGCTCCTTCACATATTGCTAAATGCGGCTACAGCCGCTCCTTCACATATTGCTAAATGCGGCTACAGCCGCTCCTTCACATATTGCTAAATGCGGCTACAGCCGCTCCTTCACATATTGCTAAATGCGGCTACAGCCGCTCCTTCACATATTGCTAAATGCGGCTACAGCCGCTCCTTCACATATTGCTAAATGCGGCTACAGCCGCTCCTTCACATATTGCTAAATGCGGCTACAGCCGCTCCTTCACATATTGCTAAATGCGGCTACAGCCGCTCCTTCGCATATTGCTAAATATGGCTACAGCTGCTCCTTTGCATATTGCTAAATACGGCTACAACTGCTCCTTTGCATATTGCTTACAGTGGCTTTCAATCTGCAAGAGAAGACTTGAATAGTTGCCACAGACACCTTCTGGTTTGCAAACTGTAAATATTTATTACCCTTTACAGAAAAGGTTTGCTGTCATATGTCTCACAAATCCAGTGCAGTCTGTAATTAGTTACAATGAAAAGATGACAATGCCCAGGTCACATTGTTCCTAAGGCCTGTTCTGTATTTCTCCCCATTTAGAATGAATTCCCTGCAGGCATTTTTGCACTCCAAATACATTACGTCACTGTCAAGCTTTCTCCTTCCATATATGCTTTGAACCCTGGGAACAGGCCACCTTTTCAGTTCAGTTCACAGTGGCTGTGTCTTCTGCTTCAGCCAAAACTTTCACTGTGGTCATGGCCTTCCAAGCTACAAGGCCAGCTAGCAGGATGGGAAAGCTACAAGGCCAGCCAGGACCCAAGGTCCTGTTGGGTACCCTAAAATCTCATTCTGTTGTCACCTTTGCCCCCTCATCCAAGTGACCATCTCTGGAATCTAGTTGGAAACATCTCCTTCCTCCCTAGACAAAGACCCATAGTCCTGGTATAATCATCATCCAGTGTAATGGGGGCTCTATCACTGTTTTCTACTGTGTCTTGAGCTATTTGGGCTTCTTGGTTCTGGGGACCTTTGCTGTAGTCTTCCTGGAAAGTAACCCGCCTGACATCTTCAATGAAACCAAATGTCTCACCTTCAGCATGTTGGTGTTCTGCAGTATCTGGGTGGCTTTCCTCCTGAGTTATAGTAGCACTCAGGGAAAGGCCATGGTGGCTGTGGAGATTGTCTCCATCTTGACCTCCAGTACTGGGTTACATGGATGCATCTTGCTCCCAATTGCTACGTGATTCTCCTTCACCCAGAAAGGAACAGTCTTCAATGCCTAAAGAAGAAGCTGAGAAACCATAAACAGAAGGACTATACTATATTTAGATTAAGAGGAGGGACTATAATGCTTATTAGTGGTAGAGAATTTGTAAGCTAATTGTGTAAAGTGCTCCTGAAAAATCAATAAATATTAAACAACTTGTTTCAAAAAAAAAATGAGATATTGGCAAGTTACTTACAGAAGCAAACCTGAATATCCAGTGAATAAGAAGATTCTGGGCTCATTGGAAGGTATTGAGTTGTCACAATTAATTTTTCACAGTAACAGATTTATCTTGTTATACTCTCCCCTCTTCCAGGATTCAACTTTCACTAGTCTTCAGTTTTAAAAAAGAAGATGCTAAGCCTAACTAGTAATCAAAAATGCAAATTAAAAAGCCACGAAATAGCATATTACTTTGCAGAATAAAAGAAAAACTTACAAATCTGTAATCACTAAATATTGACCAGGATGTAAAGCAACATGTACCTGCACACGCACACACACAGAACTAGATAAACTTCACACCTGTTAAGGAATAATTTCCAGGAGGCATTGTTAAGTAAAACAAGCAAGTTATAAATGAAAGTACAGGGCGGGTGGAGCCAAGATGGCTGAATAGGAACAGCTCCAGTCTACAGCTCCCAGCATGAGTGACGCAGAAGACAGGTGACTTCTGCATTTCCAACTGAGGTACTGGGTTCATCTCACTGGGGAGTGCCGGACAGTGGGTGCAGGACAGTGGGTGCGGTGCAGTGCACTGTGCATGAGCTGAAGCAGGGCGAGGCATCGCCTCACCTGGGAAGCACAAGGGGTCAGGGAATTCCCTTTCCTAGTCAAAGAAAGGGGTAACAGATGGCATCTGGAAAATCGGGTCACTCCCACCCTAATACTGCACTTTTCCAATGGGCTTAACAAACGGCACACCAGGAGATTATATCCCACACATGGCTTGGAGGGTCCTACACCCACAGAGCCTCGCTCATTGCTAGCACAGCAGTCTGAGATCAAACTGCAAGGCAGCAGTGAGGCTGGGGGAGGGGCGCCTGCCATTGCCGGGGCTTGAGTAGGTAAATAAAGTGGCCGGGAAGCTCGAACTGGGTGGAGCCCACCACAGCTCGAGGAGGCCTGCCTGCCTCTGTAGGCTCCACCTGTGGGGGCAGGGCACAGACAAACAAAAGGCAGCAGTAACATCTGCAGACTTAAATGTCCCTGTCTGACAGCTTTGAAGAGAGTAGTGGTTCTCCCAGCATGCAGCTTGAGATCTGAGAACAGGCAGACTGCCTCCTCAAGTGGGTCCCTGACCCCCGAGTAGCCTAACTGGGAGGCACCCCCCAGTAGGGGCAGACTGACACCTCACACGGCTGGGTACTCCTCTGAGACAAAACTTCCAGAGGAATGATCAGGCAGCAGCATTTGCGGTTCACCAATATCCGCTGTTCTGCAGCCACTGCTGCTGATACCCAGGCAAACAGGGTCTGGAGTGGACCACCAGCAAACTCCACAGACCTGCAGCTGAGGGTCCTGACTGTTAGAAGGAAAACTAACAAACAGAAAGGACATCCACACCAAAAACCCATCTGTACGTCACCATCATCAAAGACCAAAGGTAGATAAAACCACAAAGATGGGGAAAAAACAGAGCAGAAAAACTAGAAACTCTAAAAATCAGAGCACCTCTCCTCCTCCAAAGGAATGCAGCTCCTCACCAGCAACGGAACAAAGCTGGATGGAGAATGACTTTGACGAGTTGAGAGAAGAAGGCTTCAGAAGATCAAACTACTCCAAGCTAAAGGAGGAAGTTCGAACCAATGGCAAAGAAGTTAAAAGCTTTGAAAAAAAATTAGACGAATGGCTATCTAGAATAACCAATGCAGAGAAGTCCTTAAAGGACCTGATGGAGCTGAAAACCACGGCATGAGAACTACGTGACGAATGCACAAGCCTCAGTAGCTGATGCGATCAACTGGAAGAAAGAGTATCAGCAATGGAAGATGAAATTAATGAAATGAAGCGAGAAGAGAAGTTCAGAGAAAAAAGAGTAAAAAGAAATGAACAAAGCCTCCAAGAAATATGGGACTATCTGAAAAGACCAAATCTACGTCTGATTGGTGTACCTGAAAGTGACGGGGAGAATGGAACCAAGTTGGAAAACACTCTGCAGGATATTATCCAGGAGAACTTCCCCAATCTAGCAAGGCAGGCCAACATTCAAATTCAGGAAATACAGAGAATGCCACAAAGATACTCCTTGAGAAGAGCAACTCCAAGACACATAATTGTCAGATTCACCAAAGTTGAAATGAAGGAAAAAATGTTAAGGGCAGCCAGAGAGAAAGGTCGGGTTACCCACAAAGGGAAGCCCATCAGACTAACAGCGATCTCTCGGCAGAAACTCTACAAGCCAGAAGAGAGTGGGGGCCAATATTCAACATTCTTAAAGAAAAGAATTTTCAACCCAGAATTTCATATCCAGCCAAACTAAGCTTCATAAGTGAAAGAGAAATAAAATACTTTACAGACAAGCAAATGCTGAGAGATTTTGTCACCACCAGGCCTGCCCTAAAAGAGCTCCTGAAGGAAGCACTAAACATGGAAAGGAACAACTGGTAGCAGCCACTGCAAAAACAAGCCAAATTGTAAAGACCATCAAGGCTAGGAAGAAACTGCATCAACTAATGAGCAAAATAACCAGCTAACATCATAATGACAGGATCAAATTCACACATAACAATATTAATCTTAAATGTAAATGGGCTAAATGCTCCAATTAAAAGACACAGACTGGCAAATTGGATAAAGAGTCAAGACCCATTAGTGTGCTGTATTCAGGAAACTCATCTCACATGCAGAGACACACATAGGCTCAAAATAAAGGGATGGAGGAAGATCTACCAAGCAAATGGAAATGTTGGCCTGGCTAGCTAGGTTGGGGGAGTTATCATGGATGATATCCTAAAATATGTTTTCCAAATTGGTTCCATTATCCCCATCTCTTTTGGGTACACCAGACATAGATTTGTTCTCTTTACACAATCCCATATTTCTTGGAGGTTTGGTTATTCCTTTTCATTCTTTTTTTTTTTTCTATCCTTGTCTACCTATCTTATTTCAGAAAGGCAGTCTTCAAGCTCTGAGATTCTTTCCTCTGCTTGGTCTATTCTGCTATTAATACTTGTGATTGCATTTTAACATTCTTTTATTGTGTTTTTCAGTTCTGTCAGGCTGGTTACATTCTTCTCTACACTGGCTATTTTGTCTGTCAGCTCATGCAATGCTTTATCATGACTTTTTAGCTTCCTTGCATTGGGTTAAAACATGATACTTTAGCTCAGTGAAGTTTGTTTTTATCCGTATTCTGAAGTCTACTTCTGTCATTTCAGCCATCTCAGCCCAGTTTCAAACCCTTGCTGGAGAGGTGATGTGGTCATTTGGAGAAAAGAGGGCACTCTGACTTTTTGTGTTTTCACCATTCTTGTGCTGATTTTTTTCTCATCTTTGTGGGCTTACCTACCTTTAATATTTGAAGTTGCTGACCTTTGGATGAGTATTTTTTTCTTTTAATAATTTGGCCACTTTTCTATAGGGCTGCTGTGGTTTGCTAGGAGTCCTCTCCAGTCCCTAGTCATCTCAGATTTTCCAGTACCTGGAGGTATCACCAGTGAAGGCTGAGAAATAGCAAAGATGGAATTCTGCCCATTCCTCTGGGAGCTCTATATTTGTGTTTGTAACACAAAAAATAAATTCTTGGGGTGATGGATACCCCATTTATCCTGATGTGATTATTATGCATTGCATGCTTATATCAAAATATTTCATGTAACCCATAAACATATACACCTACTATGTACCCACAGAAATAAAAAATAAAAATAAATGGTTATGTCAATGTAACTGATACATCATGTTGGAAAAGTGAACAAAATAAAAAATTTAAAAATAATAATAAAATAATTTGTGCAAGATCAGATCATCACCAAATGGTAGAGATGTGATAAAATAGGCAGTCTGTGAGCCACCCCACCCTTTCTTTGCAGAGATTGTGGTGCAGTGGGGTGGTCTATAGTCCAAGCCCAGGCAGACCTCCAGGCATCTAGAACACCCCACTCTATGCAGAGAACTTGGAGCCAAGGAGGTTTCCTATCTGATCTCCATGGCTAGTCACACCTCTGGGTACATGGTTGACACTGGTGCTTGTGTCTGCTATCAGGAAGCCTGTACATGGGCCTGCCCATTCCAGACTTGTCCATCTTGGAATGCATGCTTTGAATTTTTAAATCTGTAATCTCTTATTTTCCATTTTGGTTAGGGATCATTGCTGAAGAGCTAGTGTAATCTTTCAGTGGTGTCACAACATTCAGATTTTTCATGATGCCAGAATTCTTACAATGGCTTCTTCTCATCTGGAGATGTTGGCATTCCTAATTTTTGTAATTATTTTCATGCAGACAAGATTCTTATATATATATATATATTTTTCTTTTTCCTTTCCCCTGTCTCCCTAGAAGGTGTGAGCATACAGTATGTTTGCTACCATCTTTTGGCTTTGCTTTTATAGCCCTATGGACTCTTCTCATGTCTGGCTTTATATTGAGCTATTGTGCAGTTTGGCATACTACCAGCAGATGGCATGCATGAATAAGAGATGGCTGTGGCCAATGTCACTAGGTATATACTTTATTATTGTTTACTAAGAGAAGCTCTCAAAAAATTCAAAGCATGCATTGCAAGGAAGCTCAGCAACACCCAAGGCAAGGTTCAAAATCAACACAAATATTTCTACAGCAATCTAGTAAATGAAGGAAGAGATAAACATGTCAAAAAGAAATCAGTCAGAGCTTCTGGTATTGAAAAGCTCAATTAAGGAATTTCAAAATACAATTAAAAGCTTTATCAATAGACTGGAGCAAGCAGAAGAACGAATTTCGGAATTGAAGTCTGGTCTTTTGAAGAAACTCAAACAAAAAAAAGAATTAAAAAAAAAATAAAGTCTTTGAGAAAGATGGGATTATATAAAGTGACCAAACTTATGAATTAATGACATTTCTGAGAGAAGGAGAAAAGGTAAATGACCTGGAAAACATATTTGAGAGAATAATTTAAGAAAATCTCCCTAATCTTGCTGGAGAGGTAGACATCCAGATAGAAGAAATCCAGAGAACACCTGGGAGATACTATACGAAACAGACATCACCAAGACATAGTCACCACACTGTCTACCATCAATACTAAAAAAAAAAAATCTTAAAGACAGCTACAGAAAAATGTTAGATTATGCACAAAGGGAACTCCATCAGACCAACAGCAGACTTCTCAGCAGAAACCTTGCAAGCTGGAAGGGATTGAAGGCCTATTTTCAGCATTCTGAAAGAAAAGAAATTCCAACAAAGAATTTTATGTCACACCAAACTAGGCTTCAAAAGCAAAGAAGAAATAAAATATTTTACAGACAAGCAAGCAATAAGGGTATTTGTTACCACTAGACCAGCCTTACAAGAAATCCTTAAGGGAATTCTAGACATGGAAACAAAGGAACAATACCTGCTACCATAAAAATACACTTAAGTATATGGTCCTCAGATCCTATAAAGCAACCACCCAATAAAAACCTACAAAGCAACTAGGCAACAACTTCATGAAAGGATGAAAACCTCACATATCACTATTAACCTAGAATATAAATGGCCTAAATGCCTTACTCAAAAGGCGTAGAGTGGCAAGTTTGATTTTAAAAAGAAAGACTCATTTGTCTGCTGTTATCAAGAGATCCATCTCACATGTGACAACACCCATACGGCTCAAAGTAAAAGGTTGGAAGAAAATCATACAAATGGAAAACAAAAAAGAGCAGGGGTAGATATTCTTAGATCAGACAAAACAGACTTTAAAACAACAAAAATAAAAAAGTATGAAGAAAAACATTTCATAATGATAAAGACCTCAATTTAATAAGAAGACTTAACTATCTAAATACATACGTACCCCACATTAGAGTACCCAGCTTCATAAAGCCGTAGTTCTAGATCTATGAAAAGACTCATCCACACAATAATAGTAGGGGACTTCAACACCCCACTGACAGCATTAGACGGATCATCAGAGCAGAAAACTAACAAAGAAACCTGGACTTAAATCTGACACTTGACCAATTGGCCCTAATAGACATTTACAGAACACTGAAGCCACAACTACAGAGTGCACATTCTTCTCATCTGCACATGGAACACATGGACAACAAGCTCAGCCTAAAGCAAGTTTCAATCAATTAAAAAAAATAAAAATCATGGCAGCCATACCCTTGGACCACAGTGCAATAAAAATAGAAATCAATACCAAGATCTCTCAAAACCACACAATAACATGGAAATTAAATAACTTGCTCCTGAATGACTTTTAGGTAAACAATGAAATTAAGGGAGAAATAAAAAAAATTCTTTGAAATACTAGGCTGGGCGCAGTGGCTCACACCTGTAATCCCAGCACTTTGGGAGGCCGAGGCGGGTGGACCACCTGAGGTCAGGAGTTCAAGACCAGCCTGGCCAACTGACGAAACCCCATCTCTACCAAAATACAAAAATTAGCCGGGCATGATGGCGGGTGCCTGTAATGTCAGCTACTCAGGAAGCTGAAGCGGGAGAATTGCTTGAACCCAGGAGGCAGAGGTTGCAGTGAGCCGAGATCACACCATTACACTCCAGCCTGGGTGACAGAGCGAGACTCCGTCTCAAAAAAAAAAAAAAAAAAAAAAAAAAAGAATGCAATTCCATTTACAATAGCTGAAAGAAAAAAAAAAAGCCTAGACTATATATAACCAAGAAGGTGAAACATCTCTACCAGGGGAACTACAGAACACTGCTGAAAAAAATAATAGATGACAAAAATTAATGGAAAAGCATTCCATGTTCATTAATTGTAAGAATCAATATTGTTAAAATGGCCATACTGCTCAAAGCAATTACATATTCAACGCCAATCCTATCAAGCTACTAACATCTTTTTTCACAGAACTAGAAAAAAACTACTCTAAAGTTCATCTAAAACCAAAGAATAGCCTGAATTGTCAAAGCAATTCTAAACAACAACAAAAACAAAGCTGGAAGCATCACATTACTTGACTTCAAACTGTACCACAAGACTACGATAAGCAAAACAGCATGCAAAAACAGACATAGATCAATGGAACAAAAAACAGAACCCAGAATTAAGCCACACACCTACAGCCATCTGACCTTAGACAATGGCAACAACAGAAAAACAATGGTGAAGAACTACCTATTTAATAAATGGTGCTGAGATTGCTGGCTAGGCATATGCAGAAGAATGCAACTGGACCCCTACATTTCACCATATACAAAAATTAACTCAAGAAGAATTAAAGATTTAAATGTAAGACCTCAATCTAAGAGATGTCTAGAAGAAAACCTAGGAAACACCATTCTGAAGATTGGCTTTGGAAAAAAATTTATTACTAAGTTCTCAAAAGCTATTGCAACAAAAAAATGACAAATTGGATCTAATTACACAGCAAACGAAACTAATAACAGAGTAACAGACCACCTATAGAATGGGAGAAAATATTCAAAAACTGCATCAAAAAAGGTCTAATATTCAGAATCAACATAAAAAGTAAACAACTAAACAAGCAAAAATAAAGTAACCCCCTTAAAAGTAGGCAAAAGATGTAAACAGACACTTGTCAAAAGAAAACAAGCAGCCAACAAACATGAATAAATGCTTAACTTTACTAGTCGTCAGAGAAATGAAAGTCAAAACCACAATAATGAGATGCCATCTTACACCAGTCAAAATGACTATTATTAAAAAGTAAAAAAAACAAGAGATGCTGGCAAGGCTACTGAGAAAAGGGAATGCTTATACACTGTGGTGGGAATGTAAATTAGTTCAGCCACTATGAAAAGCAGTTTGGAGATTTTTCAAAGAACTTAAAACAGAACTATCCTTTGACCCAGCAATTCATTACTGGTTTTATATCCAAAAGAAAATAAATTTTTGTACCAAAAAGACACATGCACCCATATGTTCATTGCAGCGCTATTCACAAAAGCAAAGATGTGAAATCAACATAGCTGCCCATTATTAGTGGATTGGATAAAGAAAATGTGGTACATATACACCATGGAATACTATGCAGTCATAAAACGGAACAAAATCTTGTGCTTTGCAGTGACATCGATGCAGGTAGAAACCATTATCCTAAGTGAATTAACACAGGAACAGAAAACCAAACACTGCATGTTCTCACTTATAAGTGGAAGTTAAACACTGAGCACACATGGACATAAAGATGGGAACAGTAGACACTGGGGAGTACCAGAGGGGAGAAGCAAGACAAGAGGCAAGGGCTGAAAAACTATTGGGTACTGTGCTTTCTATCTGAGTGACAGGATCAATCATCAAACCTCAGCATCATGCAACATACCTAAGTAACACACCTACTCATGTATTCCATGAACCTAAAGTGGAAATTAGTTTTGAAATAAAAATTTTTTAAAAATAAAAACATTCATTGTTGGGATAAATAAACTACCCAGATTACAATGGTGATACACAAAGAACAAAATAAGATATTTGACCTACCAAGATGTGAGAAAGTAAATTATCATGAAAAACTTTTTTTTTATGTTTTTTAAATTGTATTGACTATTTCAAGGAATATTTAGATGTTGACTTTCTCTATTTTTCTATTTTCAATTTCAATAATTTCTACTCCAATTATTATTATTATTTCTTCTGCTTGCTTTGGGATTAGAGTACAGAATACAGTACTTTTTCTAGTTTCCTAAGGTATAAACATAGACTATTGAATATAGAATTATCTTCTTTACTGATATACTTAATACTATAACTCTCCTATTTCCCTCTTAGCATTTCTTTTGCTTCATCCTACAAATCTGGTAAGTTGTAACTTCATTTTTATTTAGTTCAACTTTTGTTTGTTTGTTTGTTTTTGTTTTTGTTTTCTGAGACAGAGCCTGGCTCTGTCACCCAGGCTGGAGTACAGTGACACGATCTCGGCTCACTGCAACTTCTGCCTCCCAGATTCAACTGATTCTCGTGCCTCAGCCTCTTAAGTAGCTGTGTTTACAGGCATATGGCACCACGCCCAGCTAATTTTTGTATTTTTAGTAGAGGCGGGGTTTCGCCATGTTAGCCAGGTTGGTCTCATACTTCTGGCCTCAACTGATCCATCCACCTTGGCCTCCCTAAATGCTGGGATTACAGGTATGAGCCACCATGCCCAGCCAAGGTCAAATTATTTTTAAAATTTCTGTTACATTTCTTTTATTTATTTATTTATTTATTTTTTTTTTTTTTTGAGACGGAGTCTCGCTCTGTCGCCCAGGCTGGAGTGCAGTGGCGCCATCTCGGCTCACTGCAAGCTCCGCCTCCTGGGTTCACGCCATTCTCCTGCCTCAGCCTCCCCAGCAGCTGGGACTACAGATGCCCGCCACCATGCCCAGCTAATTTTTTTTTTTTGTATTTTTAGTAGAGATGGGGTTTCACCGTGGTCTCGATCTCCTGACCTCATGATCCACCTGCCTCGGCCTCCCAAAGTGCTGGGATTACAGGCATGAGCCACCGCGCCTGGCCATATTTCTTCTTTGACCCACATTTGGTTTATGTGATTATCTTCTTTACCATATTTTACCCATTTTTTGGAACAATTTTTTTTTTTTGAGTCAGAGTCATGCTCTGTAGCCCAGGCTGGAGTGCAATGGTGTGATTTCAGCTCACTGCAATCCTCGGTTCAAGTGATTCTCCTGCCTAAGCCTCCTAAGTAGCTGGGATTACAGGTGCGCACCACCATGCCCAGCTAATTTTTGTATTTAGTAGAGATGGGGTTTCACCATGTTGGTCAGGCTGGTCTCAAACTCCTGACTTCGTGATCCACCTGCCTAGGCCTCCCAAAGTGCTGGGATCACAGGCATGAGCCACTGCGCCTGGCCACAAATATGTTTTTTTAATGTCATAAAACTAAAATTATTTTATAATAAAATAGTAAAATTTTTAAAACAGGAAGTTTGCATTCTGTGACAGCATTTTTCTTTATAATTGTATCTTTGGAAGTATTCAATATGTTGAAAAAACAACTTGCAACATACATGTCAGTTATAAAACATAGTAAAATGATGAACTACCAAAAACATCCCCATCCACCTAAGGAGTAAACACTGATCACTTCTCCTGTCCATCCATGCTTCTCTCTTTCTCCCTTCACTGTGCTACTCCCATACATGACCACTACCATAAATGTTGAGTTTATTATTAAGCTACTTCTAACTATGTGGATATACTTCATAATATAAATGTATGTAAGGTTTATAATGTATATGTATCAAAATATGTACTAATGTGAATATATCATGTATACTATCATATTTTGATATATATGAATTATCTATACTACACATATTCATTTACATGGGAAATATATACACGTATGGATACTTATGTAATACTACATATAACACACAACTATGCATATGTAATACATGAACTACAGTGCATATGTATCGCATGTGTATGTAAATACACATGTAAAAACAAAATAGATTACATATATTAGTAGATGTGTAAAATTGAATATATACATAAATTTATGTATTGTATAGTATTTGTATAGAATACATAAAATACATTTATACCTAGATAGTATAAGATATGCATGCACTTATATTGTAAAATATGCATTTTGGGATGTAAAATTATATATCATACATATAAGATATTTGTATATATTTAATGTCATTTAATATAATGTGCATATTTATATTCAATATGTGTATGACTTATATGGTATACATATTTAACATGTACATTATAAAACATAATATATAAACATAGTAAATGTATTATTAATAAATATATATATTTATAATTAAAATCATTGCAGTTGGCCAGGTGCTATGGCTCACACTTGTAATCCCCCACTTTGGGAGGTGAGATGGGAGAATTGCTTGAGGCCAGGAGTTCGAGACCAGCCTGAGAAATATAGCAAGACCCCATTTCTATAAAGAATAAAAAACATAGCCAGGTGCGGTGGGATGCACCTTTAGTCCTAGCTACTTGGGAGGCTGAGGCAGGAGTATTGCTTGAGCCCAGGAGTTTGAGGCTGGAGTGAGCCATGATCGTGTCACTACACTCCAGCCTGGGTGACATTAGAGACCTAATGTATATATAGCATGACGAATGTAGTAAATCCTAATGGACACCTGAAATTAGACTCTATCTCTAACAAAAAAAAAAAATCACTGTAGCTTTTCTATATTCATGTAAGTGTCACATGACTATTTTGAGGTTAAGCACAACCTCAACTCGTGAAGGGCATTGTAGGTGGGTCAGCATATAGCACTGAGTGAATGTTTGCTGGATGAGTGAATGATGGGTACAGAGCAAAGTGTAAGGAGTGTCTTTCAGCTGCTATGTTCTGCTCAAGGCTGGTTTCTTTATGTGTTGAAGAGGAAGCCACAGGCATGAAGAAGACTTGGCATGATTGATTATGAGCAGCGCATCAATATGTTGCATATTAGGGCCCATGATGGAAATCAAAGCAGAGGAGACTCGAGATCTAGTGGGATTTGTACCATTAGTGAAGTGGAGGGAGAGATGCCGCACATTTACGTGAGAGCATGTGTGGGTGGGGGTGTCATTTGCAGTTAATCGCCCAGTACTGAAAGGCACCCAGCGGTACACTATGGGAAGTGAAATAAGCCACGCACAGAGAGCCACATACTGCGTGATTCCCATTTATATGTGGAATATTAAAAAGTCAAACTCAGAGAGTAGTAACAGAGAGTAGAATGGCAGTTACCAGGGGTGGAGGGTTGGGGGATTGGGGAGATGCTTGTCTAAGGGCAGAAACTTTCAGCTATAAGATGAAATACTGTTAGAGACCTAATGTATAGCATGGTGAACATAGAGAATCCTAATGTGTACTTGAAATTTTTCAAGAGTTATCTCAAATGTTCTCACCACACACACACACACACACACACACACACACAATGGTAACTGTGAGATGTGGATATATTTATTAGCTTGTTTTAGACATTTTACAATATATACGTATATCAGGCCAGGCGTGGTGGCTCACGCCTGTAATCCCAGCATTTTGGGAGGCCGAGGCGGGCCGATCACGAGGTCAGGAGATCGAGACCATCCTGGCTAACACGGTGAAACCCCGTCTCTACTAAAAATACAAAAAAAAAAATTAGCTGGGCGTGGTGGCGGGGGCCTGTAGTCCCAGCTACTCAGGAGGCTGAGGCAGGAGAATGGCGTGAACCCGGGAGGTGGAGCTTGCAGTGAGCGGAGATCACACCACTGCACTCCAGCCTGGGCAACAGAGCAAGACTCCATCTCAAAAAAAAAAACCACAATATATACATACATCAAGACATCCCATTGTACACTCTAAATATATGTAATTTTTTGTTAATCAAAACTCAAAGCTGGCAAAAGGCACTCAATATATATTGTCTTCTTAATTCTTTAACACCACACTCTAATCCTCTTGAAATATTTCTTGTCATAAAATCTAGGCCCTGAAATCCTGAAAACAGCAACAACAACAACAACAACAGATAACCAGTATATCTGCCTCACTAATCTAATGAATTCTCCCTCCTTAACCCCTTCAAACGCTATTTTTTTTTTTAAGTGTCTACTTCTGGTGATGACAGAGTGACTGGTGCTAGACTGGACTTCCTGATACAGAAAACAACAAACCTGGATGCATTCTATCTGGCAACAGTTTTCAGGCAGGGATAAAAGGTCATGCAAGAGTGAAATTCACACAAGAAGGGAACCTAGCAAGCTAAGCCCCATGACCTCCCTGTTCTCTTTCAGGGGATAATTCCTCTCCCAGTAGATACAACTGGAATCTGGGCCAAACAAAGCAGTCATTGATATGGTTTGGCTGTGTCCCCACCCAAATCTCATCTTGAACTGAGCTCCCATAAAGCGGGACATTAGGAAGGAAGACAGTTTCTGGGGAGGGGCCCCATTCTGTGTGGGAAACGTGTGAGGGGAGAAGAAAAGACACACACACAATACCTTTAAGGGTAAACAACCTTTATCCCACGTAAATGGCAATGTAGATAGAATAAGCAAATTATATAATAAGCAAATGGATATAATAAGCAAATTGCAATGGGGAGGGAAGAAGGGAAAAGATATACATCTATTTACACTCACCAGACTATGGAGGATTCACCACCAGGCTGGGAAGCAACAGCCTAGGCTCCAGAGTCAGACACTCGTCCATGCACAGAAAATGAGAGGTCTCATGAAGCTTCAACGCAGTCTGGGACCCTAGTTCTTTTTGTAAGGAGTTGTTTGACATGAGGCCCAGTCACAAGGGCCCTTCACGACTGGGCTCAAGGAACACAAAAAGGTCAACTTTTTTTTGTGGTTGTCTATTGTTTTTCAATAACTAATGTATAGGAATAGATTGAAATAGACAGTTCTCCAAAACAGTGCTGGGTGAATGCCTCAAGGGGCTCACACAACCTGTTCCAGGACTTGGTGACCATTGTTTGTGGCCATGTTCAATTGAATTCAAACTTAATATTTAACTTTTCCTCCACAGGCCCTCAGAAATTTGTGTCAGTAAATGTGGGAGGGCAGATATCTTTTTGACCTACTAACTTCCTTTTTTTTTTTTTTTTTTGAACATGTACACAGCAGTGGGAATGCCAGTCACATGGGGATTCTATTTTTAGTTGTTTGATGAACCACCACAGTTTTCCATAGTGGCTGTACTAATTTACTTTCCCACCAACATTGTACGAGGGTTCCCCTTACTCTGCATCCTCACCAGCATCCATTATTTTTTGGCTTTCTGATAAAAGCCATTTTAACTGGAGTGAGATAATTTCTCATTGTGGTTTTGATTTGCATTTCCCTGATGTGCTGATGTTGAACAGAGTTTCATATACCTCTTGACCAACTGAAGAACAAAATATGATACATATACACAATGGAATATTATTCAGCCATAAAAAAGAATAAAATGTTATTTGCTGCAACATGGATAGAATTGGAGGACATTATGTTAAGTGAAATAAGCCAGGAATAGATGGACAAATATTCCATCTTCTCACTCATATGTGGGAGCTAAAAACATGGATCTCATGGAATTAGAGAGTTGATTGGTGGTTACCGGAGGCTATGAATAGAGGGGGAAAGGAGAGAGGTTGTTTTGTGGGCACAAAAATACAGTTGGATAGAATGAATAAGATCTACTGTTCAGTAGTACAGCAGGGCAACTATAGTTAACAATAATTTGTTGTATGATTTAAAGTTGCTGGAGGGGAGGAATTGAAATGTTTCCAACATAAAGAAAGGGTGCAGGTTTGGGGTGATGGAGTCCCAATTGTCCTGGTTTATCATTAGACATTGTATGCATGCATCAAAATACCACTGATCCCACAATATATATAACTATTATGTATCTATAAAAAAAAAAGTTCTGCCGGCCAGGCATGGTGGCTCATGACTGTAATCCCAGCACTTTGGGAGGCTGAGGCGGGTGGATCACCTGAGGTCAGGAGTTTGAGACCAGCCTGACCAACATGGAGAAACCCCATCTCTACTAAAAATACAAAATTAGCAGGCTGTGGTGGCGCATGCCTGTACTCCCAGCTACTTGGGAGGCTGAGGCAGGAGAATCGCTTGAACCCGGGAGGCGGAGGTTGCAGTGAGCCGAGATCATACCATTGTACTCCAGCCTGGGCAATAAGAGTGAAACGCTGTCTCAAAAAAAAAAAAAAAAAAAAGTTCTGCCTCAGGGTTCTGCATCCATAAATTCAACAAACCTGGGATCAAACATATTTTTTTGCCAGGCACAGTAGCTCACACCTGTAATCCCAGCACTTTGGCAGGCCAAGGCAGAAGGATCACTTGAGTCCAGGAGTTTGAGATCAGCCTGGGCAACATGGTGAGACCTTGTCTCTACAAAAAATAAACTATGCACCTAGTCCCAGCTACTCAGGAGGCTGAGGTGGGAGGATCACTTGAGCCTGGGAGGTTGAGGCTGCAGTGAGCTGTGATTGTGCCAGCGCACTCTGAGTGACAGAGCAAGAAGCCGGTCTCCAAAAAATATTTTTAAGAAACCAAGGCCGGGCGCGGTGGCTCACGCCTGTAATCCCAGCACTTTGGGAGGCCGAGGCAGGTGGATCATGAGATCAGGAGATCGAGACCATCCTGGCTAACAAGGTGAAACCCCGTCTCTACTGAAAATATAAAAAATTAGCCGGGCGTGGTGGCGGGCACCTGTAATCCCAGCTACTTGGGAGGCTGAGGCAGGAGAATGGCGTGAACCCGGGAGGCGAAGCTTGCAGTGAGCAGAGATCGCGCCACTGCACTCCAGCCTGGGCGACAGAGCGAGACTCTGTCTCAAAAAAAAAAAAAAAAAAAAGAAACCAATAAAAATAATACTAATTTAAAAACCAAGAGAGTCTAACAACTATTTACATAGCATTTACATTGTATTAGGTATTATATGTAATCTAGAGATGATTTAAAGTATACAGGAGTAAGTGCTAGGTTATATGCAAATAGTACTTCATTTTATGCAGTGGACTTGAGCAGCCTGAGATTTTGGTGCCTGAGATGATCCTAGAACTAATCCCCTACAGACATACTGAGAGGCGACTACATGTCTGTATCTATAGATAGATATCAAGATGGCGAGAGATAGATTGGGCAGGGAGGGAACGCGTTTACATGAGATAGAGACAGAGATGAACAGAGAGGTAAGATCCACAATTATTAAAGACACTGTAGTGGAAGTTTTTCCAGGATATTTTGCCCCCAGTATTACTGGAAAAGCTGGTGAAGTGTAAAGCCAGGCGAGGGCTCTGAGCTCTGATGGTGGGGTTGCGGGGTCGCCCGCCTCCTGGACAAATTTGTAGGCCTAGGGAAGCCTGCCGGCTGAGAGGTGTGGAATAGGGGAAGCCAGATCTGGCGGCAGACAATGAGAAGTCCTCAGGCTAAGAAATGGCCTTTCAAAAGGCAGTGAAAGGGACAATTCTTGTTGAAGGAGGTGCTCTTGCAACTGTTTTAGGACTTTCTCAGTTTGCTTATTACAGAAGGAAACAAATGAGCCTGGTCTATGTTGAAGCAGCAGACTGCATTTCAGAACCTGTTAACAGGGAGCCTCCTTCCAGAGACGCTCAGCTACTGACTTTGCAAAAATATATCTGAATTTGATATCCTTGTTATGGGAGGAGAAGAAAGAGGAAGTGGCTGTGCACTAGATGCCGTCACCAGAGGACTAAAAACAGCCTTGTAGAAAGAGATGATTACTTACCAGGGACCAGCAGCAGAAGCACTAATTTGATCCATGGTGGTGTGAGATATCTTCAGAAGGCCATGATGAAGTTGGATATTGAGCAGTACCGGATGGTAACAGAAGCCCTTGATGAGCGTGCCAACCTGCCAGAAATTTCTCCCCATTTATCAGCTCCATTGCCTATCATGCTTCCAGTTTACAAGTGGTGGCAGTTACCTTACTACTGGGTAGGAATCAAGCTGTATGATTTGGTTGCAGGAAGTAATTGCCTGAAAAGCAGTTATGTCCTCAGCAAATCAAGAGCCCTTGAACATTTCCCAATGCTCCAGAAGGACAAACTGGTAGGAGGAATTGTCTACTATGATGGACGACATAACGATGCATGGATGAACCTTGCCATTGTGCTGACTGCTGCCAGATATGGGGATGCCACAGTCAATGACAGGGAGGTAGTGAGCTTGCTTAAGAAGACAGACACCCAGACAGACAGCGAAAGTGCGTGTGAGTGGTGCATGGTGCAAGGATGTCCTCACAGGGCAGGAATTTGACATGAAAGCCAAGTGTGTTATCAATGCCGTTGGACATTTCACAGACTCTGTGTGCAAAATAGATGATAAGGATGCTGCAGCTATCTGCCAGCCAACTGCTGGTGTCCACATTGTGATGCCTGGTTATTACAGCCCAGAGGGCATGGGACTTCTTGACCAGTGATGGGCGAGTTATTTTCTTCTTACCCTGGCAAAAGATGATGATTGCTGGCACTACTGATACCCCAACTGATATTACACACCATCCAAGTCCTTCAGAAGAAGATATTAACTTCATTTTGAATGAAGCACGTAATTACCTGAGCTGTGATGTTGAGGTGAGAAGAGGGGCGACATCCTAGCAGCGTGGAGCAGTATCCGTCCCCTTGTTACAGATCCCAAATCTGCAGATACTCAGTCTATCTCCTGAAATCATGTTGTCCATGTCAGTGAGAGAAGTCTTATTACTACAGCAGGTGGAAAGTGGACAACTTACCGGTCTGTGGCGAAGATACCCTAAATGCTGCTATCAAAACCCACAATTTGAAAGCAGGACCAAGTAGAACAGCTGGGCTTTTCCTTCAAGGGGGTAAAGATTGGAACCCCACACTCTACATGAAGCTTGTCCAGGATTATGGACTTGAAAGCGAGGGGGCACAGCATCTTGCTGCCACCTATGGTGATAAGGCTTTTGAGGTGGCCACAATGGCAAGTGTGACTAGCAAAAGGTGGCCTATTGTTGGAGTACGTCTTGTGTCAGAATTTCCATATATTGAAGCAGAGGTGAACTATGGGATTAAGGAGTATTCCTGCACCACCGTGGATATGATTTCACGTTGTACTCGCCTGGCTTATTATTATTATTATTATTATTTTTGAGACAGAATTTCGCTCTTGTCACCCAGGCTGGAGTGCAATGGTATGATCTCGGCTCACTGCAATCACCGCCTCCTGGGTTCAAGCGATTCTCCTGCCTCATCCTCCCGAGTACCTGGAGTTACAGGCTAATTTTGTATTTTTAGTAGAGATTGGGTCTCCACCCTGGCTAATTTTGTATTTTTAGTAGAGATTAGGTTTCTCCATGTTGGTCAGGACATCACCACGCCTGGCTAATTTTGTATTTTTAGTAGAGATTGGGTTTCTCCATGTTGGTCAGGCTGGTCTCAAACTCCTGACCTCAGGTGATCTGCCTGCCTCAGCCTCGCCTGGCCTTTCTAAATGTCCGGGCAGCAGAGCAAGCCCTACTCAGGATTGTTGAACTAATGGGCAGAGAACAGAATTGAGATGATTATAAGAAACAGGAACAACTTGAAACAACCAGGAAGTTTCTATATTATGAAACAGACTAAACTTTGATCAGAACAGTTAACAGATGGCTCTGAAATTAGCCTACTGCCTTCAGACAGTGACAGGTATAAGAAGAGATTTTGTAAGTCTGATGCAGACCAGAAAGGCTTTATTACCATTGTTGATGTTCCATGTGTATTAGAGAGTATCAATGTCCAAATGGATGAAAATACACTCCATGAAATTCTAAATGAAGTCGATTTGAATAAAAATGGACAGGTTGAACTCAATGAATTTTTGCAGCTGATGAGTGCTATTCAAAAAGGAAGGGTGTCTGGAAGCCGGCTCTTTATACTAATGAAAACTGCAGAAGAGAACCTCGACAGAAGAGTCCCAATTCCAGTGGACCATAGTTACAGGAGGGACCGGGCTTAGGATGCGACTGGCCCGAGCAGATCTGTGTTTGTTAAACAGGTCTTGTTTGTGCATATTTTGCTATGAATGAAGTTCCTTTAAGGACAAAGAAAAGCACACTTTTCTTCTTTTGAGCATATCTGCTTTTACTTAAAATCTGCTAAATGCTAAAACACACGGTCCTTCACCAATCCCAGAGACTCGTTTGGAAATGAACTGATTTCAAGCCATTACTGTGAATAAAGCACCCCAGCATTTTGTGTAAATTCTTTTTTTTTTTTTTTTTTTTTCCCGAGATGGAGCCTTGGTCTGTCGCCCAGGCTGGAGTGCGGTGGTGCAATCTCGGCTCACTGCAACCTCTGCCTCCCAGGTTCAAGCAATTCTTTTGCTTCAGCCCCCCGGGTAGTGAGGATTACAGGCACCCGCCACCACATCTGGCTAATTTTTGTATTTTTAGTAGAGATGGGGTTTCACCATGTTGGTCAGGCTGGTCTCAAACTCCTGACCTCGTGATCCACCCACCTCAGCCTCCCAAAGTGCTGGGATTACAGTCGTGAGCCACTGCACCCAGCCATAAGTTCTGAATTAAGCCTGTACAGCTTCCTTACCTGATTTAAGAAAGGGAGACAAGAAATAGGGGGGAATGAGCTTCTTTGAAATTCGTTCCAAGAACAAAAGAAAAAATTTTCCATTTGCATATAAACTTGACATTAGTTGATTCTGTTGGGGTTGGGGTGGGTATGCAGGGATTGCCTTTTATTATCAAGTGATTTATTTCAAGAGCCTTTAAGGGGAGTCAGGTGAAGGAACCCCCATCTGTGCTAGAGAGTTGGATACTCCTTTAAATAGCCCCACCACAGTCATAACAATAATGATAATGCTGGATTATTTGTTTAGCCACGGTGGTCTGCCTCATATCCATCATGCTGTTTGCAATATTCCTGCTTTCAATCAATTTATACTGAGTGTATTAGGATTTCTGCTATTAAATGCGTGATCCCTCTTCTGCTTCAGTTTCTGGCTTGGCTTTGTCTGTTTCAAAATATGTAGCTTCCTCTTTGGCACAACAAAAAACTCATTTTCACTTTTATTAAATATACGGTGTTATCATTGATTTTATTTTCTCTTATGTATCTGTAAAGATTTTTGGCACATAAATGTAATATTAAAGTCAGTGATGCTATAACTTGCAATGTTTGCATCATGTCCACCTTTTTTAAGGAGTGAAAAAGCCCTAGTATGTTTTTAAAGAATAGCCAGTGCAAGCTCAGTACTAGAGTGACTACACACACTGCATGTTTTCATATGTGGCACTTTGATGTACCGTGTTGGGTTATTGTTCTAGATTGGACTGTTAAATACTATGTTCAAGGCTGGGTTGTCATTTTTATAAAGGTCTTGGTGTTTTATGGCCATTATTTATTACTTTTGATATAGAGAATGAGCTACGTGCATTTATAAAGCAATAAGAGGATGTATTTAATGTGCCTTGTTTTGAACTGAATAAGAACCGGAAGCATGAATCAATAAAACTGATTAAAATGGTCAAAAAAAAAAGCTGGTGAAGTATTTATGTTTTCCTTTAAAACACATGCAGAACACATATACGCATGCTTGCGTGCACGCACACACACAACTCACACACACAACTCTCACACACACACACACACCAGCCAAACAGTCCACCTAAATGGCGCTGTGGTGGTGAGAGCTCTGGGCAATGGAATCTTACCAAACGTGCAGTGCTCTGTTTTGGAGACAGTGACACCCTTTTTGTTTATTTCAGATATAAAACAATGCAGGCTTTGTCCTGAATATCATTATCCAAACAAGAAAAGGGAACATACCTTCTCAAATAGGAGACCTTCCTGGCCTATGATGAAACTTTGGGCCTGACTCTGGCATGCACAGCCTTGTTCTACTCTGTCCTCTCTGTTCTGATCCTTGTGGAGTTTGTGTGGCACCAAAACACTCCCATAGTCAAGGCCAGCAACCAGACTCTGAGCTACACCCTCCTTGTCTCCCTCACACTCTGCTTTCTCTCTTCCTCGCTCTTCATCGGCCGCCCCAGCCCTGCCACCTGCCTCCTCTCACAGACCACCTTTGCAGCTGTGTTCACAGTGGCTGTGTTTTCTGCAGGGCCTTCCAGGCTATAAGGCCAGAAAGCAGGATCCGAAAGTGGATGGGTCCCCAAAAAACAAATTCTGTTGTCTTCCTTTGCTCCTTTACCCAAGTGACCCTCTGTGGAATCTGGCTGGGGACAGAGCCTCCCTTCGTAAACAAGGACCCTCAGTTCATGCCTGGCTACATCATTATCCAGTGTAATGAGGGCTCCGTCACTGCCTTCTACTCTGTCTTGGGCTACTTGGGCTTCTTGGTTTTAGGGTCCCTTGCTGTAGCCTTTCTGGCAAGGAACCTGCCTGATGCTTTCAACGAAGCCAAGTTCCTGACCTTCAGCATGCTGGTGTCCTGCAGTGTCTGGGTGGCCTTCCTCCCGAGTTACTAAAGCACCCAGGGCAAGGCCAGAGTGGCCGTGAGATCTTCTCCATCGTGGGCTCCAGCACTGGGTTACTTGGCTGCATCTTTGCTCCCAAGTGCTATGTGATCCTCCTTCATCTAGAAAGGAACACTATTCAATGTTTAAAGAAGCCTAGTCCAGGCATGGTGGCTCACACCTGTAATCCCAGCACTCTGGAGGCCAAGGCGGCTGGATCGCTTGAGCCCAGGAGTTCGAGACCAGCCTGGGCAATGTGGCAAAACCCCATCTCTACAAAATATACAGAAATTAGCTGCAGGTGGTGGCATGCGCCTGTAGTCCCAGCTACTCAGGTGGCGGAGGTGGGAGGATTGCTTAAGCCCAGGAGGTCAAGGCTACAGTGAGCCAAGATCACACCACTGCACTCTAGCCTGGAAAACAGAGCATGACTCTGTCTAAATAAATAAATAAGAAGCCTGAGAAACCATAAACAGACCAAACAATAAACAGGCTGAGAAGAGGAATTGTAATGATCATTAGTGGCAGAGAATTTGTAACCTGATTGTGGAAAGCACATCTGAAAACAAAGATTGAATGAACTATTTGAAAAAAATGGCAATGAAAGAAAATTTACAGAGGCAAAACCTGAATATCCAGTGAATAATAAAAAGATTCTGGCTGGCTCAAAGGTAGTGAGTTCTACCAATGTATTGTCCACAGTCAGTTACAGACCAAATTCCTTGGTCTACTCTTTCCCCCCTCCTCACTAATGCACTTGACTAGTCTTTAACGAAGAAAAAAAAAATATGCTAATCCTGATAGTCAAAAATTCAAATTTAAAAAACCATAAAATAGTTAATTACTTCTCACTACAATGGCAAAAATTACAAATCTGGAATCAGTAAGTGTTGATTGGGATGTGGAGCACAATAAGGGCATTGGGTAGGGTGAGGTCTGTGAAGATGACGGAACTACTGACCGGGATTTTAGCACCGAAATTAACCTCAAAGCTCAATTGCGCACCCCTTGGTTATGTTGTTACAGATGGTGCAATGCTGGGCCACAGAGCTTGCCCCAGGTCCCCAAGCAAAGTCAGTGGCACTGCCTGGACTGGAAGTTCATCCCCATCCATTTTCACGTGCGGAGTCTCAGGGCTCAGTAAAGAACCATGATTGACGGAGGTCACACAGCAACTGGTATGACAGGGACAGGTTTCCGGAATTCCAGTGTCTTAACACCAAAGCCTGTAGTATTTCTCAGAGAGAACAACACCACTGCTCGTGTGTGCTCAGAAGAAAGTTTAGTGGTCGTAACATCCAATACATCCAACCTGCAGATCAATACACAAAGACCCTGGAGGAAGGTGGGGCGGTAACTTGTCCAAATCTCCAAAGAAAAGGTAAGAATGGTGATCATCAAAGCCGCTGACATTTGAAGGGTCATTGTGTGCTGGCCATTGCTCTGAGGTTCCCTTAATTCTCACAACCACCACCTAAATTTTAACATCAAATTCTAACATCATCCTCACTTTACCTATGCGGAAACTGAGACACAGAGTGTGTCTCTTGCCCGGGGCCCTGAAATAGTAAGGGAGCACAGCAGGGGTACCAGACATTATTTCACAAAAAGGGAAACTGAGGCCCAGAGAGGGTGAAAGGTCACCGGCTCACCCTTTCCGGGACGAGTGGTATAGGGTAGGTGGCCTCAAAGACAGAGCTTGGCTGAGAACCCACAGCCCCTTCACATCAGCTTTCTCCCCTCCCGTGGGCAGCTATGAAGTCACAGGGGAACTGGGAGGGGCCGTTACCATGGAGACTCGAAGCCCATTCAGAGAATAGGGTGGAATCTGCGAGTCGCCCTCATCTCCCAGGGCACCACTTTGGAGCCAGCATTTTCGGCCTCGGAAATGAGACCCAGAGCGCCTCGCGCGAGCAGCCCCAACCTCCCCGCAGACGACATGCGACACCGCCCGGGTGACCCAGGCTCGGGAATCTCTAGGCTTCACGGACGCAGAACCAGGGAAGACACGCCTCAATGCGCGTGTGCAACTCTATCCCGTCCTTTAAAGAAGGCCATGTGGCCTCTTCACCAATCGGAATCCTGCTTTTTCCCTGGTCCCGCCTTATTCCCAGACTTCCGGCGTCTCGCTGGCCGCAAAACAACCCTAAACTACAGGGCTCGGCGACTCCCAGAGACTTCTGGGTATTGTAGTCCTAAAGGTTCAGAGCGACAAGAGCACGTTTTAGTAAAAAGCAGCTTAGAATAAAATGCCTGCACTAGTAATGATTCGGCGAGTTGGAAACGCTTGTTAGATGCTTTCACTCACTGTTATTTGTGGGGGAAGCAGGAGTGAAGGAGCAGGAAGGCGGCCGCAGAGGCTTCTGGGAATTCTAGTTCAGCCCTCTGAGCAAGGGCTGGGAGTTGCGACCCCCGCCCCGGATCCGGAAGTGGTCGCCGAGGCCTCCTAGCAGCCAATGTGAATGCGACAAGTTCCCGATCCAGGCGTCCCGCTCTCCCCGGCCCCACTCGCCAGGTCCTACCACGATGCCTGACTCGTTTGCGGCTTTGGGACCGGTTGTAGGTGGCTTGACCGTCACTAGTAGACGTTTCTGAGTGTGTCGCGGTCACCATGGTAACGACTTTAGCTTCCCTTCCGCCCTTGCGGTGACGTCACTGGCGGAGGCCGGACTGGGGTGGGTTGGGGAGAGGGAGGGCGCATGCGCCTGGGGCGGGGACGTGGGAGGAGGGGGAGATTCGTGGGAGGACCGAGCCCGGGGATGGGACTGGAGGAGTTTCCGTGACCTTGCGGGCTGTTTGTGCTGAGGGACAGCTTTATTTAAATAATAATATGCGTGCAGGCGCCCTGCATGATTCCTGGCCGCGTGCTTTCTAGTAAGTGCGCAGAGACTTTTCGCAAGAATTGATTCACTCTTTTTTCCTTCCCTCCCGATTTTTGATTGGAAACCCAGACTTCCTTTCACGCCTGTCGCCAGGTTAACTAGGTCACTGTTTGCTCTCAGGAGCAACCCTGCCTCCCGCAGTTCGCTTGGTCCTTGATTACAGGTTCGTGCTGTGCATTCATTCATTCACTGAGAGCCGAATAAGTGCTAGTGGCCAAGGAGACAGCAGTGAGCTCAACAGCTGAATGGCCTCAGACCTTACCGAGTTTCTCAATACCAGGGTTATTGACACTGGGGACAGACATTGCTTTGTTGTGGGGGGCTGCCCTGTGCGTGGTAGGATATTGAGGATCTTCCCTCACCTCACCCACTGGATGCCAGGAAAAATTCTCTCCAGCCCCTAGCTCCTGGTCGTGACAACCAAAAATGTCTCCAGACATTGCCAAATGTCCCCTGGGGGCTGAAGTCAGCCTACTGAGAACTGCTGCCCTAAAAGTTTTCCTGAACACTCTTCTATACCTTCCCATAACTTGGTCACCCAGTAAACTCTCACCAGATGATTGAAATCTGATATGAATGTCTGGACATGATCTGACACATTAACTTCATTTTACATCAAATTTAAGAGCACTCCCATCATCAAAGGGAAGGGATAATTAAATGTACAAAGGCCATTAATGGTATCCAGGAGAAGTTACAAAAAACTAACATCAAGCACCTGGACATATAATCATCTGGTTAGCGTATGAAACCTCCTAATGATAAAAGAATTTATAAAGCTAGTTTAAAAATTAGTTACTACTGGGTTCCACCAAAATAAAATACATCATTTTTGCCTAACTTACCTACGGAGGGATTGGCATTCTCTTCTGATATGGTTTGGCTGTGTCCCCACCCAAATCTCATCTTGAATTCCCACATGTGGGAGGGACCCCGTGGGAGGTAATTGAATCATGGGGGCAGGTCTTTCCCATGCTGTTCTTGTGATAGTGAATAAGTCTCACGAGATCTGATGGTTTTTTATAAAGGGGAGGTTCCCTGCTCAAGCTCTCTTCTCTTGTCTGCTGCCATGTGAGACGTGCCTTTGACCTTCTGCCATGATTGTGAGGCCTCCCCAGCCACGTGAAACTGTAAGTCCATTAAACCTTTCTTTTGTAAATTGCCCAGTCTTGGATATGTCTTTATCAGCAGCGTGAAAACAGACTAATACATCTTCCATCTGTCTGTCATCAACTTACTGGGTGGTTTCCGTGGCTTTTAGCAGTTTCTTTATTACATTTTAAAGGATCAGCCCTGTTTGCACATGAGTTGCTGTAAGAAAAGACAAGAGCTTCCTATGAGCTGTTATGCAAACACAGCCATATCAACTCAGTCAGAATGTCTGGAGATGGGAGCCCAGACCTCTGCACTTACAAATAAACAATCATAATCATAGCAGCAGCAGTAACAGTAACTGGCGCTAACAAGCATGGTGTGCTGACAATGCCTGAACTATGGTTGCAGGATTTCTGTGGAAACACCATCTTTAATTCCCACGATGACTGTATGAAATAGGTGCAGTCTACATCCCCATTTAACAGAGGAGGACATGGGGACACAAACACGTAAGATAAGTGCAGCTGAAGAGTGGAATATTTTTTATTTTACATTTTTAATTTTGGGATAATTTTATATTTACAGAAAAGTTGCAATGATACAGTACAGAGCATTCTCATGTACCCCTTCCCCACTGCCACTACTGTTAACATCTTATATAAGCCTAGTAGATATGTCAGAACCGTAACATTGCTACAGTACTGTTAACGCCAGACTTTATTCACATTTCCCCAGTTTTTTCTCTAACGTCCTTTTCCTGTGCTGGGGTCACATGTGGGACACCACATGACATTTAGTTGCCATGTCTTCCTGCCCTCCTCTGATCTGCAGCAGTGTGTCTGACTCTCCTTGTTTTTAATGATTTTGACAGTTTTGAGGTGTACGGACTAGGTGTTCTGTAAAATGTCCCTCCATTTGGAATTGTATGATGCTTGCTTATGACTAGACTTGGATTATGGGCAGGAACTGACTTGTAAAGTTTTTTTAATTTTAATGAAAAATTTTAAATTGATACTTGGTTCAGTTATCAGACAACCTTTAACCCTGTTTGGAACAACTTGGATATGTGGATCTACTCTTTAACTATAAATGTTAGAAAATATAATTGCAGATCAATTTTAGCATTCAAATTGAGATGTGCCATAAGTGAAAAATACACAATGGATTTCAAAGACTTCATACAAAATGAAGGATATAACTGATCTCATTAATAATTTTTTTTATTGACTACATGTTGAAATGTATCTTGGATATATTGAATTAAATCGTACATATTATTCAAATTGATTTTACCGGGCTTCTGGGCTAGTAGGAAGTGTGAAATAAGTGTGGCTCACAGATTTTTATTGGATAACACTGCCCTAGATAATAACAATACATTAATTGAGAACTATGTGCCAGGCAGTGTGTTTTAGAAATATTATCTTATTTAGAACACGTGAACACATAGGGGTGAACAACACGCACTGGGGCCTGTCGGGGTATGGGATTGTGGGGAGGGAGAGCATTGGAAAAATAGCTAATGCCTGCTGGGCTGAATACCTAGGTGATGGATTGATAGGGGCAGCAAACTACCATGGCACACATTTACCTGTGTAACAAAACTGCACAGCCTGCACATGTATCGTGGAACTTAAAAATATATATATATTATCTCATTTAAACTTTACCTCTATGAGGCAAACTCAGTAGACTGTTTCTTAAACTCCACTTTAAAATGATCCCTGGGGTAAAAGAATTTTCCATCCGTCTATGAAATATACCAACTGATGCTTCAGGCTCACTGAATGCCCCTGGCTAGTGCAGTGCTTTCTAATATGCCTTCATTCTTCTCTATTGGTTCAGTTGTGTGACTACCCAGAGCTAGTTGAGTTGCATTTATTCTAAACCTTTTCATTCTAATGGATTTTATTTCAATTATGTAATGCAATTACATTTAACATAAATGAGGAAAATATGAGTGCATCAGCAAAGAATTGTTTCCACCCAAAACAGTAATTCAGTGGGAAAGATGTGATAAAGGCCGATTGTTAATAAGAGCAACAACAAAAAATATGTCAAGTTGGAATGAGCAAGATGGCTATAGGGATGATCTTTTTCTTTTTTTTAATGCAGTGAGGATTTTGCTTAAATAGCTTTGCAAGCATGCCTGTGTCTCCGCTGCCCTTTTAAGGGACAAACTGGAAATTGTAGGTCCATAGACCTATACAACAACAACAACGAAACCCCCTGGTCTTATATCAAAAGATTAGCAAATGCCTGTACAATTTTATGTTTTAAAACAAAATGGTAAAAGTATTTTTAATTACCTATTGGAACCAACTTATTTGATGAACCAACCAGTGATGGTTCTGATCATGATGATAAGAGAACTTCTACCCTACTGTTACTATCCCCATTTTACAGATGATAAAATAAGGCATTAAGAGACAATACCTTCCCCAAGCCTGCATATCTATTAAGGGGTGGAGCTGGGATTCGAACCCAAGAAACCTGTCTCCAGAGCCAAAGCTTTCAACCAGGACAAGGAACCTCCTCCAGAATAGGCAAGAAACATGCAGGCTGGAGAGCTGGATACGGCTTCCTCCTGGAACAGCCATATCCTCACAACTGTATTTCCTCAGGACGGTGGGGGCAGCCCCAAATCTTTACACAAAAGAATACGGACTTTGGAATGAGTCCAACTGGGTCAAATCTCAGCTGTGTAGCTTAGTGTGATGTTGGACGAGCCATCGGTCTCTCTGAGCTGTAGTGTCTTCACCTGTAAAGTGCACAGTTAACTGATAGCGTTTGATTCTTGGTAATCCACCAGCATACCTGTTAGTTTTCAGTGTTGGGCGAATGGAATAACCCAGCCTTTTCAGCCATTTCAACAAGTATACATTTTATTATGGAAGTAGTGGGGAAAGTTCGAGAACGATCTGGAGGAGAGATTTTAGGGGAAACTCCTGCAGTTGCTCTCTCAGCCGCCCTGGGTGCATCCCCCTAAGGCATGGCCCCCACAGACACCTTCTGGCCATGCCTCTGGGCACCCAGGTGCCATTCCTTAAAGGACCCAGTTCATTACCCTCCACACAGGCAGTCCAGGGGACAGAGAGCTTTCTTCAGAGGTTAGAATGCCTGGGAGATGGAGGCCTTGTGAAGGCTAAGCTGAGATGGAGCAGGCTCACTAGAAAGAACAGCAGGGATCATCCCTAAGAAAGGAGAGAGAAATGTATTTGTGCATTGATTTTCGTCTTCATGCATTCTCATACTCCTTGCCTGGTGCCCTCTCCATCCACCTCTACAGGGCTCTTTGTGACCTGCCTCAAGCCCACCTCCTCCCTCCAGCTTAGCCCATTCTCCCCACTCACTAGGTTCCACCAAGTTTGTCCCTATTCCCACCGGGCTGTTCCAGCAGCTGGAACACGCTTCCCTCAGATCTTATGGACCCTAGCTCTGCCCCATCACCAGGGCAAGTGTCTCCTCCTCAGAGCAGGGCTCTTCTAGAAACCAGCCAGTGGGAAGCAGCGCCCCCTCCAGTTCCTCACTGTCCCGGCGCCGGGCCTGAGCTTGTGTTGCACCCCTACCTCCCACTAGAGGGCGCGCCCCGCAGGAGCAGGGACTGCCCAGGCCTGGCTGGGCTGCACCCCCTAGCCTGGTGTGCTGGAGTCACTCAGAGTTGCAGGAAGAGAACCTTAAGGTTTGCTTCTGGGTGCTGGAGTTCCAGGGATGGATCAGGGGTACTTCCTGCTCCCACAGGGGCTCACAGTCTATGTGAGCAGGGGCCCTCAAACTGTGTTCCGCAGGGCCAACTGCAGCCTGCATCCCTTTTAATAAAGTTTCTTTTTGTAATTGAGGTAAAATGCAAACATAATGCATAACATAAAATTCACCATTTTAACCATTTTGAAAGGGCACAATTTAGTGGCCTTCATTACATTCGCCATGTTGTGCAATTGTCACTTCTAAGAGTGGAACATTTTCATCAACCCAAAAAAGAAATCCATTAAAAGCAGTCACTCCCCTTGTTCCTTCCTCCCCTCAGCCCCTGACAACTAGTAATTGGCCTTCTGTCTCTTTGAATTTGCCAGATCTGTCTGTTTCATATACATGGCATCATCTACTGTGTGATCTTTTGTGTCTGCTTCTTTCACTCAGCACAGTGTTTTCAAGGTTCAGCCGTGTTGTTGCACGTGCCAGGACCCCATTCCTCTTTTGGGGGCTGAATAATAATCCATTGTATGAATGCACTACGTTTTGTTTATCCTTTCATCAGTTGTTGGGTACAGTCACAGCCATCAGTGTATTCTCTACGATTGCTTTGACTAGAGTAGTTGCAACAGACCATATGACCTGAAAAGCCAACACGTAATATTTGGCCCTTCACAGAGAAAGTTTGCCAACCTCTTGCCTAATGGGTTGAAAGCACACCTTTATATGAAAATAACTATCTGGTTTGACCGGTGCTTTAATGTATGGTTGAAGAGAGCCTGAGAAACCGTTCAACACCATTCATTTCCTTCAGCATCCTCCCCAGTGGAATCTGAAGGATTGCTGTTGGTTCCTGAACCAAAGCATTGCTTAGGTGAATCTTGAGGACTGAGGAGGACTTTTCTAGGTAGACAGAGATCAAGGAATCAATGTGTGCAATGGCATAATGGAGCGGGAAAAAAAATGTGATGTTTTGGGGGGAATCAGAAATGATTTAATATGGGGGGGCGTGGTGGCTCATGCCTGTAATCCCAGCACTTTGGGAGGCCGAGGTGGGTGGGTCACCTGAGGTCAGGAGTTCGAGACCAGCCTGGACAACATGGTGAAACTTCATCTCTACTAAAAATACAAAAATTAGCCAGGTGTGGTGGTGCATGCCTGTAATCCCAGCTACTTGGGAGTCTGAGGCAGGAGAATCGTTTGAACCTGGGAGGCAGAGGTTGCAGTGAGCTGAGATTGGGCCACTGTTCTCCAGCCTGGGTGACAGAGTGAGCCTCCATCTCAAAAAAAAAAGACTGGGAGCCACCGCTCACGCCTGTAATCCCAGCACTTTGGGAGGCCGAGGCGGGCGGATCACAAGGTCAAGAGATCGAGACCATCCTGGCCAACATGGTGAAACCCCGTCTCTACTAAAAGTACAAAACTTAGCTGGGCGTGGTGGCACTCGCCTGTAGTCCCAGCTACTTGGGAGGCTGAGGCAGGAGAATTGCTTGAACCCGGGAGGCGGAGGTTGCAGTGAGCCAAGATTGCGCCACTGCGCTCCAGCCTGGCGACAGAGCGAGACCCTGTCTCAAAAAAAAAGGTTTAATATGGACAGGGGATGGAATGTGGGTGGGGGGATCAAGAGAAGTGGAGAAAAGTTTAGAGAAGCAGGAGGAGCTTGGAGCCTGAGAACCCTTGGGTACCATGCCAGAGACCTGAACTTGATCAATGGGGCAGAGGCTTCCTGCCAGGTTCCCTGAAAACTTGGGATCTTTTAGGAATTCCACAAAGGTTTGCTTTGATTTTCATTTCAAAAATTAAACTATTTTTTAAAATAGGTGTGTACCCAAAATATAGCACATGGACTGAAATTTTTATTCACTGGAGAGCCACACCAACCTGTTGCATGTTTTACATACAGACCTTGGGGAAAAAATTGTATTACCTGAAGGGCATGTACACTTCACAAGGCAAACTATTAGGCATTTGCAGTGACTTATCTCTGTGGGCTCAGATTTTTCTCCGTATGAACAATTAAAAGGAAACACTGCAAGATACGGGGTAAAAGAGAGTAACGTAAGACAGCAGAGGCCTTCTGTACCCTGTGCTTGCAAATCTCATCACCTCACTTCATAATAAGTAAATGTCACACAGTTAACCTTAGGAAAAGTACCTCTGGTAATGAAAAGCAACTTAGAATTTTTTATATATTGGGATTCCATGTAAGATTTCAGTAGAAAAGTGTTTTGGATTTTCTTTCTTTTAAAGTTTGAAAGACACTCATCATAGTTGGTGAGTTTCCACTGGTGGATTTAAGCAGGACTGCAGCAGGGGGTGGGGGTATATCGTATGATCGAGTTGACATTTTTTAATGTAAAAAGGGCACTGGGGATGCCAGGGAGAGGATGAAAGGCAGGCGACGTGGGAGAGGCCAGGGAGGAGCCTCTTTGTAGCTATCAAGGGAAGAGAAATCTCCCATCTGTCCTTAGTACTTTCTCTGGCGACGTGGGAGAGGCCAGGGAGGAGCCTCTTTGTAGCTATCAAGGGAAGAGAAATCTCCCATCTGTCCTTAGTACTTTCTCTGGCAACAGGGGAGAGGCCGGGGGGGACCCTCTTTGCAGATACCGAGGGAAGAGAAGTCTCCCATCTGTCCTTAGTACTTTCTCTGGCGACGTGGGAGAGGCCAGGGAGGAGCCTCTTTGTAGCTATCAAGGGAAGAGAAGTCTCCCATCTGTCCTTAGTACTTTCTCTGGCGACGTGGGAGAGGCCAGGGAGGAGCCTCTTTGTAGCTATCAAGGGAAGAGAAATCTCCCATCTGTCCTTAGTACTTTCTCTGGCGACGTGGGAGAAGCCAGGGAGGAGCCTCTTTGTAGCTATCAAGGGAAGAGAAATCTCCCATCTGTCCTTAGTACTTTCTCTGGCAACAGGGGAGAGGCCGGGGGGGACCCTCTTTGCAGATACCGAGGGAAGAGAAGTCTCCCATCTGTCCTTAGTACTTTCTCTGGCGACGTGGGAGAGGCCAGGGAGGAGCCTCTTTGTAGCTATCAAGGGAAGAGAAATCTCCCATCTGTCCTTAGTACTTTCTCTGGCGACGTGGGAGAAGCCAGGGAGGAGCCTCTTTGTAGCTATCAAGGGAAGAGAAATCTCCCATCTGTCCTTAGTACTTTCTCTGGCAACAGGGGAGAGGCCGGGGGGGACCCTCTTTGCAGATACCGAGGGAAGAGAAGTCTCCCATCTGTCCTTAGTACTTTCTCTGGCGACGTGGGAGAGGCCAGGGAGGAGCCTCTTTGTAGCTATCAAGGGAAGAGAAATCTCCCATCTGTCCTTAGTACTTTCTCTGGCGATGCGGGAGAGGCCAGGGGGACCCTCTTTGCAGCTATCGAGGGAAGAGAAACCTCCCATCTGTCTTTCGTACTTTCTCTCCGTACCCTGGACCCTAGCCTTGACCAGGCTACCGTCATCTCGTGGAAACTGAGTAGCCTCTTAACTGGCCTCTACACTTCATGTCACTGGGACGTGTCTCTTTCTCACTGACAGCCTTTCCGTGGCTTCCCATGGCTCTGAAGGTTGGGTCTAAAATGCTTGCTCTAATCTTCCAGGTCTGAGGTGGTCTGCTGAGCATGTCACCCACACTCCTCCCATAGTGCCCTCCCACTCCCTCCCCCTTCTCCTGCCCCCATTTTTCTTTCTGACTCCAGGCACATCTAGGCCACTTTCCACCCCAGGGCCTTCGTACAAGCCAGTTCCTTCACCTGGAGGCTCTTTCACTTGTTTTCTGTGTATCTGACAACCCCTCATTCTACAGGCCTTTGATTCATTGTCACTTTCCTAAAGAGGCTTTCCTTCATCACCCAACTATCCAGGGCAAGGTTCTTTAGTTCTCTTTTTCATCATATCCTCAGCTTTTCCTCTAGCTCTAAGTATCACCTGTAATCATCTAATTGTTTTCTTGTGAGCTCAGGAATCTTGTCTGCCCCGTTCACTACTGCATCCAGGATGCATCAGTGGGTCGTTATAAACACAGAATTATCATATGACCTAGCAATTCCACTCCTAGTTTGTACCCCAAAAGATTTTAAAACAGATATTCTAACATAACTTGTTCATAGCACCACGACTCACAACAGTCAAAAGGTGGGAGCAACCCAGTGCACTTTACCTGATGATGGATAAACAAAGTGTGCTATGTCCATGCCGTGGAGTGTTATCCAGCAGAAACGAATACAGTCCTGATACAAGGTATACCATGATGAACCTTGGAAATATTATGCCAAATGAATAAACCCAGATGCAAAGGGCCACGTAGTGTATGATTCCATGTGTATGAAATGACCAGAGTAGGTGAGTTCTCAGAGACAGAGAGTAGACTAGTGGTTGCCAGGAACAGGGGGAAGAGACGATGTCTTGGTACAGAGTTCCCTTTTAGGATGATGAGAAGATTCTGGAAACAGATTAGTGGTGATGGCCACACAATATTTTGAGTGTACTGAATGTCACTAATGGTTAATTTTATGTCGTGTGTGTTGGGCCACAAGTCCTAAGACTTGTGAAAAAATTATAGAGTGAATTTATAAAGGAGTTCCTCCTGCCCGGCACATCCCTGTCATTTACAATGTGTTTCCTTGCCCCTGTCAGGCAGTGGCTTGCAAGTAAGGGTGACGAACTTGGGACTTCTCATGGAATTCTGGGTTTCTATGATTGCAGCTTCCAAATCCACCTGTGTTCCTTACCTCAAATGCCAGGCAGTTGGGATGAACCTCCCCTAACCCCACCCCAGCGGTGGGAAAAGCCCACTTCCCTGCCATAGCATACCTGATGTCCAGTTCCAAGTTACAGTAGTGGCAGTAACACTTGGGAGGAAAAAGTGAACTGGGAACAGAGAAAGAAACAGTTGGGGTGAGGCGAGTGAATTCCTTCCTTACCTCCCTTTCTCCCCATCCCCCTCTCGCTTCTTTCCCGTCCTCCCCCTCTGCTCTTTCCCTCTGGTTGTAACATCTTCTGGTCTTGCTTCTCTATTCAGCCCGCCTCTCACCACTCCCACCTTCTTCCCCATCTTCCAGCCAGTTCTCCTCATCCCCATAAGCAGCACAATCCCCTAAGCTGGGGTTTCTCAGCCTCAGGTTCCTGACGTTTTGACCTGGGTTATTTTTGTCGTGGCGTGTTGTCCTGGGCCGTATGGCAGGTTGAGTGGCCTCCCTGGCCTCTGCCCACTGGATGCCAGTCGAGCTCCCTCCTCCAGCTGTCACAACCAATCCTGTGGTCCAGACACTGCTGAGTGTCTCCTGGGTGGCAACGTCACCCCCGTTTCAGAACCACTAGCATAACTGAAGTCACTGTCTCAGGCTCATCTCCCTGGTCTCTCCATTTTCCTTATTCCTCACACCCAGCGCATAAGCAGTTCCTTTAGAACTGCTGCACGGCTCTCATCTCCATGAGCACCGCCAGGTCCCCTGCGCTGGCTGGTCGGGCCTCCTCTCAGTGTGTCTCCTCCTCTCAGTCTGTCTGCTCCCACTCTCGCCCTGATTCCGATCCACTCTCCACAGGCAGCATTGAGAAGGATCCTTTGATAACTCAGAAGGGATCTTGCTGGCGGCTGTCCACTAGCTTAGAACACAAGCTTCCTTCTCGTGGTCTATGAGAACCTTACATGACCTGGACCCCCCTGCCCCTCTCAGGTCACATAGATGTTCCTTTGGTTCCTCGAAGGTACTCAGTGTGTTCCTGCCTCAGGGTCTGCTGTGCATGCCTGCTTTGCTTGCAGTGGTTGCCCCCAAGCTGCTCTGAAGGCAAGATCCTTCCACTGTCTCATCTCTTATGTCCAGACGTTACCTGCCCGGGGAAGGCTGCCCGTGGCCATGGCTGCTCACTCTGTGATATCACCCTGATTTAGTTCATGTTTTTTGGAGCTGGCTGCTTGTTTCTCTGCAGTCCTCCTGCTATCCCAAACATGGGAGCCCTGGGGACTCAAGGACCTTATGGGTTCCGTTCTTCTCTGAGTCCCCAGCATCTAGGATGGGTCCTCTACACACGTGAATATTTGAAGACTGACTGAATCAATGAATGAAGGATGACTTGTCCTTCCTTCCATCCCTCCTTCCCTTCCGTCTTGCCTCCCTCCCTCCCTCCCTCCTTTCCTTCCTTTCCTTCTTTTTTTTTCTATTTACTTTAATTTTTTGAGACAGAGTCTCACTCTGTCACCCAGGCTGGTGTGATCTTGGCTCACTGCAACCTCTGCTTCCCAGGTTCAAGTGATTCTCCTGCCTCAGCCTCCCGAGCAGCTGGGATTACAGGCATGCGCCACCATGCCCGGCTATTTTTTGTATTTTTAGTAGAGACGGGGTTTCACCATGTTGACCAGGCTGGTCTTGAACTCCTGACCTCGTGATCCAGCCGCCTCAGCCTCCCACAGTGCTGCGATGACAAGCGTGAGCCACCGTGCCCGGCCTGGCTTGTAGTTTCTTGCACCCTGCCTTATTTTCACCTCTCTGAGTCTCGCACATGGTGTTTCTCTGGAATGCTTCCCCTGCTTCCCCTCCTCAATTGGCTAATTCCATTCTGTCCTTAACCCACAGCAGAGGTGTCACCTCCTGCAGAAAGGCTTCCATGAGCCCACACTTCCCCTAGGCTGAGATAAGCGCCACTGCCTCCTGCACTAGCACCTGCTCATGAAGTGCTACCACTCGGTGATCTGGTTCTCTCTGTGGATGTCTGCCTCCCTTACAGAATTAGGACCTTCTTGAAGGTAGCTCAACCATCAGAGTCCCCAGCAACCAGCAACAGGCTTGGTCCTTATGAACGTCCCTTAGAAAGAACAAGAGACAGCGGCAGAGAGAGAGGCAGAATGAGTGACAGTATTTCAAAGGAGCCCCTGGGGCTGTGTTAGTGCAGAAGGGAGAAGTTTTATCCCAGTCTAGAGGTGGGAGGGAGGGAAGAAGGAAAGAGAAGGAAGGAGAGAGAAGGAGGGAAGGAGGAAGGAAAGAACAGGGAGGGGGGGAAGAAAAGGAAGGGAGGAGGAGGGAGGGAGGAAGAGGGAGAGGAAGAAGAGGGAGAGGAAGAAAAGGGGGAGGAAGAAAAGGAAGGGGGGAGGGAGGGAGGAACGGGGAGGAAGAAGAGGGAGGGAGGGAGGAAGGAAAGAAGGGCAGAGAGGGAAGAAGGATGGGAAGGAAGAAGGGAGGGAGGAAGCAGACGGAGAGAGGAAGAAAGGAAGGAAGGGAGAAAGGGAGGGATGAAGGGAGGAGGAAAGAATAGGGAGGGAGGAGAGAGAAGGAGGAAGTAAGGGAGGGAAGAAAAAAGGAAGAGGAAAGGGAAGGAGGAAGGGGAGGGAGGGAGGGAGAAAAGAGGGAAGAAGGAGAGAGGAAGGAAGAATGAAATGAGAGATGGAGGCGGGTGGGAGAGTGGGAAGAAGAGAGTGTTTTACAGAAGGGCTCTCCCACCACTTCCTGCTTGGCACCTCTGAGGCACCCTCCTTCGCTTCCTCTGTGCCCCCACTTCCCTCCTCTTTCCTTCCTCTCCTCACACTCCTCCCCTCCGTGCTGCCTTCTTCTTACCCAGTCCCCTTTGTTGTAGGATACGAAGAGGTAGGTCATCACCATGTAGGCGCATTTCAGGAAGTTCCACGTGTTCTTCCTCTTGGGGAGTGGTTTCCTGGATGGGGTGGTGCCTGAGAAGGGTTTAACTGGAGAGAACCGTGGAGATGATTGATGCTGATGGCCTTCCCTTCCTGCCTTAGAGCTTCCTGTCACTGCTGTCTCTCCATTCTGATCTCCAAACTCACATCTCTGCCTGCCTCCTGAATTGAAATTTTGGTCCACACCCACCATCACTGCCAGCTTCCCCCTTCTTGGTTACCACCATACTCCAGACAAACAGTCAGGAATGCCTTTTGGCTCTCCCACCTCACATCCAAGACATCACCAAATCTGACCCTGTCTTGCCCAGATTTCTCACCAAACTGTCAGAGGGGTTTGAACCAGAGTGACTCCGTCTTGAATAGGGGCTGGGTAAAATGAGGCTGAGCCCTACTGGGCTACATTCCCAGTAGGTTAAGGCATTCTTAGTCACAGGATGACAATAGGAGGTTGGCACAAGATACAAGTCGCAAAGACCCTGCTGATAAAACAGGTTGCGGTAAAGAAGCTGCCAAAACCCACCGAAACCAAGATAGCGATTCAAGTGACCTCTGGTGGTCCTCACTGCTCATTATATACTAATTATAATGCATTAGCAGGCTAAGAGACACGCCCACCAGTACCATGACAGTTCACAGATGGCATGGCAACTTCAGGAAGTTCCCCTACTGGCCTAAAAAGGGGAGGCACCCTCAGCTCCAGGAAATCTCCACTCCTTCCCTGGAAAACTCATAAATAATCCACCCCTTGTTTATCATATATTCAGGAAATAACTATAAGGAGACTCAGTCCAGCAGTCCTTGCTGCTGCTCTGCCTATGGAGTAGCCAGTCTTTTATTCCTTTACTTTCTTAATAAACTTGCTTTCACTTTATGGACTTGCCTCAAATTCTTTCTTGCACGAGATTCAAGAACCCTCTCTGGGGGTCTTGATCGGGACCCCTTTCTGGTAACAAAACCACCACCTCTCCCCCATCCCCAGGCTTCAGGCTCTGCTCTTGATGGCTGCCTCTGCCCACTACGCCATCCTTTCTCTTTCTCATCCATCTCCCACATGAGTGCCAGCAGGATCTTTCTAGCACCAGATCCGACCGTGTCGCTTTCTTATGTCAAACCTCATGAGGTGCAAGAGTGTTTCTTTCGCCTGTGTAACATTTTTCCCTTGTCTTTTTATTTTAAAAGTATTACATTCAGAAAATCTCATTTTTTTTTTACACGTAAACCTGTCTGTCTAAACAGGTTTCCAATCAAAAAATAAAACATTACCAGTGTACAGGCAAATGCAAATCGAAAACGAAAAAAAATGAATTCTCCCTGTTGAAAATTCAGGAAGCGATTACTCCTTGTCCCCTTTGCTTAGAGCATTTACTTTAGAAAATTTTGCCATTGCAAGTCTCTCTCTCTTCAACGTTTACACTAATCTTTTTCAAAGCTAAGTAAGCCTGCGGCCAGCATTATGACCCAGGAGGGTGTTTTCAAGGACCTCGAAACATCTTCCCCAGCTTCTTGTTGGGAGGGGATGGAGCCTAACTTTGGTGGGCACCTCACCCCAAGTAGCAAATCTACCTCCTGTGATAAAGATACTAGAAGTTTATTTTTCCCTTGGATTAAGCCAATTAACAAACACAGTTGGCTATCCCAATAACCAAGTGAATTTACGGTGAACCATGTACAGCAAATAGAGCTGTCAAGTTCTTTAACTTGAGGACTAGCTGTTGTTTATCTTGAGAGCAGGTATGTAATAAGTTGTATCTGCTTGGCTATATAAAAGGGTGAAATTTTTTTTTTCTGTCTTTGCAGTCTCTTCGCATATCATGTTCTGGTTTAATGCTTACCCATTAATAAAACTATTTTCTTTCTCTTCTACCTGGGTGGAGAAGAGCTCTGGGTTTGGAGGATATTTTGTTTTTAATTATATTTCACCAACACCAGCATATCCCAAGCCTCTCAGATATACCCTCCCAATCAAAGGTACACAATCACATCTATAAAAAATGAGGCTCATCTTTCTTTCTTCACAATCCTTTTGCCTATTATTACCTTTCTCTTGCCTGGCTAGGATTTGCACTGGATAGAACGTTCAGTCCAATGTGAAATGCAAGTGGTGATAGCAAGAACGTCTCATCTGTGATCTCAGAGGGAACATGTTCTACACCCTCAGCCCTCTGTGTCGCTGGACTCTGCATCTGAGGACCCAGCCAAAAACTGGTCAAAAATACTTTTTAAAATCCCAATAAAAATAGCAATACAACAATAAAAACAATACAAAAATATAACAGTACAATAACTAAGGAGCATTTACATTGTATTATAAGTAATCTAGAGATGATTTAAAGTGTGCAGGAGGCTGTTCATAGGTTAAATGCAAGCATTATGCTATTTATATCACGGACTTGAACATCAAGGAATTTTGCTATCTGCGGGGAGGTCCTGGACCCAACCCCTGAGGATACTGAGGGACAACTGTGTTTTACCTTAAACAGCTTGTTCTTTGTAAGTTTTTGGTGGCTATTCCTTATTATATTAAGCTGTTCTCTCTACTCCTAGCTAGCTGAGATTTTTTTTTTTTTTAATCATGAACAAGGCTGGGCATGGTGGCTTATGTCTGTAATTCCAGCACTTTGGGAATCTGAGGCGGGAGGCTCACTTGGGCCCAGGAATTTGAGACCAGCCTGGGCAACATAGGGAGACCCAAACTCTACAAAAAATTTAATAAATTAGCTGGGTGTGGTGTCTCGTGCCTGTGGTCCCAGCTACTCAGAGGCTGTAGAGGGGAGGATCACTTGAGCCTAGGAGTTTAGGGCTGTGGTGAGCCGTGATCATACCACTGCACTCCAGCCTGGGCAACAAAGCTAGACCGTGTCTCAAAAAAAAAATAATGTAAGCTGTAAAATCTTACCATATTCTTTTTCTGTATCTACTGAAATGATAATGTGCTTGTTTTCTTTTATGTTAATAAGGTGGGAATACCATATATTTGTTTTTACCTATTAAACCATTGTCGCATTGCTGGAATAAAGTGAATTTAGTCATGATTGTTTAACATGTATTGCCAAATTGCACTTGCTAATATTTAGTCTAGGATTTTCCATCTATATTTATGAGGAAGATTGGCCTGAAATTTTCCTTTGTCGTATTTGTCAGATCTTTTATCAAGGTTATTCTGTCCTAAAACCGAGTTGGGAAATGACTGTTTTTAATTTTCTGGAAGATTTCCTGTAAGATCAATGTGATTTCTTCCTTTTAATTCACTATTAAAGCTAACTTGATCCTGAAAGACTTTTTTGTGTGTGGTAAGGCTATTTAATTACAGGTGGCATTTCTTTAATAGATAGAGGATTATTCAGATTTTTTTTTTTTTTTTGAGATGGAGTCTTGCTCTGTTGCCAGTCTGGAGTACAGTGGCACGATCTCAGCTCACTGCAGCTTCCGCCTCCCAGGTTCAAGTGATTCTCCTGCCTCAGCCTCCCGAGTAGCTGGGACTACAGGCACCCGCCACCACGCCTGGCTAATTTTTTTGTATTTTTAGTAGAGACGGGGTTTCACCAGACGGGGTTTCATCATGTTGGGTGGGATGGTCTCAATCTCCTGACCTTGTGATCCGCCTGCCTCGGCCTCCCAGAATGCTGGGATTACAGATGTGAGCCACCGCGCCCAGCCCAGATTTTTTATATCATTTCATTTGTTTTTGGTAATTTGTGTTTTTTTGGGATTTTGTCCGTTTTATCTAAACTTTCAATTTTATTGGCATAAAGTTTCTCCAATGATCACCTTATTGTTATTTTGTTACCTGCAAGATCTGCTATGATACTCTCTTCTTCCTTCCAAATATTGGCAGTTTGTTTCTCCTCTATTTTTTCTTGTCAGTAATGCTAGAGGATTAAATTTGTATTACGCTTTTCAAAAGAACCAACCATTAGTGTTGTTCTGGCTTTTTTTTTTTTTTTTGAGACTTGCTCAGTTACCCAGGCCGGATGCGGTGGCACAATCACGGCTCACTGCAGCCTCCACCTCCCCAGCTCAAATAATCCTCCTGCCTCAGCCTCCCGGGTAGCTGGGACCACAGGTGCTGCCACCATGCCCGGCTCTGCCTACTTTAAAACGCTCATCTCCACCATCTGGATCACTTGGTGGCTTGCTGCTATTTTCTGGTTTTCCGGCCCTCAGTCCTATCACCCAGGACTTAGCTTGGTAATTTCCATGTCGGGAAGAGAGGACTCACAGTCCACAGAAGCAGCAGCTGGGATAGAAATGTCTCCCACTCACATCTCAGTATGTTGGGTCTCCTCGATGCCCATGAGCAGTGTGAAAGGGGCAGTGGCTTGCAGACTTTGGATGCCCTTCAGGAAGGCAGCCTCTCAGGTACCAAAGCCCCTGCAGGGCCTTGATTACCTGAAATCTTCTCTTCTAAGGCTTTATCATAGCCCAGACAGAAGGGACACACTGTCTTATAGATGAGGAATGGTACGACCCCAAGCACTTACCTTCCTCCTTGCAGCCACTTGTTTCTTCTAAAAATGAAGAGATGGAGGAGAAAAAGAAGCAGGAAGAGAAGGAGGAAGAGGAAAGGAAGAAAGGGAGGGAGAGAGGGAGGGAGGAAGAGGAAGAGGAAAGGAAGAAAGGGAGGGAGAGAGGGAGGGAGGAAGAGGAAGAGGAGGAGAAAAGAAAGGAAAAGAAAAGAAACCATCAGGTGAATTATGAAGTGGGTGGAGACCAAACTCTAAATAGTGCTTCCAGGTGCCTCGAATGAGGAGAGAAGAGAATAAAGTTAGTCTCCCTGTGTCCCTGGATCCCAGGGACTCAGCTGCCTCAGGGCCTTTGCATATACTGTTCTCTCTTCCTGGAATGCCTTTCCCCCAGTTATCTCTGGCTCACCTGCCCTTCTTCTTCAAGCCTTTGCTCACATGTCATGTTCCCTGATCGCCCTTTAAAAACTTTTTTTTTTTGAGACAGAGTTTTGCTCTTGTCACCCAGGCTGGAGTGCAATGGCATGATCTCGGCTCACTGCAACCACTGCTTCCCAGGTTCAAGTGATTTTCCTGCCTCAACCTCCCGAGTAGCTAGGATTACAGGTGCACACCACCATGCCCAGCTAATTTTTTCTATGTTTACAAAATTTGTTTCAAAATAATTGTTTGTATTTTAGTAGAGACGGAGTTTCACCATGTTGGCCAGGCTGGTCTCGAACTTCTGACCTCAGGTGATCCACCCACGTCGGCCTCCCAAAGTGCTGGGATTACAGGCATGAGCCACCATGCCCAGCCAAAAAACTTAAGTTTCCCGCACTGCGTTTCCATCCCCATTACTCTATTGTCTCCATAGGACATAATAGCCTTCAGCAGACCTATAACTACTGCTCTTTGTTTTTTCTCCTCTGATTGGAATACAAGTTTCACTTGGTCACAGACTTCTGTCTGTTTTATCCTCTGCTGCATCTCTAACACCTAGAATAACATTTGGTACAGGAGAGCTAACATCAGTTAATATCTGTTGGACAAATAAAAACATGTTAAACATTTATGATGCAGATGATGATACGGATAAAGAGTGTAGGGTCTGATGATATTTAAGGGACCCCCCACCATAGAAAAAACCAGTACCTGTATATTTCTGTGCACAGGAGTGAACACGAAATAGCAGTCACCAGACTTACCATGCAGTACTTGGAGGCTCAGCAAGCCTAAGGAGGACAGGGGCATACAACGCGAGTCAGAAGGGACAGCATGATAAACACTTCCAGACCAGCAGGTCCAGCAGGCTCGCCCCAAGCCACTCCTCCTCCGAGAAGCCCTGCTGGATTGCCCGCATCGTCCTCTTGCACACTGTCCCCACTGCCACCTCCCCCCTGTGCCACACAGATTCCTGTTGTAGTTTAACTGCCTGTTACTTTTCCATCTCCCCACCTCCACTAGACTGTGAGTTGACGTGAGGGTGTGAGCTTGTCAGATCCATCTTTCAGCTTTCCACCACCCTGCCCAGCCCTAAAAAGCATTCCTCCCAAACCAGCTTCCTACAGAGTCCCGGGGCAGGCATGGAGTGAGGTGTCACCTAGGATCTCTGATGATGTCCATCCAGAAGGAGATGGGGTCCAGGAAGCAAGACAGGTCAGGGGAGCAGACAGGCCCAGAGTATGGAGTTCCCAGGAGCCGTGGAAGAGGAGGCCACATGTAGGGAAAAATCACAACATCAGAAGACAGAGCGATGGGAGCACAGGAGAGCGGAGCCCTGGGTGGGTCGTGCTGAGTAGTCAGGACATGCCACAGTGAACAGCGCAGAACAGTCAGAGGCTGCTTCGTGTGGGTTGGAGGGACGTGCAGTGACTTGCAGGATTTGCACCGCAGCAAGGTTAGGCTGGGAAGGAAGCCGCCACGCCATTCCCATCTCTTCTGTTTGTTTTTGTTTTGTTTTGTTTTTTGTTTTTTAGACGGAGTCTTGCTCTGTTGCCCAGACTGGGGTGCAGTGGGACGATCTCGGCTCACTGCAACTTCTGCCTCCCGGGTTCAAGCGATTCTCCTGCCTCAGCCTCCTGAGTAGCTGGGAGCACAGGCACCCGCAACCACACCCGGCTAATTTTTGTATTTTTAGTAGAAACGGAGGTTTCACCACGTTGGCCAGGCTGGTCTAGAACTCCTGACCTGAGGTGATCCGCCCGCATCAGCCTCCCAAAGTGCTGGGATTACAGGTGTGAGCTACCATGCCAGGCCTTTTTTCCATGTATTTTGTGTCACTCTAATGTAGGCACCTACATACTCATCCAGGGGTGGCACATTCCATCCCACCACCCGTTGTTGTTTTCTGAACTTTGTTTTTTAATAACAACTTGACTGGTATATTAATATAATTCACATAACTTATGACTCACCCATCAAGTGTACAAGACAGTAGTTTTTAGGACATTCACAAAGCTGTGCATCCATCACCACAAACAATTTTAGAACGTTTTCATCACCTGAAAAAGAAACCGTGTACCCGTTGGCCATTGCCTCCAAACCTGGTGCCCCTGAGCAGTCACTCCCCATCTCTCTGGGCTCACCCCCCTCTCCCGCGGTCCTAGGCAACCACTAAGCTGCTTTCCCTATCTGTGGACTTGCCTGCTGTGGACATGTCGTAGAGACAGAGTCATACCCTATGTGCTTTTGTGTCTGGCTTCTTTGACTGAGCACTGTGTTTTCAAGGCGCGTTTATGTTGTGTCCTGTGTCAGCACTTTCTTTGTGGCTGAATAACATTCCATTGTATGAATAGACACATTTTATTTACCCATTCATCGGTGGGTGGACATCCTGACACTTGCTTTTGTAGATGAAGTTTTATTGGAACAGAGCCATGCCCATTCACAATGTGTTGTCTACTGCTTTTGTAAATAAAGTTTTATTGGCACACAGCCATGCCCATTCACTGTGTGTTGTCTGTGGCTGCTTTCAGGCCACAAAGGCAGCATTGAGTAGTGAGTGGCAGCAGAGACCACCTGGCCCTGAAAGCCTAAGATGTTTACTATTTAGCGCTTTACAGAAAACAGAAAAAAAAATGCTGATTGATCCCTGCCTTATGTCACTGAATTCTCAAACAAGCAAAAAATATTATCTCCATTAATCAGGTAGGAAAATAGAATCTAAGGGAGTTTGGGTAAGTTACGCCCACATTATAGATGATGGGAGTAGAGTTCCCACCCAGGCCTCTTTGCCTTAAAACTCAGGCTGTCTCCACCGAACCACTTGCATCCTGGGTTAATGTGAGGGTCCGGGAGAAAGAGCCCACGTGAATCGCCCAGTACAGAGCTTGGCACCTGGTGGGCCCTTAGGCAGGTGTTTGGGATTTTCCTGCTGGGTTTGGCTTTTGCTCGTTACTGGAGCAGGGCTGGGTCTGCTTGGCACCTGGTGGGCCCTTAGGCAGGTGTTTGGGATTTTCCTGCTGGGTCTGCTTTCAGTTTGCAAAGTGCTGTCAGTGCAGCATGAGGACGGAGGCTGGAGAAGGGCCTGGGAAAAGGAGCGAAAGGAGCAAGGCAGAGGGGCCTCCTGCAGACATGGGAGTGTTCAGAACAAAGGTAAATGAGGTGGTCCTCACAGACCCTTGCTGAGCTCTTATCCCGTGCCAGACATTTTATTCAGCGGGGGGTTTCTCAACCTCCAGACGAGTGACATTTGGGGCTGGATAGTTTTTTTGTTGTGGGGGTGGGGTGTCCTGTGCATTGTAGGATGTGTAGCAACATCTCGAGACTCCCCCCATTAGATGCCGTTAGCCTCCCCTACCACCTCCCTGAGTCCTCACAACCAAAAATATCTCTAGGCATTGCCAGGTGTCCCCTGAGGGGCGAAATCTCCCCAATTGGGAATCATCCTGCCAAGTGCATGATCCTGTTTACTCCTCACAACCATATGAGGCTGGAACTATTATGTGCATTGTACCGACCAGGGGCCTGAGCCCTTCAGGAGGCGAGGGTCCGAAGCCCACGGAACTAGAAAGTGGTGCAGTCAGGACCGGCGCCCACAGTGCACACTCTCTGCCAGTTCCTCTTTCCCTTTCTTAGCATAATTTTATCTTCCTTACAATATATACAACATACAATTATAATGATAATACTTCCAGTGTAGGGATGAGGCAGGGACCTCGTTAGTCTGAGCCGCTTTGAACACTTTTGAGTTTGCATTGTTTAATAGCACCGTTTGGGATCCAGACTGGGCTTAAGTTATTCTCTGCACCTGACTGGCTGTGTGACCATGAGCAAGCGACTCTCCCTCTCTTACCACAGTGTTTTCAGTTGTAAAACAAGGACGATGACTTGGGGACTGTCATGAGTCAAGCACTTAACAACCATGCCTGGTACCCAGAACGTGCTCTTGAGCTGCAGGATACCATTTTTCAATTTGTTTTTTCAGATCAGGATGTCTTGGGTTTCACTGAGGCTCAAGCTGCATAGAAGTGGGGTTTGGAGGTGGGTGTGGGGCATGGACAGGATGGTGTCTCAGAACTGGGGTTTAGATGGCTTTGAATGTGGACCAAAAGAAGAGTGTGTCCTCAGCCGAAAGGTAGAATCAACCCAAAATTCAATCAGTGGATGATTGGATTAAAAAATGCAGTCTATCCATGCAATGGAGTATTGCTCAGCCATGAAAAGGAGTGAAGCACTGTCACAGGCCACAATGTGGCTGAACCTTGAGGACACTGTGCTGAGTGATGAAGCCAGACACAAAAGACCACATCGTGTACGATTCTACTTCTATGAGGTACCTAGAATCCTCAAACTTGCAGAGACAGAAAGTGAAATGGTGGTTGCCGGGGCTGAGGTCAGAGGGAGAATGGGGACTGACTGTTTAATGGGTACTTTTTTTTTGGTGGGGCAGTGATTATAAAGTTCTGGAGTCAGTGGTGATGGTTGCACACCATTGTGTGTGTACCAAGGGCCACTAAATCGCACACTTTAAAGTGGTTAAGGTGGGTGCAGTGGCTCGTGCCTGTGATCCCAGTGCTTTGGGAGGCTGAGGTAGGAGGATTGCTTGAGCCCCGGAATTGAAGACCAGCCTTGGCAACAAAGCAAAACAAAAAAGTAAAAAAAAAAAAAGTAAAAACAGACAAAAAAACCAAAAATAATTAGCTAGGTGTGATGATGCACACCTGTAGTCCCAGTTCCTCAGGAGGCTAAGAAAGAAGGATCGCTTGAGCCCAGGAGGTCTGCACCACTGTGCTCCAGCCTGGACAACAGAGCAAGATCCTGTCTCTAAAAAATGAAAACAAGTTACAATGGTAAATTTCATGTTTTGTATATTTTACTACAATTTCAAGACTTTTTAAAAGATGTATGTTACCCACATGTGGCAAACAGTGACTTTTTCAGGGAACAGCATGATGAAATGGTCAGAGATGTTCTTGGGGAAAATAAGTCTGAGCCACACAGCAGTGGGAGGAAGCACAGCACCGTGGTTAAGCAGCTGAGTCACGCAGCCCAGGATCCGTAACCCACCGTCACCACTGGGATGCCCAGTCTTGATCTAGTTACCTAACCTTTATACCTCAGTCAAGTGCAGATGAATAATACTTGCCTTGTGAAGAAGTTGTGGGGAATAACTACACATAACACATTGAAAAGTGCTGCTCTGGTGCCTCGCGCCTGGCACCTAGAAAGCTCTTTGTAAATTTCCATCACTGTCATCACCATCCTCATCATGGCATTACATGAATGCCTGATTCGAGGAGGGATTGGTTTCCATGAGACATCCCATCTATTTGAAGATGATGGTAATATAGCTATTTTTTCCCAGTTCTTGAGTTTAAAAAAAAAAGATGGTCAAAAGCTGAGAGTTGATCCATGGCTAAGAGTGGACCTCCCTTGGCAGAGATGAGAACAGGAGCAAAACAGAAGGGGTCAAATGTGAAACAAGACTCTTAGGTTTCAGTGCTGTTGAGATGAGATGCCAGGAGCAGAAGATCCAGTGGGCATTGTTGGGCAGCAGTGGAGGAAGGAAGGAAGGAGAGGAGAGGAAAAGGAAGAAATTAATAACGCCTTCTTCCTAGCTCCTCCCACCCTGTGGTTCTCAAAACAGATCTTCCCAAAAAAGAGAAATAAAGTGTCTTCCAGATTAATGCGATAGGCTGGGGCCCAGGGTGGGTGACTCGAGATGCTTCTTTGAGACTTTACTCCTTTAGAGACGCATTAATCCAGGTGGACAGAAGCCCCAGGTATTCAGTTTCCGTGGGGATTCATCTTCCAGAGATTAGGAAGATACTAGAGCATCCCTTTGAGTCTCCAGGGTTCTCTCTCATTTCTCCCCCGAGGGTCAGGAGGGAGCTTGAGGAAGGAGCAAGGTGCCCCTCTTTGGTTCTCTTCTCAATGGCCCTCCCAACAAATATGTACAACTCAATGCTTTCTTGTCTTCTGGGGCAACGGTCCTGTGAGCTCGGGGACGTGATATGCCAAGGGCTCACATACTCAGTCCTGCATGTAGCCCCAGACCCACCGTATCCCAGACACACCCTCACGGCTCTCCACACAATCTGGGGCTTGCAGCCCACCCTGAAACCCCTTCAGAGAGGGGAGCAGCAGATGGAGGGTCCCTCTCAACTTGTGTTCTACATTGAGAAGAACTATCCAAAGATTCCCTTCTTTGGATAGTTGCCTCTTCTTCCCAGCACCTGAAAACTTCCAAGTGACCCATAGGAAAGGAAAAATAACTTACTTTTTACTGGAGGAAGTAGCAGAACCAGCATTCGGGGAGTCAGTGTGGAGAAGAGTGAGCAAGAGAATAGAATCAGCAGTATAGGACATTCAATTATTCCTCCATTCAATATCGTAAAACTATTTTAAACTGTTTATGTATTTATATTTCATAGAGAAGGGGGTCTTCCTATGTTGCCCAGGCTGATCTTAAACTCCTGGGCTCAAGCCTTCCTCCCACCACAGCCTCCCAAAGTGCTGGGATTATAGGCATGAGCCACCGTGTCCAACCCAAAGAATCACCATTTGGGAAGCAAACTCAAGAGCTTAGAGTTCCATCACAGACATCCTCCTTCTTTAGATATGAAGTAGGGTCCTAGGCCCTAATTTTAAACAAAGACCCTGAGAAGCACTGCTCTAGCTCAGAGGTCAATAAATGTCTGACCTCTAAAGGGTCAGACAGTAAATAGTGTAGGCTTTGCAGGCCACATGGCCCCAGTCACAACTATGCAGCTCTGCCATTAGAGCACAAAGACAACTACAAATAATACCTAAATGAATGGGTGTGATTGTGTGTCAGTAAAACTTTATTTATAAAAACAAGCAGTGGGCCTTTCTGCTGAGTCCTACTTTATCTCAGTAGTTCTCAAACCATCTGAGCCAAACCATCAGAAGCACCTGAGAAACCTTTTGAAAGGACAGATTCCTGGGACCCACCCCTTGGTATTCTCATGCAGAAGGTCCAGGTAGAACAAAGAAATCTGTCTTTTTGAAAAAGTTTCAGATAATTAGCCAGTTTGGGGAAACCACTCTTTATAACTTGGGTTCCATTTGACCAGTGCTCTTGGGAGAATTCAGTTATATAATAGAGGCAGGTTCTCCAGTATTCGTTTTCTTCAACTCCTTCTAATGAGCAAAAATAACATGAATTAGAGGTACAAGAAACATTTGTGAGGGTCAGAAGTGGTGGCTCCTGCCTGTAATCCCAGCACTTTGGCAGGCTGAGATGGGAAGATTGCTTGAGCCCAAGAGTTCAAGATCAGCCTGAGCAACATGGTGAGACCCTGTCTCTACAAAAATGTAAAATATTAGCTGGGTATGGTGGTGTGCACCTGTAGTCTCAGCTACTCAGGAGGCTGAGGCAGGAGGATTGCTTGAGCCTGGGGGGTCTAAGTTGCAGTAAGCTATGATTGCACTACTGCACTCCAACCTGGGCAACAAAGTGAGAACCCATCTCAAAAAAACCCAAAAACAAACAAACAGACCACCACACACAAGAGAAACATTTGTGTGGTCCAACTATGTGCCATACAGTTTTCTAGGACATGTACTAAAAGATGGACAAGTCTTTGGCCTCGAGGATCAGTACTCATGGGAAGAGGGGTCTCTCTCCGTCTTACCCGAACTAGAGTATAAATACGTCTGTCTTCCGAAGAGACTGCTCCACCATCTTTCTTCCTTGAAATTTCCCCTCCCCTCTGTAAAGGGCCTGGCCCCTTTCTCTCCTCCAGACTATCACTTTTCCTTTGGAGGAATGAATGGGGTAAGCTCCCTCGCATTGGAGCAATTTCTACACCAAATAAAAAAAGACATAGCTTACACTTAGTGAGGTGCTGAAGCTAGCTTACAAGAGACAATTACTAAAATTTAGGAATTGTCCAATGCAGCTCTCAGACCCTTAGCATCCTGAAATCAGGCATGGTCAGAGTATTTACACCATGGGAAGTGGTAGTCGCTACAAACCAGGGCTCCCTTTCCCACTCTCCCCTTGCAGAGGTGGTTGTTAGACATTTACCAGCACAGCATAGCTTAGATTCTTTGGCAGAATCTGTACTGATGATGCTCCTGATGCCAGGCGAATGGCTAAACACTGGGGCCTGGACCAACCCTTCCCTGGCATTTTCTTAAAGGAGTTTGAAGGCCCAGCGGTGGTTATGAGAATCTAATTTCAGAGACAAAAACTGTCACAGTACTTACTTTCTTCTTCTGTCCTATCTGGAGGCTAGAATGTAGGCAGCCCAGGTTGCAACGGAGGGGCAGAGTAGAGAGAGAAATCAACATTAAGACACGGGTCTCAGACACCACTGACTAAGCATCCCTGACCAGTCAGAGGAGAGCAGAGGTGGAAATGCTACTGGAGATGAGGCAACCCAATTCACTCATTTTACGGGTGAAGACACAGACTTAAGCACTCAGTCACGCCTTCTAACAAATGTTTATGAGGCATCTCCTGTGTGCTGGGCATCACGCAAGGTATGGAGGGTGCAGTGGAAAGCAAGGCAGGCCAGACCCAGCTGCTCAGGGAGCTCACAGACTAGTCAGAGAGAAGCAGACAGCAAAAGCATCAAAAGTGGGGTATCGTTGGGATGAGTATTCTGGGTAGACCTGCTGGGTTCCATGGGAACCTATAAGGGGGTGATGGTTGCTAACCTTGCGGGGACACCAGGGGAGGCATCTTGAGGGAAGTGATGTTGTGTCTGAGACCTGGAAGATGAGCAGGGGTTAGCTGGGTGAAGAAATTTGGAAGAGGAGGCAGGAAAGTGTCGCAGACAGAGGGAACGATGTGGGCGTCTTCCTGGGCTGGATGGAGCCTGCAGCTGCCGGGGGCTTGAAGGAGCCCACCTCAGGGGCATGATGGTAGGTGATCATGGTACAAGACGTGGCTGGAGAGTATCTGGAGCTCAGTGAGGCAGACCCCTGTGGGTCAGCTTAAGGGCCTCAGCCTTCATCCTAAGAACAGCGGACACCATGGACCCATTTGGGCCTGTGCTCCCTTCTTGGCTCTGCCACACCAGCCTCGTGACCATCAGCAACTCACTCCATCTCCTTGTGCCTCAGTCTCCTCATCAGAAAAGTGGAATCATAAATGAGAGACCCACGCTCCTGGTCTGCCCAGAACTGAAGGGGTTCCCAGGATGCGAGAGTTTCAGAGCTAACACTGGAAGTGTCCTGGGACGAGCTGGTCACTGTAGCTTTTGTGGCATTTACACCTCTTAGAGGGCTTATAAGGATTAAAAGAATCCATGCAAAGGGATACTTGGAAATTCATTGGCTGATTTAAGGTGCTGAATGAATCTACTGTTAGTGGCCACCTTGCCTCTGATGCTCTGCCTCCTTCCAGCCCTCAGTTTCCCCACCTGTTTAATGACTCAGATGATTTCTAGCCCCATGAGTCTGTGACTTCCTCCACATCTGCCTCAACCCCCTGCCGTTATTATACCTGACAGTGGCTACATTCGATTGGTACTTGGTTTCGTGGCAGGCACTTCACATGTGGAATAAGAACATTTTGCTTTTTATAAAGTCCGGCTGCATTCCAAGGAGGAAGCTCCTGGTGCACAGAGGGCTGATATTTATGGGTTAGGTGGACTTGGGGGGATGGGAGTGGGGGAGAACTGAATTATTGTGCTTGTTAAAAGGAGAAGACTGTGTAGCTCCGCAGGCAATGTGGGAGGGAGGAGAGGCGGGAAGGGAAGAAAAGGAGAGGTGAGCAGAGTTGGTAAGGTGAGGAACCATGTGCTCGAGGCTGGACTGACTGTTCCTGACATTCTCCATCAAAACTCAGTCATAGGTTTCCGTAAAATGTTTCCCACAACACATTTCTTGGGGGAACCCCCGGAGGAGAGTTCTACTTCCAGGTCGATGGGCAAGGAGGAGAGTTCTACTTCCAGGTTGATGGGAAAACAGAGAAAGTGCATGGTGGTTTCACCACCTAAGATGGACAAAACTCGGAAACTGTCATCACAGGAGTAACAGAAACCACAAGGAAGACTTTAGACTCCAGAATCCATGGAATGGTGGGGGTGGGAAGGAGTCAAATCCACTTTCACCAGCTCCCTAATATCTGAGTGTTTCTGGCATTTTATCATAATCTCACAACCACACTGTGCAGTGCGTGCTGTGAATCCTGGTTTACCGGGAAGAAAACAGACTTGTCCTGGGTGGTGTGTGCTGGTAAATAGTGGAGCCAGGTGGAAATTCCAGATATGGATGTATTGGGAAGCCCCACTAGCATTCGCTCTGCCGGGCATCTCTAGCAGTGAGAGATGAGTGCTTAGTGACGCCGAGCAGATCTCACGTGGACACAGATTCAGCTTGAACTCCTTGGGTACCACATGGTGAGAAAGGTTTTCTCTCTCCAATTCTCTTTCAACCAGAGAGAAATTCTCAAAATGGCACTAACGCATCTTTAACTCATAACACTTGCTAGTGTTTATTTCCACCGAACAGCGGGAACAACCTTCACACAAAGAGCCTTGGCAGAAAACAGTGTCTAGTTATAATTTAATCTCGTTTTGTTTTCATGATATTTATCTTCACAGTTGTCTCCTCCTTATGAGGCTGACCACTTACTCAAGCGGTATAAAGCAACTTTTTCAAGTTTATTGACTTAAGGAGAAAGCTGTACGTCCATTTGAAGAATGGGAGGTGTGGGGGTTCTGGCGGTGCATAGATGCAGCAAGAACACCTGTTGGGGTTCAGTCCGTCTGTGAAAAAAATATGGGGGGCAGTGTTTTTTGGCCACCACATTATCAAAAATAAAAAGTTTGGGTCAGGTGCGGGGCTCACACCTGTAATTCCAGCACTTTGGGAGGCCGAGGCAGGAGGATCACAAGGTCAGGAGTTCAAGACCAGCCTGGCCAACATGGTGAAACCCCATCTCTACTAATAATACAAAAATTAGCCGAGCATGGTGGTGGGCGCCTGTAGTCCCAGCTACTCGGGAGGCTGAGGCAGGAGAATCGCTTGAACCCGGGAGGCGGAGGTTGCAATGAGCTGAGATCTCACCACTGCACTCCAGCCTGGGCAACAGAGCGAGACTCCGTCTCTAAATAAATAAATAAAAAGTTAGATAATATCCCATGCTGCTGAAGGTGTGGGGAAACAAGCATCCCCACAGGCTGTATATGAAGATGCAAATTTGTTAAACATCTGTCCAGATTTAAAAGGCAGATACCCTTTGACCCAGCCATTTCCCTTTTAGGAACTTAACAGATAGGAATTTGCAAAAATAAAAAAGCAATGACTGGATAAGGATTTCCATTATAGCGCTGTTTATAATAACATCAAAACAAAATAAAACAAAACTGGGCTGGGCGTGATGGCTCATGCCTGTAATCCCAGCACTTTGGGAGGCCAAGGCGGGCGGATCACGAGGTCAGGAGTTCGAGACCAGCCTGGCCGACATAGTGAAATTCTGTCTCTACTAAAAATACAAAAATAATAATAATAATTTAAAAATTAAAACAAACAAAACAAATCAAAATATGTTAGGAATCCCAGTCAATGGGGTGAAAGGAAACAACTAAAAACATATATATTAGAAAAAAAACTAAATGTACATGAACCAGAGGCTCATTAAATTATGGGAGTACACACGAAGCATTTCTCAGGTATTTGAAAGAGGTAAAGTTATATCACTAAAACACATAGTACTTTTAACTTGAAGAGTTAAGGATGTACATACATGTGTATGACTATTTCTGGGGAGAATACACGTGAGACTAGAAATGGTGCTTGCTTCTAGAGAGCAGAGCCGGGAATGTGGTGAAGAGAATGATTTTGACTTTCATTTTATGTTTCCTCGATATTTTCCCATGTGCATATGCTATTTATAAAACTTAAAAAACTCCACAGCATAATAATTATTAGGCAAAATTCTAGCTGTAACCTTATATAGCAATAAAGATTTTCATTACATCAAAGTTCAAACAAAACATGTGCTTGGATAATACCTGAAGTGTTCTTTAGACTCTACCTAAAAGCATAAATGACTCAATAAGTCTACATTACCTTGCGGACAAGAGAAAGACCAGGTTTAAAAGATACAATCCTGACACTTACCATCCGGTGACAGTCTGCTCATGAGACCTGAGGAAGAAGACATAACACATGATGTGCAAATGCAGCAGAAAGAAATATGCCTAATTAATGGATTTCTCCCAGTTCAACAGATGTAACAAACTCTTCTTCAGGAAGTGTGGCTATAATGCCTCAGTCATGATGCCTCATTATTCCCACTTAATCCCCTTTCCTACCTCTATCAATCATAGCAAGGCCAGGCGCAGTGGCTCAGGCCTGTAATCCTAGCACTTTGGGGGCTGAGGTGGGTGGATCACCTGAGGTCAGGAGTTCAAGACCAGCCTGGACAACATGGCCAAACCCATTTCTACTAAAAATACAAAAATTAGGCAGACATGGTGGTGGGTGCCTGTAATCCCAGCTACTCAGGAGGCTGAGGTTGGAGAATGGCATGAACCCGGGAGGCAGAGGCTGCAGTGACCTACAATTGTGCCACTGCACTCCAGCCTGAGTGACAGAGCAAGACTGTCTCAAAAAAAAAAAAAAAAAAAAATTACAGCAAGCATCACTTGTCTCTAATCTAATTTCTGTTTACTTATCTCTGTTTCCCACCAGACTTTGAGTTTATAAAGAATGAGCATATCAGATCCACTTCTGGGCTCCCATCACCCAAGCATGAGTCCAGGCACAGACTAGATACTCAGAAATTCTTGCACAAAATCCTTGCACCATATTTTTATCATCTAAAACCCACCAATGAATACACACAATCTAACCCAGTTGTACATTCTAGAGCAAAGCCCAAAATTTCCCGCCAAAGTGCACAGTCTGGGGGCATTGTGAAGTGGCAAGGTACTTACCTATGATCCCTGATGGCAGCCCATCCAGGAGAGTCAGCATGGTGGCCAAGGTTACATGCGTGGTCCAGAATGTTGTCCCCAAGAGGTCACAAAGACGAAGCCATAATTAGAAAACCAAAAACGAGGTCAGATGCTGGGGGCTGGGAACAGATTGGGAAGTAGAATCCACAAGGGGTCATGCATGGTGAGCAGTCAGGGACTAAGACTCAGAACGCTGTGAGATTATTGAGGACCCTCGTGCATTTGATGCAGGGAAGAGCGTCCAAAGTGGAGAAAGAGGTTGGGACAGTAATCATGAACCGTTCTTCATTCATGCTAGGAACAGAAGAAAAGATGATCCTTTATTGCCTCTAGAAAGAGGAGCCAAGCTCTGTCCTTCTATTTACCCCACACCAGCCCTTTGAGATCAGATATTGTCCCTATGTTGCTGGTGAGGACGGGTGAACCTCCAAGGAATTACGTGATTTGCAGAGACCTGTGCAGCTGGTGAGTGAAAAAGCAGGAACTCAAACTCAGATCTCTCTGACTTCTTCTAGAAGTCTCCATTTCCTCATCTGCAAAACGGGAACGTTAACTGGGGCGAGGCTTGCTACGTATTGAAGAATCCCACTGGGTTTGCTAGTGGAAAGTGCTGTATTTATGGAGCTCGCAACACCTTTCTCGGTATCACTGAAAATCGTCTGGTAGTTAATGCCTAACGTTGTTGGGAATATTGATGTGGGCATTGAATGGCTGATATCCAGGCTATACATTTTACTAAGTGGGTGGCCTTGGGATGATGAATGAACTCTCTGTGCTCTTTAAAATGGAGATATTGTTTCCTGTTTGGATCTGTGTCAATAAAGAAGGAAGATAATGCAGATTGAGTACTTAGCCTAGCTCCTGGCTCAAGGTAACATTTAGTAAAGTTAGAAATAGTAATATGAAGTACGTAATAATAATAATGATGATAATAGTATTGGATTCATACATAAGGGTGTGTACGTGTGTGTGTGCAGTGGGAGCAGGGACGTGGAATCAGAAAGAGGTGGTAAAGTCTGGATTTATGGAGTTGAAAATGTTTTGCAACCGTAAGTTCACTTAACCTTGCAAAGTAGGCACAGAGAGGTGAAGTGACTTCTCTAAGATTGCCCCACCTAGGAAGGAGCAGAATTAGGCTCCGAATGCAAAGGTGCCTAATGTGGGCCTTGTCCCCTTTCTGCAAGTCATCATCTCACTTCCTGACCTAGCCTTCTGCCCCAGAGTCTTGCAAACTCAGTGACAAAGCCATGGTCTCATTCCACCTAACTTGTTCCAGATTGCTATCTCTAGGAATTATTAAATAGGCAGCGATGATGGTGGCTTTTACTACCTGACCTCAGAAAGCAAAGATGTAAGTCATTGTGTCTAACCAAATATTATTATCGATGTCAGGTAGACCTGAATTGAGCTCTCAGACCTAATAGCTTTCCTTGAGCCATGTGCGGACCATGAAAGAGTGCTCAGTTTCTGGACAAGTGGCTTTGAGGGGAGACAAGTAAAAGGGCTTTTGTTGTTGTTGTTGTTCATCAAAGGACAATTCCACACTTGGTTTTACTAGTTCCGCTATTAGAAGCTAAGCTGTGAACAGACCAGAGAAGAAACGTAAGTCGAAGTTCAGCAGCAATGATCCCTTTTGGACAAAGGCAAACAGACCCCAAAGGGAAAGAGATGGAATGAGAAGCTTACCTTTCAGCACTGTTGGCAGACAAGCAGCAGGAAGGACAGGACCGATGGTAGCCAGTGGGAACCATATTGCCAATGAAGGTTCAGAGAGAATATGAAAGGAATTAAGTCATCCTTGGTACCTCATTGCACCCCATAGGTCCTGAGATAGGTTAGGGAACCAGAATGGGGAGCTGCAATTCATTCTAAGTGCATTGGACCCCTTTGGAGGCACATTTACCCTGAAGTCAGAAACTTCAGGGGTACCAGTGGCCTGGGGAATCCAGACCCTCCCTTCTCCAGCTGAATTTCTAGCATAAGGAAGGTCTCCATAATAACCAAGTGTCATCTCCACTTCTCAACCGGAGACTGGATGTTAATTCTGGGAAAGGAAGACGTCTTACCCACCCTGTACCATATTTTTCTCATCTAAAACCCACCAATAAATACACACAATCTAACCCAGGTGTACATTCTAGAGCAAAGGCCCCTAGATTGTGGTAGGTCATTGATCCTACTGAAAATCTGATCAAAGCTATTTCCCAGAACACCACACAGGTTCTCTTTCTCTCTGACAGCACACCCAGTTTTAGACCTAATGACAGAGGCTTGTTGGCCTCCTCAAAGTCCATCCAGTTGCACCGTTCCCACCCCGGGCAATCTGCAGATTCTGGGTGAAGAGGTCATGTTTGAATTGAGGACATCTGAATCTGCCCCAGGTTGAATGTGATCGTCAGCAGTTTTGCCTCTCTCTTTCATTCCCTTCCTTCTCTAGGTTGAAGGGCGGGCTCCCCATTTATGTAGGGAGAAGGAGATATGACTTACAGTTGACTGGAAGGGGCAGCAGAGCCAGGAGCCAGTGAATCAACATGGAAAATTCAAGGAAGAGAGTGGAATTAATATTAACATCATCCATCTCTGTTAATTTTTACATGCATTTCTTTATTCCTTCATGGAACATTTATTTGCCTGTTGTTATATGGAGTGCGATCTTTATATGGGACGCTATTTTTATGTAGTTTGTCACATAAATTTGACAAAGATCAATACAGCGATAGCATTGTAGTGGCACGAGTGTTAGAAACCCTTCTTTAACTTTGCAGTTTCAGAAATTAATCTTACAGATATATATTTATATAAATATGTAAATGTATATGTGTACATACACACACCGTTGACCCTTGAACAATACAGGTTTGAACTACATGGTTACACTTATCCACTTAGATGTGCATTTTCTTCTGCCTCTGCCACCCCTGAGACAGAAAGACCAACCCCTCCCCTTCCTTCTTCTGGTCAGCCTACTCATTGTGAAGATGACAAGGATGAAGACCTTGATAATGATCCACTTCCACTTAATGAAGAGTAAACATATTTTCTCTTTCTTAATAACATTTTCTTTTCTCTAGCTTCCCTTATTGTAAGAATCAGCATGTAATATATGTAACATACAAAATATATGTTAATCTACTGTTTATGTTATTAGTAAGTCTTCTGGTCAACAGTAGGCTATTCGTAGTTAAGTTTTGGGGAAGTCAAAAGTTATATGTGAATTTTCAACTGCACTGGAGGTTGGTGCCCCTAACTCTCACATTGTTCAAGGGTCAAATGTGTATGTGTTATGGTTTGAGTGTGTACCCCAAACAGCATGTGTTGGAAACTTAATCCCAAATGCAGCAGTGTTGGGAGGTGGGGCCTAATGGGAGGTATTTAGGTCACAAGGGCTCAACTTTCATGAATAGATAAATGCTGGTTATAAAAGGGCTTGAAGCTCTGAGCTCTCTGTCTCTGTTTCTGTCTCTCTCTCTGTCCTTTGATCATAGGATGACACAACAGGAAGGCTCTCACAAGATGCCAACCCCTCAATCTTGGACTTCTCAGCCTCCAGAAACATGAGCCAATAAATTTCTATTCATTATAAATTATCCAGTCTCAGGTATTCTGTTATGGCAGCCCAAAACAGACTACGACAGTGGTTATATCTAGATGATAAAGAAATATATATCTATATATAGATATAATTCTACATATTTCCATGTATAATCCTACAGATATAAATATGTAGATCTACATTGATATATATCCTATATGTCTAATTTCATGTAAGCTGAATTTTTCTTTGAAGGATTATTTAAAAGAGCAAACTACTGAAAACAACCTGAGTGGCCATTAGTATGTGACTGGTCAAACAAATTGTGGACTTCCATACAAGAAATATTATTCAGCCAAAAACGTATAAATAAGAGGTTGAGGATGCTCCTTATGAACTGACACAGAGTCATCTTCTGGAAGTATTATTAGGTGAAAAAAGTAAGGTGCATACAGAACAGTGTGTATAATACGCTGTCTTTTTTGTAAAAATAGAAACAAGAGGACTTTGAATATATAAATACACATTTGTTTCTACTTGCATAAAATATCTCTGGAAGGATCTGGAAGAAATAATTAATATCAGATTCTTTCGGGGAAGGGAAATGAGTGAATAGGTTGGGAAGGAGTTTTTTCCAGTATAACCTTGAGAACTTCTTTAATTCTGAACCCTGGAAATCTTATTTTAAATGAAAATAACATGATGTTTTAAATTGAATAATTAATTAGTAATTTAAATGTAATTAAAGTTTATGTAAATACTGTTTTGTTAATTGAAATATTAATAAAATAATTTAACATAAAACATTTTAATTAAAACAGCATAATATTTTAAATTGAAACAAAAACAGTGTGGATCATGAGATGTTTGCATTTGTTTAGGTTTAGAAGGTTCAGCTTTTGAAGATAGGAAGGAACTAACATAGGCTAGCTTTTTAGGTATAAAAAACCCAAAATGTTATCTGCAGGCATTTTAGCTCACCAAGTCTGGTGTGGGGATTAAATATTTTTAAAGTTTCCCATGTGATTCTCATGATGATGGTCCAGTGTGAGGATTCAGAGCTTTGGAAACCTCAGACCCCATATGGGACACTTACGATTTTGAAAATTAAATTGCATGACGTATTTTAAATTCTCAGTACATGCTAAATGCTTAATTAATATTGGATCCTTTTATCTCCTTTCAACCTGAAATAATAGCATTAAATTATGTTCTCACAGTCCTTTCCATTTTGCAAGGCTCTTTCCATTTATTTAGTCCTACTGAGCGCTAGGAATTTTGCTAGGCTATAGGAATAAACAGATTGAGTAAAGTACAGTCCCTGCCCTCTAGGAACTTACAGTCTTGCAGTCTAGTAGGGGTGGAAAAAAAAGAGATCTTTTTCCCTTCCATGTGACTTGGAGCAGAAATTCTCGAAGTATCATCCAAAGACTACTTGGTGGGGGTGGGAGGTGGTCCCTGAGATCCTTTCAGGGGATGTGATGGTTGATTTGGGGTGTCAGCTTGACTAAGGCACCCATATAGCAGTAAGACGTTTATTCTCAATGCTTCAGTAGGCACTGAGTCCATCCGTCTTCTGCTGAAAGGGAAGCCTGAGTGGTTTGGCATTTGATTAGAATGTTTGGGCTGCCCCAGGTGTGTCTGTGAAGGTGTTTCTGGAGGATATTGGGGTGTGAGTTGGAAGACTAGGTAGGGAAGATCCACCCTCACGGTGGGTGAGCACCATCCAGTTGGATGGAGGCCCAGCTGAAGCCAAGAGGTGGAGTAAGGGTCAATTCTTGCTCTCCCTTCTGCAGCTGGGATGCCCTTCTCCTGGCTTTGGATGTCAGAACTCCAGGTACTCCAGCTTTTGGGATTCTAGGACTTGAACCAACAGCTCCCTGAGCTCCCAGGCCATTGGCCTCAGACTGAGAGTTAGTTAGACCATCCATCAGCTTCCTTGGTTCTGAGGCCTTCAGACTTGGACTGAGCCACACTACTGGCCCTCCTGGTTCTGCAGCTTGCAGACCCCACAACTGAGTGAGCTAATTCCCCTAAGAAATTTGTTCTCAAATATCTCTATCAATATCTTTATCTATATATGTATCTATATGTATATCTTCATGGTTCTGTCTCTCTGGAGAACTCTGCCTAAAACGGGTCTGCATGATCTTCCCTTTTCCAACTCCTTATCTGTGTGAGATTAGATTTTCATTTGCTTCAACCAAAATAGCACATTGTGGCTGGGCGGGGCGGCTCACGCCTGTAATCCCAGCACTTTGGGAGACCGAGGTGGGCAGATCACTTGAGGTCAGGAGTTCAAAACCAGCCTGGCCAACATGGTGAAACCTTGTCTCTCCTAAATATACAAAAATTAGCCAGGCATGGTGGCATGCACCTATAGTCCCAGCTACTTGGGAGGCTACTTCGGATGCTGAGGCAAGATAATTGCTTGAACCCAGGAGGCAGATGTCATGGCGAGCCGAGACCGTGCCACTGTATTCCAGCCTGGGCGACAGAGCAAGACTACGTCTCCAAAATAAACAAACACATAAAGCTAAAAAAAAAAAAAATAGCACATTGTGACAGACTGAAGCAGAAATGAGAATTCAGCTGTTTTCTATTAAACTAGACATCAAAGAGATTTGCAAAAATGTAAAATAATACCTTTCTTACTAAACTTTTTTGGTTTGGAAACAGCCATTTCACTAAAACATTTTATTTATGTCAGTATGTATATTTATTATCCTTATTTTTCAAATATTTTTAATTTCAGTAGCTTTAGGGGTACAAGTGGTTTTTGGTGACATGGATGAATTGTGCAGTGGTGAAGTCTAGGATTTTAGTGCACCAGCATCTTTGTAATGTACATTGTACCCAAAAGGTAGTTTTCATCCCTCACCTCCCTGCCACCCTCCTTCCTTCTGAGTCTCTATTATCCTTATTTTTTTAATGCAGTAATAGATATTTGAATAATAGCTTTACTGAGATATAATTCACATACCATGCAATTCACCCATTTCAGTGGTTTGTAGGATACTCAGACTTGTACGACCATCACTACACCAGTTTTAGAGGCTTTAATCACCCCAAAATAAACCCTGAACCCCTTAGTCATTGTCTCTAAATTCCCCCACCCCTCACCCCCTGGAAATCACTAATGTCCATTGTGTCTCTATGGATTTGCCTATCCTGAATATTTCATATACGGTAAACGGAATCAGGTAATATGTGATCTTTTATCACTGGCATCTTTCACTGAGAATAATGTTTTCAAGGCTCACACACGATGTTGAATGCATCAGAACTTTGTTTCTTTTTATGGGTGAATAATATTCCATTGTATGCATAGACCACACTCTGTTTCTCCATTCATTAATGGATGCATGCTAGGATTACCTTCACTTGCTAGCTCTTAGGAATAGTGCTGCTGTGAACATTTGTGCATGGGTTTTTGTGTGGACTTACGTTTCATTTATCTTGGGCACATACCTAGAGCGGAATTGCTGAGTAACTCAGTGTTTAACATTTTGAGGAACAGCCAGACTGTTTTCCAAAGCAGCTGTATCATTTCACATTCCCACCAGCAGCATATGAGGGTTCTGATTTCTCCACGTTAGTTAGTGTGAAGTGATACCTCACTGTGGCTTTGGCTTCCATTTTTCTGATGGCTAATGAGGTTGAGCATCTTTTTATGTGCTTATTTGTAAATAGAAATAGTTTTTGTAAATATAAGTATTTGTATTTGTAAATATTTATAATATTTGTAAATATAAATATTTTTAAGTTAAAAATCCTTGAATTTACAATAAGGTAAATATCAATAAAGATAACCTTTGGCCGGGCACAGTGGCTCACACCTGTAATCCCAGCACTTTGGGAGGCCGAGGTGGGCGGATCACCTGAGGTCAGGAGTTCGAGACCAGCCTGACCAACATGGTGAAACCCCGTCTATACTGAAAATACAAAATTAGCCGGGCATGGTGGCGCGCAGCCTGTAGTCCCAGCTACTCGGGAGGCTGAGGCAGGAGAATCGCTTGAACCCAGGAGGCAGAGGTTGCAGTGAACCCAGATCGCACCACTACACTCCAGCCTGGGCGACAGAGCGAGGCTCGTCTCAAAAATAAATAAATAAATAAAAATAACCCTCACTGGAAAAAAAAAAAAAGAGCTCTTTAGATCCTTAATAATTTTTTTCGCGTGTTCAGTGGCCCTAAGACCATGAAGTTTGCAAACCACCAGCTGGTGTTAAACATAAGCCAAGGTGTTATTCTAATGGAGATCTGCCCGAAGTCTCTCTTCCCTGATAAATGCTCTTCATTTTCCGAATAGGCCTCTCTTCCCCAGACAAAGGAGTGAAGGAGGGCTGCTCTTTTAGTTGTGAGCATCACTGTAAGCAAACAATAGGTTTGCTTTTCTGAGTCATGTCCAGACCCCATGGCAGGTCTGTGCACCAGATCCAAGTGCCACCCTTCCCCAGAATTGCCAGAGAGGTTGCAAGATCGAAAAGAATTTTAGGAGAGGTAGCTATGAAAATACAGACTTGGGGGTTCCACGGTTCTTACTTTTTTCTTTAGTTGCAACTGGAGACAAAAGCATCAGCCAGCCAGTTCACAACGGGAGCAGGGAGCAGAGAGAGAAATTAGCATTAGACTCAGATCAGTGCAATAACCAAGAAGACCAGAGATAGAAGTGTCCCTGGAGATCAGCTGACCCACTCACTGCTATCAATAAAGCTACTCGGGCCCATCTATCAGCCCATCCATCCATCGATAAGTCCATTCGTTCATCATCCATCCAACCAACATTCACATGGTACATGCTCTGGGCATTGGCCCATGTTTGGTGTTGGAGACGCAGATAAATCAGATTCAGCCCCTGCTCTGTAGGTATTTGCAAGGCTGATTGGGAAGAGAAGTTCTGGTATAAGAGTACACTAGACACCCCAAACTCTGTTCTCACAGAACTTGCTATCTATGGATGTCCCAAACATCTTACAGGTGCTTCAAGCTTAGCCTGTTCAAAAAAGAATCTGTGGTCATCACACTCCTATCCATCAAAAAATAATCTGTTAATGCAATACTTTTTATTTATTCTTACTATTTTTTGTAGAGATGAGTCTCACTATGTTGCCCAGGCTGGTCTCAAACTCCTGGCCTCAAGTGATCCTCTTGCGTTGGCCTCCCGAAGTGCTGGGATTAAAGGCTTGAGCCACTGCACCCAACCAATACGATAAATATCCCTGAGTTCACGCTGATATAAATAAATACAGTACTTGAATAAATAAATGGAGAAGAAAAGTCAGCTTTTCCTTACAGAGAAAGGCCATTGAATATATGTAGATGAATAAGGGGAATAGAAAATCACCATTGGAGAAGCACTGTAGCAATCATTTCTGCAGCAAGATCCACAGATGGATGCTAAAATTAATGGGCAAAAATTGGAGGAGAACAGGGTATTCGCATAGCCTCAAAATTTCTCCCCCAGCGTATTTATTAATTACAAAGGGGGAAAATAGTAACTTAACAGTGGAGAAACCTGGCAGACACCACCTTAGCCGAGGGACTAAAGTTTACACCATGGGTAATAAGACACATCAACATCATGTGGTCCCTGATATAATTCCCGGGGAAGGGTGTGAGACCACTTCTGTGGTATTCCTGCCCTAAATGCATAGTCTCAATCCAATCATGAGAAAGCTTCAGACAAACCCAAATTGAGAGAAATTCTGCAAAACAACTGATCAGAGCTCTTCAAATGTTTCAGGGTCGTGAAAGACAAAGATTGAGGAGGTTCAATCACACATCCTAAGGACAAATCACAAGACCAAAGGAGATGGGATAACAAAATGCAACATGGTTGAGCAAGAGCTGGATTTTCTGAAACAAAACAAAACAAAACAAAACAAAAAACTTAATTGAAAATACAAGGTGGGATCCTGGATTGGATCCTCAAATAGAATAGTTTTTCTATTAGTAGAAACATTAGTAAAATTTGAATGAGGTCTGTAATTTCTTTAATAGTTTTGTTCTGGTGTTGGGTCTTGCTTTTAGTCATTGTGCTATGGTTAGGTAAGATGTTAACAGCTGAGATAACTGGGTGAAGAATATTCAGAAACTTAATTTTTGTGACTTTTCCTCAAGTCTAAAATAATTTCAAAATAAATTTTTTAAAAAACGTGTTCCTCTACAGAGTTTTTTTTTTTTTCTTTTTTTCTTTTTGAAACAGAGTCTTGCTCTGTTTCCCAGGCTGGAGTGCAATGGCAGGATCTCGGCTCACTGCAACCTCCACCTCCTGAGTTCAAGCGATTTTCCTGCCTCAGCTTCCTGAGTAGCTGGGATTACAGGCCCCTACTACCATGCCTGGATAATTTTTGTATTTTTAGTAGAGATGGGGTTTCGCCATGTTGGCCAGGCTGGTCTTGAGCTTCTGACCTCAAATAATCCAGCTGCCTTGGCTTCCCAAAGTGCTGGGATTACAGGTGTGAGCCACCGCGCCCGACCTCTACAGAGTTTTCTCATCTCAGTTAAGGGCAGCCTCAATTCCCCAGTTGCAAATACATGTATGTATAAAGAGAGCCTTTCTGCATGCTTCTCTATCCCCAACCACCAGCATCTGACCCATCACTCAATCCTGTGAGCTGTTTCCTCAGTGCCTCGTAACCTTCTACTTATCCCCATCTTCACCCTGATGACCAAAACGTTTTCTAACTTGTGTGTTTGCCCCTAATCTGATTCCCACCTAATCCATTCTTTCCTGAGGGCAAGACACATTGTTTAAACACACAGAAACACACATACATGCACACACACGCTCCTAAATATGACACTCCTTTGCTGAAAACCCTTTCACAGCTTCCTTTTCCCTGAGGATAACATCCAACATTTTTCCTGTGACTCACATGCCCCCGTCTGTTCTGTTTCCTGCCTCCTGTCTCTTCTTACTTGTAACAGTCTCACCACCATGCCCCTCCTTCTGCCTACCACGTTCCTGACACACCGGCCTCTCTCTGATGGAGGGACTCAGTGCCTTCTGCCCCAGGACCTTTGCATATTCAAGTCTCTGCCTGGAATAGTCTCTCCTAACTCTTCAGCTGGCCAGCTCCTATTCCTTACCTCAAATGTGACTTTTCTAGAGAGGCCATCTCCGAATCCCCACACTAGAATGTGTGTGTTTAGCATGAGAATTCCATGAAGACAGAACTATTTTCATCACTATATTCCCAGCATCAAGCCCGTGGAAAGAACCAGGAATAAACATTTGTGGATCGAATGAGGAAATGGGAACTCAGAGTTATGGCAAGACCCAAGTCCTCTTCCCAATATACTCTTTGGTGTCTTTACGTCGCAAAAGTCTGGAGTCTCACTAGAATTATCTAACTATGGTAATGTTGACTTCCAGGCACTGCACAACGTAAGCTCGTCAATGACATGCAACAGTCCCATGAACTGGGGATTCTTGTGAGCCCCGTTGGTCAGATGAGGACAGCAAGGTTTGCAGACGCAGTGTCTCCCCAAAGTCACAGAATCAGTGATAGAAACCAGGATGCAGACACAAGTGTATCTCCAAGGGCAGGGGCTAGCAACCTAGACTCATTCACCCCACTGTGTCCATCAAGGGAAATGTGAATGTCTAAATGGGAAGCAAGAAGAAGTCTGTTAGACTTCAGGAGCTTCTCTCTGAATCCAGCCCACAAGAGCCTCCCAAGTTGTAAGAAAATACATAGAGGACACAAGGCATGGCTGGAAGCATTACCTTCACGAGGAGTACAGGCTTCTGCCAATCCCAGGAAAAGCAGAATCAGCAGCGACATTTTCAGAAATGGCTCTGATCTGTGCATGATGGGGCTGGGATTTGGGCTGAATGTTCTCCTCCTAGGATAGACAGGACTCTCTGGTCACCCACCGTCTTCCCAGGCTCCAGGGACAAAACTAACTGCCCACACCTGCCCTCTAGCCTGCCTGGAGGCTGGCAGGTCTCCAGACCTGTGCCCACGCCACCAACTGCTGACCAAAGAACTGTATCTGCTTTTTCATCTTAAAGCAACATTTTAGAACAGTTTCATGCTGAGTGTGATGCTTGTCATCCTATGATCTGCTGGCCAAATCCTGCCCTCCTCCTGTTTTTGTAGGGCCTATGAGCTAAGAGTAATTGTTACCTTTTTTAATGGTTGGAGGGAAAAAACAAAAGAAAATATTTCATGACATGAAGATTATATAGAATGTGAATTTCAGTGTCCATGAATAAAGTGTTATTGGAACACAGCCATGCCATTTCACTATGTATTGTCTACAGCAGCTTTCAGGCTGCAAGACTGAGCTTTGTAGTTGTGACAGAGACCATCTGGGCCAAAAGGCCTAAAATATTTACTGTCCGGCCCTTTATAGAAAACGTTTGTGGACCCCTGTCCTAGACGTACTGTAAATTTCAGAAAAACAACAAAGCAAGCAAACAACATCTATCGTATTTCTACTCAGAAGTAAGTATTGTTTTTACATTTTTGTGTATATTCCTTTCCAAAGATGTCTACGTTTATACTTACCTCTAGCACTTACTAGCTATGTACCCTGAGCAAGTTACTTAACCACTCTGTGCTTCATTTTCTTGATCTATAAAGTTGGGATAATGATATTTCCAGGCTAATGTGATACTATCATATCACACCTGTATGATAGTAAATTTGTACTGTTGTAGCCATTAAGTTTGTAATAATTTTTCATAGCAGCCACAGGGAACTAACTGTTTCCACTGGTAATTCTTAGAAATTGCTTTGACAGTCAAGAACTTTAGCTGTCAGTGGGAATATGAACTTGACCCAGTATCCCTCTGGACTCCTGGAATAAAGGCAGAGTGTAGAGACCACTGGTCTATCTAAGCTCTGAAGGTTTCTATGGTACTTCCTTCAAGCCTGATAGAAACAGAGGGTTGTGTGTAGTGTCCTGGAAGGAAAGAGTTCCAGGTGTGGAGGGATGTCCACTCTTGCAGGGGACTCTCTCCTGCCGCCATCTCTGGTGCTATCTATGTTTCAATCCCTAGTACAAGCTGGACCATCTCATGTACATTAGGGGATACCTCAGCGATCCTTCAGACTAGGCTGGAGGAGAGAGTTCTTGTTGGCCATTTGCCATATTTCAGAGCTCCCCTCCTTTGTGAGCACATGGTCCTGGCAACTCATCACCGGGAAAACGTGATACTACAGGATTTGTTATAATGAGCAGAAGAAACAAGGCGTAAAACATGTGGAAGGCTTTTCACATCCGGTGCTATGCGGAAGTAAAGACCACCCAATGAAAACAAGCAAAGGCTATTAATTCAGAGCTTGCTGTAATAAGGGAGGCCACTGACACCATTTGTGTTTGGCACAGACTCAAAGGCAGGCAGGGTAGTGGGAAAGCTTATAGTGAAAGAAAGGGAAGGCTTCAAGAGTGCCTGGTTGGAGGCCGTTGGCATAAGGAAGCTGGCAGTGGTTAATTAGAGGCCATTGTGATTGGTTGGGGGAGCATATTTGGATTTCTCTGATTAGTCCTACGTTTCGATTTTCCATCCTTCCTTAGCAGCCTCATTACCAGCACAGCTGTTTCTTTGCTTTATCAAATATAATCACAGTCCCTAACTCATAACACTAGGGTTTAAATGCAACAAATGCCTGGGATGTAGAACATCATTAATATTCTTTAGCATTATCTGCTCTGCCAGACTGTGATCTGGGGACAGAGATGAGTCAGATACTGGCCTTGCTCATGAGGAACTCATGCTTTAGGGAAGATCAGGATTTCTCACCATTGGCACAGCTGACATTTAGGACTAGATCGTTTTTGTGGTGGGGGCTGTCTTCCGCTTTGTGGGATATTTAGCAACATCTCTGGTCCCTATCAATTACACAGTAGCACCTGCCCCACCCACCCCACACCAACCACCACCGCCACCATGTTTGGGGAGCCACAACTAGGAAGTGATGAGCTTTTAGTGCTTATTACTCTATTTTTATTATAACTTATTTATGTTCAAGTTTATACAATTTAGTTTTGAGTATTGGGCTATGTTAGGCAAGCAGCTAAAATGAGGAATTTTACCTCAATTTAAAAATGTTTTAAATGTAGAAAACTGAAAACGTTAACAATTGACCCTCATAAGCTGGCTCCAGTACACGTATGTAATATTATTTTGTGTGTTTTTACATTTATTCTAAATGGTGTTTCACTGAATCTTTCTTGCACAACTTGCTAGCTATGTATGTATTTATTTATTTATTTATTGAGACGGGGTCTCACCCTGTCGCCCAGGCTGGATTGCAATGGCACGATTTCAACTCACTGCAAGCCTCCGCCTCCTGGGTTCAAACGATTCTCCTGCCTCAGCCTCCTGAGTAGCTGGGATTACAGGCGTGCGCCACCACACCTGGCTAATTTTTGTATTTTTAGTAGAGACAGGGTTTCACCATGTTGGCCAGGCTGGTCTCGAACTCCTGACCTCGTGATCCACCCACCTCGGCCTCCCATAGTGCTGGGATCTTTTTTTTTTTTTTCACCCAGCGTGATGTTTGTGAGATCCACTCATGTCTATGTGGAGCAGGGAAGTGGTGCTGGACCTGGAGACGGCAAAAAACCTGGTTGTTATAGTCACAGACAGCCAATCAGTTAGAATCACAGACATTGAGTCAATCCAGTGTGGATGCCAATCCCTGCCCCACCACACTACGGCTGGCCTGAGTTTCTTCTTGCTACCATAACAAATTACCATAAAATTTGTGACTTAAGACGACATAGATTTATTATCATACAGTTCTGGAATTGAGAAGTCTGAAATGGGTTGATAGAGTGAAAAGCCTTGGTAAAGCTACATTCCTTCTGCCGGCTCTAGGAGGAATTTGTTTCCTTGCCTTCTGCAGCTTCTACAGGCTGCCCACATTCCTGACTCCTGGTCGGCCTCTTTCATCTTCCTAACCAACAGCATGGCGTCTTCAAATCTCTCTCCAACCCTCTCCCATTTTCAGGCCAGCGATGGCCGGTCAAGTCTTTCTCACCGTACATTGCTCTGATTCTCTGTTTTCATCATTCCGTCTCCCTCTGTTACCCATTTCCCTCCCTCTTTCACTTACAAGATCCTTTGTGATTACATTGGACCTACCCCAGTAATCCAGGATAATCTCCCCACAAGGTCAGCTGATTAACAGTCTTATTTTTATCACATCTGAGAGTAACACACTCCCAGGTTCCAGGAGTCAGATGTGGGTATCTTCAGGGACAATTATTCTGCCTGCCTCACAGATGCATAAACTTGCTCAATTGACTATATCCCTGAGCCTCGGTTTCCTCCTATTAATGATAGCAACAATTATTATCATTAATTATTATATTATTATGCCATATAATTGTGAATGTTTTAAAGTATATTGAGGGGATGTGGAGAAATTGGAGCTCTTATACATTGCTGGTGGAAATGTAAATTGGTATAGCCCCTGTAGAAGATAGTTTGGCAGTTTCTCAAAAAGTTAAATATAGGGCTACCGTATAACCCTGAAAGTCCACTCCTAGGTATGTACCCGAAAGCACGGAAAACAGGTAATTACACAAATATTCACACACGAATGTTCACAGCGACACTATTCACTAGAGTCAAAATATGGAAATGATTCGAATGTCCATCAATAGATTAATGGGTAAAGTGTGGTATAGCCATATAATAGGATATTATTCAACTGTAAAAAGAAATCAAGTACTGATACATGCTAGAACATGGGTGAACCTTGAAAATATTATGCAAAGTAAAAGCAGCCAGACACAAAAGACTACCTAGTGTATGATTCCATTGATACGTAATATCCAGAACAAGTAAATCCTTAGAGACAGAAAGTAGATAGTGGTTGTCGGGGACTAGGAATGGGGAGGGAAAGAGGAATGGCTGCTTAGTGAGATGGGGTGAGGGGTAAGGAAAGTGTTTTAAAACTAGATGTGGGTGACGGTTGAACAACATCGAGAATGCACTAAAGGCCACTGAATTGTACACTTAAAATGGTTAATTTTATATCATATGAATTTTACCTCAATTAAAAAAGTTTTAAATGTAGAAAAATGTGTTAAAAGCTCTAAAAATAGCAATTAAAAATCCCATGTTACCAAAACAAAACAAAGAAAACAGTACAAGCATAGGGACTGTGCATATTAAAAGTAACTAAATTTAAAAAGTATTAAAAGTAACTAAATTTAAAAATTAAACCAGCAGCAGCAGCAGCAGCATCTGAGGCTTCTACAGGGAAACAAGTGGAAATAGTTCAACCCCTCTGTACAGTTCCTGGGGCAGTCCCAGAGCTTGAGCAGGTGGGAGGGATGAGCATTCTGTCCCTGCCGCAGGGGCCATTACACCCACAGGGGCAGCGCCCACACAAGGGGTCTCGGCTGCAGCTGGCATGACTGGCTCAGCCACACCAATGCTTCTGTGTCCTGGGCAGCCTGGCTTCCCAACCCCCAAGGAGTCCCAAGCCACTGACTAGGTCCTAGAATAGACAACCCATGTCCTGGGCTCTGGCTGGCTCTCCAGTCAGTTCCTTCACATCTATCCTAGATAGAGGAGCCCTTGGAGTCTTCTGTCCCCCACTAAACAGATAAGGGAGCAATGGGTCAGAAGTTTCAGGGATTTTTCCCAGAAGGGACCTGAAAAGTGTCATCGGATTTAGCCAGGCTCTGAAATCATAGAGGTGCGGGATCAAACCTCAGCTCCCTCCACCTCCTGGCTGTGTGCACTAGGACAAGGATTTCTTTTCTTTGGACCTCAGTTTCTCAGGGAGTAAAAATGGAGGTGTCATAGCAACAGTCGATACTTTTTCTAGCACTGACTACATCCCAGATGCTCTTCTAAGAGCCTTTGCCTATAATAACTCCTACAACACTATGAGATGGGAACTGTTATTAGCGTCATTTTATAGATGAAAAAAGTGAGATCTAAAAGCATAAGGTCCACTCAGAATCACACCACTAGTAATTGGCAGGACTGGGATTCGAAGCTAAGTATATGAATCTGCAGTGAATGCTCTAAACCAGCCCTGTCCAGTAGAACTTTCTGCAGTGATAGGAATGTCCTGTATCCGTGCTACCCAGAATGGTGGCCACTAGCCACGTGCGGCTGCTGAGCACTTGAGGTGACGCTAATGCAACTAAGGAAATGAAGTTTTCATTTTATTTCATTATGAAGCATGTAAATCTAAATAGCTACGTGGTAAATCTAAATAGCTACATATATTGGACAGTGCTGCTCTAAATCATGATACTAAGCGCCTCTCAGCCTTAATAGACTATATACCTAACAGGGTTGCTATGACAGTTCTGACAGAGCCATATGTGTAAAAGCACCCTCTGTGAACCAAGCAGTCTCGGTGTTGGGGATGCACTTTCTCTAACCCTGTGGAGTTTATAGTCTGGTGTAGGAAGACAAACAACAATATTGACAAACACATATATAATTTCATGTACTGGTCATTGCTGCAAAGAAACTGAAATAGGGCCATGTGTTAGAGACCGATGGGGTTGAGATGCTGCCGTAGCTAGAGTTGTCAGGAGAGACCTCACTGAGATGGTCACATTTGAGTTTAGATCCTAATGAAGATCTGGGGTAAGAGTAGCTTAGACAGAGGGAACAGCTTGTGCAAAGACCCCGAGGCAGAAAAAAGCAGAAGGAATTTGACACGCAGAAAGAAGATCATTGTGGATGGAGCAGGGTAAGCTCATGGGAATGTGGAGGGAGGAGAGGTTAGAGTGGTAGGCAGGGGCCAGATTGTCAACAAACCTGAGTGGGCTCCGCCGTGAGAATGATAGTAAGCACAAACCAGGAACATTCCTCTTTGTCTGCTTTCCCTGGGCCCTCTTACACCCACTTGGTTCTCTATTAAATATGGGCATCTCCGGCCAGGCACCGTGGCTCACGCCTGTAATCCCAGCACTTTGGGAGGCCAAGGCAGGTGGATCACGAGGTCAGGAGATCGAGACCATCCTGGGTAACATGGTGAAACCCCGTCTCTACTAAAATTACAAAAAATTAGCCGGGCATGGTGGCAGGTGCCTGTAGTCCTAGCTACTCGGGAGGCTGAGGCAGAAGAATTGCTTGAACCAGGCACCGAGATCGCGCCACTGCTCTCCAGCCTCAGTGACAGAGTGAGACTCCATCTCAAAAAAAAAAAAAAAAAAAAAAGTGGGGGCATCTCCCAAGCAGAAAGCAAAGCCTAAGCCTACTCACTTCTTTGGGGAGAGAGGAAGAAAGTCTTGGACAGTAATTGAGCATCCTCTTTGGGCACCTGCCCCAACAACTTCACACACATTATCATCTCATTTAACTGAGGTTGGATCTGCAAAGGCAGCTTGGCTTGGCAGAAAGAGCGGGAGCTTTGGAATGAGGGCCTAGATCTCACCGTGGGCTCTATCACTTGGTGCTATTTTTAGCAAGCATGCAGTAATAATCATAATACTCTCAGCAGTTAAGCTTAATTGGGTGATTATGATGTGCCAGACGTGGTTCTAAGCACTTCATATCTATTAGCTCATAATTTTAAGAGCTGGGTAGTATTATAATTTCTCTTTGCAAATGAGATAACTTTGCCCAAAGTCAACAAAGCCAATAATTGGAAGAGGTAGGATTTGAATCTATACAGGTATGATTGACATTTGTGAACTTGTTTAGCTGCTAAGTCTCTATACCCTGATTTCCTTTGGAAGAATTACCTCTGCTCCACTGTATGTGGTCCTGGTGGGATAGTTAATGCACGTGCCCATTTTCTCATAATGAAAAGCAAGCAGGGTCCCTCAAAGCTCCTTGCACCAGATCCTTATTTTTACACTAAAGCCAACCAACCTTTGTCCTAAGCCAGGCTAATCAGACTGCTTACCTGGCACTTTAAATCTCGAATTGAGTAAAGCAAGAGTGGAAGAAGCAGATTTAATGCTTTTCAGGTGAGAGTGTTGAGTGGCTCATGATACAGAAATCTCTTGGTTTCCCAGGCTTCACTCTTTCCCAAACCCACTCTCCAGCCTTCACTTTAATCCTTTGAACTCCACCCCTTTGCCAGTTCCTTCCAGTGATTTCTCTTTTAAGCTAGCCAAAGTCCGTTTCTGCCACTGGAACCCAAAAAACCTGCTTGATTCAAGAAGTTCAGCTCTGTTTGTGTTCTAAGGCAACCTCTGGCTGCTGTCCTTCTGTACATAGTCTTCCTTCCATTGGATCTCTCAAAGAGAAAGCTCACTTCCTCAGTTTACTTTCCACCAGCTTTAAGTTTCAAGCCTTACTGCTTGCTTACAGCTTTAACCACTTACATAGAGTATAGGTGCATACTAGATGCTCAATTAATATTTGTTGAAATGGTATTCAAGGTGAAAGATTGAGAAGTGAAGATGGTTTGGAATTGTGTTGTTGATGCCTTTATCATGGGAGTGCCCTGTGCTAGGATGGATCTGAGAATGGTTTTTTTGTAATTCTGAAATAAGCCCATGTGTCTCCCCTACTCCAAATCCTTCCATGGCTCAACATTACATACAGGATAAGCATTTATTTAATTTATTTATTTATTTTTGAGATGGAGTCTCACTCTGTCACCCGGGCTGGAGTGCAGTGGTGTGATCTCAGCTCACTGCAACCTCCGCCTCCCAGGTTCAAGCAGTTCTCCTGCCTCAGCCTCCCGAGTAGCTGGGATTACAGGCGCCTGCCACCACACCTGGCTAATTTTTGTATTTGTAGTAGATACGGGGTTTCACCATGTCTGCCAGGCTGGCCTTGAACTCTTGACCTCAAGTGATCCACCTGCCTCGGCCTCCCAAAGTGCTGGGATTACAGGCATGAGCCACCGCGCCCAGCCCTAGGATAGCATTTATGACTAAAAGCTTTAGTGTGACCTAGATCAAGAGTAGGAAAACTTTTTCTGTCAAGAGCAAGATAGTAACTATTTTTGTCTTTGTTAGCCATATGGTCCCTGTCGCAATTACTCAACTTTGCCACTGTAGTGAGAAAGCCACCAGAGACAATACATAAGCAAGGGGAGCTAGCTATGTTCCAATAGAACTTTATTTATAAAAACAAATGGTCAACTATAGTTTGCCAGCCTCTGATACAGACTCTTCATACTTCATAGTCCAGTCTCCCAACACTTCCTCATCTTACCTTGATTTCTACTAAATGAAACTTTGACTTCAGGATTCAGATCTGATGTCACTTCCATAACACATCTTTCTTGGAATGTACTGCATCATTCCTGGAAGATGGAAGATCTCAGTTAATAGGAAGACCTGAACAAACAGGTCATTTTCTGTAGTGGAATGAGCATGAGCTTGAGAGTCAGATCCAGGTGTAAATCCCAATCCTGCTACTCCCTTACCCTGAGATAGTGTCCAAAAAGTCTTTCTTGGGCTGGGTGTGCTGGCTCATGCCTGTAATCCCAACACTGGCAGGTTGAGGCAGGTGGATCACTTGAGGTCAGGAGTTCGAGACCAGCCTGGCCAACATGGTGAAACCCCATCTCTACTAAAAATACAAAAAATTAAGCTGGGTGAGGTGGCGGGTGCCTGCAATCCCAGCTACTCAGGAGGCTGAGGCAGGAGAGTTGCTTGAACCTGGGAGGCGGAGGTTGCAGTGAGCCAAGATAGTGCTGTTGCAGTGAGCCAAGATCATGCCATTGCACTCCAGCATGGGTGACAGAACGAGATTCCATCTCAAAAAAAAAAAAAAAGTTTTTCTTGGAGCTTCATTTTCCTCTTACATAAAATCATAGACTTTTAGGGGGAAATAAATGAGGTGAAGGTTGTAAAACACTTAGCAATATGTATAGCATATAATATTTATATGGCTCATAGAAGCATAATACTATTATAATTATTGTTATTACATGTTATTATCATGCATTATCATCATCTCAGAGGTTCTTATGAAATCTATACTTCTTTAAAAATGGTGATTTTCGCAATTCCTTGTCTTTGTTTAAATGCATAATTCTCTCCTCTCTCGCCTCCCTTCTTTCAGATGTTTTAGGTAGAAGTAGAAAGAGGAAAGTGTTAGAGTTTCTTCCAAAGAATATGGGAAGATGTTCTGATTGCGTCGTTTAGAACATCCAGGGTCTAGAGTTGCAGTTTTTCTGGGTTAAGGCACTCAGAACATTTTATCTATCAAAGCCACTTGGGACTGGTAGGTCCTGATAGCATAGATGCAGGATTCCTTAATGCCCTTTGCAACTCCATCCCTGTAAATTCAACGAGCCTCCTTCTGGCTTGGAGATGAAAGGAAGATGAATAAGATGATTCTTACTAGATCTGGGATCCCAAAGCTCTGGCTTTCGGAAAAGTGAAATATTATTTGTTCCAGAGGGCACATAACATGTTCCTGGCACATTGGAGGGCTATTCCTCATAAGCTGGAGCTCAGCGCTTGCCCTTAAAATGCACTTCACCCAGCTCACCGTCTCATGTAGGCCAAAGCTGGAAGAACCTTAGATATCACCACATTCCAGAAGCCCAATGCTAAATGTTGAGTATGTGGGCAATCTTCTTGGAAGAAGAGTTGAAGCTGTTACCAAGTCATTGGAGGTATGCCTGGCCCCAAGAAGGGCAAAGGATCACTGCCTAGTCCCAAGGCATCATTCAGATGTGCATGTGAGGAGTCTCTACCAAGTGTCTCTATGTTCAGTAATACATACTCCTACCTTACCCATCACTAAGGAATTTATAATCTACTAAATTTGTTTTTAAAAAAGTATTGTTTCTACCAAAAGACATATGCAAAACGACTTACAGCATAATTACCCATATAGATAAACGTTGGAAATAATCCAAGTGTCCGTCAACAATAGAATGGATAAATAAATCAAGGAATGGATAAATAAATCAATGGAATATTGCACAGCAATAAAAAGGATGAACTATCGATACATACAACCACATGGATGACTTTTATCAATATAATGTTGAATGAAAATCAGGGCCGGGCGCAGTGGCTCATGCCTGTAATCTCAGCATTTTGGGAGGCTGTGGTGGGTGGATTACTTGAGGTCAGGAGTTCGAGACCAGTGTGGCTAACATGGTGAAACCCCGTCTCTACTAAAGACACAAAAAAATTAGCCGGGCATGGTGGTGGGTGCCTGTAATGCCAGTTACTTGGGATACTGGGAGGCTGAGGCAGGAGAATTGCTTGAACCCAGGAGGCAGAGGTTGCAGTGAGCCAAGATCATGCCATTGCACGCCAGCCTGGGCAACAGGAGCAAAACTCCGTCTCAAAAAAACAAAAAAACAAAAAAAAAAAAATTAGAAACGAGACTGCATACTGTAACATACAACTTTTATGAAACTCTAAAATAGTCAAAATTAATTTATGGTGATAGAAGTTAGAAAAGTGGGCCGGGCACGGTGGCTCATGCCTGTAATCCTAGCACTTTGGGAGGCTGAGGCGGGTGGATCACTTGAGGCCAGGAGTTCCAGACCAACCTGGCCAACATGGTGAAACCTTGTCTCTACTAAAAAATACAAAAATTAGCCGATCATGGTGGCAGGCGCCTGTAACCCCAGCTACTCAGGACGCTGAGTCAGGAGAATCACTTGAACCTGGGAGGGAGGCAGAGGTTGCAGAGAGCTGAGATTGCACTCCAGCCTGGGCAACAGAGTGAGACTCCATCTCAAAAAAAAAGTTAGAAAAGTGGTTACCTGTAGGTAGGCACAGATTGGAGGGGCAAGAGGGAGACTTCTGAGGTACTGGAAATATTGTGTCTTCTTATCTGGGTCATAGTTATGTGAATCTATCCGTCTATCCATATGTAAAAATTTATTAAACTGTAACCTTAAGAATTGTACACTTCACTATATGTAAGTTATACCTCAATAAACAAACAAAAATAAAGAAAAATTGTGATAGCCAAACTTTAGACTTGAATTGTTATTTAAGCTCTTTATTTTACATGTGAAATTTTCAATAATATCAGTTTTTGGTGTTTCCAAACAGGATATTAGTCTGAAGAAATAATCTCTTTTTCTCCCCTTTTTCTCCCCTAATACACTTTTCAGTTGTATTTTGATTCTCTCTCTCTGTCTCCCTCTCTCTCTCCCTCTCTCTCTCAATTTGCTCCTGGATCTGATCCAGTCCTGAAAGACACTTTCAAGTCAGGCAGCTATCTGTGCTTTATCCAGCCTCTTCTGGGGAATACTGGACAGATAACAGGGTTCTCTCTAAAGAAAATTAGGTTTCATTCACCAGTGGGGGCCATGCTTGGGAGAAAGATGTCCCTGAGCTAAGGGAAAGTCCCAGCTCAGATGTCACTTCCTTCAGGAAGTCCTCCATGATTAATGGAGGCAGATTAGATGCCTGTTCTAGGAATGTCACAGCCCCTGAGCTACCACTGGGAGATCAGTACCATATCCTGTAGACAACATCAATTTGGCCATCAGCCAGGCTTTGGACTTAATTCCTGTCTCTGTCACTTAAGCTCCCTACATTTTATTTTTTTCTTTTTTTTTTTTGAGAGTCTTGCTCTGTCACCCAGGCTGGAGTGCAGTGGCACAATCTCAGCTCACTGCAACCTCCGCCTCCCAAGTTCAAGAGATTCTCCTGCCTCAGCCTCCCAAGTAGCTGGGATTACAGGTGCCTGCCACCACACCTGGCTAATTTTTGTATTTTTAGTAGAGATGGGGTTTCACCATGTTGGCCAGGCTGGTCTTGAACTCCTGACCTCAGATGATCCACCCGCCTCGGCCTCCCAAAGTGTTGGGATTACAGACATGAGCCACCACGCCCAGCCACATTTTCCATTTCTATAAAATGAGTGTAACAGTTTCTTGCAGTTGGTTGTGGAGTTTAAGTGAGGTAATTTTTACAAAAAAGAGTGCTCTCCAAATGTTTATAAATTAAAAGAAAAATATCTTCTAGCTCAGGGCTTCCCAAGCTTCTCTCAAGAAAGTACCACCTCCTAGTTTTTTGTCAATTCCATGTGTATCCTTAGTATTACTTTTTATTGATTGATTTTCCTCAAACATATTAACTTGTTTACTTAGATGGTCACTGTAGCTTTATCCTAAGCAATACCTAAATACAATAAAATTGCAGATTTTTGTCCTACTGATATTTTACTGCACATTAAAATATGTAATTATATTAGTTTCAACACCAGAGGGAAAAAAAAGAAAAAAGAAATTAAAAAAATGTAAAAAAAAGCCCAGGCGCGGTGGCTCATGCCTGGAATCCCAGCACTTTGGGAGGCCGAGGCGGGCGGATCACCTGAGGTCGAGAGTTCGAGACCAGCCTGACCAACATGGAGAAACCCCATCTCTACTAAAAATACATAACTAGCCGGGCGTGGTGGCACATGCCTGTAATCCCAGCTACTAGGAAGGCTAAGGCAGGAGAATTGCTTGAACCCTGGAAGCGGAGGTTGCAGTGAGCCGAGATCGCACCATTGCACTCCAGCCTGGGCAACAAGAGTGAAACTGTCTCCAAAAAAAAAAAAAAAAAAGTAAAAAAATATTTAATTACTAAAACAAAATCTATATATTTCCCAAAATATTCTCTAATATGTCCATGGTTGGTAGATATTACAGAGCTTAGAAAAGTTTTGCTAGTTGAGAGCAGAGGCTCAAACCTGAAGTTAGTGGTGTTCTCCTTGCCGATATTGTTTCATTGTTATTTTTATTAACTTTTTTCTTTTTAAAAACATTTTTTATAGCATTTAACAATTTTTTAATTTTTATTTTTTTAAAACAAGGTCTCGCTCTGTCACCCAGGCTGGCGTGCAAGGGCACGATCACAGCTCATTTGCAGCCTCGACTTCCCTGGCTTAAACTAGCCTCCACCTCAGCCTGCTGAGTAGCTGGGACCACAGTCAAGTGCCACCATGCCCAGCTAATTTTTATATTTTTTGTAGAGATGGGGTTTCGTTACATTGCCCAGGCTAATCTTAAACTCCTGAACTCAAGCAGTTCACCTGCCTTGGCCTCCCAAAGTGCTGGGATGACAGGCGTGGGCCACCGTGCCCGGTCAACTTTTTCATTTACTTTCAGATAAGCTGCTTGGCATGCACACAAATCCTGAGTATGAAACTCCCTTAAAATCCATTTTTAGCTACTCAAACACATGAATTTTCTGCCACTAAAATTTTTAGTACACACGCCACAAGCATACCTCCATAGATCTCACAAGTGCCTCTCAATAAACAAAAGGGGCAGAGAGGACAGAACGGGTAAACGAGAGGCATGAACAGGAACCAAATCCCAAAGAAAAGGCTGATTGAATTCTAGAGACTGAGATCCCAGGGAAATCGTACGAGGGTCCAGGTAAGAAGAGGGTAAGATCAGAATTACAGGGTGCAGCCAGGCGCGGTAGCTCACATCTGTAATCCCAGCACTTTGGGAGTCCGAGGCTGGTGGATTGCTTGAGCTCAGAAGTTCATGGTTCTACCATGTTGCTCAGACCAGCCTGGGCAACATGGTAAGACCTCATCTCTATTTTAAAAAAAAAATTAATAAAATAAGTACAGGGTGGGAAGACACAATGCTGTTCCAGTTATCTGTAGCTGTATAACACATCACCCCAAAACTCAGTGACTCAGAACAACAGTGCTTTTAGTATCTCTGTGGGTCAGGAAATCGGTGGTGGGCTCAGCTGGGTGGTTAGGCTCAGGGTCTCTTCTGTGCTGACTAGAGCTGGATCTCCAGGTGACTGAAACAGCTGGGGCCCACCCACCAGCTCTCTCTTCTCATGCTGTCTCAGGTCCTCTCCGTGTGTCGTGGGCTAGGTGGGGCTCCCTCACAACATGGCAGCCTCTGGACAATGGGACAGCTGAGGGGAACTGAGGCCTTCGTGCACTTAAGGGGGAGGTTGTGTCGTCTTTTCTGACCTAGCCTCAGGAGTCACGCAATGTCCCTTCTGCCACTTTCTGTTGGAGACAAGCAAGTCACAGCCCTGCCCAGATGCAAGGGGATGGAAATCCAACTCCACCTCTTGATGAGGACCTGACACATTTGAACAGATCAGATGGGAGAGTGTTGTGATCATCTTCAAAAACCACAGCAAGTGTGTTTGTGTGTCTGTTACCCCCTACACCGGAAGGCGTGTCGGTCACCCCCCACACTGGAAGGCGTGTCTGTCACCCCCTACACTGGAAAGTGTGTCTGTCACTCCCCACACTGGAAGGTGTGTCTGTCACCCCCCCACACTGGAAGGTGTGTCCGTCACCCCCACACTGGAAGGCGTCTCTGTCACCCCCCACACTGGAAGGTGTGTCTGTCAACACCCACACTGGAAGGCGTGTCCGTCACCCCCACACTGGAAGGCGTGTCCGTCACCCCCACACTGGAAGGTGAGACCTTCAAGGACAAGGACTCCATTTCCTCTCAGTGTCCCTTGTGCCCACACGAGACCTGATACGTAGTCAGTGCTCAGTATTTATGGAAGACTCTATTGGTGGCCCAGAAAAGGCTCACAGAAGAGATAAGCTTGGTTGTGCTGAAACCACACCCCCTCACTACCCTGTTATAGCACCAAGAGGCGGGTGGGAGCTGAGTCCTGGGAACCTGCGAAAGGCTTGCAGAATCCCCCAGCACCTGTGTCTAAGAAGATGGGCAGTGGTAGGAGGCAGGAGCCAGGTGTGAAAGGCTTGCAGAGTCTCCCGGCGCCTGTGTCTAAGAAGATCGGGCAGTGGTGGGAGGCAGGAGCCAGGTGTGAAAGGCTTGCAGTCTCCCGGCGCCTGTGTCTAAGAAGATCGGGCAGTGGTGGGAGGCAGGAGCCAGGTGTGAAAGGCTTGCAGAGTCTCCCGGCGCCTGTGTCTAAGAAGATCGGGCAGTGGTGGGAGGCAGGAGCCAGGTGTGAAAGGCTTGCAGAGTCTCCCGGCGCCTGTGTCTAAGAAGATGGGCAGTGGTGGGAGGCAGGAGCCAGGTGTGAAAGGCTTGCAGAGTCCCCTGGCGCCTGTGTCTAAGAAGATGGGCAGTGGTAGGAGGCAGGAGCCAGGTGTGAAAGGCTTGCAGAGTCCCCCGGCGCCTGTGTCTAAGAAGATGGGCAGTGGTGGGAGGCAGGAGCCAGGTGTGAAAGGCTTCCAGAGTCCCCCAGCGCCTGTGTCTAAGAAGATGGGCAGTGGTAGGAGGTAGGAGCCAGGTGTGAAAGGCTTGCAGAGTCCCCCGGCGCCTGTGTCTAAGAAGATGGGCAGTGGTGGGAGGCAGGAGCCAGGTGTGAAAGGGGACCAGCTCTTCAGCCAGGTAACAATGGTGGGCATCTCGCTCCCACATACCAATGGTCTGTTTAGTACTGCAGGGACACTGCAGTCCATATCCCAGGGACAAGTGTTCTGTATCCTCCCGTGACATCTGTTGGGAACGTGGAGATCAGCCCTTGGGTTCATCTCCACCTGCCTCCCTTTGTTCTCCCAGCCCTGATCAGTCACCTGGTTCCAGGGATTCTAACGTGTAAATCTCACTCGAATCTCTCCTTTCGTGTCCATTCACATTGCTTCTGTCCAAACTTGGGATGCCCCTGGTTCCCCGCTCTCCTGCCATCACTCCTTCTGCAAACTCGCCCCTCTTGGACCTAAGCCTGACATGTGGCTCTTCTCTCCACACTCTGTCTTTTGAGGGGCTATCTAACCCCGCTAGAAATGATAGCCAAGTCAGGTGTCTATTCCAGAGCCCTTACGCAGGTATTCCCCTGATGGCAAATACACCTCTGGACATCCCACATGTTAAGTTAAATGAGCATTTAATTTCCCCTTCCCACCAGCTCCTCATCTTGGGTTTCCCTTTCGGGGGGATCCCAGAACCACCTGTTTGCTTTTTTTTTTCACCACTATCTGCAACAGATAATCCATCGCAAAACAGGTGGCTCCGGATTTTTCCAGTGCTTCTCAAACATTTCTTCTGCTTCATCAACAGCCCTTCCCTGAACTCAGGACACAATCGTCACACGACTGGATGTCAGGGATCAAGCCCTGGGTGACCTGCCCACTGGTCCCTGCCACCAGGGGCTGCCCCTATATCTGTCTCCACACTAACTGCCAGAATGATATGAAATTTGAATCATGCCACACCCATGTTTAAATCTCCTCAGTGTCTCCCCCGTTTTTCTGCATCTTAAAATACGTGTCTGTGGATATGTGTATATACAATATATATAATGCATGTATGTATATATGTATACACGCACACACCTGAAAAATGTAAGGACATGCACTACATATTAAAAATACAGGCTGAGCACAGTGGCTTACTCTGTAATCCCAGCACTTTGGTTGGGAGGCTAAGGTGGGAGGATCACTTGAGCTCAGGAGTTCAAGACCAACCTGGGCAACATGACAGAACTCTGTCTCTACAAAAACCACAAAAGATTAGCCGGGTGTGGTGGTGTGCACCCATAATCCCAGCTACTCAGGAGGCCGAGGAGGGAGGATTGCTTGAGCCCAGGAGGTCAAGGCTGCAGTGAGCTATGATCGCACCACTGCACTCCAGCCTGGGCAACAGAGTAAGACCCTGTCTCAAACAAACAAACAAAACAACAAAAAATTTAAAATCCTCTCTTTATGGTGGGATTATGGATGACATATATTCTCCATTATCCTTTTTTCTGTATTTTAAAGCATTTCCTCCTGACTGTTCTTTCTTTTTATTGTGTTTCTAGTTTTTTAGTGTGTGTGCATTTTCTCTTCTGAACTTTACCAGCTACTTAACAAGTTCTATTCAAATATCTCATTAAAAGTTTCATGGGAATACAATTTCCAAATGTATTCACTACATGCATGTATGTTATCTTCAGGATTGGAAACAGGCAATAATTACTGTTTTTTAAATAAGCCCTGAAATAAATCAAGTCACCCTTGAGGCCAGCAGTTAACAAATCATGTTTTCTGCCTCCTCAGAGTTAACTTTTTGATGCCAGTTTAGCAGCTCAACGGGCAGAAATAGAGCCAGGTGCTTTGGGACTCATTAAAACCACCCTAACAACCCTCCTAGGGACCCTGAGAATAGACGACACCATGTTTTTCATCCGTCCAGGTAGGCTGTGTAATTATGATCAGTTTATTCAACCCATCTCAGGGCTGGCAAGAAAAACAGCTTCTTTGAGGGAGAAAAAAAAAAAGCCAAAGGGAAAAACCACGTTGGGTCACAGGCAAGAGGGGTTTGGGAATTAATCAACGTGGACCCGTTAGAGGGAGTGAAACAGTGAGATGGCAGGTGGAGAGTTGCACTGGGCTACGGCACAGAGTCGGCCTGTGAGCACTGAGGCAGGTTGGGTTTTTTGTTTTTCTGTTTGCTCGTGGGCAGCAGCGGGCGGCAGACTTTCTAATTCTCTGTGGCTGACTGGGCAAAGTCTTCCCTACCACAGGCAAATCCATAGCTTCCCTCCCCACTCCCCACCTTGTGCGCTCAGCCGGCTATTGTCCACGCTTTGCTCAATATTGACGTTCTTGGAATTGTAGGTTATATATCACTTTGTGTATTTTTTGGACTATCTAAATATTATTCAAAAGCTTTCCTAACTAAAATGGAAGTTCCTTTCCTGTTTCCAATGGGAGCAGCTTTAAAAATGCAGAAAGCCTGTGAAAATGTCAGAACACGACAAATCATAAACTGATAACGTGCCATTTACTGTACCTCACTTATTCCTAAATAAAATTGTAATAAGAAAATATATATTTTAAAATATATATTTTAAAACTCACAGTTTTTGCATCAAAGGTCACAATCAACAGAGTGAAAGCAACCAATGGAATAGGGGGATACCATATTCGCACATTACATATCTGAAAAGGGGTTCATCTCCAGAGTATATAAAGAACGCTAACTCAACAACAAAACACTAACAACATGATTTTAAAATGGGCAAAGAACTTAGACATTTCTCCAAAGAAGGTCTACAAATGGCCAACAGACACAAGAAAAGGCACTCCACCTCACTAATAATTAGGGAAATGTAAATCAAAACCACACCACTGCTATCAAAAAACAGAAAATAACAAATTTTGCCAAGGATGTGGAGAAATGGGAACCCTGGTATACTGTTAATACACAAGGAAAACAGCATGGCAGCCCCCCCCAAAAATTAAACATAGAATTACGATATAATCCAGGAATGCCACTTCTGCTTATGTACCTAAAAAATTGGAAGCAGGAACTCATACTCCTATGTTCATTGCAACGTTATTCACAATAGCTCAGAAGTAGGAGCTACCCAAGCGTTCACTGAAGGAATAGATAAACAAAATATGGTCCATCTGTACAATGGAATATTATTCCCCTTTCCAAAGGGAGGACATTGTGACACATGCTACAAAGACCTCATTTGACACCAGAAAAAATAATATAATAATGTTAGCAGTTTATCCTAGAATTTGTTACAACTAATAGGTAAGATGATGAAAACATTGGTCTCCTCCTGAAATTGTATAATAAATAAAATAGTCTATACACTAATTAGAATGTAATTATATATAGCAACCAAAGTTTATGTAATACTTTGGGACCAACAACAATGATTTGTATAATAATAAAATATTTCATTATAAAATTTAAATATACATTCTAGTAGAGTACAAGAAAAAAATGTCAGATCGAGTGAACCATCATATGAACCACCAAATTTAGCCTCACACTAACAGAAGAGGAAGACTTATTTAAAAAAAAAAAAAAAGATGCTCATTCACTGGTATATCAGTTAGATAACCTTTTCTGTTGTTTGACGCTTTGGTTATGTTTAATGTCAAACAGAAGCAGAACCATCTAGCTGTTATCTGTTAGAACAAGATCTTTTCTGCCATCTGCTGGACATCTGTCATAACTATACAAATTAGCTATAAAATCATTCTAACTTTAAATTTTTAACATAAGCTGGGTGCGTATGATGCTAGTGGCACCGGCTTAGACACAGCCACCTTACCCCGTGCAAAACCTGAATTGACGAAGAGACACTGCATCCCTACTTTCTCCAGTTCTCATCCACTCAGATCTTCAACTTCTTATTGTAAGAAAAAAAAATGTATTTAGTGTCTGTAACACCGGATAACGTCTCCCCACGCGTCCTCATTCTGTTGACATCCCAACGTTCAAAACTGTTCACCTCAGTCCTTAATATCACAACCCTCACCTCCAGCCAGTGTGTGTCTTGCCAGCACACCGATGGGAGCCACTTGTTCACGTCCCTTCACTGGGGTGCACAGACTGCCACCCAGGTGTTCAGCTTTCTGGCATTTTCCTGTTATTTGCGTGCTTTATTTGGTGCACGGGATTCTTTTACAAGTTCTATGATCCTGCGGACAAGCCACTACTTCCATTTCAGGTGTTCCAACCTTTCTAGGTGAGCTATATTCTTGGGGTCCACAAATTTCTCTCTCCATCTTTTTTTCTCTCCCCCTCCACCCCTCCTCCCTGCCCACCTTCTGTTGCTCTTCTGACCATCCAGAGGACTTTTTTTTTTTTTTTTTTTGAGACAGCCTCTTGCTCTGTCACCCAAGCTGGAGTGCAGTGGCACAATCACAGCTCAAAATTCCCAGGCTCAGGTGATCCTCCCACCTCAGCCTCCAGAGTAACTGAACCTATAGGCTCACACCTCTGCAAGGGAAAGGAACAGGGCTTCTGTGTCAGTTACCAGTCAATTGCCTCCCAGCTTCTAAGTCCACAGGTTCAGTGCCGGCCCTGCAATCACGGAGCTGTCCTGGCAACTTTGCAGGGAGCGCAGTGCTAGGCTCTGCCACTAGAGGGGGTGGGAGGGATATCCCAGGAGGAAGAGGCGCCACTGCGCCGCCATCTTGTCTTTCTTCTTGCTCCTGTTATGGCCTTGTCAGCCCCACGTGAATGGGGCCCCCTGGCGTGTTCACGACCCCAGCTCCTGCCTGTGGCTGCCTTACCACAGGCCTCTCCATACTCCAGCCACCAGCCTTGGCCCCTGGACCCCAGAAGGCTGCCTCCTATTTCCCCTGGTGACCATGGTCCCACCCTTGCCCAACCAGAGGCCTCACCCAGACGTTGAGGTTCATACCTCCACTTTTGACTTGCTCTTTCCTTGGGATTATTAAAAGTTTGACCATGTTTGATGTTTGTTTCTTATCACCCCACAGCTGGACAAGCTGATTAGAAAACCTGGGTACTCCCTCTTCTAGTGCCAGTGGGGAGTTCAAACCCTGTGCAGTACCCCTGGCTGTGGCCCATCCCCTAAGCACCATAAAACCCCAACCCCAAACCAGCCTCCTTTCTCTGCCCTCTCAAGCCACATTCAGACCAGCTTGGGAAAGCCCACTCTGCTCTCTTCAGAAATCCTGTTATGTAATAAGCTTCATACCCTCTTGGAGTGTGGGTATGTGTGTGTCCTCAGTCTTAACATTCAAACTCAATTTTGGGTGGTGTAATCCTTTTTCTCCTGGGCGGCCCCAACCTTTGCGTTGTTACAGCCTCTCACCTGCTCAAGCCAGGTTTGGGTAGGTGCACCTGAATCCATCAGTTCTCCTTTTTCTCTCCCAGAAAACCATAAGAGAATCTTGATTGCTCCCATATCCTCTCTTACCCAGCACCCTCCAATCCATTATCACTTGACAGGCATGTTGAGCTTTAAATTAGGTAAACCCAATTGTGCTGCTCCATTCTTTAAAATTTGTCAATGGATTCCCATTCCTCTGAGAAACCTTCCTCCCTAGGTATCCTTCAGAATTCTTTTTTCTTTATAGTTAGGCCCATGTTGTGGTCAATAAATCTTTATTTTGGAGGTCAGAAAGCTTTTTTCCACAAAGGAGCAGAGAATATATATTTTAGGTTTTGCAGGCTATTTGGTCTATGTTGGATATTCTTCTCTGGTTTGCTCATATTACCACACTTTAAAAATATAAAAAACAATTCTTGCCCAGGTGTGCTGGTTCACATCTGTAATTCCAGCGCTTTGGAAGGCCAAGGCAGGAAGATCAATTGAGCTCAGGACTTTGAGACTGGCCTGGGCAACATAGTGAGACACTGTCTCTATAAAAACATTTAAAAATTAGCCAGGCTGAGCGGGCAGGATAACTTGGACTGGCTTATTTCACTTAACACAATCACCTGCTGGAAGCTGGTGCCCAGGAGATCAAGGCTTCAGTAAGCTATGATCATGCTACTGCACTCCATCCTGAGTGACAGAATAAGACCCTGTAAAACACACACACACAAAACTATTTTCTAGCTGTGGGCTATTGAAGGTAGCAGGCCATCGTGTGCCAGCCCCTGCTTTATATTAAATGCTGCTTGTGCAAATTGCTGTGGGTTTTTTTCTCTTCATTGGACTCTGACTGATACAGCTTCTCAATGCAGATTCTCTTTCGAAACTCCCAATCATTTTTCCCCAGAGAAAGAATACGCTAGAAAGTGGATAAAGGCCAAAAGTCCAAAACTAGTGTATCTTCAACTACACAGAAAAGCACCAAAAATGGGCCATAGACATCCCCCATTCAAAAAAATTAAACATCATGGAGAAAGGCACCCCCAGTCAGTCACTGAATACAGAAGGGTCTTCCTGAAGTACGGAGGGTAACAGAGACTGACAGTCACAAGGGTCATCAGTGGTCTTTTTTTTTTTTTTTTTTACACGGAGTCTAGCTCTGTTGCCCAGGCTGGAGTGCAGTGGCACGATCTTGGCTCACTGCAATCTCTGCCACCCGGGTTCAAGCGATTCTCCTGCCCCAGCTTCCCAAGTAGCTGGGACTACAGGTGCATGCCACCACACCTGACTAATTTTTTGTATTTTTAGTAGAGACAGGATTTCACTGTGTTAGCCAGGATGGTCTTGATCTTTTGCCCTCGTGATCTGCCTGCCTTGGCCTCCCAAAGTGCTGGGATCAGTGGTCATTTAGTTGAATAGCTTAGGCCACATAAAGCACATGGTCTTTTTGCTAAAAAGAATAGAATCCATAGAAAATAAAATGTAAAGAGTGTAACAGCAGGATTAGATTTGCTCACTTTCATACTCAGTATGGCTGCCATGTGATAATGGGTGGAAAGCCGTTGGGTAGGAGCGGATGTGGGAGAAATAAAACACTTAGTGTAGCATTCTGGGTAAGAAACCAGAAGGATTGAATATTTCAAATGCACTTATCAGACACTGGCCTCAAGATGCTGACTTGAGCAGTAAGAGATGGTAAGATTTTGCTCAGTTGATGCAAAGCTGGAACCCAGAGGAGACTGCCTCCTCACCACTGAAATGAGGGTCTATTGACGAGCAGCATGTGCCTCACCTGGAGCCTGTCACTGAATCAGACCCTGCATTTTAACAAGATCTGAGGGTGAATTATATGCACATTAAAAATTTGAGGGCCACGAGGTTACAGTAAATGAAGCGAGATGCTAGAAATTTCTCTTTATACTGTACACCAGTGGTTCTCAACCTTTGTTGCACATTAGAATTACCTGGAAAAATTTTTTAAACCTGATTTCCAAGTATCGACTCAAACTCGTATCTCTTGAGGGTGAGAGTCAGGCATCAATATGTTTCAAAATTGTCTGGGGATGGAGAAAGGGAGTCGCTCTTGAGCAGGTCTTTGCTATCTTATCCTTAGGAGCAGCCAGCCTTAAATCCACTCTCTCAGGGTGTCCTGTCTATTCTGCCCTTACCTTTCAAAATTTTCTTATTCCTTTGCAATGAATTACTCTATGCTGCATCTCTTTTACTGTGTGTCTATTGTTTACATTCCTTTAAATTAAGAAGACAAGAACCGAGGTGTCACAACAGTGAACTTTAATAAATGAATCCAGCCTATTTCCGGAGTTCTGAGGATCTCTGGTCTCTGCCTCTGTGAGCTCAACCAGCCATTCATGAAATACCCTCCCAAGACCAGCAGCATCAGCATCACTGAAAATGCAGATGCTCAGGTTATTTAAAACAAGTAAAATCTGAGAAATTTTCACCAAGAGGAGCCTAGGGAGGCATGACAACTCAAGGCAATGTGGCGCCTTGGATGGAAAAGAAGGAAGAGGAGGCCATCGTATCAACACTGAGGAGGTCTCAATAAAATAGGCACCTGAGTTCACAGCAATATACAGAGTCAGCTCATCGCTTGTGGCAAATGTGCCGTATTAAAGAACCATGTGAACAGTGGGGGAAATGGTGCAGAGCATTGGCGAGCTCTATAGACTTTTGAAAGATATTCTAAGATGAAATCTAAGGCCAGGTATGGCGGCTCGTGCTCATGTAATCCCAGCACATTGGGAGGCTGAGCCAGGCAGATCACCCAAGATCAGAAGCTCCAGACCAGCCTGGCCAACATGGCGAAACCCTGTCTCTACTAAAAATAAAAAATTAGCCAGGCGTGGTGGCGGCACACCTGTAATTGCAGCTACTCAGAAGGCTGAGGCAAGTGAATTGCTTCAACCCGGGAGGTGGAGGTTGGGGTGAGCCGAGATTGCGCGACTGCACTCCAGCCAGCCTGGGTGACAGAGTGAGACTTGGTCTAAAATAAAATGAAGTCTATTTTTCAATGCAAACTCTAAGGCCACACCCCTGATCTACTAAACTGGAAGCTCTGGGATCAGGGCCCACCCTTTTGTAGATTAGCAAAGCCTTCAGGATGTGGTACTATCACTAAGACCAACTAGTCACCAGAGACTCCCAATGCCTCTGTAGTTCAAGATTCAAATCAGGAATTTAGAAGTTGCCAAATTTAGACCAAGAAATACACCATCTGGGGCGGGGAGATAAATAGGCAGAGCAGAGAGGATTCGGGGGGGGCAGTGAAAATATCCCCCATGATACTCCAGTGGTGGATACTCATGAGGCCTTTGTCCAAACCCACAGGATGTACAACACCCAGAGCGAGCCCTAATGAACACCATGGACTCTGGGTGGTGGTGATATGTCCAGGCAGGCTCACTGATGGAACAGGTGCACCGCTCTGCTGGGGATGCTGGGCGGGGAGAGGCTGTGCCGTGTGGGGAGGGAGTCTAGGGGAACTCTGTGCTGTCCACTGAATTTCCCTGTGAACCTAAAACAGCTCTGAAAAAGTCATTAGCCAGGCGTGGTGGCTCACACGTATACTCCGAGCACTTCTGGAGGCCAAGGTGGAAGGATCGCTTGAGGCCAGGACTTTGAGACCAGCCTTGGCAACAAAACCAGATCCCATCACTACAAAAAATTATTTCAAAAAATTTGAATAAAATAATACTAATAAAGCCTAATACAAACAATACAGGATGCAGTGGCTCACACCCGTAATAGCACTTTGGGGGGCCGAGGCAGGCAGATCACTTGAACTCAGGAGTTCAAGACCAGGCTGGGCAACGTGGCAAAACCCCTCTCTACAAAAAAATACAAAAATTAGCTGACATGGTGTGGTGTGTTCTAGTCCCAGCTACTCCGGCGGCCAAGACGGCAGAATTGCTTGAGCCGTGGAGGTCAGGTCTGCAGTGAGCTGTGATTACACCACTGCACTGCAGCCTGGGTGAAAGAGTGAGGCCCCATCTCAAAAGAAAAGAAAAGAGAAGAAAAAGAAGCAAAAAAGAAAACAATACAGGATACCCAATAGAAGCTGAGTTTCAGATAAATAATGAATAATTTAGAACAAGCTGATACTAAAAAAAAATTGTTTATTTGAAACACAGATTTCCCCAGGCATTGTGTATTTAATCTGGACACCTACTTTGACAACTTTAATTTACAGCAAAACAGTGGGTAATAGCATGTCAATCAGAAGGCTCCGTTTTTTGTTATAAAATACTGAAAACTAATTAGATGTTTGTTTATTGAAAGAACAGGCCAGGTGCGGTGGCTCACGCCTGTAATCCCAGCACTTTGGGAGGGTGAGGCGGGCGGATCACGAGGTCAGGAGATCGAGACCATCCTGGCTAACAGGTGAAACCACGTCTCTACTAAAAGTACAAAAAATTAGCCGGGCATGGTGGCAGGCGCCTGTAGTCCCAGCTACTCGGGAGGCTGAGGCAGGAGAATGATGTGAACCTGGGAGACTGAGCTGGCAGTGAGCCGAGATCGCACCACTGCACTCCAGCCTGGGTGACAGAACAAGACTCCGTCTCAAAAAAAATAATAAAAGAAAGAACAGCAACACACACCCACATAAACCTGTACGAAAACAATGGACCTAATGAAACAGAAAATAAAGCTCTGTGGGGAGAATGAATATTTACTCCGACATCCTGGCAATTCCTATCTAGGGCACTCCCTCTGTGTGCCAGGCGCCCTTGCACCTGCTTCATGTCATATCTCATCTAATAGCGTCAGTGAAAAATCATCCTTCACATTCTCTGGGTGCAGTGGTTTCTTGATGTGTTTTCTGGTGGTATTTTAACGTTTCAGGCCGACGAAAGGCTCTTAGACACTTGGGACATTTATAGGGTTTCTCTCCGGAGTGGATGAGCTTGTGCTCGTTCAGGTTCTTCCTGTAGGTGAAAACTTGGTTGCAGTCCTTACATTTATAGGGCTTCTCCCCCGTGTGGCTCCTCTTGTGACACTTCAAGGAGAACATCCTGTTGAACCGTTTGTGACAGATGTCACATGTGTAGGGCTTCTCACCAGTGTGGATTCGCTGGTGGACGCGGAGGTCTGAGAGCTGCGTGAAGCACCTCTCACAGAAATTACATTGAAAGGGTCTCTCTCCTGTGTGTGATCTCATGTGGATGGCTAGCTTGGAATTACACGTAAACCTCTTATTGCACACGCCACATGCAAAGGGCAGCAGTTCCTTGGCTTCTTGGCCATTGGGGTGACTGACTGCACCTGCAGGGCCTGGGGAATAAACTGAATTTATCTCAGGTTTTCCTGGGGATTCGCTGTTGCCCACAGGTGTGGCTCCTCCTTGAGGCCCTTCTTGGGAAATGGAGGTGGCGTCTGGTTTGCTTCTTTTGGGACATCTCAGATTCAGAGCGTCTCCTCTGCTCCCGCTGTGAGTCGAAGCTTCTCTCTCCACAACGCAGGCAGAAGGTGTGTCAGCATCCACATTTTCGACAGAGGCTCTTTTTTTGGGTTCCTTCCCCTCCTTTGCTCCCACCACACCTGCTGGAAGAAGGGATTCCACACACAACAGTTAATAAGGTACATTTTCAATACACCAAACTCATTGCAACCAAACACTGATGTTGGCTGACAACTTCCCCTCAACCTTAAACCTAAGACATTGGACCGTAGGTCTCTGGAGAGTAAGGGATGGAGAGGCTTTGGCAGCTGAGTGCCAACTCCCCCAGACATGATAATGCTGGGACCCCAGCCCCACACCCCAGAAGAGAGGGGCTAACCCCTGTGGATCCAAGTCTTCATACTCACTAGGACCGTTTGGAAGCTGAGGCTCTGGGGATGTAAGTCCCGTGTTTTCTTCCCTGTCTACGTTCAGATCCTTCTCCAAGGTTGGCTTGGGTCTCAGAGCCTTTGGGGCACTTTTCATGACAGTAGTCTCTGGCAGCAGGAAGTCCTCTTCCTGACAATGGAAAACCAACAGCAATGACTGCCCTGTCTAAACTGGTGGGTCATGGACATCACTGTCCCTTCCTGACTGGATACACCAACTTTTCTAATGACACAGGTTTAGGGATACGTGCAGACTTCCTATGGGCCTCCCACATCATCCCAAATAAACATCACCACCTCATTTCTGAGTCTCTCCCTAATCTGCACCCTCCATATTCTAAATCAGCTCCTGTGCCTGGTGGTTTTCACTGTTTGGTTCTCTGAGCATATTTCTCCCCGCTGTGCCAACGTCTCCCTGCCCCTGACACTGGAAGGAGCATGACTCTAGGTGGAGGCCCCTAACCCCTGGCACCACTGGCATTGGGGCTGCATCACCCTCCTGGAGGGGGCGCTCCTGTGCAGAGCAGAGACCCCGCCTCCACCCTCTAGATGCTATCAACACCCCACCACCCCCTACAATGACACACAAACACATCTCCAGACATGGCCATGTGTCCTGAAAGGCAAAATCACCCCAGTTGAGAAACACTCCTCAAATTAAGAAATTGACAATCTGTAGAAAGTGCGCTCCTTGCTGAATTATGACATTAAATGTCTTTGAGGAAACTGAATGGGGAAGGGACCTTCAGTTCATTCATCGGTGCCAACTGCCTCCCTCATTTCACTGAGACCATTTCTGACCCCCCACCCTACATGCTAAAAGCTCTCATGGTGGAGAGAAAAGTAGATGAGGCTTCATTCTCTGTGATGACTCAGGAATGTCTAAGGATGTAACACATCCATGGGGAATGTCTCTGTTCTTGTCCTGTGCCAAATCTCTCAATCAGTCCAGAGGCACACTCAGTTTTCTCCTGTTCCTTCTCCCACCTCTGCCCAGACACCAGGGCCTCACACACTCACCTGCCTTCTGGACAGTGCAGGGACCCTGGGCAGGGTCTGCAGCTCTTGGCTGGCCTGGCCTTCCCCCGGACGCATCTCATTCACAGAGGAGGCCCGCTGGCTGGACACGCCTCTCGGATCATCTCTGACACTGGCAGGGATTTCAGCCATCTCGACATCTGATTCCTGCATAAGATATTCCTTGCCAAGAAAATTGACCACAGACTGTAGAGAGAAAAAAGACAATCAGACTCACTATGAGAACCTGAAAGTAGCTCTCATATTCCCTGGGTCCTGCCATAATGCTCACACTTTACTGTAATGTTCAAATCTGCCTTCCCAATGCAGAATCAGCTCTGTGGACACAGCAATCTGTCTGAATTTTTTCCTTTTCTACATAAGTACATAAATATGAGTCCTTTAGATGAAAGGGTCTCTAAACCAAAGAGAAGACAAGGAGAAATATTCTGGGTGAATCCAACTCAATTGGCCGATGGCAGCTCACCTTGTATTAGAACTTAGGGGCTCATTTGGGGACCTGGAGGCAGATCCCTGCATCTGATACCAACCACTTTCCCTGCTTCAGGATGGGACTCCTGGGCCCCGCTTCAGTTCACTCTAATGCCTCCTTCCCTACATTCCATCAGACCTAATATTTCACCAATGTCTTTCTTTCATGTTGGCCTCACACAGTGTGTGGGTCCCTGTACCCCCTCTGCCTGTCCATCTCCTACACCAGGAACTTGCCGTCTCAGCACAGCTGATATTGGAATCTGGAAGATTATTTGTCATGGTGGGTTGTCCTGAGCATTAGAGAATGCTTAGCAGCGTCTCCTGTCCTCCCCCTTGTGACAACAAAAACTGTCCCCAGACACTGCCATGTGTCCCTGATGGGCAAACTCTCCTCTACTTGGAAGCCCTGACCTAGAGCAGCCCCTCGGGTCCTCTCGAGTCCAGCTGCACCGTGCAGCCCCCATCCCAGCTCCCCTTCCCTGCACCAGTCACGAGGGTCCCACTCACCCATTTCTTGGGTCTTCTGTTATTTCGTAGCAGGTCCTCCAGGTCTTTGCAGCTCTGCACACCGTTCACCTTGACTAAGACCTGGAGCTCCTGGGGCATGGAGATCATGAACTGCTCCATCACCAGCATGTCCAGGATCTGCTCTTTGGTGTGGAGGTCGGGCCTCAGCCACAGATGGCACAGCTCAGTGAGTTTCCTCAGAGCCTGGATGGGGTCCGACTCCTCTGGGCAGCTGAACATCCTGAAGTTCACGTGACAAGTCTCAGGGTCCCAGTCATGATTTCCAAGTTGAGTTTCTGGGGAAGCCACAGACTGTGGCGGCTCTGACTCAGGGCTGTTGCAGGGTCCTCCCTGACCCCATGAGGAGTTGCAATTTGCAGCCATATCTGGTGGAGAATATTTCAGTCAGTCTCTGAGAAAGTTCTTCCAGTAGCTGGTGTCTAATTGAGACCTATCTAGACAGGCCTCCTTTGGTTTTCCTCAATAATAGATTCACTGTTCAGAAGTCTGCAAAAAAAAACATGAGCCCGATCAAAGTTTCTAGTCTATCCACCCATCCCTTCCAAAACCCTCATCCAAATCCTGGACGCCACTTCTTCAGCAGCATCGAATTCAGCACAGTGGAAATCAACCCACCCTGTTACTCTTCCGCTGTCTACACCTGACTATATGTTCTGATTTAAAATCCTAATGCTCCCCTGGATTCTGATCTCCAGGAAATCATTGTGCAGAAGTGAAATCAGTTTTTTTTTCAATTGGAACAACATGGTTCCCAACTGTAAATTAAATAGGATACTTATGTGAAGCTCCTAAAATCTGATGCAACAATAACTTATTTATGTTTTCCTGTCCAGACAAGATCCAAGGTAAAGCCCTTCATCATAATTACGCACAAAGATAGAGAAAAATAGTTACAACCTACAGTTGTCCCCCAACACCTTTTCTTGTTAACCCCAGGACATTTGTTTGCTCCAGGGAAGGGAGAGCATTAAGTAATCATGAGAATTCAACTCCTACACAGATATTGCTATTTTGGTAAAATGCACATTCATAAATTTCATCATTTTTACCATCTTGAAGTGCACAATTTCATGGCACTAAGACATGCATGCACCATGCTGTGCAACCATCACCACTGTCTAGCTCCAGAATTGTCTCATCAGCCCAAAAGGAACCCCATCCCCATCAATGATCACCCTCTGCCCACCCACCCCAGCCCCTGCCAATCACTGATCTACCTTCTGTCTCTAAGGGTTTCTCTATTCCTAATCTCATCTCAGAAAATGGATTTAAAGTCTAGTGCTCTATGAAATTTTCAGGAAGTGAAATAATACGATAGATTTTTTGAGGCCAGGTGTGGTGGCTCATGCCTGTAGTCCCAACACTTTGGGAGGCCAAGACGGGAGGATCACTTGAGGTCAGGAGTTCGAGACCAGCCTGACCAAGATGGTGAAACTTCGTCTCTACTCAAAATACAAAAATTAGCCGGGCATGGTGGCACGTGCCTGTAATCCTAGCTACTTGGCAGTCTGAGGCAGGAGAATCACTTGAATCAGGGAGGTGGAAGTTGTAGTGAGCCGACATCACGCCATTGCACTCCAGCCTGGGCAACAAGAGCGAGACTCCGTCTCAAAAAAAAAAGAGAGAAAGAAAGAACGATTTTTTGAAATTTGGTTCTAAATGTAGTTTCATTAGGCAGGACACACTGTGTGATACTCTCCAGGCATCAGTTATTATCCAAGTTCAACAGCTGTGAGAACGCAGCCCTGTCTTCCTAGCCACAGGTGGGGGAAGCAACCGAAAGGTCTTCAGAAGGAAGAAAGAATTGACAGGAGGGTCTCGGGAAAGGTCACTGGAATCCTGAAGGATGGAAAACCTACGCTTCCTGGAAGGAATCTGAGCAAGTACAGAACACAGAGACAGCCAGGGAGACAATCAGCAGAGGGGGAAGACAACCCAGAGGAGACAATATTTACACACCACACATCTCACAAGCAGTTCCTGTGCAAAACATAAGCAACTCAAACTACTCCAGAGCAAGAAAACACATAACCCGCTAGAAGTGGGCAAGGTGCCTCTGTGGACACCTCAGATGAAGACATGTGAATGGCCAGCAGGTCTAGGAAAAGGTGCTCGTCATCACTCATCATCAGGGACATGCAAATCCAAACCACAAGGCACCCCTCACGCCTGCTAGAGTGGCTGTTCCCAAAAAGACACATGGAACGAGTGTTGGTGAGGATTCGGGGGAAAGGGGTCCTCTGCGCCCCGTGCTGGGATGTAAATTAGAGCAGCCGATATGGGAGACAGTATAGAAGCTCCTCAGAAAATTGAAAGTCCAACAACTGCATGATCCGGCAATCCCGCTCCGGGGCAGGTACACAGAGGAAAGGAAATCAGGACGTGGACTCCAAAACAGTGAAACTCTGGAGGGATAGAGGGAGGGAGGGTTGAAAAACTACCTATCGGGTGCTCCTCACATCCTGGGTGACGGGTTGAGTCATACCCCAAATCTCAGCATCACTCAATACACTCATGTAACAAATCTGCACAGGCACCCAGCGAATCTAAAATACAAGTTAAAATCATTTAAAAAATTAAAAAAGAAGTAGATGACATGAATAATAATTTTAAAAGCCTAGTGGACTCATAGTAGCAGTGAGTAGAATGGTGGTTACCAGGGCTGGGATGGGGGTTGGGGAGATATAGGTCTAAGGGTACAAATTTCAGTTGGAGAGATGAATTCAAGAGAGCCGTTGTCCAACATGGTGACTTCAGTTCATAACAATGTATGCTTGGAAATTGCTAAAAGAGTAGATTTCAATCAAGTATTCTCACAGCCAAAAATGATTAGTACATAAAGTAAGGCATGTGAATAGCAGCTTAATTTAGCCATTTTACAGCGTTCACATCCTACAAAGCACATTATGCTGTGCCCAATTGTATACAATTTTTAGTTTTCAATTTGAAAGCAAATTAATTTTTTTTGAAAAAAGCATACAAATATGAGAGAGAAAAGAGAGCCTAAAATTCTGGAATTAAAAGTGGCTTTGCTGCAAGGGCGCCTGCTGCTGCTCAGGCCAAGGCAAGAGGATCACTTGAGCCCAGGAGTTTGATAACAGCCTGGGCAACATAGTGAGATCCTGTCTCTTAAAAAAGTGGTTTCATGTTCCTAGAAATCACCGTGTATTCACTCTCAGTTCTTTTCCCATTAAAGCAAGCAATGGAACATGGGAAAAAATAAAGGCAGGTATGCGGGTTAGTATTCAATTCTGGGAGTATATAGCACACAGGACCCCCAGGTAGGGACACTTAGTGCACATTCTCATTGGCCTAGTAGGTTGATGCTCATTCATTAATGGCTGATTTTACCCTGTGGAAAGGGAAAATCCAGTGATGCTTTTTAACAAGTGGAGTGCGGCCGGCAAGGTGGCTCACGCCTGTAATTCCAACAGTTTGGAAGACCCAGGTGGTATGATTGCTTGAGCCTAGGAGTTCAAGACCAGCCTGTGCAACATACCGAGACCCCATCTCTACAAAAAAATAAAATGTAGCCGGGCCTGTTGGCAGGTAGGTGCCTGTCGTCCCAGCTGATGGTGAAGTGAAGTCTCGCCAATGACTGGAGACCAGGAATTCAAGCCAGCCTGGGCAATGAGTGAGACCCCCGTCTCTAAAATGTAACCTACCCATGATGAGAAAGTTAATATTATTCCTAGTTTACATAAGGGTTTCATAACAAGCCAGAGTTAATCACGGGGTGCAAAGGAGACCCGATGCTTTCACAAGGTCTCCAAGCAAATGCATGAGAAAATAAACCCAAATCTTTCTGAAACTAACCCCCCTGCATGCCAGCTCCTAAACCCCACAGACATGGCCTCTGGACACTTACCTCCTTCCCGCCTTATGCCTCCAACTTTCTCGCATCTGGGATGCACTCTCCAACTGGCCTGGAGCTGAACTGCGCCTATTTATGGAGAAGTCGAAGGACTCCAGGCCCCATTTCCAGTTCCTGCACTGCCCCATGATTGGTTTAGGGCCACGTAATCCATTTTAGGTGATCCGAGTTGATTACATTTCCCAATGAAACCCTGCCCACAGGAAGTTAAAGTATTAAACATGCCTACTGTGCAAATAACATAGGTTTTCCCACTCTACTGAATTATTTGTCATATTGCTGAAGTATTTGGAGGCCTCAGAAAATATAGATCCACAAGTTTTTTTTTGTTTGGTTTTATGGGTTTTTTTTTCTTCTTTTGGTTTTTTTTGAGACAGAGTCTCACACTGTCCCCCAGGCTAGAGTTCAGTGGCGTGATCTCGGCTCACTGCAAGCTCCACCTCCTGGGTTCAAGCGATTCTCCTGCCTCAGCCTCATGAGTAGCTGGGATTACAGGTGCCCGCCACCACGCCTGGCTAATTTTTGTATTTTTAGTAGAGACGGGGTTTCACCATGTTGGCCAGGCTGGTCTTGAACTCCTGACCTAGTGATCTGCCCACCTCGGCCTCCCAAAGTGCTGAGATTACAGGCGTGAGCCACCACACCTGGCCCTAGGTCCACAAGTTTTAATCACTTTGGGTCCCCTCGCGCCACACAGACAGTAATATCCTAACAAATAAAGGACATGTTAAGAGTTGTTGGATTAATATCAAACCAGTGATTTAATGCAGTTTAAGCAAAGCCTTTCACATATTAATGTCAGTATATTGAAAAATACAGTCATTGCTGATATACAATAAATATTAGTGATAATTCTTTACTTTTCTTTTTCAAACTCTTGGAATTCACATGGAAAAGCTTTGCTTGAACTAGTCTAAATCACTGGTTTGATATCAGCCAACCTACCCTTATGTAAAAACAGTGGGAACCAGAGAAAGGCACATGGTCCCCACTCTGCACTCACTCCAGGACGGTGAGAGGGTGGTTTATAGATACACTGAGGGTCCTACAGGGTTCCCTGGTTCTCAGCCCCCTGACTGAGGCCTCTCAAACGTGAAAAGCCTTAATGTTAGGTGTGAATTATACTGCGTGGATCATGGAGTCATTGTGGAATGAAAACTGAGTGTCATGATTAGATTACATGATTAGGTTACAATTTGGGAAGTTCGCAGCATCCGCTGACTGATTCACAAATCCATTCAAATTGTGGCTCATTCATTTTTAATTCAGAGTAAATTTTCTCATCTAACACTTAACATACATTGAAGGGTTATTAATATTACACTGATTCTGGTTTAAATCCTTGGGAAATCTTAAGCCACTGAATTTTGTGAACTTCAAGCTCCCTGTGAATAGAACCAGGGAATTATTACCTTCCTGATATGTTCTTTGGAAGATGATATAAGATTATGTCAGTAAAGTGCCCGACACAAGGTCATTTTGCCAAAAAGTTCTGACACTTATTTCCTGATGCATTTTCTCATACTTTGTGATATTTTTCCTTGTTAAGAATTGAGGCGTTGATAGTGAGTCAGTTCAGAATGGAGTTATTAAGTGGAATGAACTAGAATCTGCCTAAAACCACCATCTACCTACCCAATTCCCTCCAGTCCTCTCCTCTTGAAACATGTCATGTTCTCATAAGGAATGTCCTTGGCATTTTGGTAGGGATTGAGTTGGATCTATAGATCTCTATTAATAGTGTGGTCATTTTCACAATGTGAATTCTTCCGATTTATGAACATGGACTATCTTTCCATTTGTGTGCCCTCTTCATTTCCTCTCATCAGTATTTTATAGTTTTTCTTGTAGAGATCTCCTACCTGTGTGGATAAATTTGTTTATTGATTGATTTATTTTTAGAGCCAAGGTCTCACTCACCTTGGCTGGGTGCAATGGAAAACTCATAGCTCACTGCAGCCTTGAACCCCTGGGCTCAAGAGAGCCTCCTGCTCCAGCCTCCTGAGTGAGTATCTGGAATTACAGGCAAGCACCACCACACTTGGCTAATTTTAAAAGATTTTTTTGTAAAGATGGGGGTATCACTGTGTTGCCCAGGCTGCTCTCCAATTCCTGGCCTCTACCTGTCCTTGGTGACTAAGGTCACCATGCTGGTGTTTACATATCCCTATTCATGGTGTAATTATACTACAATCAAGCTAATTAATGTATTCGTCAACTCACATAGTGACTATTTTCATTTCATTATTTATTTGCTTAATTCCTGGCCTCAAGTAATCCTCCTGCCTCAGCCTCCCCAGTAGTGGGGACTAAGAGCATATGCCACAACCCCTGGCTTGCTTTTTGTTTCTTTGACGTGTGTGTGTGTATGTGTGCGTATGTGTGTATGTCCATGTGTGTGTCTGTGTGTGGGTGTGTGTTCGTATGTGTTTCCGTGTGTCCGGGTGTGTCTCTGTGTGTGTCTAGGGGACTAGACACATATGCCACGACTCCTGGCTTGCTTTTTGTTTCTTTGACGTGTGTGTGTATGTGTGCGTATGTGTGTATGTGTGTGTGTCCGTGTGTCTGTGGTGAAACACTTATGATCTATCATTTTTTAAATTTTTTTTATTTTTGAGACAGAACCTCACTCTGCCACCCAGGCTGGAGCACAGTGGCACAATCTCAGGTCACTGCAACCTCCACCTCCCGGGCTCAAATGATCCTACTGCCTCTTCCTCCCAAGCAGCTGGGAATACAGGCGCCACCCATGCCCGGCTAATTTTTATATTATTTGTAGAGACGGGGTTTCGCCATGTTGCCCAGGCTGGTCTCAAACTCCTGAGCTCAAGCGATCCGCCCGTCTCAGCTTCCCAAATTAATGGAATTACAGGCATGAGCCACCGCGCCCCGGCCCATAATCGATCTTCTCAGCAAATTTCAAGTATGCGATACAGTGTGGATGCTCTTCAACGTACAGCGAAGTCACATCCTGATAAATTGAAAATATAGAAGATAAAAAATGCATTTAATATTATGTCACCTACAAAACATCAGAGTTTAGCCTAGCCTACCCTAAACCCGCCCTGAACACGTACCTTCCCCTACAGTTGGGCAAAATCGTCCAACAGAAAACCTATTTTATAATAAAGTGTTGACTCTCTCCTGTAGTTTATTGAATACTGAACTGAAAGTGACAATCAGAATGGCGGTGTGGATCCTCCTCAGCAATGTGCACAGCTGAAAGCACCGCCGCAAAGGAGAAAAATTGTACGTGGAGCTGTTACCGGATGGAGTTGTCCACGTTCTAGGCGTGTTGAACAGAGAATTGAATGAAACGCACAAAGTAACAAAAGAACAAAGCAACGAAAGACAAAAACACAAAAAAACGGAGTAAGGAAAGCACAGGTTTATTGAAGACAATTCACAGACTGGGAGCGGGGCTCCAGCAAGAGGCCCAAGAGCTTCCTCAATTAGGGTTTTTATTAAAAGGAACCCGGCAATACCCCTCGGTGTCTTTGACAGGCCTCCCATTGGCTACACCCCGTGAAGGACTGACCTGCGACCAGTCAGAGGCTGACGTGGAGACTTGGCCCACCGTCCGTCAGAGGCTGGAGTGGAGGCTTGGCCCACCATCCATCAGAGGCTGGAGTGGAGACTTGGCCCACCGTCCATCAGAGGCTGGAGTGGAGGCTTGGCCCACGGTCAATCAGAGGTTGGAGTGGAGGCTTGGCCCACCGTCCATCAGAGGCTGGAATGGAGGCTTGGCCCACCGTCCATCAGAGGCTGGAGTGGAGGCTTGGCCCACGGTCAATCAGAGGTTGGAGTGGAGGCGTGGCCCACCGTCCATCAGAGGCTGGAATGGAGGCTTGGCCCACCGTCCATCAGAGGCTGGAATGGAGGCTTGGCCCACCGTCCATCAGAGGCTGGAGTGGAGGCTTGGCCCACCGTCCATCAGAGGCTGGAGTGGAGACTTGGCCCACCGTCCATCAGAGGCTGGAGTGGAGGCTTGGCCCACCATCCATCAGAGGCTGGAGTGGAGACTTGGCCCACCGTCCATCAGAGGCTGGAATGGAGGCTTGGCCCACCGTCCATCAGAGGTTGGAGTGGAGGCTTGGCCCACGGTCAATCAGAGGCTGGAATGGAGGCTTGGCCCACCGTCCATCAGAGGCTGGAGTGGAGGCTTGGCCCACCGTCCATCAGAGGCTGGAGTGGAGACTTGGCCCACCGTCCATCAGAGGCTGGAGTGGAGGCTTGGCCCACGGTCAATCAGAGGCTGGAGTGGAGACTTGGCCCACCGTCCATCAGAGGCTGGAATGGAGGCTTGGCCCACCGTCCATCAGAGGCTGGAGTGGAGGCTTGGCCCACCGTCCATCAGAGGCTGGAGTGGAGACTTGGCCCACCGTCCATCAGAGGCTGGAGTGGAGGCTTGGCCCACCGTCCATCAGAGGCTGGAGTGGAGACTTGGCCCACCGTCCATCAGAGGCTGGAGTGGAGGCTTGGCCCACCGTCCATCAGAGGTTGGAGTGGAGGCTTGGCCCACGGTCAATCAGAGGCTGGAGTGGAGGCTTGGCCCACCGTCCATCAGAGGCTGGAGTGGAGGCTTGGCCCACCATCCATCAGAGGCTGGAGTGGAGACTTGGCCCACCGTCCATCAGAGGCTGGAATGGAGGCTTGGCCCACCGTCCATCAGAGGCTGGAGTGGAGGCTTGGCCCACCGTCCATCAGAGGCTGGAGTGGAGACTTGGCCCACTGTCCATCAGAGGCTGGAGTGGAGACTTGGCCCACCGTCCATCAGAGACTGGAGTGGAGGCTTGGCCCACCATCCATCAGAGGCTGGAGTGGAGACTTGGCCCACGGTCCATCAGAGGCTGGAGTGGAGACTTGGCCCACCGTCCATCAGAGGCTGGAGTGGAGACTTGGCCCACGGTCAATCAGAGGCTGGAGTGGAGGCTTGGCCCACCGTCCATCAGAGGCTGGAGTGGAGACTTGGCCCACGGTCAATCAGAGGCTGGAGTGGAGGCTTGGCCCACCGTCCATCAGAGGCTGGAGTGGAGACTTGGCCCACCGTCCATCAGAGGCTGGAGTGGAGGCTTGGCCCACCGTCCATCAGAGGCTGGAGTGGAGGCTTGGCCCACCATCCATCAGAGGCTGGAGTGGAGACTTGGCCCACGGTCCATCAGAGGCTGGAGTGGAGACTTGGCCCACCGTCCATCAGAGGCTGGAGTGGAGACTTGGCCCACGGTCCATCAGAGGCTGGAGTGGAGGCTTGGCCCACCATCCATCAGAGGCTGGAGTGGAGACTTGGCCCACGGTCCATCAGAGGCTGGAGTGGAGACTTGGCCCACCGTCCATCAGAGGCTGGAGTGGAGACTTGGCCCACGGTCAATCAGAGGCTGGAGTGGAGGCTTGGCCCACCGTCCATCAGAGGTTGGAGTGGAGGCTTGGCCCACCGTCCATCAGAGGTTGGAGTGGAGGCTTGGCCCACGGTCAATCAGAGGCTGGAGTGGAGGCTTCTGTCTCGTTATCACAGGAGTGAGGATGTGGCCTGTGTGCTGCCTAATCTTGCCTAGAACTGGCTGCAAGTGCGGTTCTTTTGCTTCTACCTTAACCCCTGGTTACCCTAATTCCCTTGTAGTAGGACGAGCCACAGACGAAACCTCTCAGACACCGAGTTGTAGAAGGAAGGGCTTTATTCAGCTGGGAGCATTGGCAAGCTACTGCCTTGAAATCCGAGCTCCACGAGTGAGCAATTCCTGTCCCTTTTAAGGGCTCACAACTCTAAGGATTTCACATGAAAGGGTCGTGATTGATTTGAGCAAGCAAGGGGTACGTGACAGGGGCTGCATGCACCGGTGGTCAGAGAGAAACAGAACAGGGCAGGGAGTTTCACAATGTTGTTCTATACAATGTCTGGAATCTATGAATAACATCGGTTTTTAAGTTATCAGTTGATTTTTAACTACTGGGTTTAGGCCAGGCAGGCCCAGGCCTGGTTTCGGGCCTGGCGCCGGGCTGCCTGTCTTTGGTTTTACTTCCTTGTTGTTTTTTTTTTAAAACAGGTATTGAGTATAAAACAATATAAAACAATATGAGAGGGTCTCTCTCTTCCCTCACCCTATTCTCCTGCCTCAGAGCCCTCAGAAGTAGGGGATGGTCCCTAACATTGATTACAACCCCTAGTCCGTATAATATATCTTCAGAGCTTGTTCACCCTGCATGGCTGCAAACGTTTTCTCTTTTCTTTTTATGACCTGAACCGGGGAGCCCAGGAATTCTGTACTCTTCAAGAGAACTCTTTCCTCTTCAGTAGTTTCTTCCTTCCCACTTTGTGAACCAGGAAGACCTTGAAAATGGGAACATGCTTCTTGTTTTCACTTTCCTTCTTTTTACCAATTTCTCTGCCTCATTCACTGACGAATTGGCTGCTATCCCACACACCTCCTCTCCTACTGACATTCTGAAATCTTTGTGAGTTCAGCCTCCGGACACACAATCTCTTATTTGTAGAGTTGGGTCTCACTATGTTGCCCAGGCTGGTCTCAAATTCCTGGTCTCAAGAAATCCTCCTGCCTCAGCCTTCCAGAGTGCTGGGATTACAGGCGTGAGTTACTGTGCGTGCTCACGGTGCCTGGCCCGGGTTCCTTTTCTGCCAGCTTGGAAGGGCAACCCCATGACTGAATGTTATTCTGAGGGTGGCTCCGCATTTGCATCCTTGTTACAGTGCATCCACTTGAAACACTGCACATCTGAACTGGGACTGTTAACACACATGCTGATACAGTGTGGGGTGCCAGGAAGTGTCTGCTGATATTTATGGCAAAAAAAAAAAATCTGTTTTGTTTACTTAGTGTATCAAAAGAAAGTCTGGGGTGAACAGTAGTATTTTTTTTTAAGCAGCTGTGAAAAAAAGTTGGAGATCTCCAAAAAAAAAAAAAAAGGTGATTTCATAGAAAAGTATAGGATTCGGTGTGGGTGAGGTTGCTTCAAGTTGGTTTGGTACAAGAACTTTCTAGCCATTCCTTATCTGTTTAGAAGTGAATGATCCACCCACCGCCAGGATGGCTCATCAAACAATGGAACCATTTGCCCTTATGGCGCACAGCTGTAATATCCAATCATCTCCAGGTGCCAAGCATGTCCTCTCATTTCATTCTCAACACGATAACGAGCGGAGGGCGGGGACCATTTCAAAGACAAAACGTGGACACCGTTTTTATAGACAATGATGTTTGGACTAAATGAATGCCATGACCTGACTTTCTCAACAGTCTGAAGCTAAATAGAAACAAGCAGAAGTCTCATCTCAAGCCTGCCAGGCCCCATCCTGTAGGCACATGTGAAATGTAAAAACTTGACCCATTGTACTAGTAGGTGGAGCTGCCATTATTTGAGTCATTGAATAGTGTTGAGACAGAATTGGGTTGACACTGCCAACTCCTAAAATTAGAATCTAGACATTGCAGGTACATCACTCACAGCTCCAACGAATGCCTCTGCCTTCATAGAGTAGCTTTCTGACTTCTGTTTAACATTTTTTTTGGAATAAAGTCTTGGAAATAAGCCCATATAGTCAGACATGATGGCTGATGCCTGTAATCCTAGCACTTTAAGAAGCTGAGGCTGGTGGATTGCTTGGGTCCAGGAGTTAAAGACCAGCCTGGGCAACATGGTGAAACTCGGTGTCTACAAAAACATACAAAACAATTAGCCAGGCCTGGTGGTGCACACCTGTGGTCGCAGCTACTGGGGAAGCTGAGGTGAGAGGATTGCTTGAGCCTGAGAGGTGGAGGCTGCAGTGAGCTATGATTGTGCAACTGTGCTTCAGCCTGGGCAACAGAGCAAGACCCTGTCTGAAAAAAAGAAAAAGAAAAAGAAAAAAAAATTAGCCTATATAGGGGAAGGGGAAGAAAAAAGAGCTCAGTGTGGATCACAGCAGAGTCAGCCAGGTTGATGGCTGTGGCTTGCCCATGAGTACTGGTAGTTGAGATGAGGAGAGCTGGTCAGATTCTGAACTTGTTTTCAAGTTTTAAGAGAATCCTCTTTTTTTTTCATGGTCTTATTGAGGTACAGTTGATATAAAATAAATAACTCATATCCAAAGGGCCCAATTTAATAAAGTTTGGAATACTACTCAGCAGTAAAAAGAAATCATTGATAACACCCAAGAACATGGATGAATCTCAAAATAGTTACGAAGGTGAAAGGGGACAGCCAGAAAAAAAGTGCATCTGGTATGAGTCTATCAATATAAAATTCTAGAAAATTCTATTACTAGGCTGGGCACAGTGGCTGACACATGTAATCTCAGCACTTTGGGAGGCAAAAGCAGGTGGATTGCTTGAGCCCAGGAGTTCAAGATCAGCCTAGGCAATGTAGTGAGACCCATCTCTACAAAAAGTAGAAAAAATTAGCCGGACATAGTGGTCCCAGCCACCTGGGGGGGCTGAGGTAGGAGGTTCACTTAAGGCTGAGAAGTTGAGGCTGCAGTGAGCCGTGATCATACCACTGCACTGCAGCCTGGGCAACAGAGCAAGACACTGTCTCAAAAAAAAAGAAAAGAAAAAAAGAAAGAAAAAAGAAAATTCTGTCCGTGATCTGTAATGACACAGAGAACACCAGTGGTTGTCCAGGGATGGAGCTGTGGGAGGGACAGATGATGAAGAGCCTGGGGAAGCGTTGGAGGATGGTGGGGATGTTCAGCTTCTTGATGACGGCAATGACTTCATGAGTATGTACAAATGTCAGAACTTGGACTCTGGACATGCAGGCACAGGAACCAGCTAGAGGAGCTGCTGCACAGCAGTGTAAATGCACCAAATGCTGCTAAACTGTACAGATAAAACAGTTAATTTTATGTCACGTGAAATTCATGTCAATAAACACATTAATTAAGGTATAGGATTTGTTGAGAGACTGAGTGTGTCATGTGAGGGAAATGCAGGAATCAAGGATAACCCCACAAATCTTGTGGATTGCACATCAAGGGGGCTGGAGCCACCTTTACGTGAGGTGGGGAAAGATGTGGTAGGTCTGGGATGTGTGGTGATTGACAGGTCTGTTAGGCATCCAAGACAAGGGAAACTCCACATTCCCATGAGGGAAGGATGGTGGTTGGTCACGCATTCTTAGAGAAGGCATTATTTTCTTTTTGTCATTATTATTATTAACTTTATAAATTTACAAATAAAAATGGTACATACACATTTTTGGTGTACAACATAATGTTTTGATACATATATACAACGTGCAATGCTAAATCTAATAATTTGACATATGAGTGACTTGCATACTTATCTTTTTTGTATGAGGGGAACATTTATGTATTCATTTATTTTTTGAGAAAGGGTCTGGCTCTGTTACCCTGGCTGGAGTGCAGTGGCGTGATCACAGCTCACTGCAACCTTGACCTCCCAGGCTCAAGCAATTCTTCTGCCTCAGACTCCCAGGTAGCTGGGACTACAGGCTTGCACCATAATGCCCAGTGAACTTTCGTGTTTTTTTGTAGAGACTGGGTTTTGCCATGTTGCCAGTCTGATCTCAAAGTTCTGCTTTCAGCTGTGTACGTTACTGAGGAATATTCACACACCATTCTGATTGTCACTTTCAGTACAATGTTCAATAAACGACATGAGATATTCAGTGCTCTATTATAAAATAGGTTTCCTGTGAATGATTTTGCCTGACTGCAGGGGAATGTAAATGTTCTGAGCACGTCGAAGGTAGGCTAGGCTAAGTGCTGATGTTCAGTAAGTGACCTAATAGTAAATGCATTTTTATTTTCTATATTTTACATTCACAATAGGGTTTATCAGGATGTAACTTCATTGTAAGTCGAGGAGCATCTGTACTGTATACTTGAAATTTGCTCAGAGGGTGTATCTTAAATGTTTCCAACACACACACACACACACACACACACACACACACACACACATCAAGAAATAAAAAGAAAGCCAGATGTGGCTCGTGCCTGTAACCCCAGCTGCTAGGGAGGCTGAAGCAGGATTGCTTGAGCCCAAGAGTTAAATAACTAATAAGAAGGAAAGAACATGGTATCTATGTGAGGTGATGGAGATGTTAACTAGCTTGGTTCTGACGATTGCATCACAACGTATACCTGTTTCCAAACTTCACCCTGGTGACCTTTGTTAATAATAATATGTTGGGGCCGGGTATGGTGGCTCATGCCTGTAATCCCGGCACTTTGGGAGGCCGAGGCGGGTGGATCACGAGGTCAGGAGTTCAAGACCAGCCTGGGCAAGATGGTAAAACCCCATTTCTATTAAGTATAGAAAAATTCACCGGGCATGGTGGCGTGTGCCTGAAATCCCAGCTACTTGGGAGGCTGAGGCAAATAATTGCTCGAACCCAAGAGGCAGAGGTTGCAGTGAGCCTGGGTGACAGAGCGACACTTTGTCTCAAAATAATAATAATAATATAATAATAATGTGTTGGGAAAGTCTTAGCCAGAGCAAGGAATAAAGGGCATCCAAATTCAGAAGGAGGAAGTCGAATTGTCTCTCTTTGCAAACAACATGTTATCATCTATAAAAACACCTGAAACCTCCACCAGTAAAACAGAACTGATAAAGGAATTCAGTAAAACTACAGGATACGAAGTCAACATGCAAAAATCAGTAGTGTTTTTATACACCAACAAGCTAGTGGAACAAAAACCAAGAAAGCAATCCCATTTACAATAGCAAAAGAACCCCTAAAAACCTGGTAATAAATTTAACCAGGGAGGTGAAAGATTTCCACAAGAAAAACTATTAAGTGCTAATGAAAAAAAACAAAAAAGACCACCAAAAATGGAAAGCCATGTTCATAGAATGTGAAAAAGACCATACTATTAATAGACATCAGCAGATTCGATGCGGTCTCTTCCAAAATACCAACGGCAGCTTCACAGAAATAAGACTATGAGTTTACAGAGGGGAGGATTTAGGGGAATCGGGAATTGGGTAGCCAGAGAGTGGCTTAGGCAGCTCCCAGTTAATTCCAGTGAATAATTCCATTCTTAACTCTAACTCATTTGTTAGAGTTGAGTTAGAGTCAACACCTCAGTGGTAAACAAGAAAAAATGTAACAAAGTATGAGAACATGCCTCAGAAAATAATTGTTACAATTTCTTGGCAAAATGAACCTTGTATTGAGCACTTTACTGACATAGTCTTACTTCATCTTCAAAACAACACATCAGGAAAGTTCTACTCCCAAGAAGTTTGAAGTTCCCAGAGTGAAGCGGCTTAAGATTTTCCAAGGATTTAAACCAGAATCAGTGTAAAATTAACAGCCCTCCAATTTGTCCTAAAGGTTAGACGAGAAGGTTTCCTCTGAAATTAAAATGAATGAGTCACTACTTGAATGGATTAGTGTCATCCAACTGATGGTGTGAACTTCCCAAATTGTAATCTAATCCTGCCTAGCACTTAATTATCATTCCACATTAACTCCATGATCCACACAGTAAAATTCACACCCACCGTTAAGGCTTTTCGTGCTTGAGAGCCCTAACTGAGGGGGGCTGAGAACTAGGGAACCCCGTAGGACCCTCAGTGTATCTATAAACCACCCTATCACCGTCCTGGAATGAATGCAGAGTGGGGACCATGTGCCTTTCTCTGGTTCCCACTGTTTTTATATAAGGGTAGGTTGGCTGATATCAAACCACTGATTTAGTCTAGTTCAAACAAAGCTTTCCCATGTCAACTCCAATATTCTTTTTAAAAAATAAAAAATTATCACCAATATTCATTATGTATCAACAAAGACTGTCTCTTTTTTTCAGTAAAAAATTATCACCAATATTCATTATGTATCAACAAAGACTGTCTCTTTTTTTCAGTATCTTGACATTCATATGTGAGAGCTTTGCTCAAACTAGATCAAATCACTGGTTTGATACTAATCCACCAGCTCTTAACATGTTCTTTACTTGTTAGGATATTACTGTCTGTGGCATGAGGGGACCCAAAATGGTTAAAACTCGCAAATCTATATTTTCTGAGGCCACCAAATACTTCAGCAGTATGACAACTCAGTAGAGCGGGAAATATTTGCACAGTAGGCATGTTTAGTACATTAATTTCCTGTGGGTGGGGTTTCAGTGGGAACCATAATCAACGCCGATTACGTAAAATGGACTCTATGGCCCTAAACCAATCACGGGGCGGCGCAGGGAACCGGAAACGCGGCCTGGAGTCCCGCTTCTCCATAAATAGACGCAGTTCAGCTCCAGGCCGGTTGGAGAGCGCATCCCAGACCGAGAAGGTCGGAGGCAGAAGCCGGGAAGGAGGTGAGTGTCCAGCGGGGATGTCTGTCGGGTTTAGGAGCTGGCATGTCGGGGGTTGGTTTCAGAAAGTTTGGGTTTATTTTTTCGTGCGTTTTCTCGGAGACTTTGTGAAGGCAGCGGGTCTCCTTTGCACCCCATGATTAACTCTGACTCGTTATGTAACGCTTCTGTAAACTAGGAATAATACTAACTTTCTCATCAAGCTTAGGTTATATTTTATTTTATTTTAGAGACAGGGTCTCGCTTGAATTCCAGACTAGCCTGGAATTCCTGGGCTCAAGCGATCCGCCCGCCTCCGCCTCCCGAGTAGCTGGGACTACAGGCATATGCCACAACGACTGGATAAATTTTTAATTTTTTTTTTGCAGAGATGGGGTCTCGGTATATTGCTCAGGCTGGTCCTGAACTCCTGGGCTCTAGCATGTTCCCATGTCGGTCTTCCAACCTGTTAGAATTACAGGCCTGAGCCACTTTGCCTGCCACACACCCTTTTTAAAAAGCATTGCTGGATTTTCCCTTTGCACAGGGTGAAATCAAATCATTGATGAATGAGCATCAACCTACTAGGCCAATGAGAATCTGAGCTAAGTGTCCCTACCTGGGTGACCCGTGTGGTATATACTCCCAGAATTGAATACTAACTCCTGTGTCTGCCTTTATTTTTTCCTGTGTCTTGTTTCTTACTTTAACGGGGAATGAACTAAGATCAAATACAAAGTGATTTCTAGGAACATGAAACCACTTTCTTTTTTAGAGACAGGATCTCACTATGTTGCCCAGGCTGTTATCAAACACTTGGGCTCAAGTGATCCTCCCACCTCCGCCTCTGCCTCCTGAGCAGCAGCAGGCGCCCTCTGGCAAAACCACTTTTAATTCCAGAATTTCAGGCTCCCTTTTCTCTATCATATCTGTGTGCTTTTTCAATAAAAATTAATTTGCTTCTAATTGAAAACTAAAAATTGTATATATTTATGGCATATAGCATAATATGCTTTGTAGTATTACAAACATTGTTAAATGGCTAAATTGAGCTAATATTCATATGCCCTACCTCATGTACTAACCATTTTTGGTTTTGAGAATACTTGAAATCTAATTTTTTTTAAGCAGTTTCCAAGTATACAATACATTGTTATGAACTGAAGTCACCATGTTGGACAATTGCTCTTTTGAATTGATTTCTTCAATTGAAATTTGTACTCTTTGACCTATATCTTCCCAACCCCTACCCCAGCCCTGGTAACTATTCTACTCACTACTACTATGAGTTCCACTGGGTTTTTAATTATTATTTATGTTATTTACTTCTTTTTAAATTTTTTTTTGTAATTTGAACTTGTGTTTTAGATTCAGTGGGTACCTGTGCAGATTTGTTGCATGAGTATATTGAGTGATGCTGAGGTGTGAGGTATGACTCTACCCATCACCCAGGATATGAGGATAGTACCCAATAGGTAGTTTTTCAACCCTCCCTCCCTCTATCCCTCCAGAGTTTCACTGTTTTGGAGTCCACGTCCTGATTTCCTTTCCTCTGTGTACCTGCCCCGGAGCGGGATTGCCGGATCATGCAGTTGTTGGACTTTCAATTTTCTGAGGAGCTTCTATACTGTCTCCCATATCGGCTGCTCTAATTTACATCCCAGCACAGGGCGCAGAGGACCCCTTTCCCCCAAATCCTCACCAACACTCGTTCCATGTGTCTTTTTGGGAACAGCCACTCTAGCAGGCGTGAGGGGTGCCTTGTGGTTTGGATTTGCATGTCCCTGATGATGAGTGATAATGAGCACCTTTTCCTAGACCTGCTGGCCATTCACATGTCTTCATCTGAGATGTCCACACAGGCGCCTTAAGCCCTTCTAGTGGGTTATGTGTTTTCTCGCTCTGGAGGAGTTTGAGTTGCTTATGTTTTGCACAGGAGCCCCGTGAGATGTGTGGTGTGTAAATATTGTCTCCTCCTCTGGGTTGTCTCCCGCCTCTGCCGATTGTCTCCCTGGCTGTCTCTCTGTTCTGCACTTGCTCAAAGTCCTTCCAGGAAGTGTGGGGCACTCGCCCTCCAGGCTACCAGTGACTTTTCCCAAGACCCTTCTGCCAGTTTTTTCTCCCCTCTGCAGACCTTCAGGTTGCTTCCCCCACCTGTGTCTAGGAAAGCAGGGCTGTGTTCTCATAGCTGTTGAACTTGGACGATAATTGATGCCTGGAGAGTATCACTCAGTGGCTCCTGCCTAATGAAGCTAGGTTTAGGAATTAATTTTTAAAAATCTTATTATTGTATCAACCCACTTCTTTAAAATATCAAAGAGCACTAGACTTTAAATCCATTTTCTGAGATGAGATTAGGAATACAGAAACCCTTAGAGACAGAAGGTAGATTAGTGATTGCTAGGGGCTGGGGTGGGTGGGCAGGGGGTGATCACTGATGGGGATGGGGTTGCTTTTGGGTTGATGAGATAATTCTGGAAGTAAACAGTGGTAATGGTTGTACAACATGGTGCATGTCTTAGTCCCATAAAATCGTGAACTTGAAGAGAGTAAAAAATGATGAAATTTATGAATGTACATTTTACCAAAATAACAAAATATCTGTGTAGGTGCTTAATCCTCATAGGATCCTTTAATGCTGTCCCTTCCCTGGAGCAAGTAAATGTTCTGGAGTTAACAAGAATATGTGTTGGGGAAAATATTACATTCTAACTCTTTTTCTCTATCCTTTTGCATAATTATGACTAAGGGCTTTGCCTTGGATCTTGTCCTGATGGGGAAACATAAAGGGCTTACTTTATTGTTGCATCACATTTTCAGAGCTTCACCTAACTATCTTATTTAATTTATAGTCAAGAACAATGTTGTTCCAATTGACAGGAAAACTGATTCAGCCTCTGCACAGTGATTTCCTAGAGATCAGAATCCAGGGGTCATTAAGATTTTAAACCAGAGTATGTAGTCAGGTATAGACACTGGAAGATTTCCACTGTGCTGAATTCGATGCTGCTGAAGAAGTGGCATCCAGGATGAGGGATTTCGAAGGGAGGGATGGATGGAGTAGTAACTTAAACTAATGAGGCTCATACTTTTCCCCCCCAGACTTCTGAATGAACAGTGAATCTATTACTGAGGAAAACCAGAGGAAGCCTGTGTAGATAGGTATCAATTAGATACCAGCTACTGGAAGAGCTTTCTCAGAGACTGATTAAAAAATTCTCCACTAGATATGGCTGCAAATTGCACATCCTCATGGAGTCTAGGAGAATCCTGCAACAGACCTGGGTTGGAGCTGCCACGGTCTATGGCATCCTCAGAAACTCAACTTGGAAATCACGACGTGGACCCTGAGATTTCTCACGTGAACTTCAGGATGTTCAGCTGCCCGAAGGAGTCGGACCCCATCCAGGCTCTGAGGAAACTCACTGAGCTGTGCCATCTGTGGCTGAGGCCCGACCTCCACACCAAAGAGCAGATCCTGGACATGCTGGTGATGGAGCAGTTCATGATCTCCATGCCCCAGGAGCTCCAGGTCTTAGTCATGATGAACGGTGTGCAGAGCTGCAAAGACCTGGAGGACCTGCTACGAAATAACAGAAGACCCAAGAAATGGGTGAGTGGGACCCTCGTGATTGGTGCAGGGAAGGGGAGCTGGGATGGGGGCTGCACGGTGCAGCTGGACTCGAGAGGACCCGAGGGGCTGCTCTAGGTCAGGGCTTCCAAGTAGAGGAGAGTTTGCCCGTCGGGGACACATGGCAGTGTCTGGGGACAGTTTTTGTTGTCAGGGAGGACAGGAGACGCTGCTAAGCGTTCTCTAACGCTCAGGACAACCCATCATGACAAATAATCATCCAGATTCCAATATCAGCTGTGCTGAGACGGCAAGTTCCTGGTGTAGGAGATGGACAGGCAGAGGGGGTACAGGGACCCACACACTGTGTGAGGCCAACATGAAAGAAAGACATTGGTGAAATATTAGGCCTGATGGAATGTAGGGAAGGAGGCATTAGAGTGAACTGAAGGGGGGCCCAGGAGTCCCATCCTGAAGCAGGGAAAGTGGTTGGTATCAGATGCAGGGATCTGCCCCCAGGTCCCCAAATGAGCCCCTAAGTTCTAATACAAGGTGAGCTGCCATCGGCCAATTGAGTTGGATTCACCCAGAATATTTCTCCTTGTCTTCTCTTTGGTTTAGAGACTATTTCATCTAAAGGACCCATGTTTATGTACTTAACTAGAATATTCCAGGCGCAGGCAGGTGCTGGAGTCTAGAGAGGAAAAAATTCAGACAGGATTGCTGTGTCCACAGAGCTGACTCTCTATTGGGAAGGCAGATTTGAACATTAATTACAGTAAAGTGTGAGCATTATGGCAGGACCCAGGGAATATGAGAGCTACTTTCAGGTTCTCATGGTGAGTCTGATTGTCTTTTTTCTCTCTACAGTCTGTGGTCACCTTCCACGGAAAGGAATATATTGTGCAGGACTCAGATATCGAGATGGCTGAAGCCCCCTCCAGTGTCAGAGATGATCTGAAAGACGTGTCCAGCCAACGGGCCTCCTCGGTGAACCAGATGCGTCCAGGGGAAGGCCAGGCCCACCGAGAGCTGCAGATCCTGCCCAGGGTCCCTGCATTGTCCAGGAGGCAGGTGAGTGTGTGAGGCCTTGGTGTCTGGGCAGAGGTGGGAGAAGGAACAGGAGGAAATCGTGTGGCCGCTGGACTGATTGAGAGATTTGACACAGGACAAGATTAGAGCCATTCCCCATGGACATGATACATCCCCAAACATTCATTCCTGAGCCATCACAGAGAGGGAAGCCTCATCTACTTTTCTCTCCACCATGAGAGCTTTTAGCATTTAGGGTGGGGCATAAGAAATGATCTCAGTGAAATGAGGGAGGCAGTTTGCACAGATGAATGAAGATTCCTTCCCCGTAGCCAGTTTCCTCAAAGACATTTAATGTAATAATTCAGCAAGGAAACCATTTTCTACAGATTGTCAATTTCTTAATTTGAGGAGTGTTTCTCAACTGGGGTGATTCTGCCTTTCCGGACACATGGCCATGTCTGGAGATGCTTTTGTGTGTCATTGTAGGGGATGGTGGGGTGTTAATAGCATCTAGAGGGTGGAGGTGGGGTCTCTGCTCTGCACAGGAGCGCCCCCTCCAGCAGGGTGATGCAGCCCCAATGCCAGTGGTGCCACAGCTGAGGGGCCTCGACTAGAGTCATGCTCCTTCCAGTGTCAGGTGCAGGGAGACGTTGGCACGGCGGGGAGAAATATGCTCAGAGAACCAAACAGTGAAAACCACCAGGCACAGGAGCTGATTTGGAATATGGAGGGTGCAGATTAGGGACAGACACAGAAATGAGATGGTGATGTTTACGTGGGGTGATGGGGTGGTCCAGGGGAAGTCTGCACGTATTTCCACACCTGTGTCATTAGAAGAGTTGTTGCATCCAATCAGAAGGGGACAGATGTGTCCCTGCTTCCACCAGTTTGGACACAGCAGTCATTACTCTTGGTTTTTCCTCTTCAGGGAGAGGACTTTCTGCTACACAAGAGTATTGACGTAACAGGTGACCCAAAGTCTCTGAGACCCAAGCAGACCTTGGAGAAGGATCTGAAGGAAAACAGGGAAGAGAACCCAGGACTGACATCCCCAGAGCCTCAGCTTCCAAAGAGTCCCAGTGAGTATGAAGACTTGGATCCACAGGGGTTAGTCCCTCTCTTCTGGGGTGCGGGGCTGGGGGCCCAGCATTATCATCCCCTGGGGGAGTTGGCACTCAGCTGTCAAAGCCTCCCCATCCTCTACTTTCCAGAGACCTACAGTCCAATGTCTTAGGCTTGAGCTTGAGCGGAAGTTGTCAGCCAACATCAGTGTTTGGTTGCAATGAGTTTGGTGTATTGAAAATGCGCTTTATTAACTGTGTGTGTGGAATCCCTTCTTCCAGCAGATCTGGTGAGAGCAAAGGAGGGGAAGGACCCCCCAAAAATAGCCTCTGTGGAAAATGTGGATGCTGACACACCTTCTGCCTGCGTTGTGGAGAGAGAAGCTTCGACTCACAGCGGGAACAGAGGAGACGCTCTGAATCTGAGCAGTCCCAAAAGAAGCAAACCAGATGCCTCCTCCATTTCCCAAGAAGAGCCTCAAGGAGAAGCCACACCTGTGGGCAACAGAGAATCCCCGGGACAAGCTGGGATGAATTCAATTCATTCCCCAGGCCCTGCGAGCCCAGTCAGTCACCCGGATGGCCAAGAAGCCAAGGCACTGCCGCCCTTTGCATGTGACGTGTGCGAGAAGAGGTTTACGTGTAATTCCAAGCTAGTCATCCACAAGAGATCACACACAGGCGAGAGACTCTTTCAATGTAATCTCTGTGGGAAGCGCTTCATGCAGCTTATTAGCCTCCAATTTCACCAGCGAACCCACACTGGCGAGAGGCCCTACACGTGTGACGTCTGCCAGAAGCAGTTCACCCAGAAGTCCTACTTGAAGTGTCACAAGAGAAGCCACACAGGGGAGAAGCCCTTCGAATGTAAAGACTGCAAGAAAGTTTTCACCTACAGGGGGAGCCTGAAGGAGCACCAGCGCATCCACTCCGGAGAGAAACCCTACAAATGTTCCAAGTGTCCAAGAGCCTTCAGTCGGCTGAAATTGTTAAGACGCCACCAGAAAACACATCCAGAAGCTACTTCTCAGTGATTGCATAATCCGGTCTATGCCTTCTGCACCAAGAAGAAGTGAATGATATTTTTCATCAATGTTATCAGATGACATTTGACACATGCAAGGGCGTCTGACACACAGAGGGAGTGCCCTAGATATGAATTGCCAGGATGTTTGAGTAAATATGTGTCCTCCCCACTGAGCTTTGTTTTCTGTTTCATTATGTCCATTGTTTTCTTATAGGTTTATTTTGGTTTGTGTTGCTGTTCTTCCAATAAACGATCATCTTATTAGTTTTCAATATTGTATAACGGAAAACTGAGTTTCCTGATTGACATGGGGTTACCCACTGTTTTGCTGTAAAGTACAGTTGTCCAAGGAGGGTGGCCATATAAAATACATAATGCCTGATGAAATTTGAGTTTCAGATAAACAATTTTCTTTAGTATCAGCATGTTCTAAATTATTTATTTATCTGAAACTCAGCTTTTATTGGGTATCCTGTAGAGTTTTCGTTTTCTTTTTTCTTTCTTTCTTTTTTTTTTTTTTTGAGATGGCGTCTCCCTCTGTCACGCAGGCTGAGGTTCAGTGGCATAATCACCGCTCACTGCAGCCGCGACCTTCCAGGCTCAAGCAATCCTCCCATCTAAGCCTCCCGAGCAGCCGAGACTACAGGAGCACGCCACCAACTTGGCTAATTTTTGTGGTTTTTGTAGAGATGGAATTTTGATATGTTGCCCAGGCTGGTCTTGAACTCCGAAGTACAAGTGATCCAACTGCCTCGGCCTCCTTAAGTGCTGGCATTACAGGCATGAGCCGCTGTGCCCTGTATTGTTTTTATTAGACTTTATTATAATTATGATATTCAAATTTTTGAAATAATTTTTTGTAGTGATGGGATTTCTTGTTGCCCAGGCTGGTGTGGGGTGAGCCACCACGCCTGGCTCTAGACTTTCTTTTTCAGAGCTGTTTAGGTTCACAGGGAAATTCAGTGGACAGCACAGAGTTCCCCTAGACTCCCTCCTCACACAACACAGCCTCTCCCTGCCCAGCATCCCCAGCAGAGTGGTGCACCTGTTCCATCAGTGAGGCTGCCTGGACATATCACCACCACCCAGAGTCCATAGTGTTCATTAGGGCTCGCTCTGGGTGTTGTACGTGCTGTGGGTTTGGACAAAGGCCTCATGAGTACACACCACTGGAGTATCCTGGGGGGTATTTTCACTGCCCCCGGAATCCTCTCTGCTCTGCATATTTATCTCCCTGCCCCAGATGGTGTATTTTGTGGCCTAAATTTGGCAACCTCTAAATTCCCGATTTGACTCTTGAACTACAGAGGCATTGGGAGTCTCTGGTGACTAGTTGGTCTTAGTGATACTACCATCCCCTGAAGGCGTGGTTAATCCTCAGGTGGGTGGGCCCCAGACTCAGCTTCTGATTGAGCAGACCGGGCATGGGGCCTGAGAGTGTGCATTAAAATATATAATTCATTTTAGAATAGCTTTCTAAAGTCCATGGAGCTCCCTAATGCCCCACATGGCTTCCCCCATTGCCAACATGGTTCATTAGGATGGCACCTTTGAACTGACTGGAGCGATGAACTGACTGGATATATTGCCGTGATCTAAGGCCCATACCTTATTGAGGCCTCCTTAGTGTTTACACAATGCCCTCCTCTTCCTTCCTCCCCATCCAAGACACCACATTGCCTTGAGTTGTCACGTCTCCCTAGGATCCTCTTGGTGACAATTTCTCAGATTTTACTTGTTTGGGATTACCTGAGAATGTACATTTTAGGTGGTGCTCATGCTGCTGGTCTTGGGAGGACATTTTATGGATGGCTGATTGAGCTGACGGGCAGAGTCCTGCAATCTGCAGAGGTCTGGAAAGGTCCCTTCCCAAATAGGCTGGATTCATTTATTAAAGACTACTTTTGTAAGACTTTGGTTCTTGTCATCTTAATTTAAAGGAATTTAATCAAGAGACCCACAGCAGAGAGATGCATCATAGAATAATTGATTACAGAGGAAATACAATATCTTGAAAGTTAAGGGCAGAATAGACAGGACATCCTGGGAGCAAGGATTCAGGGCCAGCTGCTCCCAAGGATGAGACAGCAAAGACCTGCTTGAGGGAGACTCCCCTTTATGGGAGTCTTGGATGATTACACCTAGGGGGGTGGGAAGAGGTGTTACTACTAAGCATATTCTGGGTGCTCTTCTGGGCACACAGGTGCAGTAGCTGTGCACATGTCTCATTAGCGTCTTAACTGCCCGCCCAGGTGTGTGTTTTTTACTATCATAACAAGAAATGTGTCGGTTTGTGGATGGGTAAGATCAACGTGCACATTCTCTCTACAGTGGAAATACTACAGTGGAAATACCCTACTGGAGATGGCCTTGCTTGAATGAACTCAATTCCAATGTGAACGCTGAGGCTTACTGTGTTGACTGTACAGTCACCACGCGTGCAGCATCCTGAGGACGTGGTCATTTCCTTGACTGCCTATCCTGCCTCACCCAGGTCCGTTTCGGAGTAGCATTCTTTGAGGCAGGGACCTGGAATCCACCATAAAATGTACATAGACTCCCCTTTCATTCAAGAAGTGGAGGTAGGGGTGGGTGGTGGTTCTCCCTTTTGGTGATTGGGTCCAACCTTCTTCACAGACGTAGAAAATGTGTTGATAATACCACCTGCCCGTTTAATTTCAATCATGGTGCTCTATGATCCATTAATGACATCCAATGTTTCTTTAGAGCTTCATTTTCTAATTTGGCTACATGTTGGAGTCACTTGAGGAGTTTTTAATATTTTTTTTAAAAGCAATGCCTGGGGTCCAGCCCTAAGGTAATGATGTGATTGGCTGAGGATGTGGCCCCTGTGTTGAGAGTTTATAAAACTCCGCAGGTGATCTAACGTGTGGCTGAGTCTGGCAGGTCGATTTTCTTTTTTTTTTTTTTCTTTTTTTTTGAGACAGAGTCTTGCTCTGTTGCCCAGGCTGGAGTGCAGTGGCGCGATCTCGGCTCACTGCAAGCTCCGCCTCCCGGGTTCATGCCATTCTCCTGCCTCAACCTCCCGAGTAGCTGGGACTACAGGCGCCCGCCACCACGCCCAGCTAATTTTTTGTATTTTTAGTAGAGACGGGGTTTCACCATGTTAGCCAGGATGGTCTCGATCTCCTGACCTCGTGATCCACCCGCCTCAGCCTCCCAAAGTGCTGGGATTACAGGCATGAGTTACTGTGTGTGTTCACGGTGCCTGGCCCGGGTTCCTTTTCTGCCAGCTTGGAAGGGCAACCCCATGACTGAATGTGATTCTTAGGATGGCTCCGCATTTACATCCTTGTTACAGTGCATCCACCTGAAAGGCTGCACACCTGAACTGGGACTGTTAACACCCATGCCAATACAGTGTGGGGTGCCAAGAAGTGTCTGCTGATATTTGTGGGGAAAAAAATCTATTTTGTTCACCTACTGTATCAAAGGAAAATTTGGGGGAGAACAGTGGTATTGTTTTAAATCAGGGGTGAAAACAAGTTACAGATCTGAAAAAAAAAAAAAGACTGGAGGGCGATTTCTTAGAAAAGCAGAGGGATTTGGGGTCTCGGCCTTCGGGCTCCATCCAGCGCCATCGGCCTGGCGCTGCCGCCAACGCGGGCATGGATGGGCCCCTTCTTCGCAGACAGCATTGGACCGGGGCCCGGGCTCTAGGGGCGGCCTCCGGCCCAGGCTGGGAGGTTAGAGGCGGAGGCCGGGGATGGGGTGCGCGCGCGCAGGGACCTTCCCCTCGGTGGCTCCCCTCTGGTCTGCAGCCGCAGGGCCGTAGGCAGCCACGGCGCCCAGCCGGAACGGCACGATCTCGAAGCCCCGCTTCCCCAAGGACTGCAGCGGCGCGTGGCCAAGCGGTTCAACCAGCCGGCCCAGAAGATCCGCAGGCGCCAGGCCGGGCAAGCCAAGGCGCGCCGCCTCGCCCCTGCCCCGCGTCGGGGCCCATCCGGCCCATCGTGCGCTGCCCCACGGTTCGGTACCACACGAAGGTGCGCACGGCCGCGGCCTCCGCCTGGAGGAGCTCAGGGTGGCCGGCACGCGAAGAAGGGGGCCCGGACGCCGGCATTTCTGCGGATCCGAGGAGGCGCAGTCCCTGCAGGCCAACGTGCGGCGGCTGAAGGAGCCCCGCTCCAAACGCATCCGCTTCCCCGGGAAGCCCTCGGCCTCCGAGAAGGGAGACAGTTCTGCTGAAGAACTGAAACTGGCCGCTCGGCTGACAGGACCGGTCATGCCCAACCGGAATGCCTAGAAGGAGAAAGCTGGAGTCATCATCGAGGAGAAGAATTTCAAAGCCTTCGCTAGTCTCCGCATGGCCCGTCCCAATGCCCGGCTCTTCGGCATACGGGCAAAAAGAGCCAAGGAACCTGCAGAACAGGATGTTGAAAAGCAAAAATAAAGCCCTCCTGGGGACTTGCAATCAGTCAGCAGTCATGCTGGGTCTCCACGCGGTGTGTTTCCTGGCAGCAACTGGGCCTGGGATGGGACTTAGTGGCTGTGACTTCCTGGCAGCGGGTTTGGGGTTTTCTTGAAAGACAGTCCAAGCCCTGGATTATGCCTTACTTTCTGTGTTAAAAAACTGTTGGTTGTTTGACGGGGGGAGGGGGGTTGGGAGAAAAGAAAGAAAAGAAAGAAAGAAAGAAAAAAGAAAAGTAGACGGATTTGCTGGGCACGGTGGCTCACGCCCGTAATCCTATCACTTTGGGAGGCCGAGGCGGGCGCATTGCCTGAGCTCAGGAGTTCAAGACCAGCCTGGACAATACAGTGAAACCCTCCCTGTCTCTACTAAAATACACAAATTAGCCGGGCATGGTGGCGGGTGCCTGTAATCCCGGCTACTCCGGAGGCTGAGGCAGGAGAATTGCTTGAACCCGGGGGGCGGAGCTTGCAGTGACCCGAGGTCGCACCACGGCCCTCCAGCCCGGGCGACAGAGCGAGACTCTATCTCAAAAAAAAAAAAAAAAAAAAAAAAAAAAAGGAAGAAAGAAAAAAGAAAAGAAACGTGGAGGGATTCGGTGTGGGTGAGGTTGCTTCAAGCTGGTTTGGTACAAGAGCTTTCTAGCCATTCCTTATCTGTTTAGAAGTGACCGACCCACCCACCGCCAGGACGGCTCATCAAACAATGGAACCATTTGCCCTTATGGCGCACAGCTGTAATATCCAATCATCTCCAGGTGCCAAGCATGTCCTCTCATTTCATTCTCAACACGATAACGAGCGGAGGGCGGGGACCATTTCAAAGACAAAACGTGGACACCGTTTTTACACACAATGATGTTTGCACAAAATGATTGAAATGACCTGGCTTTCACAACGATCCAAAGCTACATAGAAACAAGCATAAATCTCAACTCAAGCCTGCCAGGCCCCATCCTGTAGGAACAAGTGAAATGTGAAAACTTGACCCATTGTACTAGTAGGTGGAGCTGCCACTATTTCAGTCATTGAATTGGTCTGACACATAGAATTGGGCTGACTCTGCCGACTCCTAAAACTAGAATCTAGACATTGCAGGTACATCACTCAGAGCTCCAACGAATGCCTCTGCCTTCATAGAGTAGCTTTCTGACTTCTCTTTAGCGTTTTCTCAGAAGATGCCTTGAAAATAGCCCATACAGCCAACCGCGGTGGCTCATGCCTGTAATCTCAGCACTGTGAGAAGCTGAGGCAGGTGGATAGCTTGGGTTCAGGAGTTAAAGACCAGCCTGGGCAACATGATGAAACCCCATCTCTACAAAATATACAAAAAAAAAAAAATTGTAAGGCCTGGTTGTGCACACCTGTAGTCTCAGGTACTGGGGAGGCTGAGGTGGGAGGATTGTTTGAGCCTGAGAGGTTGAGGCTGCAGGGCATTATGATTGTGTCACTGCACTCAAGCCTGGGTGACAGAGCAAGACCCTGTCTCAAAAAAAAAAAAAAAAAAAGAACAAAATAAGAAAAAAGAGAAAAAAGATAACAGCCCATATAGGGGAAGGGAAGGAACCAGGAGCTCAGTGAGGATGGCAACAGAGTCATCCAGGTTGATGGCTGTTGGCTTGACCATGAATACTGAAAGTTGAAATGGGGAGAACTGGTCAAATGCTGAATTTGTTTTTAAGTTTTAAGAAAATCCTGGCCAGGCATGGTGGCTCACGCCTGTAATCCCAGCGCTTTGGGCGGCTGAGGCAGGCAGATCACTAGGTCAAGAGATCGAGACCATCCTGGCCAATGTGGTGAAACCCCGTCTCTACTAAAAATACAAAAATTAGCTGGGCATGGTGGTGTGCGCCTGTAGTCCCAGTTACTCAGGAGGCTGAGGCAGGAGAATTGCTTGAACCCGGGAGGCAGAGGTTGCAGTGAGCCGAGATCATGCTGCTGCACTCCAGCCTGGCGACAGAGTGAGAATCCATCTCAAAAACAAAACAAAACAAAAAACAGAGAACCCCTTATCTTTTTCGTATAGTTTTACTGAGGTATAGTTGATATACAATAAATCACACATATGCAAAGGGTACAATTCAATGAAGTTGAGAATACTACTCAGCAGTAAAAAGGAATCATTGATTACACCCAAGAACATGAGTGAATTTCAAAATAATTATGAAGGTGAAGGAGGGCAGATAGAAAAGGAGTACATAAGGTATGATTCCATCGCTAGAAAATTCTACCCCTAGGCTGGGCACACTGGCTCATGCATGTAATCCCAGCACTTTTTGGGAGGCCCAGGCAGGCAGATCGCTTGAGCCCAGGAGTTCAGGATCAGCCTGGGCAACATAGTGAGACCCCAGCTCTACAAAAAAATAGAAACAATTAGCCGAGCATGGTGATGTGTGCCTGTGGTCCCAGCGACTTGGGAGGGTGATGTGGGAGGATCAGTTAAGCCTGAGAAGCTGAGGCTACAGTGCGCTATGATTGTGCCACTGCACTCCAGCCTGGGCAACAGAGCAAGACACTGTCTCAAAAAAAAAAAAAAAGAAAAAGAAAGAAAAAAGAAAAAAAAGGCAAAAATAAGGAAATTCTGTCAGTGATCTGTAATGACACAGAGAACACCAGTGGTTGTCCAGGGATGGAGTTGTGGGAGGGACAGATGATGAAGAGCCTGGGGAAGCGTTGGAGGATGGTGGGGATGTTCAGCTTCTTGATGACGGCAATGACTTCATGAGTATGTACAAATGTCAGAACTTGGACTCTGGACATGCAGGCACAGGAACCAGCTAGAGGAGCTGCCGCACAGCAGTGTAAATGCACCAAATGCCACTAAACTGTACAGATAAAACAGTTAATTTTATGTCGCGTGAAATTCATGTCAGTAAACACATTAATTAAGGTATAGGATTTGTTGAGAGACTGAGTGTGTCATGTGAGGGAAATGCAGGAATCAAGGATAACCCCACAAATCTTGTGGATTGCACATCAAGGGGGCTGGAGCCACCCTTACGTGAGGTGGGGAAAGATGTGGTCGGTCTAGGATGTGTGGTGATTGACAGCTCTGTTAGGCATCCAAGACAAGGGAAACTCCACATCCCCATGAGGGAAGGATGGTGGTTGGTCACACATTCTTAGAGAAGGCATTATTTTCTGTCTGTCATTATCAATATTAACTTTATAAATTTATACATAAAAATGGCGCCTGTAGTCCCAGCTACTCAGGAGGCTGAGGCAGGACAATGGCATGAACCCGGGGGGCGGAGCTTGCAGTGAGCGGAGATCGTGCCACTGCAGTCCAGCCTGGGCAACAGAGCGAGACTCCGTCTCAAAAACAAAACAAAAAAAAACAAAAAAACAAAAAAAAAAACCCTTACTCCTAAGCCATGGGGGGAGTTCAGGTCTTAAACATTAGCTGCCCGATTCTCCTTGCTTGGTGCCCTGCAAATAAATGTCTTCCTTTCTCTCACTGTAAAAGCTTCACGTGGGTGTTTGGCCTGAGTGCACTCGGATAGCAGAGCCCAGTTCCGTTTGGCTGATGTTGGGATGATTTTCCACGTCGACCTCACCTTGTTCTGCATTTTCTTTGAAGTACAGCTGTTTTTTTCTGGGAATCCAGAAAGCTAGAAATAACTGCAGCCATGTTGACCGGCCCAGCCTCCAAGACCCCAGGGATCATGCCAGGGGAGTGGGTCTCTTGCCCCTTCTTCCCTAGCTGTGCTTCCACCTCCTTCCCCACCTCATGTCCCATCGTCAAGGTCAGAGTCTGAAAAGCCACCAGGTGGGCCAGGTGGTTGGTTGGTGCAGATTTGGCTCCGGGTTGGGTAGATTAAGCAGTGTTGGGTTGTTGTTTTTCTGAAAGCAAGGGCACCTTCTAAATTCAATTCAGTCATCCCTAGCATGGCGCTTTTTTTGAGACTGAGTCTTGCCCTGTCACCGAGGCTGGAATGCAATGCTGGGATTACAGGCGTGCACCACCATGCTCAGCTAATTTTTATTTTTAGTAGAAATGGGGTTTCACCATGTTGGCCAGTCTGGTCTCAAACTCCTGACCTCAGGTGATCCACCCACCTCGGCCTCCCAAAATACTAGGATTACAGGCATGAGCCACTGCGCCCAGCCGCACTGGGCTTTTTTGAGGTTGCAGTGGGTATCCTGTTTTCATTGTCACATCAGGTAAATCAAGCTCTTGGCTCAGAGCACATAGGTGGATAAGGAGCAGCAGTGCAAAGGCCACCCAGTGCCACATGTGCCCAGAGCCATGAGGGGCAGTCCCTGGAGTGGTGCATGTAGCCAGCCACAGTGGGAGGGACCCCCGTGCAGGGTGGGTGGGAGCCAGCTGTGGAGTCTACCTTCTTTAGACTGGGAATGGAGGTGCATGACTCTCCGTGGAAATGAACTCACTGATCCCCATGAGAGAACAGGAATTGGAGTGACCAGACAATCAGAAAACCGACCTGCCAGACTCAGCCACACATTTGATCACCTGAGGAGTTTTATAAACTCTCAACACAGGGGCCACATCCTCAACCAATCACATCATTACCTTGGGGCTGGACCCCAGGCATTGCTTTTTAAAAAAATATTGAAAAAACACCTCAAGTGAGTCCAACATGTAGGAAAATTGGGAAATGAAGCTCTAAAGAAATGTCGGATGTGGTTAATGGATCATAGAGAAACATGATTTAAATTAAGTGGGCAGGTGGTATCATCAACACATTTTCTGTGTCTGGAGAAGGATGTTGGACCCAATATCTAAATGGAGAACCACTACCCACCAAACATCCACTTCTTGAATTAAACGGGAGTCTGTGTACATTTGATGGCGGATTCAGGTTTCTACCTCAAGGACTCTTTCTCCTAAATGGACCTGGGTGAGTCAGGATAGGTAGTCAAGAAGGTGACCATGTCCTCCAAACGCAGCACCCATGGGGACCGTACAGCCAACACAATCAGCCCCAGCCTTCACTTTCTAATTGAGTTCATTCACACAAAACCATCTACAAAAGGGAGTTTTCCCTGTAGAGAACATGAGCATTGTGATTTTACCTGTTCACAAACTGACCCTTTGCTCGTTATAATAGTAAAAAACACACCCCTGGGTGGAGACTTAAGATGCTAAAGAGACGTGTGCACAGCTACTGCACCTGTGTGCCCAGGGGACCACCCAGAACATGCTTACTAGTAACACCTCTTCCCACCCCCTTGTGTAATGATCCGAGACTCCCATAAAGGGGAGTCTCCCTCTAGCGGGTCTTTGCTGTCTCATCCTTAGGAGCAGTTGGCCCTGAATCCTTGCTCCCAGGATGTCCTGTCTATTCTGCCCTTAACTTTCAAAATACTCTATTTCCTTTGCAATAGTTACTCTATGATGCATCTCTTTGCTGTGTGTCTCTTGATAAATTTCCTTTAAATTAAGATGACAAGAACCAAAGTCTTACAAAAGTGGCCTTTAATAAATGAATCCAGCCTATTCGGGAAGGGACCTTTCCAGACCTCTGCAGACTGCAGGACTCTGCCTGTCAGCTCATCCATAAAATGTTCTCCCAAGACCAGCAGCATCAGCACCACCTAAAATGCACATTCTCAGGTGATCCCAAACAAGTAAAATCTAAGAAATTGTCACCAAGAGGATCCTAGGGAGACGTGACAACTCAAGGCAATGTGGCATCCTGGATGGGGAGGAAGGAAGAGGAGGTCATTGTGTAAACACTAAGGAGGCCTCAATAAGGTATGGGCCTTAGATCACGGCAATATATCCAGTCAGTTCATCGCTTGTGGCAAATGTGCCATACTAACGTACCATGTTAACAATAGGGGAGGCCAGGCGCAGTGGCTCACACCTGTAATCCCAGCTCTTTGGGAGGCCCAGATGGGCGGATGACTTGAGGTCAGGAATTCGAGACCAGCTTGGGTAACGTGGTGAAACCGCATCTCTACTAAAAAAATACAAAAATTAGCTGGGTGTGGTGGCACATGCCTGTAGTCCCAGTACATGGGAGGCTGAGGTAGGAGAATCGCTTGAACACAGGAGGTGGAAGTTGCAGTGAGCCAAGATCGTGCCTCTGCAATCCAGCCTGGGTGACTGAGTGAGACTCCATCTCAAAACAAACAAACAAACAAACAAACAAAAAATAATAGAGGAAATGGTGTGGGGACAGTAGGGAGCTCAATGGACTTTAGAAAGCTATTCTAAAACAAATTCTTTTTTTTTTTTTAATTTTGAGACTGAGTCTGGCTCTGTTGCCCAGGCTGGAGTGCAGTGGCACAAACTTGGCTCACTGCAACTTCTGCCTCCCGGGCTGAAGCAATTCTCCTGCCTCAGCCTCCCAAGTAGCTGGGACTACAGGCACGTGCCACTGCGCCTGGCTAATTTTTGTATTTTAGTAGAGATGGGGTTTTGCCATGTTGGCCAGGCTGGTTTTGAACTCCTGACTTCAAGTGATCTGCCCACCTCAGCCTCCCAAAGTGCTGGGATTACAGGCGAGAGCCACCGCACCCGGCCTACGAATTCTGTTTTAATGCACACTCTCAGGCCCCACCCCCGGCCTACTAAATCAGAAGCTCTGAGTTTGGGGTCCACCCATCTCTGGATCAACAAAGGCTTCAGGGGATGGTACTATCACTAAGACCAACTAGTCACCAGAGACTCCCAATGCCTCCGTAGTTCAAGAGTCAAATCAGGAATTTAGAGGTTGCCAAATTTAGGCCACAAAATACACCATCTGGGGCGGGGAGATAAATAGGCAGAGCAGAGAGGATTCGGGGGGGGCAGTGAAAATACCCCCCCCACAATACTCCAGTGGTGGGTACTCATGAGGCCTTTGTCCAAACCCACAGGATGTACAACACCCAGAGCGAGCCCTAATGAACACCATGGACTCTGGGTGGTGGTGATATGTCCAGGCAGGCTCACTGATGGAACAGGTGCACCGCTCTGCTGGGGATGCTGGGCGGGGAGGGGCTGTGCTGTGTGGGGTGGGAGTCTACGGGGACTCTGCGCTGTCCACTGAATTTCCCTGTGAACCTAAGACAGCTCTGAAAAAGAAAGTCGTTAGCCAGGCGTGGTGGCTCACCCCACACCAGCCTGGGCAACAAAAAATCCCATCACTACAAAAAATTATTTCCAAAAATTTGAATATCATAATTATAATAAAGTCTAATAAAAACAATACAGGGCACAGCGGCTCATGCCTGTAATGCCAGCACTTAAGGAGGCTGAGGCAGTTGGACCACTTGTACTTCTGAGTTCAAGACCAGCCTGGGCAACAAGGCAAATCTTCATCTCCACAAAAAAACACAAAAATTGGCCGAAGTGGTGGTATGATCCTGTAGTCCCAGCTACTTGGGAGGCTTAGACGGAAGGACTGCCTGAGCCTGGAAGGTCGAGGCTGCAGTGGGCGATGATCCTGCTACTGCAATCCAGCCTGGTTGACAGAGGGAGACCCCATCTCAAAAAAAAGAATAGAAAAAAAAATAAAAAAGAAAACTATTTAGGATACCTAATAAAAGCTGAGTTTCAGATAAATAATGAATAATTTAGAACAAGCTGATACTAAAAAAACAAAAAACGTTTATCTGAAACCCAGATTTCCCGAGGCATATCGTGTATTTAATCCGGACACCCTCCTTGGACAATTGTACTTTATAGCAAAACAGTGCATAACAACAGCATGTCAATCAGGAGACTGTTTTTTGTTACAAAATATTGAAAACTAATAAGATGTTTATTGAAAGAACAGCAACACAAACCAAAATAAACCTAAAACAATAGAAATAATGAAACAAAAACCAAAATTCCCCCGGGGAGGAAAAAGATTTAAACAAACATCCTAGGAATTCCTATCTAGGGCACTCCTCTGCGTGCCAGGCGCCCTTCATCTGTCAAACGTCATCTGACAACATCGGTGAAAAATCTTCATTCACACTTTCTTGGTGCAGAAGACAGACCCGATGGTGAAGTCACTGTGAAGTGGCTTCTCGATGTGTTTTCTGGTGGCGTCTTAAGGTCGCCGGCCGACCGAAGGCTCTTGGACACTTGGAACATTTGTGGGGTTTCTCTCCAGAGTGGATGCGCTGGTGCTCCTTCAGATTTGCCTTGTAGGTGAAAACTTTCTTGCAGTCTTTACATTCGAAGGGCTTCTCCCCTGTGTGGCTTCTCTTGTGACACTTCAAGTAGGACTTCTGGGTGAACTGCTTCTGGCAGATGTCACACGTGTAGGGCCTCTCGCCAGTGTGGGTTCGCTGGTGAAATTGCAGGCCTATGCGCTGCATGAAGCGCTTCCCGCAGAGATTACACTGAAAGAGTCTCTCGCCTGTGTGTGATCTCGTGTGGACGGCTAACTTGCCGCGATACTTAAACCTCTTGCCGCACACCTCACATGCAAAGGGCAGCAGTTCCTTGACTTCTTGGCCACTGGGGTGACTGACTGGGCCCGCAGGGCCTGGGGAATGAACTGGATTGATCTCAGCTTGTCCCGGGGATTCTCTGTTGCCCACAGGTGTGGCTTCTCCTTGAGGCTCTTCTTGGGAAATGGAGGTGGCGTCTGGTTTGCTTCTTTTGAGACCTCTCAGATTCAGAGCGTCTCCTCTGCTCCCGCTGTGAGTCGAAGCTTCTCTCTCCACAACGCAGGCAGAAGGTGTGTCAGCATCCACATTTTCCACAGAGGCTCTTTTTTGGGGTTCCTTCCCCTCCTTTGCTCCCACCACCCCTGCTGGAAGAAGGGATTCCACACACACAGTTAATAAGGTGCATTTTCAATACACCAAACTCATTGCAACCAAACACTGATGTTGGCTGACAACTTCCCCTCAACCTTAAACCTAAGACATTGGACTGTAGGTCTCTGGAGAGTAAGGGATGGAGAGGCTTTGGCAGCTGAGTGCCAACTCCCCCAGACATGATAATGCTGGGACCCCAGCCCCACACCCCAGAAGAGAGGGGCTATCTCCACACAGGTGTAAGTCTTCATACTTACTGGGACTGTTTGGAAGCTGAGGCTCTGGGGATGTAAGTCCTGGGTTCTCCTCCCTGTCTTCCTCCAGGTCCTTCTCCAAGGTCGGCTTGGGTCTCAGAGCCTTTGGGTCACCTTTCATGACAGTAGTCTCTGGCAGCAGGAAGTCCTCTTCCTGAGAATGGAAAACCAACAGCAATGACTGCCATGCCTAAACCGGTGGAAGGACATGTCTGCTTTTTCCTGACTGGATGCACCAACTCTTCTAATGACACAGGTGTGGTGGTTTTCACTGTTTGGTTCTCTGGGCATATTTCTCCCCGCTGTGCCAGCATCTCCTTGCCCCTGACGCTGGAAGGAGCATGACTCTAGGTGGAGGCCCCTAACCCCTGGCACCACTGGCATTGGGGCTGCATCACCCTCCTGGAGGGGGCGCTCCTGTGCAGAGCAGAGACCCCGCCTCCACCCTCTAGATGCTATCAACACCCCACCACCCCCTACAATGACAACAAAAATGTCTCTAGACATGGCCATGTGTCCGGAAAGGCAGAATCACCCCAGTTGAGAAACACTCCTCAAATTAAGAAATTGACAATCTGTAGGAGGTGAGTTCCCTGCTGAATTATTACATTAAATGTCTTTGAGGAAACTGGATGGGGATGGGACCTTCAGTTCATTCATCTGTGCCAACTGCCTCCGTTATTTCACCGAGACCATTTCTTACCCCCCACCCTACATGCTAAAAGCTCTCATGGTGGAGAGAAAAGTAGATGAAGCTTCCCTCTCTGTGATGGCTCAGGAATGAATGTTTGGGGATGTACCATGTCCATGGGGAATGGCTGTAATCTTGTCCTGTGCCAAATCTCTCAATCAGTCCAGTGGCCACACGATTTCCTCCCGTTCCTTCTCCCACCTCTGCCCAGACACCAAGGCCTCACACACCCACCTGCCTCCTGAACAGTGCAGGGACCCTGGGCAGGGTCTGCAGCTCTTGGCTGGCCTGGCCTTCCTCCGGACACATCTGGTTCACAGAGGAGGTCCGCTGGCTGGACACGTGTCTCGGATCATCTCTGACACTGGCGGGGGCTTCAGCCATCTCCACATCTGATTCCTGCATAAGATATTCCTTGCCAAGAAAACTGACTACAGACTATAGAGAGAAAAAAAGCAATCAGACTAACTATGAGAACCTGAAAGTAGCTCTCATATTCCCTGGGTCCTGCCATAATGCTCACACTTTACTGTAATTAATGTTCAAATCTGCCTTCCCGATGCAGAATCAGCTCTGTGTGAACTTTTTTCTTTTCTAGATAAGTATATAAATATGAGTCCTTTAGATGAAAGGGTCTCTAAACCAAAGAGAAAAGAGGGAGAAATATTCTGGGTGAATCCAACTCAATTGGCTGATGGCGGGCTCATGTGCGGACCTGGAGGCAGATCCCTGAATCTCTGATACCAGCCACTTTCCCTGCCTCAGGATGGTATTTCTGGGCCCCCCTTCAGTTCACTCTAATGCCTCCTTCCCTACATTCCATCAGGCCTAATATTTCACCAATGTCTTTCTTTCATGTTGGCCTCACACAGTGTGTGGGTCCCTGTACCCCCTCTGCCTGTCCATCTCCTACACCAGGAACTTGCCGTCTCAGCACAGCTGATATTGGAATCTGGAAGATTATTTGTCATGATGGGTTGTCCTGAGCTTTGGAGAATGCTTAGCAGCGTCTCCTGTCCTCCCCCTTGTGACAATAAAAACTGTCCCCAGACACTGCCATGTGTCCCTGATGGGCAAACTCTCCTCTACTTGGAAGCCCTGACCTAGAGCAGCCCCTCGGGTCCTCTCGAGTCCAGCTGCACCATGCAGCCCCCATCCCAGCTCCCCTTCCCTGCACCAATCACGAGGGTCCCACTCACCCATTTCTTGGGTCTTCTGTTATTTCGTAGCAGGTCCTCCAGGTCTTTGCAGCTCTGCACACCGTTCATCATGACTAAGACCTGGAGCTCCTGGGGCATGGAGATCATGAACTGCTCCATCACCAGCATGTCCAGGATCTGCTCTTTGGTGTGGAGGTCGGGCCTCAGCCACAGATGGCACAGCTCAGTGAGTTTCCTCAGAGCCTGGATGGGGTCCGACTCCTTCGGGCAGCTGAACATCCTGAAGTTCACGTGACAAGTCTCAGGATCACTGTCATGATTTCCAAGTTGAGTTGCTGGGGATGGCATGGACTGTGGTGGCTCTGACCCAGGGCTGTTGCAGGATTCTCCTAGACTCCATGAGGATGTGCAATTTGCAGCCATGTCTACTGGGGAATATTTCAATCTGTCTCTGGGAAAGCTCTTCCAGAAGCCGGTGTCTAATTGCGACCTATATACACAGGCCACCCCTGGTTTTTCTCAGTAATAGATTCACTGTTCATTCAGAAGTCTGCAGGGAAAAAAAGCATGAGCTCTGTTAAAGTTTCTACTCTACCCACCCCATCCTTCCAAATCCCTCATCCCAATCCCAGACCCCACTTCCCCTCTAGCATTGGACTCAGCACCGTGGAAATCAATCCACTCTGTTATTCTTCCAGTGTCTACACCTGACCACATGTTCTGGAGTAAAATCTGAATACTCCCCTGGATTCTGATCTCTAGGGGATCATTGTGCAAAGGCTGAATTGGTTTTCCTGCCCATCGAACAACATTGTTTTTGACTGTAAATAAAATAGGACAGGAATGTGAAGCGCCTAAAATCTGATATAACAATCATGTCAATTCTTTATGTTTTCTTATCAAGATAAGATCCAAGGCAAATCCTTAGTCATAATTATGCAATAAGACAAATAAAAATAGTTACAACGTAAGATATTGTCCCACAACAAACCCTCTTAATCCCAGAATTATTCGCTCCAGAGAAGGGACAGCACTAAAGAATCCTATGAGGATTAAGCTCCTACACAGATATTTTGTTATTTTGGTGAAATGCACATTCATAATTTCATCATTTTTACCCTCTTCAGGTGAACAATTTCATGGGACTAAGACATGCACCATGTTGTGCAACCATTACCACTGTCTAGTTTCTAGCTCCAGAATTATCTCATCACCCTAAAAGGAACCCCATCCTCATCAGTGATCACCGCCTGCCCACCCACCCCAGCCCCTGGCAATCACTAATCTACCTTCTGTCTCTAAGGGTTTCTCTATTCCTAATCTCATCTCAGAAAATGGATTTAAAGTCTAGTGCTCTTTGATATTTTAAAGAAGTGGGTTGATACAATAATAAGATTTTTAAAAATTAATTCCTAAACCTAGCTTCATTAGGCAAGAGCCACTGAGTAATACTCTCCAGGCATCAATTATCACCCAAGTTCAACAGCTATGAGAACACAGCCCTGCTTTCCTAGACACAGGTGGGGGAAGCAACCTGAAGGTCTGCAGAGGGGAGAAAAAACTGGCAGGAGGGTCTTGGGAAAAGTCACTGGTAGCCTGGAGGGCGAGTGCCCCACACTTCCTGGAAGGACTTTGAGCAAGTGCAGAACAGAGAGACAGCCAGGGAGACAATCGGCAGAGGCGGGAGACAACCCAGAGGAGGAGACAATATTTACACACCACACATCTCACGGGGCTCCTGTGCAAAACATAAGCAACTCAAACTCCTCCAGAGCGAGAAAACAACCCACTAGAGGGGCTTAAGGCGCCCGTGTGGACATCTCAGATGAAGACATGTGAATGGCCAGCAGGTCTAGGAAAAGGTGCTCGTCATCACTCATCATCAGGGACATGCAAATCCAAACCACAAGGCACCCCTCACGCCTGCTAGAGTGGCTGTTCCCAAAAAGACACATGGAACGAGTGTTGGTGAGGATTCGGGGGAAAGGGGTCCTCTGCGCCCTGTGCTGGGATGTAAATTAGAGCAGCCGATATGGGAGACAGTATAGAAGCTCCTCAGAAAATTGAAAGTCCAACAACTGCATGAGCCGGCAATCCCGCTCTGGGGCAGGTACACAGAGGAAAGGAAATCAGGACGTGGACTCCAAAACAGTGAAACTCTGGAGGGATAGAGGGAGGGAGGGTTGAAAAACTACCTATTGGTTGCTATCCTCACATCCTGGGTGATGGGTAGAGTCATACCTCAAACCTCAGCATCACTCAATATACTCATGTAACACATCTGCACAGGTACACCCCAAATTTAAAATAAAACTTGAAATTATAAAATAGTTTTTAAAATAAAAGAAGTAGGTAATGTAAACAATAATTAAAAACCTAGTGGACTCAGGCTGAGTGTGGTGGCTCACGCCTGTAATCCCAGCACGTTGGACGGCTGAGATGGGCGGATCACCTGAGGTCGGGAGTTCAAGACCAGCCTGACCAACATGGAGAAACCCCGTCTGTACTAAAAATACAAAATTAGCCAGGCTTGGTGGCACATGCCTGTAATCCCAGCTACTTGGGAAGCTGAGGCAGGAGAATCACTTCAACCCGGGAGCCAGAGGTTGTGGTGAACAGAGATCGCGCCATTGCACTCCAGCCTGGGCAACAAGAGCAAAACTCTGTCACCAAAAAAAAAAAAAAAAAAAAAAAAATTCCCAGTAGACTCATAGTAGCAGTGAGTAGAATGGTGGTTAACAGGGCTATGGTGAGGGTTGGGGAGATATAGGTTTAAGGGTATGAATTTCAGTTGAAGAGATCAGTTCAAGAGAGCAATTGTCCAACATGGTGACTTCAGTTCATAACAATGTATTGTATAATTGGAAATTGCTTAAAGAGTAGACTTTAAGCATCCTCATGACCAAAAATGATTAGTCCATAAAGTAAGGCATGTGAATATCAGCTCAATTTACCCATTTTACATTGTTTCTATCCTGCAAAGCACATTATGCTGTACACCATAAATACGTATCTTTCTTGTTTTTCAATTTAAAAGTAAATTTTTTTTTTTGAAAAAGCATATGGATATGAGAGAGAAAAGGCAGCCTGAAATTCTGGAATTAAAAATGATTTTGCCACAGGGCACCTGCTGCTGCTCAGGAGGCTGAGGAGGGAGGATCCCTCGAGCCCAGGAGTTTGACAACCACCTGGGCAACATAGTGAGAGCCTGTCTCTAAAAAAAGGGGTTCATGTTCCTAGAAACCACTTTGTATTCGCTGTCAGTTCATTTCCCATTAAAACAAGCAATGGGACATGGGAAAAAATAAAGGCAGGTACGCGGGTTAGTATTCAATTCTGGGAGTATACAGCACACAGGACCCCCAGGTAGGGACACTTAGTGCAGATTCTCATTGGCCTAGTAGGTTGATGCCCATTCATCAATGGCTGATTTTACCCTGTGGAAAGGGAGAATCCAGCGATGCTTTTTAACAAGTGGTGTGTGGCCAGCAAGGTGGCTCACACCTGTAATTCCAACAGTTTGGAAGACCAAGATGGGAGCATGCTTGATCCCAGGAGTTCAGGACCAGCCTGGGCAATGTACTGAGACCCCATCTGTACAAAAAAAATTAAACATTTATTCAGGCATGGTGGCAAGTGCCTGTAGTTCCTGCTACTTGGGAAGCAGAGGCAGGCGGATCGTTTGAGTCCGGGAATTCCAGTCTAGTCTGGGCAATGAGAGAGATCTCATCTCTAAAAAATAAAATGTAGCCTAACCACGATGAGAAAGTTAATATTATTCCTATTTTAAGGGAGAGTTATATAACAAGTCAGAATAAATAATAGGGTGCAAAGCAGACCCACTGCCTTCACAAGGTGTCCGGGCAAATGCATGAAAAAATAAACCCAAATCTTTCTGAAACCAACACCCCAACCCAAATCTTTCTGAAACCAACCCCTCAATCCAAATCTTTCTGAAACCAACCCCTGCAGGCCAACTCCAAAACCCCACAGACATCCCCAGTGGACACTTACCTCCTTCCTGACTTCTGCCTCCAGCCTCCTCTCTTCTAGGATGTGCTCTCCAACTGCTCTGGAGCTGAACTGTCTATTTATAGAGAACCCCCGGGACTCCAGGCCTCTCTTCCAGTCCCCTGGGCCCCCACATGATTGGTTTAGGGCCATAGAATCCATTGAAGGTGATTAGCATTGATTACATTTCTCAATGAAACCCCACCCACAGGAAATTAATGTATTAAACATGCCTACCATGCAAATAACATAGGTTTTCCCGCTCTACTGAATTACATTTCATATTTCTGAAGTATTTGGAGGCTTCAGGGACTATAGATCTGCAAGTTTTAACCACTTTGCGTCCCCTCATGGCACAGACAGTAATATCCTAATGAGTAAAGGACATGTTAAGAGTTGGTTGAATAATATCAAACCAGTGATTTGCTCTAGTTTAAGGAAAGCTTTCACATGTGAATGTCAAGATATTGAAAAAAAAAGGGACAGTCATTGTTGATACATAATGAGTAGTAGTGATAATTTTTCACTTTTCAAAATCTGGGAATTGACATGGGAAAGCTGTGCTTGAACTAGGCTAAATCACTGCTTTGATATCAGCCAACCTACTCTTAGGTAAAAACAGTGGGAACCAGAGGAAGGCACATGGTCCCCACTCTGCATTCACTTTAGGATGATGGGAGGTGGTTTATAGACATACTGAGTGCTCCCTAGTTCTCAACCCCCTCAGTTAGGCCTCTCAAGCAAGAAAAGCCTTAATGGTGGTATGAATTTTACTGTGTGGATCATGGAGACCATGTGGAATGACAATTAAGTGCACTTTATACTGATTCTGGTTTCAATCCTTAGGAAATCTTAACCCACTGAATTCTGGAAACTTCAAACTCCCTGTGACTAGAACCAGGGAATTATTACCTTCCTGACATGTTGTTTTGAAGATTAAATAAGATTATGTTGGCCGGAAGTGGTGGCTCCCGCCTATAATCCCAGCACTTTGGGAGGCTGAGGCGGGTGGATCACAAGGTCAGGAGTTTGAGACCAGCCTGACCAACATGGAGAAACCCCATCTCTACTAAAAATACAAAATTAGCCAGGCGTGGTGGCGCATGCCTGTAATCCCAGTTACTCGGGAGGCTCAGGCAGGAGAATCACTTGAACCCGGGAGGCGGAGGTTACAGTGAGCTGAGATCATGCCATTGCACTCCAGCCTGGACAACAAGAGCAAAACTCCATCTCAAAAAGCAAACAAACAAAAAACCAGATTATGTCAGTAAAGTGCCCGATACAAGGTCATTTTGCCAAAAAGTTCTGACACTTATTTTCTGATGCATTTTCTCATACTCTGTGATGTTTTTCCTTGTTAAGAATTGAGGTATTGATAGTGAGTCAGAGTTCAGATGGAGTTATTAAGTGGAATGAACTAGAATCTGCCTAAAACCACCATCTACCTACCCAATTCCCTCCAATCCTCTCCTCTTGAAACATGTCATGTTCTCATGAGGAATGTCCTTGACATTTTGGTAGGGATTGAGTTGGATCTGTAGATCTCTATTTAATAGTGTGGTCATTTTCACAATGTGAATTCTTCCGATTTATGAAGATGGACTATCTTTCCATTTGTGTGCCCTCTTCATTTCCTCTCATCAGTATTTTATAGTTTTTCTTGTAGAGATCTCCTACCTGTGTGGATAAATTTGTTTATTGATTGATTTATTTTTAGAGCCAAGGTCTCACTGTGTCACCTTGGCTGGGTGCAATGGAAAACTCATAGCTCACTGCAGCCTTGAACCCCTGGGCTCAAGAGAGCCTCCTGCTCCAGCCTCCTGAGTATCTGGAGTTACAGGCAAGCACCACCACACTGGGCTAATTAACAAACTTTTTTGTAAAGATGGGGGTATCGCTATGTTGCCCAGGCTGCTCTCCAATTCCTGGCCTCTATCCGTCCTTGGTGACTAAGGTCACCATGCTGGTGTTTACATATCCCTATTCATGGTGTAATTATCACTACAATCAAGCTAATTAATGTATTCGTCAACTCACATAGTGACTATTTTCTTTTCATTATCTATTTATGTCCATAATTCCTGGGTCAAGCAATCCTCCTGCCAGAGGTTGCAGTGAGCCAAGATCGCACCACTGCAACTGCAGCCTGGGTGATGGAATGAGACTCCATCTCAAAAAGAAAAAAAAAAAACGATATCAAAAGAAAGCCAGATGTGGCTCGTGCCTGTAGTCTTAGCTGCTAGGGAGGCTGAAGCAGGATTGCTTGAGCCCAATAATTGAGAATTAAACAAATAAGAAGAAGGAAAGAACGTGGTATCTATGTGAGTTGAGGGAGATGTTAACTAGCTTGGTCCTGGCGATTGCATCACAATATATACCTGTTTCCAAACTTCAGCCTGGTGACCTTCGTTAATAATAATGTGTTGGGAAAGTCTCAACCAGAGCAACGAACAAAGGGCATCCAAATTCAGAAGGAGGAAGTCGAATTGTCTCTCTTTGCCAACAACATGATGTCATCTATAAGAATCCCTGAAACCTCCACCAGTAAAACTCTTAGAATTGATAAACCAATTCAGTAAGGTGGCCAGATACTAAGTCGATATGCAAAAATCAGTAGTGTTTTTATACACCAACAACGAACTAGTGGCAAGAAAAAAATCAAGAAAGCAATCTCATTTACAAGAGCAAAAGACACCCCAAAACCCTGGAAGTAAATTTAACTAAGGAGGTGAAAGATTTCCACAAGGAAAACTGTTAAACACTAATGAAAAATATTAAAGCGGACCCCAGAAAATGGGAAGACATGTTCGTAGGGGGAAGAATCAACATTGTGAAAAAGACCATACTATTAATAGACATCTACAGATTCAATGCGATCCCTACCAAAATACCAACAACATACTTCACAGAAATAGACTGTGAGTTTCCAGAGGGGAGGATTCGGGGGAAGCAGATAGGAAGATGGTGGTTTAGGCAGCTCCCAGTTAATTCCAGTGAATAATTCCTTTTTTTTTTTTTTGAGACGCTGTCTCGGTCTGTCGCCCAGGCTGGAGTGCAGTGGTGTGATCTCCGCTCACTGCAAGTTTCGCCTCCCGGGTTCATGCCATTCTCCTGTCTCAGCCTCCCGAGTAGCTGGGACTACAGGCACCTGCCACCACGCCTGGCTACTTTTTTGTATTTTTCGTAGAGACGGGGTTTCACCGTGTTAGCCAGGGTGGTCTCGATCTCCTGACCTCGTGATCCGCCCGCCTCGGCCTCCCAAAGTGCTGGGATTACAGGCGTGAGCCTCCGCGCCCGGCCATTAATTCCATTCTTAACTCCAACCCATTGTCAACACCTCAGTGGTTAAGAAGGGAAAATATCACAAAGTATGAGAAAATGCACCAGAAAATAATTGTCACAACTGTTTGGCAAAATGACCTTGTATCGAGCACTTTATTGACCCAGTCTTATTGCATCTTCAAAACAACACATCAGGAAGGTTCTAGTCACAAGAAGTTTGAAGTTCCCAGAGTGAAGCGGCTTAAGATTTTCCAAGGATTTAAACCAGAATCAGTGTAAAATTAACAGCCCTCCAATTTGTCCTAAAGGTTAGACGAGAAGGTTTCCTCTGAAATTAAAATGAATGAGTCACTACTTGAATGGATTAGTGTCATCCAACTGATGGTGTGAACTTCCCAAATTGTAATCTAATCCTGCCTAGCACTTAATTATCATTCCACATTAACTCCATGATCCACACAGTAAAATTCACACCCACCGTTAAGGCTTTTCTTGCTTGAGAGCCCTAACTGAGGGGGCTGAGAACTAGGGAACCCCGTAGGACCCTCAGTGTATCTATAAACCACCCTATCACCGTCCTGGAATGAATGCAGAGTGGGGACCATGTGCCTTTCTCTGGTTCCCACTGCTTTTATATAAGGCTGATATCAAATCAGTGATTTAGTTTAGTTTGAACAAAGCTTTCACATGCCAATTCCAAGATTTTGAAAAAAATAAAAAAGTAAAAAATTATCACAAACATTCATTACATATCAACGAGTGTCCACAATTTTCAACATCTTGGAATTCGCGTGTGAAAGCTTCGCTCAAATGAGATTAAAAATGAGATTAAATCACTGGTTTGATATTAATCAACCAACTCTATTTTGAATTTTTCTTTTTTTTTTCTTTTTCCGTTTTGTTTTAATAAGCGAAGTCAACCAGCTCTTAACACGTCCTTTACTTGTTAGGATATTACTGTCTGTGGCATGAGGGGACCCAAAGTGGTTAAAACTTGCAGATCTATATTTTCTGAGGCCTCCACATACTTCAGCAATATGACAACTCAGTAGAGCGGGAAAACCTGTATTATTTGCACAGTAGGCACGTTTAATACATTAATTTCCTGTGGGTGGGGTTTCAGTGGGAAATGTAATCAACGCCGATTACGAAAATGGACTCTGTGGCCCTAAACCAATCACGGCGCGGCGCAGGGAACCGGAAACGCGGCCTGGAGTCCCGCTTCTCCATAAATAGACGCAGTTCAGCTCCAGGCCGGTTGGAGAGCGCATCCCAGACCGAGAAGGTCGGAGGCAGAAGCCGGGAAGGAGGTGAGTGTCCAGCGGCGATGGCTGTGGGGTTTCGGAGCTGGCATGCGGGGGGTTGGTTTCAGAAAGTTTGGGTTTATTTTCTCATGCATTTATTTTCTCGGAGACTTTGTGAAGGCAGCGGGTCTCCTTTGCACCCCATGATTAACTCTGACTGGCGATGAAGTGCTTCTGTAAACTAGGAATAATATTAACTTTCTCGGTCGGGCCCAGTGGCGCACGCCTGTAATCCCAGCTACTCTGGAGGCCGAGGTGGGCAGATCACGGGATCAGGAGTTCAAGACCAGTCTGACCAACATGGTGAAACCCCGACTCTAACAAAAATACAAAAATTAGCCGGGCGTGGTGGCGGGCGCCCGTAATACCCGCTATTCAGGAGACTGAGTCAGGAGAGTCGTTTGAACCCAGGAGGCAGAGGTTAGGGTAATACCCGCTATTCGGGAGACTGAGTCAGGAGAGTCATTTGAACCCAGGAGGCAGAGGTTGCAGTGAGCCGAGGTCGCGCCATTGCACTCCAGCCTGGGTAACAAAGCAAAACTCCGTCTCAAAAAAAAAAAAAGGAGAAAAATAAAGTAATAATGTTAACTTTCTCATCATGGTTAGGTTTTGTTTCATTTTATTTTTCAGAGACGGGGTCTCGCTCATTTCCCAGGCTGGCCTGGAACTCCCAGGCTCAAGCTATGTGCCCTCCTCGGCCTCCACCTAGCTGGGGCTGCAGGAGCACACCACCACACCGCCCGAGTGCATTTTTTTATTTACTATAGAGACGTGGTCTCGCTGCTTTGCCCAGTCTGGTCTCGAACTCCTCGGCTCAAGCAATCTGCCCGCCTCAGCCTCGATCTCCGCTTTCTGAGCAGGGGCGCTTAGGGAACCTGGCGGGAAAACCTCTTTAATTCCCAGAATTTCAGGCTGCCTTTTCTCATATCTGTATGCTTTTAAAAAATGTATCGATTTACTTAATAAATAAACAAAACGAGATGGCCGCTGGATGTGTCTCCCAGGCTGGAGCACAGTGGCACAATCGCGGTTCACTGCTGGGCTGAAGTGATCCTGCCACCTCCGCCTCCCAGAGCACTGGGGTGACAGGAGTGAGCCATCGCACCAGGCCTAATTTACTTTCAAATTGAGAAATATAAATATATAATGGTGTATATGTCCGGTGCACAGCATAGTGTGTCAAGGTGTGTACGCATTGTGCAACGGCTAAATCGAGCAAACTGCCATAGGCTCTACCTCACTGTCTTATCATTTTTGGACAACACTTGAAATCGACTCCCTTAGCAATTTCCAAGTATACGGTACATTGCTGTGAACTATAGTCACCATGCTGTGCAGTAGACCTATTTAACTTTATTTCTTTTATTTTTTTAAAAAAAAGTTTTAATGGCCAGGTGCGGTGGCTCACACCTGTAATCCCAGCACTCTGGGAGGCCGAGGCATAGGGATCACTTGAGTTCAGGAGTTTGAGACCAGCCTGGCCTACATGGCGAGACCCCATCTCTACTAAAAATACAAAATTTAGCCGAGAGGGGTGGCTCACGCCTATAATCCCAGCTACTCGGGAGGCTGAGGCAGGAGAATCGCTTGAACCCGGGAGGCAGAGGTGGCAGTGAGCCCAGATCGGCCACTGCACTGCAGCCTGGGGGATAGAGTGAGATTCTGTCTCAAAAAATAAATCAATAAAACGAAATAAAAATAAAAATAATTTTAAGTAGGCCAGGTATAGTGGCTCACACGTAATCCCAGAATTTTGGGAAGCAGAGGCAGGAGGATCACTTGGACCCAAGAAGTCAAGGCTGCAGCAAGCCAGGATGCACCACTGCATTCCAGCCTGGGTGACAGAGCAAGACACTGCTGCAAGTTTAAAAACAAAAATAGATAACTTTAAAAAAAAATTCCACTTTTATTTTAGGTTCGGTGGGTGCCTGTGCAGATTTGTTACGTGAGTGTACTGAGTGATGCTGAGGTTTTGGGTATCACTGAACCTGTCACCCAGGATATGAGGATAGTACCCAGTAGGTAGTTTTTCCACCTTCCCACCGTCTGTCACTTCAGAGCTTCACTGTTTTGGAGTCCACGTCCTGATTTCCTTTCCTCTGTGTACCTGCCCCGGAGCGGGATTGCCGGCTCATGCAGTTGTTGGACTTTCAATTTTCTGAGGAGCTTCTATACTGTCTCCCATATCGGCTGCTCTAATTTACATCCCAGCACAGGGCGCAGAGGACCCCTTTCCCCCGAATCCTCACCAACACTCGTTCCATGTGTCTTTTTGGGAACAGCCACTCTAGCAGGCGTGAGGGGTGCCTTGTGGTTTGGATTTGCATGTCCCTGATGATGAGTGATGACGAGCACCTTTTCCTAGACCTGCTGGCCATTCACATGTCTTCATCTGAGATGTCCACACAGGCGCCTTAAGCCCTTCTAGTGGGTTATGTGTTTTCTCGCTCTGGAGGAGTTTGAGTTGCTTATGTTTTGCACAGGAGCCCTGTGAGATGTGTGGTGTGTAAATATTGTCTCCTCCTCTGGGTTGTCTCCCGCCTCTGCCGATTGTCTCCCTGGCTGTCTCTCTGTTCTGCACTTGCTCAGAGTCCTTCCAGGAAGTGTGGGGTACTCGCCCTCCAGGCTTCCAGTGACCTTTCCTGAGACCCTCCTGCCAGTTTTTTCTCCCCTCTGCAGACCTTCAGGTTGCTTCCCCCACCTGTGTCTAGGAAAGCAGGGCTGTGTTCTCATAGCTGTTGAACTTGGGTGATAATTGATGCCTGGAGAGTATCATACAGTGGCTTTTGCCTTTTGAAGCTATGTTTAGAACCAAATTTAAAAAGAAAAAAAAATTGGGCTGTGCGCGATGGCTCACGCCTATAATCCTAGCACTTTGGGAGGCCGAGGCATGTCACCCGAGGTCAGGAGTTTGAGACCAGCCTGTTCAACATGGTGAAACCCTGTCTGTACTAAAAATATAAAAATTAGCTGGGCGGGGGCCTGTAATCCCAGCTACTTAGGCTGAAGAAGGAGAGCCATATGAACCTGGGCAGCAGAGGTTGCAGTGAGCTGAGATTGCACCACTGCACTCCAGCCTGGGCAACAGTGCGAAACTCCACCTCAAAAAACATAAATAAAAAAATAAAATTTTTTAAAAATGTAGGCCAGCTGCAATGCAATCACGCCTGTAATCCCCGAATTTTGGGAGGCCAAAGCAAGCGCATCGCTTGAGCCCAGAGTTTGAGACCAGCCTGGGCAACATGGCGAAACCCCATCTCTATTACAAAAATAACCTATAAAAATTAGCCGGGCGTGGTGATGCACTTGTAGTCCCAGCTACTTGGGAAGCTGAGGTGGGAGGATCACTGGAGCCCAGGTTGAGGCCGAGGGAACCATGACTGCAAATTTCCCTCCAGCCTGGATGACAGAGCAAGACCCTGTCTCAAAAAGAAAAAAGAAAAAACCGCTCTATGGTATGATCCCACTACCTGGAAATTTCATAAGACTTTAATCCATTTTATGGAATGAGATAAGGAACAGAGAAACTCCCAGAGACAATAAGCAGATTAGTGATGGCCAGGGGCTGGGGGAGGGGGTTGGGGCAGGAGGTAATTCCTGATGGGGATGGCGTTCTCTTTTGGGGTGATGCAGTGATTCTGGAATTAGAAAGTGGTGATGGTTGCACAACATAGCGCATGTTCTTAGTAAAAGTGATGAATTTCATAAATGTGTGTTTTACCGAAACAACCACATATCTGTGCAGGAGCTTAATTCTCATAGGATTTTTTTTTTTTTTTTTTTGAGATGGAGTCTTACTCTGTCACCCAGGCTGGAGTGCAGTGGCATGATCTCACTGCAAGCTCTGCCTCCCGGGTTCACGCCATTCTCCTGCCTCAGCCTCCCGAGTAGCTGGGACTACAGACGCCCGCCACCATGCCCAGCTAATTTTTTGTATTTTTAGTAGAGACGGGGTTTCACCATGTTAGCCAGGATGGTCTCGATCTCCTGACCTCGTGATCCACCCGCCTCGGCCTCCCAAAGTGCTGGGATTACAGGCCTGGGCCACCGCGCCCGGCCTCTCATAGGATTTTTTAGTGACACCTCTTCCCTGCAGCAAATAAATATCCTGGGGTTAACAGGAAAAATGTGTTGGGGACAATCGTAGGTTGTAACTATTAATATTTTTCTCTAGCTTTTTACATAATTATGACTAAGGGCTTTGCCTTGGATCTTGTCTTGACGGGAAAACATAAAGAACTGACATTATTGTTACATCAGATTCTAGGAGCTTCACATACATATCCGATTTAATTTACAGTCAAGAGCAGTGTTGTTCCAGTTGAAAGGAAAACCAGTTCCACCTCTGCACAATGATCCCCTAGAGATCAGAATCCAGGGGAGCATTCAGATTTTACCCCAGAACATGTAGTCAGAGAAGAACAGAGTGGATTCATTTCCACAGGGCTGAGTCCGATGCCCATGGACAAGTGGGGTCCAGGATTGGGATGAGGGATTTGGAAGGGAGGGGTGTGTGGAGTAGAAAGTTAAAATAATCGGGCTCATGCTTTTTTCCTGCAGACTTCTGAACAAACTGTGAATATATTACTGAGAAGAAACAGGGGCAGCCTGTGTAAATAGGTCTCAATTTGATACTGGCTACTGGAAGAGCTTGCTCAGAGGCTGATTGAAATATTCTCCAGTAGATATGGCTGCAAATTGGACACTCTCATGGGGTCAGGGAGGACCCTGCAACAGCCCTGGGTCAGACACTCCACGGTCTGTGGCGTCCCCAGAAACTCAACTTGGAAATCACGACAGGAACCCTGAGACTTGGCACATGAATTTCAGGATGTTCAGCTGCCCAGAGGAGTCGGACCCCATCCAGGCTCTGAGGAAACTCACTGAGCTGTGCCATCTGTGGCTGAGGCCCGACCTCCACACCAAAGAGCAGATCCTGGACATGCTGGTGATGGAGCAGTTCATGATCTCCATGCCCCAGGAGCTCCAGGTCTTAGTCAAGGTGAACGGTGTGCAGAGCTGCAAAGACCTGGAGGACCTGCTACGAAATAACAGAAGACCCAAGAAATGGGTGAGTGGGAACCTCGTGATTGGTGCAGGGAAGGGGAGCTGGGATGGGGGCCAAAGAATTCTCCAGTCTCAAATATCAGCACAGCTAATATTGCAAATACCTGACCTAGGAGATGGACAGGCAGAGGGGATACAGGAACCCACACACTGTGTGAGGCCAACCTGAAAGAAAGACATTGGTAAAATATTAGGCCTGATGGAACGTAGGGAAGGAGGCATTAGAGTGAACTGAAGGGGGGCCCAGAAGTCCCATCCTGAGGCAGGGAAAGTGGTTGGTATCAGATGCAGGGATCTGCCTCCAGGTCCCCAAATGAGCCCCTAAGTTCTAACACAAGGTGAGCTGCCATTGGCCAATTGAGTTGGATTCACCCAGAATATTTCTCCTTGTCTTCTCTTTGGTTAGAGACCCTTTCATCTAAATGACTCATATTTATGTACTTATCTAGTGAAGAAAAAAATTCAGACAGATTGCTGTGTCCACAGAGCTGATTCTGCATCAGGAAGGTAGATTTGAACATTAATTACAGTAAAGTGTGAGCATTATGGCAGGACCCAGGAAATATGAGAGCTACTTTCAGGTTCTCATAGTGTCTGATTGTCTTTTTTCTCTCTACAGTCTATAGTCAACTTGCTCGGCAAAGAATATCTTATGCTGAACTCAGATGTCGAGATGGCTGAAGCCCCCGCCAGTGTCAGAGATGATCCGAGAGACGTGTCCAGCCAGTGGGCCTCCTCTGTGAACCAGATGCATCCGGGGACAGGCCAGGCCCGCCGAGAGCAGCAGATCCTGCCCAGGGTCGCTGCACTGTCCAGGAGGCAGGTGAGTGTGTGAGGCCTTGGTGTCTGGGCAGAGGTGGGAGAAGGAACAGGAGGAAATCGTGTGGCTGCAGAACTGATTGAGAGATTTGGCACAGGACAAGATTAGAGCCATTCCCCATGGACATGATACATCCCCAAACATTCATTCCTGAGCCATCACAGAGAGGGAAGCCTCATCTACTTTTCTCTCCACCATGAGAGCTTTTAGCATTTAGGGTGGGGGGGTGGGTAAGAAATGGTCTCAGTGAAGTGAGGGAGGCAGTTGGCACAGATGAATGAACTGAAGGTCCCTACCCCATCCAGTTTCCGCAAAGACATTTCATGAAGTCATTCAGCAAGGAACCCACTTTCTCAGACTGTTGATTTCTTAATTTGAGGAGTGTTTCTCAACTGGTGATTTTGCCTTTAAGGACACATTTGGCAATGTCTGAGGACATTTTTGTTTGGCATTCTCAGGGGTGGTGGGGTGTTGATAGCATCTAGAGGGTGGAGGCGGGGTCTCTGCTCTGCACAGGAGCGCCCCCTCCAGGAGGATGATGCAGCCCCAATGCCAATGGTGCCAGGGGTTAGGGGCCTCCACCTAGAGTCATGCTTCTTCCAGCGTCAGGGGCAGGGAGACATTGGCACGGCGGGGAGAAATATTCTCAGAGAACCAAACAGTGAAAACCGCCAGGCAAAGGAGCTGATTTAGAATATGGAGGGTGCAGATTAGGGACAGACGCAGAAATGAGGTGGTGATGTTTACTTGGGGTGATGGGGTGGTCCATGGGAAGTCTGGTGTGTCCAGTCAGGAGGGGACAGACATGTCCCTACTTCCACCAGTATAGACACGGCAGTCATTGCTCTTGGTTTTTCCTCTTCAGGGAGAGGACTTTCTGCTACACAAGAGTATTGACGTAACAGGTGACCCAAACTCTCCGAGACCCAAGCAGACCTTGGAGAAGGATCTGAAGGAAAACAGGGAAGAGAACCCAGGACTGTCATCCCCAGAGCCTCAGCTTCCAAAGAGTCCCAGTGAGTATGAAGACTTGGATCCACAGGGGTTAGTCCCTCTCTTCTGGGGTGCGGGGCTGGGGGCCCAGCATTATCATCCCCTGGGGCTGGCGATCAGCTGCCAAAATCTCTCCTCCACTTTCCAGAGACCTACAGTCCAATGTCTTAGGCTTGAGGTTGAGGGGAAGTTCTCAGCCAAGGTCAGTGTTTGGTTGCAATGAGTTTGGTGTATTGAAAATCGGCTTTGTTAACTGTTGTGTGTGGAATCCCTTCTTCCACCAGATCTGGTGAGAGCAAAGGAGGGGAAGGAACCCCAGAAAAGAGCCTCTGTGGAAAATGTGGATGCTGACACACCTTCTGCCTGCGTTGTGGAGAGAGAAGCTTTGACTCACAGCGGGAACAGAGGAGATGCTCTGAATCTGAGCAGTCCCAAAAGAAGCAAACCAGATGCCTCCTCCATTTCCCAAGAAGAGCCTCAAGGAGAAGCCACACCTGTGGGCAACAGAGAATCCCCAGGACAAGCTGAGATCAATCCAGTTCATTCCCCAGGCCCTGCGGGCCCGGTCAGTCACCCAGATGGCCAAGAAGCCAAGGCCCTGCCGCCCTTTGCATGTGACGTGTGCAATAAATCATTTAAGTATTTTTCCCAGCTAAGCATCCACAGGAGGTCACACACAGGAGACAGACCCTTTCAATGTGATCTCTGTCGGAAGCGCTTCTTGCAGCCCTCAGACCTCCGAGTTCACCAGCGAGTCCACACTGGCGAGAGGCCCTACATGTGTGACGTCTGCCAAAAGCGGTTCGCCCACGAGTCCACCTTACAGGGCCACAAGAGGATCCACACCGGGGAGAGGCCGTTTAAATGTAAATACTGCAGCAAAGTTTTCAGCCACAAGGGGAACCTGAACGTTCACCAGCGCACCCACTCCGGAGAGAAGCCCTACAAATGTCCCACCTGTCAAAAGGCCTTCCGTCAGCTGGGGACATTCAAGCGTCACCTGAAAACACACCGGGAAACCACCTCCCAGTGATTCCAGAGTCAGGTCCACATCCTCCACCCCAAGAGACAGTGAATGATGGTTTTTCTCCAATGTTACCAGATGACATATACACATAAAGCACTTGGTAGGAATTGCCCGGATGTTTGAATAAATATTTATCCTCCCCCATGAGTTTTGTTTTCTGTTTGATTATGTCTGTTGCTTTCTTACAGATTTATTTTAGTGTCTGTTGCTGTTTCTCTTCCAATGAGCAAAGTCTCATCATTTTCCAATATCTCATAAGAAAAAAACTAAGCACAGTGGCACGCATGTGTAATCCCGGCTACTGGGGAGGCTGAGGCAGGAGGTTTGCTTGAGTCCAGGAGTTTAAGTCCAGCCTGGGCAACACAGTGAGACTCCACCCCAAAAATAAGTAAAGAAAAAGTTCAAGACCAACCTGGGCTCAAGCGAGTGAGACCTTGTCTCTATAAAATAAATAACTTTAAAAAATAACAAAAAATAATAATAAGTCTAACAAATATTCCACAGACATTTATGGAACACTTATCAGCTGATATTCTAGGCACTTGGTATATATCCTTAAACAAAAGGAGATGTATTAAAAATAAGAATAAAAATTAGAAGTAAGGCTGGGCCTAGTGGCTAATGCTTGTAATCCCAACACATTGGGAGGCTGAGGCAGGAAGATCACTTAAGGCCAGGAGTTCGAGACCAGCCTGGGTAACAGTGAGACCCCCATCTCTACAAAAATAAAAATAAAAATTAGCCGGGTATGATGGCACACCTGTAATCCAAGCTACTGGGGAGGCTGAAGTGGGAGGATTGCTTGAGCCCAGGAGGTTGAGGCTGCAGTGAGCCATGATTGCATCACTGTACTCCAGACTGGGTGACAGTAAGGCCCTATCCTAAAGAGAAAAATAAAAGAAAAGCTGACATGACTGCCTAAATATTGTATTCATGGCATAGATGCAACAAATTTTTTTAATGCAATCATTGGACTTGGGCTGCTAAAAAAATATTAGAAGGCAATAATTTATTTATTTATTTATTTATTTATTTATTTATTTATTTATTTTTGAGACAGAGTCTAGCTTTGTCACCCAGGCCGGAGTGCAGTGTCAGATCTCGGCTCATAGCAACCTCTGCCTCCCGGGTCCAAGCGATTCTCCTGCCTCAGCCTCTCGAGTAGCTGGGATTACAGGCGCCTGCCACTGTAGCAGGCTGAGTTTTGTATTTTCAGTAGAGATAGGATTTCACCATGTTGGCCAGGCTGGTCTCGAACTCCTGACCTCAGGTGATCCACATGCCTCGGCCTCCCAAAGTGCTGGGATTACAGGTGTGAGCCACCGCGCCTGGCAATTTTTGTAGTAGAGATGTAGTAGAAATTTTTTTGATAGAGATGGGGTTTCACCATGTTGGCCAGGCTGGTCTTGAACTCCCGACTTCAAGTGATCTGCCCACCTTGGCCTCCCAAAGTGCTGGGATTACAAGCGTGAATCACCGTACTTGCCCAGTAAATTATTTTTTGATAAGAAAAAAGAATCCCATCACATAACACTGCTTCAAAACCTCACTGCAAAGCTGGGTGTGGTGGCTCACACCTATAATCCCGGGACTTTGGGAGGCCCAGGCAGGCGGATCACTTGAGCCCAGGAGTTAGAAACCAGCCTGGGCAACATGGCAAAACCCCATCTTTACTGAAAACACAAAAATTAGCTGGGTATGGCGGTGCATGTCTGTAGTCCCAGCTACTCAGCAGGCTCAGGTGGGAGAATCACTTGAACCCAGGAGGTCAAGGCTGCAGTGAGCCAAGATCTCCCAACTGCACTCCAGCCCAGGCAATAGAGTGAGACCCTGTCTAAAAAAAAATCTCACTGCAGCCTCTCGTATTAACTTAATCACTTTAAGTGATTGCTTCTCCCAGGGACGTGAGTCTCCAGCAGGGCGAGAACTCATCTGCTTTCTGCCTCCTTGAATCCCCGACATTTGACTCTGTATAATTATTATTTTTATTATTATTATTTTTTTAGTCTGAGTCTCGTTCTATCACCCAGGCTGGATGGGGTGCAGTGGCACAATCTCAGCTCACTGTAGCCTCTGCCTCCTGGGTTCAAGCAATTTTCACGTCTCAAGCCTCCGAGTAGCTGGGATTACAGGCACCTGACACCACACCCAGCAAATTTTGTATTTTTAGTAGAGATGGGGTTTCACCATGTTGGCCAGGCTGGTCTCGAACTCCTGACCTCAAGTGATCCTCCCGCCTCGACCTCCCAAACTGCTGGGATTACAGGCGTGAGCCACCATGCCATGAATAGTAATTAATTAATATTAATTACTTATTAATTATTTATTGTAATTTATTGTAATAATTATAATTAATTACAATATTAATGAATAAGTATTAACAATATTAATACTTATTCATTATGCGAAGAAAAACCTCAGGATTCCCCAAACTCCTTATGCAAAAGGAGAGGTCAGCCTGGTGGCTGAGTCAGGCAGCGCCCTCTTCCAATTGGACAGCAGTTGCTGGCATTTGGCATCAGCCAGATCCCCACGGAAAGGGAAGAGGCCCCGGGCATCCACGAATGCCCCCGCAAATCATTCATAAGGAAATTCTTTGCTGACTTCCCATAAACAAGAACTCACCCTTTGTAACTTCAGGTCTACAATGTAAGTCTAGCTCCTAAAACTCAGGTCTGTTTTATTCCACACTGACAATGTCCATTACTAGCTTATCTTCTGAGGCGTGGAACAAAGATAAGATGAGCTCAGTCATTCCTCCACCTACCCAAAGATGTCTAAGTAATTGGTGCTTCCTTTACTCCCTTTACGCCCTTTTTTGCCTTCAAACATGCACTTTATCTTATGTAAAACGTTGCACTTTGGGAGCCCAAGGCGGGCGGATCACTTGAGGTCGGAAGTTCAAGACCAGCCTGGCCAAAGTGGTGAAACCCTGTCTCTACTAAAAATACAAAAATTCACCGGCCATGGTGGAAGGCGCCTGTAATCCCAGCTACTCAGGAGGCTGAGGCAAGAGAATTGCTTGAACCCGGGAGGCAGAGGTTGCAGTGAGCTGAGATTGCGCCACTGTACTCCAGCCTGGGTGACAGGGTAAGACTCTGTCTCCAAAAAAATAAAAATAAAAACATAGGCCGGGCACAGTGGCTCATGCCTGTAATCCCAGCACTTTGGGAGGCCGAGGCAGGCAGATCACGAGGTCAGGAGATCGAGGCCACCCTGGCTAACACGGTGAGACCCCGTCTCTACTAAAAATACAAAAAATTAGCCAGGCATGTTGTCGGGTGCCTGTAGTCCCAGCTACTCGGGAGGCTGAGACAGGAGAATGGTGTGAACCCGAGAGGCGGAGCTTGCAGTGAGCCGATATCACGCCACTGCATTCCAGCCTGGGCGACAGAGCGAGACTCCGTCTCAAAAAAAAAAAAAAAATTAAAATAAATAAATAAATAAAAAATAGAAACATATATTTTTTTTAAATGTAGATTTACTGGGCACTAACTAAAGACTGATAGGAATTTAACCATTCAGCTCACCACCTACCCACCCCTCTGCCTCTATGCCTGCCCCCGTCTAAGGAAATGTATAAATAGTAAATATCCTGAAAACTTCAGAAAAACAGCCACAGAGGTGTCTGTGGCTCACCTTTCCCTGGACGTGCCCCACAGCCGATTTCATAAACCTCGATGGATGGAGACTGACAGTGTCTCAGTCACTCATTTTGGTCATTAATTACTTTGAGTCTCACTTTGTTGCCCAGGCTGGAGTGCAATGGCACAATCTCGGCTCGCTGCAACCTCTGCCTCCCGGGTTCAAGCGATTCCCCTGCCTCAGTGTAACACTGTGGTTTCTTTTTCCTGTGACTCCTCAAACCCAAAATGAAAGTAAAACTTTCAGCAAAACAATAATCCAAAATGGATTGCCTCCAATAGGTTATATTTTCCCCAGTCCCTCACCTGATTCTGTCATCCTGGATTTCCCAGTCCCACACCTGACCCCATCATCCTGGATTCTGCTACCCCTAAAAAAATTCCCAGACTAATTAAAAGGGAAAAAATGGAGTGTTTGACAAGAAACATTTTATTCTCTCCATTCTGCTCCAAACTGCCTCTCCTCACTTCTCGAGGAGACTCATGTGGGTTGAAAGAATATGGAGGAGTAAGTACGCAATTTGAAGAATCTTTTCAAATAAAGACACAGACTCTCAGACTTAAGAGGGTTATTTGTATTATGCAATAGCTCGTGTTATAATTGGGATGATTCCAAAAGAACACAATTCCTTTAAATGTGTTGCAGGAATATTCCCTGATTACCCCAGAATCTCCCAACTAGTCCTCGAATTACTATTGGTTCCATTAATAGCACATTATACTGATTTCAAGGATGAATCAATAAAACCTAAGAAACTCCAGAAATTTTTTAGAATAATTCAAATGCTTTACAATGTCTTCATGAGACCTGGGTATTTAACTTCAGGATCTTAGTCTCAGCATAGGGTACCTAGAAAAGGTTTCAGAGGGAGCAGGAGGAGCTGGAGAAGAAGGATAGGAACAGGGATTTGAAGACATCTATGACTTCAGGACATCTTCCTCCTTGGGAATTTTCATGCTGAGCATGCCCAGATCTGTGGGAAAGAAAGAGGTAAACTTTGAATGGTTTTTCTCACTATCACTCCCCACCCAGCTAATTTTTGTATGTTTAGTAGAGATTGGGTTTCACCATGTTGGCCAGGCTGGTCTTGAACTCCTGACCTCAGGTGATCTGCCCACCTCAGCCTCCCAAAGTGCTGGGATTACAGGCGTGAGCCACCGTGCCTGGCCCCTTCTCTCTACTTTCATCTGCCCACATATTCTCCCTTTCCGCCCACATTTTAAGAAGGCACATGGTGATGGTGGGTGTTTTCAAGAGTCAGAATGTAATCGAGGTGAGGATGGAAATTAGTGAATTCAGGGAGCGTATCATACCCAGTATTGTCCAGTACATGCTTTTGAAATGAATTAGTGCTGTTGAAATAAGGACATGGCGTCTCCAGGAATTGAGTTAGGATTGAAGAAGGAGCTGGGCGCAGTGGCTCATGCCTGTAATCCCAGCACTTGGGGAGGCCGAGGCAGGCAGATCACGAGGTCAGGAGATCGAGACCATCCTGGCTAACATGGTGAAACCCCGTCTCTACTAAAAATACAAAAAATTAGCCAGGCGTGGTGGTGGGCACCTGTAGTCCCAGCTACTCAGGAGGCTGAGGCAGGAGAATGGCGAGAACCCAGGAGGCAGAGCTTGCAGTGAGCCGAGATCGCGCCACTGCACTCCAGCCTGGGAGACAGAGCGAGACTCCGTCTCAAAAAAAAAAAAAAAAAGAAAAAGAAAAGAAAAAAAAGGATTGAAGAAGGAGATGGGGTTGGGGCGAACATCCAACTAAAGGAAGGTGGGACAAGCTGGGGTTTGGGCATCTGCTGAGCTCATGATTGGGTGGGAAGGTGGCAGCTGAAGGCTGTGTTTGGATAGTTTAATTCATTCATTTAACAAATATTTACCAAGTACCTACTATGCGTCATGCATTGTGCTAGGCAGTGAACAATACAACGGTCCCTGGCGTGGTGGCTCATGCCTGTAATCCTAGCACTTTGGGAGGCCAAGGCGGGCAGATCACCTGAGATCAGGAGTTGGATACCAGCCTGGCTAACATGGCAAAACCCCGTCTCTACTAAAAATACCAAAATTAGCCGGATGTGGTGGCGGGCGCCTGTAATCCCAGCTACTCAGAAGGCTGAGGCAGGAGAATCGCTTGAATGCAGGAGGCAGAGGTTGCAGTGAGCCAAGATCACACCACTTCACGCCAGCCTGGGCAATAGAGAGGGACTCCTTAAGAAAAAAAAAAATAGAATGAATGCTGGAAATAAAGATCTTATTTAGGAGAGAGGTTGATGTTAAAATTGAACCATGAGGCCAGGCGCAGTGGCTCACGCCTGTAATCCCAACACTTTGGGAGGCCGAGGCAGGTGGATTACCTGAAGTCAGGAGTTCAGGACCAGCCTGGCCAACATGGTGAAACCCCGTCTCTACTAAAAATACAAAAATTAGCCGGACATGGTGGCGCGTGCCTGTAATCCCAGCTACTCGGGAGGCTGAGGCAGAAGAATCGCTTGAACACGGAAGGTGGAGGTTGCAGTCAGCCAAGATCGCACCATTGCACTCCAACCTGGGCGACAAGAGCAAAACTTCATCCCCAAAAAATAAATAAATAAATGAAATTGAACCATGAGGTCAAAGTGAGAGGTTTGACGTCAATGTTGTAGCTGAGGCTAAGCTTGAGGGAGTGATACTGGGGGAGATCAAGGTTGGGTGTGGGGTCCTAATTGCAAAAGTGCTAGATTCAGGCTGGGAAATGAGAGTTGGAACATGAGGTGGGATTCGCAGTGAAGGAATCGAGGTGAAGGGAGCAGTCGAGGCCAGGATGGGGATTCACAGTCGAGGCTGAGTGGTCGGGGTAGTGGCTGTGGTTACAGGTGAGGAGGTCCCTGGTTGGTTCCAGTTTCCTTCCTTTCTTCCTTTACCCTCTAAGCTCTGCCTGCCACTTCCTTGTTCCCCCTCTCCTGTCGGTGTCTCTCTTCTGTGTTTCCTGGCTTTACCTCCAATCTCTGGTTTGGCAAACGTCTCCATCACATTCCTCTTGGAGGGCTGTGGAGGGTGGGAGTAGGGGAGCCCGTCTAGAAACAAAAATACAACATTCACACACACGTTCGTAGTTACAAGTGGGAGCTAAACGATGAGAACACACAGACACAAAGACGGGAGCAAGAGACACTGGGTCCTTCCCGAGGGTGGAGCAGGGGGAGGAGGGAGAGGAGCAGAGAGAATAACCACTGGGTACTCGGCTTAGTACCTGGGTGATGAAGTAGTCTGTACAACAAACGCCCGTGACACAAGTTTTCCTATATAACAAACCTGCACATGTACCCCCAAACCTAAAATAAAAGTTTAAAAAATAAATAAGGCCGGGCGCGACGGCTCATCCCAGCACTTTGGGAGACTGATGGGGGCAGATCTCCTGAGGTCAGGAATTCAAGACCAGCCTGGCCAACATGGTGAAACCCCATCTCTACTAAAAATGCAAAATTTGCTGGGTGTGGTGTCAGGTGCCTGTAATCCCAGCTACTCGGAGGCTTGAGTATGGATGACAGGCGTGAGCCACCATGCCCAGCCAAACCATTCCATTTCTACCATATGCCAGACACTTCTAGGAAATTAACGTGCATTTTCTCACTGAGTCATACAACTAAATCATGGGATTATTCCATTTATGTCATTTCAAAGTGGAGGGATTCTGTGAGGTCTGATGCAGAGAAAACACGGGGCCCATGGTTCAAACAGGATTCGGAATTTCACGTTGGTAACAAAAGAACATTAAAGCAAGCTGGGGCTCCAGGTGACGGCCCAGAAGCTTGAAGGAAACGCATCACTTGCCCAGGGCCCCCCAAATAGTAAGCGGCAGGGTGAGGGCTGGAGCTCACATCTACCAGTTTCCAAAGCCAGGAGAGAGCCCGCAGGGGAGGACGCAGGAGAAGACGTCTAACTCCCCGCTCACTCACCGATGGCCTTCCACAGGTCTAGGATCTCAAGGGCTGTCTCCCTCTTTCCGTCTTGGTCACCCATTTGGGGAAGGTGGAGGACTGGGTAGGGAGGGAGAGAGCAAGAGCAGGTGGTCGGTTAAGTAGAACTGAAGAAACACATCGTCCATCAATTCAACAGCATGGCTCACCGGACGCAGCGCCTCCACCAAGTCTGTCGGACGGGGTGCGTGTTGACCGTCCCTACCTACCGGTGGGGAAATCGTGCAGCTGCAAGCGGTCACTTGCTCGAAATTACCCTGCTGCTAATGGCAGGACTGGGGCTTGAACCCACCTAGGTCTGGGTCCACATCTCACGTTCTTTCTGCTCCTGCCACACTGTCTCTGCAGCCTGGGTTTCCCTGAATGAAGCTCAAACTGAAACCAACCTTGAGCACCACGGGAATCTCGGTATTTTATGGATGTAATGCTCACTATGCAGCACGTGGCCATGGGCACACCTATTGCCCAGGGAAGATGCAACTGGAGAAATGGGGAGAGACAAATGGAGGAAAAGAGAAAAAAGTTGCCAGGAGCAGTGGCTCACGCCTATAATCCCAGCAGTTTGGGAGGCTGAGGCGGGCGGATCACCTGAGGTTGGGAGTTCAAGACCAGTCTGACCAACATGGAGAAACCCCGTCTCCACTAAAAATACAAAATTAGCCGGTGGGGCATTGTGGTGCATGCGTGTAATCCCAGCTACTTGGGAGGATGAGGCAGGAGAATTGCTTGAATCCGGGAAGCAGAGGTTGCTGTGAGCCAAGATTGGCGCCACTGCACTCCAGCCTAGATAACAAGGCGAAACTCCATCTCAAAAAAAAAAAAAAAAAAAAAAAAAAGGAGAGAGAGAGACAAAGAATAGCAGCTAATCATTATACAGCACCCACTACACACCAGCTATTGTTCTATTAATAACTCAATCCTCACAACATTCTCGGATGTAAGGGCCATCATTACACCCACTGTCACAGATGAGGAAACTGAGGCATAGGGAGATCAAGGTTGCAGCCAGGTGTGGTGGCTCATGCCTGTAATCCCAGCATTTTGGGAGGCCAAAAGTAAGTGGATCACCTGAGGTCAGGAGTTCGAGACCAGACTGGCCAACATGGTGAAACCCCATCTCTACTAAAAATGCAAAAATTAGCCGGGCGTGCTGTTGGGCACCTATAATCCCAGCTACTCAGGAGGCTGAGGGAGGAGAATCGCTTAAACTACTCGGGCGGCGGAGGTTGCAGTGAGCTGAGATCGCACCATTCACCATTGCACTCCAGCCTGGGCAACAGAGCGAGACTCTGTCAAAAAAAAAAAAAAAAAAAAAAGAAAGAAAGAAAGAAAGAAAGAAAGAGTGAGAGAGCGAGAGAGAGAGAGATCAAGGTTGCAAACCAAGCAAGGGGCAGAGCTGGGATTTGGGCCCAAGGCTCTGGCTCCAGAGTCCACACACCCATCGCTCTGCTTAGACTAACCCTCCAGACAGATCTGCAAATAAATCCATGGGCCTCAGTGAATGTGGGTGAGGGTCTTTACAAGCCACAAACTCACTGCCTGCAGCAACCAGGCAGACTCGGGCCAGGGATGGAGAGCTGAGCGCAGCCTCACTCACCGGGACCCAGAAGGTAGCCAGCACTATTGAGGGTCCAGCCTCCTCGTCCCTGGATAGAGATGCAGAAATCAAGACTCAAGCAGACAGAAAGCGGGGCAGGCGTCCCACAGGTCCGGGGTGATGTGGGTCGTCATACGACTTTCCCACTGGCCTGTGGAGCAGGTTCATTTCAATCCCCATTGCACCGATGAGGAAATTGAGGACTTCCTGAGACAAAGCCAACTGGCCTGGAAAGAAAGCTTAAAGCGTTCTGTTGTGAGAGGAGAAAGGTGGTTATTGGGGGCTGGGGGGAAGGAGAAATGGGGAATTGTTCTTCAACAGGTATAATTTCAGTTATGCAGGATGAAGAAGTCCTAGAGCTCTATGGCACAACATCGTGCCCACAGCCAGCAATACGGTGTTGCACACTTTAAAGATATGTTAAGCCTGGGGGTGGTGCTCATGCTGTAATCCCAGCATTTGGGGAGGCCGAAGCAGAAGGATGGCTTGAGAACAGGAGTTCAAGGCCAGCCTGGCCAACATGGCGAAATCTCGCCTCTACAAAAAATACAAAAATTAGGCCGGGCGTGGTGGCTCTCGCCTGTAATCTCAGCACTTTGGGAGGCTGAGGTGGGCGGATCACCTGAGGTCAGGAGTTCAAGACCAGCCTGGCCAACCTCGTCTCTACTAAAAATAAAAAAAATTAGCTGGGCATAATCCCAGCTACTTGGGAGGCTGAGGCAGGAGAACCGCTTGAACCTGGGAGGTGGAGATTGCAGTGAGCGGGGATTGCACCACTGCGCTCCAGCCTGGGCAACAGAGTGAGACTCCGTCTCAATAAAACAAAACAAAACAAAAAATACAAAAATTAGCCAGGCATGGTGGCGCACACCTGTAGGTGGGAGGATCACTTTAGCCCAGGAGTTTGAGGCTACAGTGAGCTATGATCTCATCCCTGCACTCCAGCCTGGGTGACAGAGCGAGACTCTGTCTCAAAGAAAAAAAAAAAAAAAAAGAGAGGCTCTTCCTCCAACAACCCTAGTAGGTAAACTTGCTATTAGCTTCATTAGAAAGAGGCTCTTGGCCAAGGCTGGCGGATCACGAGGTCAGGAGATCGAGACCATCCTGGCTAACACGTGAAACCCCATCTCTACTAAAAATACAAAATATATATATATATAATAGCCGGGCGTGGTGGCGGGTGCCTGTAGTCCCAGCTACTCGGGAGGCTGAGGCACGAGAATGGCGTGAACCTGGGAGGCAGAGCTTGCAGTGAGCTGACATTGCGCCACTGCACTCTAGCCTGGGCCACAGAGCGAAATTCCGTCTCAAAAAAAAAAAAAGAAAGAAAGAGGCTCTTGAGGCCCAGAAAGATTCTGCAAATTGCAACAAATTGCAACACACTAAGAAGAACAGCTGGGACTCAAACCCAGGTGGATCCCAGACTCTTTATTTATTTATTTATTTATTTTGAGATGGAGTCTCGCGTCTCACTCTGCCACCCAGGCTGAAGCGCAGTGGTGCCATCTTGGCTCACCGCAACCTCCGCCTCCTGGATTCAAGCGATTCTCCTGCCTCAGCCTCCTGAGCAGCTGGGCTTACAGGCACCTGCCACAAGGCCCAGCTAATTTTTGTATTTTTAATAGAGACAGGGGGTTTCGCCATGTTGGCCAAGCTGGTCTCAAACTCCTGACCTCAGGTGATCCGCCCTCCTCGGCCTCCCAAAGTGCTGGGATTGCAGGCGTGAGCCACCGTGCCCGGCCGGTAGATTCCAGACTCTTAAGGAGGATGTGCACTGAATATTTAAGCCAGAGTGTTCCACTGTGTAAGGTGGGAAGTAGCAAAATAGAACCAACTGCAAAGGATTGTGGGGTAGAATTAGCTAATTCACATCACGGGTTTCACACAACGCCAAGCGCTGAGAAAACCCTCCACAGCCATTAGCTCTTGTCAAAACTCCTCGAACATCCCTATAGGATGGATTCCGTTATCCCTTAGTTATATAGAAAAAAAGGAGGCTCAAAGAAACAAATAGCTTGCCAAAGACCAAGCCAGAACCTGGAGGAGAGCTGCTATCCCAACTCAGGGCAGCTGAATGCCAAGCCGGCGTCTCTTTTTTTTTTTTTTTTTTTTTGTTGTTGTTGTTAGCATTTCTTTTCTTTTTCTTTTCTTTTCTTGTTTTTGTTTTTGTTTGAGATGGGTTATTGCTCTTTCGCCCAGGCTGGAGTGCACTGGCACCATCTCAGCTCATTGCAAACTCAGCCTCCTGGGTTCAAGCAATTCTCATGCCTCAGCCTCCCAAGTAGCTCGGACTACAGTCACGCAAGACCATACCTAGTTAATTTTTTTTTTTTAAGAGATGGAGGTTCTCACTATGTTGCCCAGGCTGGTCTCGAACTCCTGAGCTCAAGCAATTCTCTAATCTTGGCCTCTCAAAGTACTGGGATTACAGGAGTGAGCCACTGGGACTGGCCTCTTTTTTTTTTTTTTGTTAGAAAAAAACTGCATTTTAAATGCAGGCGTGGTGCACAACACGTGTGGAAATACGGCTACACTGCGGAGTGACTCCATCAAGGTAATTACCCTCTACATTACGTCATGTGCTTAGCTTTTTTGTGGTGAGAACACCTAACATCCATCTACTCTCTTAGCAATTTTCAAGTATACAACACATTGTTATGAACAACAGCCACCATGCTGTACCAGAGATCTAGTTTATTTCCCCTGTCTAACTGAAACTGTGTATCCCTGGACCAACATCTCTTAATTATTTAATCCTCTTGGCTAAATAATGAGAGCTGCCTGCCATCCGAGTTAACTGTTAACTCTCACAGTGCTGGAATTGGACAAAGAAGATCCACTCAGAGACCAGAGAGGTTAGGCAATGTGACTGAAGTCACACAGCTAGAAAGTCGCAGATCCCGGATTTCAAACTCAACCCAGCCTCTACAGCCCATGCTGTGGAGGTGTGTGATCAAAGGTTTTCAAAGTGTCGTCCCAGACTGGGTGCCGTGGCTGACACCTGTGATCCCAGTACTTTGGGAGGCCAAGGCGGGTGGATCACTTGAAGCCAGGAGGTCAGGAGTTCAAGACCAGCCTAGCCAACATGGTGAAACCCCATTTCTTCTTTTTTTTTTTTTTTTTTGAGATGGAGTCTCGCTCTGTCACCCAGGCTGGAGTGCAGTGGCACAATCTCGGCTCGCTGCAACCTCCGCCTGCCAGGTTCAAGCGATTCTCCTGCCTCAGCCTCCTGAGTAGCTGGGACTACAGGCACGTGCCACCATGCCCGGCTAATTTTTGTGTTTTTAGTAGAGACACGCAATATTTCTTCTCATATTTTCAGGATTTGAGCTTCTTCCCCAGGACCCTTGACACAAGCCAGAAGCATTTTTAAAAACTCTTCCCAGAGGGCAGGGATTTGGGGACACTGTTGTTTCCGAGGAACTTAGGGAGGCGTTACCCGGTGGGCAGGTGCGGATGCTGGAGTCTCTGCCAGGCTCAGCAAGAGGACGAGGAGGAGGACCAGGGGGACGGAGGGAGGAGCCATCGAAGGCAGGACGACAGGTGCCTACAGCTGCGGAACACGCTGCAAGGAGAGAGCGGCCAGTCATTTTCCGAAGCGGGGGCCAGGTGCATTTCCGATAAGGACAGAGGAATTTATTTTTTAGCTTTATGGAGGCATCATCGAGATACAAAAATGGCGCACATTTAATGTACACATCTTGAGGAGTTTGGACGTGTGCAAGCAATTAAGCCTCTCCTTCCCCCATCATCGGATCAGGCCGACCTGGTCCCCCAGCGCCCATGCCTTCTGCCCCACTGCCTCCACCACTCCATCTTCAAACCTTTCCGTCCCCTTACCTGCCCCTCACCTTTTCCCTGCCACCAATGCTGGGGTTTCTCCTGTTATCCCCATCCCTTCAAGCCCCCCATCACTCTCCCAGGAGCCCCTCACTCCCTCCACCCCTCTGCCCTCCTGGCCTAGGCTCTCACCCCAGTGCAGCTTGGATCCACCCCTCTGCCCTCCTGGCCTAGGCTCTCACCCCGGTGCAGCTGGCATCCACCCCTCTGCCCTCCTGGCCTAGGCTCTCACCCCGCTGCAGCTGGCATCCGCCCCTCTGCCCTCCTGGCCTAGGCTCTCACCCCCGTGCAGCTGGGATCCGCCCCTCTGCCCTCCTGGCCTAGGCTCTCACCCCGCTGCAGCTGGCATCCGCCCCTCTGCCCTCCTGGCCTAGGCTCTCACCCCGGTGCAGCTGGGATCCGCCCCTCTGCCCTCCTGGCCTAGGCTCTCACCCCGGTGCAGCTGGGATCCGCCCCTCTGCCCTCCTGGCCTAGGCTCTCACCCCGGTGCAGCTGGGATCCGCCCCTCTGCCCTCCTGGCCTAGGCTCTCACCCCGCTGCAGCTGGCATCCGCCCCTGTGCCCTCCTGGCCTAGGCTCTCACCCCGCTGCAGCTGGCATCCGCCCCTCTGCCCTCCTGGCCTAGGCTCTCACCCCGCTGCAGCTGGCAGCCGACCCTGTGCCCTCCTGGCCTAGGCTCTCACCCCGGTGCAGCTGGGATCCGCCCCTCTGCCCTCCTGGCCTAGGCTCTCACCCCGCTGCAGCTGGCAGCTCTCCGCAGCTCTCTCTGGCTCCTCGCTCCAGCGCCTGGACTCTTTCACGCCCCCTGAGCTTTTATGCCTTCTGAGGAGACAATAGAAGGGAGGGGGGAAAGGGAGGGGATTAGAAGAAGGGAGAGGGAGTGAAGAGGATGGAGGTGGGGGAACAGTCATCCACTCCAGGGGCTTTCAAACGCTGGTCTGTGAGGTCAAAACACACACTTCATCGCGGGAAATGCTGCTGTGCCTTGGTTTCCCCTGGTAGACCCTGCCCTTCCCCCTCCTTCTGTGCCCCTTTATCTTCCAGCTGTCCTGTTCCAGACTTTGCAGCTATTCGAGGGCTCCCTCCCTCCCTCTTATCTGCGTCTGGGCCTTGACCTGTGTCTTCCTTGGTTGTCTCCACCTGCCACTGGTGTCTCCGTAGCCCTGTCCCCTCTGCCCCCATCAATCCCTCCAAGCCTCCGCAGCTCCCTCACTGAGTTGCATTTCTTCTGTCTTGCACGGTAGACCCTGTTTATTTGTTTACTTGTGAGCTGTCTATCTCCCCGCCCCCCACCTACCACCCTGGCTAAAGGAGACCCCATGAGGGGTGTCAACTGTGTCTTGTTCATGGCTGCGTCCCTAGGCCGGAAGCTCTCAACCAGGAGTGACTCTGCCCCGATGCTGCCCCAGCCTCACCCCAGGACATGTGACCAAGTCTGGAGACAGTTTTGTTTGTTCGTTTTTTTTGTTTTTGTTTTGAGACGGAGTCTCGCACTGTCGCCCAGGCTGGAGTGCAGTGCTGTGATCTCGGCTCACTACAAGCTGTGCCTCCCGGGTTCACGCCATTCTCCTGCCTCAGCCTCCCGAGTAGCTGGGACGACAGGCGCCCGCCACCACGCCCGGCTAATTTTTTGTATTTTTAGTAGAGACAGACGGAGTTTTACTATGTTGGCCAGGCTAGTCTTGAACTCCTGACCTCGTGATCTTCCCGCCTCAGCCTCTCAAAGTGCTGGGATTACAGGCGTGAGCCACCGCGCCCGGCTGGAGACATCTTTACTTGGGACTTGGGAGGGACTCCCGGCATCTCGTGGGTGGAAGCCAGGGACGCGGCTCAGCCTCCCACAGTGCTCAGGAAAGGCCTCCCCGATGGGAAGGACCCAGCCCCGAAAGTCAATAGCTCCAAAGATGAGAAACCTCACAGCAGCCCCTAAAACAGTGCCCGGAGCTCACTCAATACTTGTTGGGTGAACGAATAAGGAGTGTGTCGTTGCTGCGTCTCTCTCCTGTCATGTGTGTTGATCTATCTGTCTCTGCAGCACGCTCTCTCTTTGCCCTGACGTCACCTGCTTTCCAGAGGAAAGAACCTTGGAAGAGGTTTTACTCTTGCTGTTGCCCTTTGCTGTCTAAGGGACAGAGGGGACGCCCTGGTCCTGGCTGGGTTCTGTCTCCTCCTCTCCACCGTGGAGGACACATTGCCTCCAAGGTCCTTCCAGCATTCTGTCGGTTTGTGGCTGGCACTTGTATCTCTGTCCTGTCTTTACACATCCCCATCAGCCCTTACCCCATCCTTTCTCATCCCAAGGGGAAAGGGAGACCCCAGGAGAGGGATGGAGTGAGAAGACGACGTGGGGGATTACAGACACCCTGGTGGGCTCCTGAGCCCCCTCCGCTGTTTCTCCAAGTCCCTCACTTCTCATCCAGAGGATGACAACAACGAGGAGGAGGAGGAGGAGGAGGAGGAGGAGTGGGCAGGGGAGGAGGAGGAGGGGGAAGCTTTTATAGAAGACAAACTGACAAGAAGGTGTGAATGGCTTTGCTGGGAAGGAGAAAGGAGGAGGGAGTGACGCCCACTGCACGGGAGACAGGACTGAGGAGGCGACGCTGAGAGCTTGAAGCTGGGTTACCTGGAGCCCAATGGAGGGTCAGAGAAACAGTGGGAAGTCCTTGCCTCACTGCCCATTAGCTAGTTTGTGAAAAGTAAACGGGGTAGGTCCAAAGCTTGCTCTATCTCTCTTACACACACACACACACACACACACACACACACACACGCAAAACTCAAATGTGGTGCAAGAAATGTCACAATGTCACTTTCTTCTCATTTCTTTCTTTTTTTTTTTTTTATTGAGATGGAGTCTCACTCCGTCACCCAGGCTGGAGTGCAGTGGCACAATCTCTTGTCACTGTAGCCTCCACCTCCTGGGTTCAAGCAATACTCCTGCCTCAGCCTCCCCAGTAGCTAGGACTACAGGTGTGTGCCACCAAGCCTGGCTAATTTTGTATTTTTAGTAGAGATGGGGTTTCACCATGTTGTTCAGACTGGTCTCGAATTCCTGACCTCAGGTGATTTGCCCTCCTCGGCCTCCCAAAATGCTGGTATTACAGGTGTGAGCCACCTCACCCGGCCATCTTTCTTCTCATTTCTGTAACTGAGTCTGTGTCCCTCTTAGTAAATGCAAGCTACAGACACGAGCACCCTTTCCTTCAGAGGACGCTGCAGTTTCTGACCCAGCATCCACCTGGCTCTGGCTGGAGATGAATCTGGCTGGCTTTTAGTTAAATGCCTGCAGCTCCTCCAGGCGCCCCACATGCCATGAGGGTGTGGACTCTATGCCTGGCCTAGGGGTGAGAAGGAGACTGGGATCTGAACAGATCCTTCCCTCTCTCTTTCCTTCAGTGTGGGTAGGTACCTTGGCGCCCACATGTACCAGGTTCCTGTGTACAATCCATTCCAGCCAGGGAGAGTAGAAAAGACATTTGCTGGGGAACTTCTGAAAAGAAACTAAAAACAAAGCTTCCTTGCTCTTTTATTTATTTGTTTATTTTTAAGATGGAGTCTCACTGCAACCTCTGCCTCCCAGGTTCAAGCGATACTCCTGCCTCAGCCTCCCAAGTAGCTGGAACTACAGGCGTGTGCCGCCACATCCAGCTGATTTTTGTATTTTTAGTAGAGACACGGTTTCACCATGTTAGCCAGACTGGTCTGGAACTACTGACCTCAAGCGATCCTCCCACCTTGGCCTCCCAAAGTTCTGGGATTACAGGCATGAGCCACCGTGCCTGGCCTCCTTGTTCTTTTTAAACTTATTTTTTCCCCTTGGAGTTTCCTTTCAATTTTTTTACTTTTTGTTTTTATTTATTTTAAAAATTTATTCTTTTTTTTTTTTTTTTTGAGACAGGGTCCTGTTCTGCCACCCAGTCTGGAGTGCAGTGGCACAATCATAACTCACTGCAGCCTCGACCTCCTGGGCTCAAGCAATCCTCCCACCTCAGCCTCCCGAGTAACTGGTACTGCCGGCATGTGCCACCACAACCGGTTAATTTTTGTTTTTCTGTTTGTTTATAGAGATCGAGTCTTGCTATGTTTCCCAGGCTGGTCTAGAACTCCTGGACTCAAGTGATCTTCCTGTCGAGACCTCCCAAAGTACTAGGATTACAGGCATGAGCCACCGCACCTGGCCCTTAATTTTTTTTTTTTTTTTTGAGACGGAGTCTTGCTCAGCTGCCCAGGCGGGAGTGCAGTGGTGTGATCTCAGCTCACTGCAACCTCCACCTCCCGGGTTCAAACGATTTTCCCGTCTCACCCTCCCGAGTAGCTGGGATTACAGGCACCCACCATCATGGCCGGCTAATTTTTATATTTTAGTAGAGACAGGGTTTCACCATGTTGGTCAGGCTGGTCTTGAACTCCTGACCTCAGGTGATCCTCCAGCTTCGGCCTCCCAAAATGCTGGGATTACAGGTGTGAGCCACTGCGCCCAACCCTTAATTTTTTTTTTAATTTTGAAGTAATTTCAGACTTACAGGAAAGTTGCCCAAAGAATTCCCAGATACTCTGATTTTCCAAATGCTTACATTTCACCACATTTCATTTCTCTGGTCTGTCTCCCGCTTCCCCTCTCCCTTTGCCCCCATTCCTTCTCCCCCTCCTCTCTCTTCCTCCCTTCCTGGATGTTGTGGGAGAAGCCTGAAGTCGGGGAGCCGCTATGTCTTCTGTCGCCAGGAGGGGGCGTAAAGCCCAGGCCGCAGCTGAGCCCCAGGCATTGGGAAACACCGGGAGCTGGGCCTGGGAGCCTGGCGGCCCCCACCTCTGCGCTTCCTGCTCCCTGCCACACTTAAGCCATTTGAGTTAGATTTATTTTCAAAACCACATTATTGAGGTATAATTGGTGTACCAAAAACGCACGTAATGTTACCATGTGACGAGTGTGGACACAAACGTCCCTGACACCATCACCACATCCCACAGTTTCCTTGTGGTTGTGTTTTTCTAATTTGTTATTTAAAAAATGTTTGTGATAGGCCAGACACGGTGGCTCACGCCTGTAACCCCAGCACTTTGGGAGGCCAAGGCGAGTGGACCACCTGAGGTCAGGAGTTCAAGACCAGCCTGGCCAACATGGTGAAGCCCCGTCTCTACTAAAAATACAAAAATTAGCTGGGCGTGGTGGTGTGCACCTGTAATCCCAGCTACTTGGGAGGCTGAGGCAGAAGAATCGCTTGAACCCAGGAGGTGGAGATTGCAGTGAGCCGAGATCATGCCACTGCATTCCAGCCTGGGTGACAGAGCGAGACTCCATCTCAAAAGTAAAAATAAAATAAAAACAAAGTTTTGCTTTTACCAGAATGTTATACAAACTGGATCCTACAGTGTGCAGCCTTTTCAGTCTGACTTCTTTTACTTAGTGCATGAGATTCATCCACGCTGTGGTGTGTGTCAACAGTTCACTCCTTTTTAGTGCCATTCCTACAAATTTCTGACGAATCCTTTAGGTTTAAGTCCTAGAAGAAAAGCAACTCAGTCAAAAGGTATAACCATTCTGGGATTCTTTTTTTTTTTTTTTTTTTCAGACGGAGTCTTGCTCTGTTCCCTAGGCTGGAGTACAATGGTACAATCTCAGCTCACTGCAACCTCTGCCTCCCAGGTTCAAGCAATTCTCCTGCCTCAGCCTCCTGAGTAGCTGGGATTACAGGCACCTGCCACCATGCCCAGCTAATTTGTTTGTATTTTAGTAGAGATGGGGTTTCACCATGTTGGCCAGGCTGGTCTTGAACTCCTGACCTCAGGTGATGCACCTGCCTCGGCCTCTCAAAATGCTGGGATTACAGGTGTGAGCCACCACGCCCAGCCTCTGGGATTCTTAGTATACACATCCAGATTGCCTTTCGACAATCACATACCAGTTTTCAGTCCCACCAGCACCACAGAAAGATTCCCATTTTACTTGAGAAAGTTACATTTTTTAGGGAAAGTTCATGGGAGGGGCTGGAAAAGACCTAAGTATTGGTCATGTGCTAGAAACACCTAACTGAATTATTGAACAAGAGGGGTTGCATTCTTAGCTTTTCAAAGAGGCATGGGTGGGTGAGGCTGAAAATCCCACTATTGGAAAGATTCAGATGTGGAAGCGGCCACAGGACGGGAATCTGCAGTCAGGAAGAGAAGTGTCAGCGTTCTCTCCCAGGAGCATTTCTGTGCAGAGTCAAGGTGAGTCAGAGTGAAGGGGAGCCAACGCAATGTCCAAAGCTGAGAGCTGCATGTGAAATACATCATCGATGCTGACGCTGCATTCACAGGAGTGGTTCAAGTGGGGGCACGTGGAGAGGAGAGGGCTGACTCATGGCGGGAGCTAACCAGGGCGGAAGGACATCCTGGAGTTTGGCCCATGACAACGGTGGGGAGGAGATGAAATAAGCAGGTGCCTTCGCCTTCCAAAGGTCCCGGACATCCAGTTACAAAAACAAGAGTGCAGAAGCAGCCAGCAGCCTCCCGTGACCTTGAATCAGAAGGAAAGCGGGAAACAGTGTACACCGGAGGCGCCCAGGTGGGAAATGACATGCTCTCCCATGTTGGTGGGCTGAGTTGTGTCTTTCTGGCTTTTGTTTTTTCTTTCTTCTTCTTCTCTTTTTTTTTTTTTCTTGAGACACAGTTTCACTCTGTTGCCCAGGCTGGGAGTGCAATGGCTGGATCTCGGCTCACTGCAACACCTGCCTCCCGAGTTCAAGTAATTCTCCTGCCTCGGCCTCCCGAGTAGCTGGGACTACAGGCACCCACCACCACGCCTGGCTAATTGTGTGTGTGTGTGTGTAATAGAGACAGGGTTTTTCACCATGTTAGCCAGGATGGTCTTGATCTCCTGACCTCATGATCCGTCTGCCTCGGCCTCCCAAAGTGCTGGCATTACAGGCATGAGCCACCGCGCCCAGCCTGAGTTGTATCTTTATGGCTTTTGTTTTTTCTTTTTCTTTTTTTTTTTTCTTTTTTTGAGACACAGTTTCACACTGTCGCCCAGGCTGGGAGTGCAGTGGCTCGATCTCGGCTCACTGCAACCCCCACCTCCCAGGTTCAAGCGATTCCTGTGCCTCAGCCTCCCGAGTAGCTGGGATAACAGGTGTGCACCACCACGCCTGGCTAATTTTTGTATTTTTAGTAGAGACAGGCTTTCACCATGGTGACCATGCTGGTCTCAAACTCCTGACCTCAGGTGATCCGCCAGCCTTGGCCTCCCAAAGTGCTGGGATTACAGGTGTGAGCCACTGTGCCCAGCTGGCTTTTGTTTTTTCTTTTTTTTTTTTTTGAGATGGAGTCTCACTCTTTCTCCTAGGCTGGACTGCAGTGGCACGATCTCAACTCACTGCAAGTTCTGCTTCCCGGGTTCACGCCATTCTCCTGCCTCAGCCTCCTGAGTAGCTGGGACTACTGGTGCCCGCCACGGCGCCCGGCTAATTTTTTTTTGTATTTCTAGTAGAGACGGGGTTTCACCGTGTTAGCCAGGATGGTCTTGATTTCCTGACCTCGTGATCCACCTGCCTCGGCCTCCCAAAGTGCTGGGATTACAGGTGTGAGCCACCGTGCCCAGCTGGCTTTTGTTTTTTCTGTAGGTGCACAGATGATATTAGTTAAATTGAAAAGCAGGTAGAATGTTGACAAGAGTGGGAAAAGAGAGTGCATTCTGCCATTGTCTCTGCCTGGAATGTTCTTGCCAGCTACGTGTGGATGACTTCCTATCCTCTTCTCAGGGACATTTATTATGACCACCATTTAAAAATATGTCTATTTACTTATTTATGTATTTGCTTATTTTTTTCTTAAAATTTTTTTAAATTTACAAATACAAATTGAATCTATTTATGGCATACAGCATAATGTTTTGATCTATGTATACACTGTAAAATTATTAAATTGGGCTAATTAACACATCCACCAGCTCGTAGACATCGTTTTGTACTGAAAGCATTTAAAATCTACTCTCATGGGGTGCAGAGGCTCATACCTGTAATCCCAGTACTTTGGGAGGCCGAGGCGTGGGATCACTTGAGGTCAGGAGTTCGGGACTAGCCTGCTCAACATGGCGAACCCTCATCTCTACTAAAAATAAAAAAAATTAACCGGGCATGGTGGCACATCTGTAATTCCAGCTACTTGGGAGGCTGAGGCAGGAGAATAGCTTGAACCCAGGAGGCGGAGGTTGCAGTGAGCCGAGATCATGCCACAGCACTCCAGCCTGGGCAACAGAGTGAGACTCCGTCGCAAAAAAAAAAAAAAAAAAAAAAGAACCTGCAACACAGTAGGTTTGGAAAAAATGAAAAGTAAAATAAAATGAGCTCCATGGAAAGTTGGAGTAGGATGTTGATGTAACTGTGGGAGGCTGCATCTTTCTTAATAACTCTGGGTATCATAATGGTTTGAGGAAGGGCTACAGCATGGAGGTGTTTTTCGGTGTTCAGATGTCAATGGGCATATCTTCCTAAATAGACACATTTTACCCCTTGTGAGCTAGGCAGGCTTTAAAAATCCATGCCCACATTCTGTGTCATCCAGCAGTTCGCCATTCATAAAAAACAGCCAGGTGCAGTGGTCCACACCTGTAATCCCAGCACTTTGGGAGTTCAAGGCAGGCAAATTGCCTGAGCTCAGGAGTTTGAGACCAGCCTTGGCAACCTAGCGAGACCCCATGTACAAAAAAATACAAAAATTAGTTGTGTGTAGTGACATGTGCCCGTAGTCCCAGCTACTCCAGAGGCTGAGGTGGGAGGATCGCTTGAGCCTGGGAGGTTGAGGCTACAGTGAGCCTTGATGCCACCACTGCACTCCAGTCTGGGAGACAGAGGGAGATCCTGTCTCAGAAAAACAAAAACAAAAAACTCCTAAGATGTCAAAATGTAAACCTATATTTGTCTTTGCATCTCACCAAAGAATTCCCCATCTATACACTAAACGAAACAATGAAAAGTGGGAGGGGATAGTCCTTGTGCAAGTTAAAAGCAATCCGTACAGGGCCGGGCGCGGCGGCTCACGCCTGTAATCCCAGCACTTTGGGAGGCCGAGGCGGGCGGATCAAGAGGTCAGGAGTTCGAGACCAGCCTGGCCAACATGGTGAAACCCTGTCTCTACTAAAAATACAAAAATTAGCCGGGCATGGTGGCACAAACCTGTAATCCCAGCTACTCAGGAGGCTGAGGCAGGAGAATCGCTTGAACCAGGGAGACAGAGGTTGCAGTGAGCCAAGATCTCACCATTGCACTCCAGCCTGAGCGACAGAGAAAGACTCTATCTCAAAACAAAACAAAACAAAAAAAACGTGTACAAAAGCTTTATTTCTCTTCCCCACCTGAGATGGGAGGTCAGCACTGGGGGCGGGGAAGTCTGCACCTTTCTTTCCCCTAACTCAGCTTGGAGGAAATGTCTCTGTCCATTGTGCTGAATATTCCATCGTCTCCCTGGATCAGTTCTTCCTTACCATGAACCCAAATTAAGGGGTTACAGTTAACCCTCTAAAGGACATGGGTATGCTGTTGCTTAAGGTTGGGTATTTAGTTAGGATTAAGACCCCGGGCCAGGCGTGGTGGCTCATGTCTTTAACCCCAGCACTTTCAGAGGCCAAGGCGGGAGGATCACTTGAGGTCAGGAGTTCAAGACCAGCCTGGCCAACATGGTGAGACCCTGTCTCTACTAAAAATATAAAAATTAGCTGGGAATGGTGGTGGATGCCTGTAATTCCAGCTGCTCAGGAGGCTGAGGCAGGAGAATTGCTTGAAACTGGAAGGCAGAGGTTGTAGGGAGCTGAGGTTGTACCATTGAACTCCAACCTGGGGGACAGAGCAAGACTTCATCTAAAAAAAAAAAAAAGCCCCACACATTTCCTGCCCATAATTCCAAAGGTCAGTGTTGCTCCAACCTCAGCCTCCCTGCCAGCCATTTCTACCACTTCATCCCCCAGAGAGGAGGGGTTGGGGACTCATCTTCACTCAATGCCAACTCTCAGAGCAATGAGGAAACAACCTCACATTTCACTGGCCCGCTATGGGGCTGCAGGGAATTCACTACAGACTTCTGGGCCTCCATCTCCTCTTTGGTAAACTGAGGAACCAGCTCAGAACTTGCAAACGGGCAGCCAAAACCAGACCCTCAGACGTGCTTTGGGTTTGTTTGTTTGCATTATGATTTTTGTTTGTTTTGGTTCCTTCATATTGTAGCTCACACAGTGCTTGCTTGCTTGCTTTATTTATTTATTTATTTTATTTTATTTTTATTGAGATGGGGTCTCGCTCTGTTGCTCAGGCTGGAGTGCGGTGGCACTATCTTGGTTCACTGCAGCCTTGACTGCCCAGGCTCAAACAATCCTCCAACCTCAGCCTCCTGGGTAGCTGGGACTACAGGCGTGTGCTTGCCACACTGGGCTAAACTTCCACACAGTGTTTTGAAAATTGCAAATCGAATCACGAGCATATAGGGTTTCAAAACTTTTACATAAAGATCTAGATTTCTGTGTTTTTCTATTTGTTTGTTTGTTTGTTTTCTGAGACAGAGTCACTGTCATTCAAGTAACTGTAGTGTAATGGCGCGATCTCGGCTCACTGCAACCTCTGCCTCCCAGGTTCAAGCGATTCTCCCGCCTCAGCCTCCCAAGTAGCTGGGGATTGCAGGCATGTACCACCACACCTGGCTAATTTTGTGTTTTTAGTAGAGATGGGGTTTCTCCACGTTGGTCAGGCTGGTCTCGAACTCCCAGTCTCAGATGATCCATCCACCTCAGCCTCCCAAAGTGCTGGGATTACAGGTGTGAGCCACCTCACCCAGCCAATGTCAGCTTTTTAAAATAAAATAAAATAAATGCCTGCATTTGTACTGTTAGCCAATTCCCATAGTGTAAATATTCCATTAGGGCCAATTTCAACATACCAACAGTTTAACAACTGGCTCACCACTGCCCCCCCAAAATCGTGAATATTTAATGATTTTTTGGGGTTTTTTTTTATTGTTTTTTTTTGAGACAGAGTCTGGCTGTGTTGCCCGGGCTGGAGTGCAGTGGCGTGATCTTGGCTCACTGTAATCTCAGCTTCCCGGTTCAAGTGATTCTCCTGCCTCAGCCTCCCGAGTAGCTGGGATTACAGGCGCCCGCCACCATGCCCGGCTAATTTTTGTATTTCTAGTAAAGACAGGGTTTCACCATGTTTGTTAGGCTGGTCTAGAGCTCTTGATCTCAAGTGACCTGCCCCCCTTGGCCTCCCAAAGTGCTGGGATTACAGGCGTGAGCCAATACGCCCGGAACTTTTCTTTTTTTTCTTTTTCTTTTCTTTTCTTTTTTTTTGAGATGGAGTCTTGCTGTGTGTCACCCAAGCCTGGAGTGTAGTGGTGCCATCTTGGCTCACAGCAACCTCCGCCTCCCGGGTTCAAGCCATTCTCCTGCCTCGGCCTTCTTAGTAGCTGAGACTACAGTTGAGCACCACCACACCAGCTAATTTTTGTATTTTTAGTAGATATGAGGTTTTACCATGTTGGCCTGGCTGGCCTCAAACTCCTGACCTCAAGTGATCAGCCTGCAGCGGCCTCCTAAGCACTGGGATTACAGGCGTGAGCATGACTTGTGGACTCCCCCCATTTAGCCCTCACTGTAACCCCCATGTTATGGATTGAATGTTAGAGTCCCCTGAAGATTCATATGATGAAAACTAATACCCAACGTGAGAATATTAAGAGGTAGCGTGTCTGTTGAGCAGTCTAGGGATGGATGGATGGATGGACAGATGGAGATATAACGATAGATAGATAGATAGATAGATAGATAGATAGATAGATAGACAATAGATAGTAAATAGGTAGGACTTTTGGGACATGATCACATCATGAGGGCTTCATCCTTGTGAATGGGATTCATGCCCTTATTTTATTTATTTTTTATTTATTTTTTTTTTGAGATGGAGTTTTGCTCTTGTGTTCACTAGGCAAATGCAGGAAGAAAGAACAACATTTTATTAATATGTGGAGCCAATGGCCTGTGCAAAAGTCCTGTAGTGGGGTGGAGGAAGGAAGGGCTGAAGGAACTGGGTGATGAGCTGGACCTGGAATGCAGACTAACTGGGGAGGGTGGAGGGTACGAGGTAGACAGGGACCACCCCATCAGGAAACTTCTAGTTGTTTTTTTTTTTTTTTTTTGAGACAGGATCTCACTCTATCGCCCAGGTTGGAGTGCAGTGGTGCAATCTTGGCTCACTGCAACCTCCACCTCCCGGGTTCAAGCGATTCTCCTGACTCAAGCCTCCTGAGCAGCTGGGATTACAGACATGTGCCACCACACCCAGCTAACTTTTATGGATTGGGGACCCAGTTAGCAATCACCTGTGAGAGAGACCAGGACTGGAGCGGCTTGGACCAGGATACTCCTATCATCGACCTCCTCCCACAGCAAGGAAGAAGCAGAGTTGAGGTTTGAACCTGGTGTATGGAACCCCAGAGCCGGAACCCTTTAGCAGGGGAGAGGAAGGGGTGAGGGGAGGGGCAGTCACCCAGGGAAATTGAGTAGAATTAACTAACCCCTGCTGGGTCCTGGCAGAGCCCCTGGTGCCAGGGCCCCCAGGAGAGGAAGCAGAAAAAAAAATCACCTCATGCCACCAGCAGGTTCTTAAAACAATCTCACCCCTCAAGCAATAAAGACGGAAGCAAGAAAGTCAAGGCCAGCATCCAAAACCACAATTCAGATGTTCTCTGGTCTGTGGTATTGGGGTTGATGGATAAAGATCGTAGATGTGATAGTGTCCAACAGACATGGTGGGTATCAGTCACAGGACAGCCCTCATGGCACCTGCTCCATCAGAGTGGATATTGGTGGGGAGAGCTGTTGGGTTTATTTCCTTACTATTCTTTCCTTTTTTTTTTTTTTTTTTTTGAGACGGAGTCTCGCTCTTTCATCCAGGCTGGAGTGCAGTGGTGCGATCTCAGCTCACTGCAACCTCCACCTCCCAGGTTCAAGCCATCTTCCTGCCTCAGCCTCCCAAGTAGCTGGGATTACAGGTGCTCGCCACCACACCCGGCTAATTTTTGTATTTTTTTTTTAGTAGAGAAGGGGTTTCACCATGTTAACCAGGATGGTCTCGAGCTCCTGACCTCAAGTGATGCACCCACCTCGGCCTCCCAAAGTGCTGGGATTACAGTGCCCGGCCCAGGCAGGACTATTTTTAAGACAATTGAGCATGATTTTAGAAGGCTGCACAATTGACATTTTGCCTACTTCCACGTTTCGGTACTTTTCCTGAACAATGTTTCTTCGTTCCCCCTCTCCTAGTAACGGACATTTACGTTGCTCTGATTCTCTGCCATCCCAAGCAGCACCATGAGGAACAGCGCTATGCAGGACCTTCTGCGGATGCACCTGTGCCAGTCTGTCTGGCTGGGGCCTGCACACTCCGAGAAAGGACTGTGCACTCTGAGGAAGGACTGCGCAGTCTGAGGAAGGGCTGAGCACTCTTGTGGAAGTACCGCCCACTCTGAGGAAGGACCGTGCACTCTGAGGAAGGACTGCGCAGTCTGAGGAAAGGCTGCGCACTCTCGTGGAAGTACCGCCCACTCTGAGGAAGGACTGCTAGGTTGTCTCTCTGGAAAGTTTTCTGTTGCCCATGCGGAGAATATTCAAGTTTTGTTTCGGCCTTCCAGAATTTCCCTCCTGTTTGGGGGGGATCATCCTCCACTCCGTTATACAGCCTCGGAGGCAGACACCACTCGTCATCGGATGTCAAACCAAAGCTCCCCCAGGCTTAGCAGGTGTGGGTGCAGGAGGGTGCGGGAGTCAGATCTCCATCTATCTGGTCTCGCCTTGTTTCTAGTCCTTTGCAGGGGTGTTCTTCCAGCATCCTCCAATCCATCCGGGACTGTCCATCTTGAGTGACACAAAAGAGTGGGGCAGGACAGCCTGGCCGACTGTCCCTCCGAGACCAGACACGGGGTGTGTGTGTGTGTGTGTGTGTGTGTGTGTGTGTGTTGGAGGGGTCCCCAAAGGGGCACAGAAGTCCCGGGAGGCTTTTCAGAAGAGAAGAGATGGAGCCTGAATGGGCAAAAGCAGCAGCTGTGCTGTTAGGAGCTGGAGTGAATACTGTGAGCCCAGACACCTGGGATGAGATCCACAGATGTGGCCCGGTCCCTTACTCTTTTGGTGCCTCAGTTTCCCCATCTGTACCATGGGGATAACAACAGTGCATGCCTCATCGGTTGGTTATGATGATAAACAAACTGGATTTTAAAAAGGTCTGGCCCAGCAGACTCACTCTGTGTTTGCTGTTATCAGAACCCTGTCCTCAGACCCTGGCCTGACACCACCTCATACTCCCTCTCATGCCTCTTAGTCACTTCCTGAAAGTCTGCAGCAGACGACACGGCTTCTCCCAGCCCGTCTTCTTCCCCACACGGTGGGCATGGTAACGTCCTTAACATGCACCTGTCAGTGTGAAAGCAGCAGGCTGAGATCACACACCAAGTTCCCGTAAGTATTCTGCATTCATTACCTTATTTTTCTTTTGAGACGAAGTCTCGCTCTGTTGCCCAGGCTGGAGTAGGGCAGTGGTGCGATCTCAGCTCACTGCAACCTCTGCCTCCTGGGTTCAAGTGATCCTCCCACCTCAGCCTCCGGAGTAGCTGGGATTACAGGTGTCCACCATCATGCCTGGCTAATTTTTGTGTTTTCAGTAGAGTCGGGGTTTCAGCATGTTAGCCGAGCTGGTCTTGAACTCCTGAGCTCAAGTGATCCACCCACCCGAGCCTCCTAAAGTGTTGCGATTACAGGTATGAGCCACTGCACCCAGCCTTATTTAATTTTCAAAAACAGTCCCTTTTCAGGAGGGGCATTACTACCAGTCCTGTCTTAGGAGGTGGGTGCTGAGGCCTGTGGTCACTTGCCCTTCCTGGATAGCCTGGCACCTAAACCCTTCCCTGCACTGTTGAGTCTTGAAGGCAGACCTAGACTCCAGTGATGTGCACTGGACCGTCCAGGTGGCTGTTTCCAGATGCCCTCGCAGCCCGGCACAGGCTGTACCTGCCCCAGCCCTTGACACTGAGCCAGAAGCTGAAGCAGAGAGCAAGGCAGTGACCGTGGGGGGGCTTGGACGCAAGGTGGTACCGTGGCGGGCTCAGCCACAAGGCGGCAACCATGGAGGGTTTGACATAGAACCCCTCCCAGGCTCAGGCGCTGGGCACACAGGAACCAAAAGGACCAGGGTGAAGCCAGCCCCAAGACTGGGCGGCAGGGGAGTGGTCAGACCAGCGCTCTCATCCTACGCTTTCCAAAGCCCGGCAACTGCCCTTCATCCACCCGGCAGAGGCTACAGATTTCCTCTCTGGAGAGAAGGAACCGGGGTTGCTCGCTGAGCTGACAAGAGGTGGCATCCTGGAAAGATGCAGCTGGCCAAAGCCTGCCCTCCATACGGAGTCCCCCCCTCGGCCAATGGCTCCAGCTAAAGGTGAGAGAATTCCTTGCGTGGCAGAATGGGCCACCCAAGACCTACCAACACTGACACTCAGGACCCCAGTCAAACAGAGTGGCCTTAGCAAGGGAGGTGGGTGCCATTATCATCACTTGCGGATGTGGAACTCATGCCCAGAGGGTATGACCAACCTGTAGGTTCCCAGCCAGGAAGCTGAAGGGCTCAGATGCGAACCTGACTCAGTGTGGCACTCGGCAGGTCCCTTCCAGGAGCCTCATCCCTGCCTCCGTAGGATGGAGGTGGGGACAGCCCTCCTGAGGACACATTTCCTGCACTGCCTCCCACAGCTGTGCCCAGACTCCCAGAGCCTCTCTCATGCCAAGAGAGTCTGTGGTGGGAGCCAAGACAGCTGACCCCAGAAGCCCCGGGCACCCCAGACGCTCGGCCCTGGGAGGGTGGCTGTGCCGGACAGACTCCAGACAGAGCTCAGACTCCGGGTCTACACACAGTGACTTTATTACTCTATGGATGCTGGTGAACTGCCCTCCCCAACCAGCTTCACGGGGGCAGGCATCTCTGTCCATCCCATGCCTTTGGGTCACAGGGGGCAGCAAGACCAAGAAGACCACAGCCAGGCCCTGGGTTCAGCTTCAGAGCCATCACCCGCTGCCTCCCCCAACCCCCAATCTCCTGAGGGAGGAGAATTCCTAGGGACAAGACCCAGACCCCTTTCCTTCAGCCTCTGCTTCACCAAGGGGGCCTGGCCTGCGCCCGAGCTCCTCCTGGCCTGCCCCTCAGGGGTCCCAGGTCCTCACCTCTGCTCTTCAGGCAGGAAAAGGGCAGGGAGAGAGGAATGGAGGAGGGAGAGGGAGGCTGGGCCGCAGGAGAGAGAAGAGGGGGGAAGGAGGAGACATTAGGGAGAGGCCCCTTCACACAGAGAGAGAGGCCGAGAAATCAGGGAGAAGGGGGGGGCTGAGGTGAGACCTGAGAAGGAAAGTGAAATTTGGGGGAAAAGGAGTTGGAAAGGAATAGGAAGGCGTTGGGAAGTTCAGACAAGGGAGGCGCAGGTGGAGGAGGACGATGGGAGGGAAGGAGGAGAGGAAGAGGCCAAGTGGCGCTGGGAGAGAGCAGGTACCGCCCGGGGGCAGCACCAAGGGCGGGAGATGGCGCTGGCCGGGAGGCGGCTAACCCAAGGGCCAGGGCGGGAAGGGGCCTCCACCATCCGGGCCCGGAGCTACCGCCCCCTGCGCGCTGGCCGCTGCCCGGCCGTGGATGCGCTGGTGGCGCAGCACGTGCTCGCGGCGCCCGAAGCCCTTGCCACACTCCCAGCAGGCAAAGGGCCGCGCTCCCGAGTGCGTCTTGCGGTGGCGCACCAGGTGCTCGCGCCAGTAGAAGGTCTTGCCACACTCGCAGCACGCGTGGGGCTTCTCACGGGCGGGCAGAGGGCGCAGCGCGGGCCCGGGGCTGCCGGGGCTGCCGGGGTGCGTGTCGCGGTGGCGCCGCAGGTGCTCCTTGCGCCGAAAGGCCTTCCCGCACTCAGGGCAGGCGTGCGGCTTCTCGCCCGAGTGGCTCTGCCGGTGGCGCAGCAGGTGAGCTGGTTTCAGGGACGTTTTGCCGCACTCGGGGCAGGACGTGGTGCCCGGGGCCGCTAGGAAGGCGGGCAGGCCAGGCGCCAGCGGGGGGCTGCTGGGCTCCTGCTTGTAGGGGCGCACAGCCTGGGAGTCCCCAGGCGCCGGCCCCTCAGCCCCAGGGGCGGTGCCTGCTGGGAAAAGAAAGAGAGTCAGCATCTGGGTCGGCACGAGGGCGGGGCAAGGACAGCACAGGCTGGGGTGGAGGCAGGGAGGGAACGCTTAAAGGCAGAAACCATTGGGGTGGGAAGAGGGCTGGGCTGTGGGCTTCTTATTCATACCTGTGTCCCGGTACCTAGTAGTGCCTGGCATACAGTCAATGCCCAATACATAATAGATGATGGCTGGCTGGATGATGGATGGGTAGATGAATGCGTGGGTAGATGAAGAATGCGTGGGTGGATGATGGGTGATGAATGGACCGATGATGGATGGATGAATGTACAGATGATGGATGGGTAGATGAAGAATGCGTGGGTGGATGAGGGGTGGATGAATGTCTAGATGATGGATGGGTGGGTGGATAACTAGATGGACGGATGGGTGATGGATGGGTAGATGATGAATGCATGGGTGGATGATGGGTGGATGAATGTACAGATGATGGATGGGTGGGTGGATGACTAGATGGACGGATGGGTGATGGATGGGTAGATGATGAATGCATGGGTGGATGATGGGTGGATGGATGGACGGATGATGGGTGGATGAATGTACAGATGATGGATGGGTGGGTGCATGGGTGGATGAGTAGATGGATGGATGGGTGGGTCATGGATAGATGGGTGATGATGATGGATGACAGAGGGATGGTGGGATTGGTGTGAGGGGGAACATGTGAAGGATGGATGGATGCCTGGGAGAATGATAGAGGGATGGATGGGTGAATGGGTGGGTATATGATAGAGGAATGGATAGGTGGAGGGTGGATGATGGCTAGATGGGTGCATGGATGGATAGATGGATGGATGAACCTCCAACCCCGAGGCCCACCCATACCCCCAATGCCCGCCCCTTGGGTCCGAACCCCGGGGCTCCTCAAGGGCTGGGGTCCAAGTCTGTCCTTGTCCTGGGTCCTGGTGCCAGGATCGTTCACTGAACCCCCTCCCCGGTGCTGGGGGCTGGCGGGGAGAACCAGAGAGGCCAGCAGCTCACCTAAGGGAATCATCCCACTGTCCTCCTTTCCACCTGTGGCCCCAGGGCCCTGCGTCACATCCTGAGGCACCCTCGTTGCTGACGACCCATCGGGGGAGGCTGCTGGCCCCTGAAATGAGAGCACAGTTTTGAACTCAGAAACCTGAGCAAGGGCCTCTATTTCTCCCTCTCCCAACCACCGTCGACCAGCTGTGCAATCCCATCCCTGCTGGGAGGAAGCCACAGTCATGCTGGGCGACACTGAAGCTGCCCCACAGAGAGGCCCCCAGGTGAGGAACCAAGGCCTCCTGCCAACCCCCTGCCAGGGAGCCATCTTGAAGCCACCAACCTTCAGATGACAGCCTGGCCAACACTGCACTGTGACCTCACAGGAGACCCTGGGCCAGGTCCGCGTGCCCAAGCCACTCACAGACTCCGGACCCACAGAGGCTTTCTGAGCTGACAGATGTTACTGTTTACACCCCTGAGTGTGGGGTGACTTGTCAGGAAGCAAGAAATAACTAATACACCTGTCTCAGATCAGCTTCGTCCTGCCCTTTGGATAAAGTGCAAGCTCCTTAACAAAATGCAGAATATATAAGCTACTTTTAACTTGGGAAAAAAGTAAACTAAGTTCAGAAACAACTTTTCTTGGTGTGAAACAGCAGAACAGCTGCCAAGCAGGACGGCACCAACCAGGAAGACCAAAAATTTAAAAAGTTTCAGTCCAACTCGTTGTGGTTTCTTCGCCCTACTACATAATTCCTCAAAACCACGTCCCCAAGGGAAAGGGATGAGAATTCTTCTGGTGCCTATGACAGCTAAGTCACGCACCACACCTTTTCCCCGTTTCAAATATTTTTGGCCAGAGGAGTACGTGGATCACAAAGCAATCACTGGTGTGAAAATTAGCAATGCCTAGGCCAGGCGAGGTGGCTCACACCTGTAATCCCAGCACTTTGGGAGGCTGAGGCGGGCAGATCACAAGGTGAGGAGCTTGAGACCAGCTTGGCCAACATGGTGAAATCCTAACTCTACTAAAGATACAACAAATTAGCTGGGCGTGGTGCCACGTACCTGTAATCAAAGCTACTCGGGACGCCGAGGCAGGAGAATCACTTGAACCCGGGAGGCGGAGGTTGCAGTGAGCCGAGATCACACCACTGTACTCCAGCCTGGGCAACAGAGTGAGACTCTGTCTCCAAAAAAAAAAGCAAAGCGGCAGGGGCAAACCACCTGCCCTCACTCTGACAGACAAGAAAACGTTTCCTAAATAAGGGGGTCAAAATACAAGAGCGTGGGCCTGGTGGCTCATGACTGTAATCCCAGTGACTCAGGCAGCTGAGGCATGAGGATGGGGGCTTGGCACAACGCTGACTAGATCCTAGGTGCCTCGCAACCTGGCTGTGGGACCGTGATGGGCTCTGGGGCCCATCGGAGAGAGTCAGAAGAGCACAGTCTCACTCGGGCCCAGAGCACCACCCTGGACCACCCTCCAGCTCCTTGGCCCTTGGCGGGGCTCCCATGACCCTTGTGTGGTGTCAGCCACAGGCAGAGGCTGGGCAGGGGTGCTGTCCTGGCCTCAGCTCAAGGGCACCGGGGTTGACACACCTGAGAGTGGAGCCTGGGAAGCCGTGCCAGCAGACGGTTCTCCCAGAGATCTTGGGCACAGAAAAGCCTGAGATCCACCCATTCCTCGGGGAACTTCCTGGTTTGAGGCCCCAGAGACAGGGGACGCTGGCCAGGCATTGTCCACAGGAAGAGACATCCAGGGCACACCCATGCGGGGACAGGCGCGCCTTGTGGGGCCAGGCACACAGAAGGGGGGAGCATGGAGCAGCCCCGGGGTCCTAACCCTCCCTGTGATTTTATGATACGTATACATTGGGCTCTGTCCACGGCTCCTGGCTCATGACTCCCACAGCCCTTGTTACGGTCTTGTTCTAACGATGGGAAGCTTTAGGCCTCAGAAAAAGAGTCTCTCCCTGACCTTCTGCCCTACTTTCACCTGCTCTTCTTTCTCCACAAGGCAGGCCTTAAAAACTAAAAATATCCTTAAATCTTCCCCCACCTCTGGCCATAAAAAATTTTTCTGACCTAATTTGTCTGATTGTGGGCCATAACACCCCCCTTCAGAAGGGGTCCTGCCCCTACCCTGGAGGAAAGAAAGCCAAAGGAGGCCAAGAAGGGTCTGAACACACAGGCCTTGCGAGGTTTCCCCGCTCGGTCTACTCGGATTCGATCACACCCGTTTTATCTAATCACATTTCTACATGGCTGTCCATGCTTCAGTTATGCCTCTCAACCAAGTCTCCATAAAAGGCCAAAAGGACAGGGTTCAGGGAGCTTCCAGAGAGCTGAACTCGTGGAGGTGGACAGCAAGGTAAACTAGACCTCACCCACATGCCAGGAGGATGGTGCATCCCAAGTCCACAGGGACAGAGGCCCCTGCGCTCGGAACCCTTCCAGACCTCACCATACGTGGCTCTCCATCTGGCTGTTCACTGGTATCCTTTAAAATCTCCTTTACAATAAATCGGTAAACATGTTTCCCTGGTTCTGTGAGCACACTAGCAAATTAACGGAACCAGAGGAAGGGCTGTGGGAGCCCGATGTACAGCCTGTCAGTTGGAAGCACAGATGAAATAACCTGGGGCTTGTGACTGGCATCAGAAATGGGGGGTCAGTCTTGGGATGTGAGCCCTCAACCTGTGGGATCTGGCACTGTCTCCAGGGAGACCATGTTGGAAATGCATTAGAGGACACCCAGCTTGTGTCTGCTGCAGAGTTGATTGCTTGTTCGGTATGTGAGGGGACACCCCCTCCAACATTTGGTCACAGACGTCTTCTGTGGTCACTGATGCTGAGAATAGAAAAAGATACTTTGAGTACGTTTTTTCCACAGATCCCCCCCTGCCCCTGAACCAGCTGTGTCACCTCGGGCAAGCTGCTTTCCTTCCCTGAGATGACACCAGTACCCAGGACGGACCCTGCAGGCTGCGTGGAGACTGACGAGATGCTGCTGCTGTGCAGTGAGGCTCAGCCCTGTCCAGAGAGGTCTGGCCTCTGCCCTTGGCTCCAGGGAGGGTCACCTCTATGCCCCCAGAACACACTGCCTGATGGCAGGGTCTGCTCACCTGGGGCCCTGGGCCACCCGGGTGGGCTGAGCCCACAGCGTGACTCAGGGTTGGGGGTCTGGGCCATGTGCATCAGCTCGGCCTCTGCCAGGGATGGAGGTGAAGGTCAGCATATCTACACACAACCCCAACAGAGACCGAGTGCCGAGCTCGGGGAAGCGTTCCTGGCCAGCAGCACCCCCTGCAGGTTGTCACACGTTGTTGCCGGGAGGAGTTAGCGCCGTCCACACTCCACGGCAGGAGGACAGTTGGGAGCTCCGAGCACAGAGCCTTCCTCCACCCATTCCACTCATCTCTTCCCTTGGCTGGTTGTCATCTGTGTCCTTTCTCTGTAATAAGCTGTGACCCTGTGTGTGACTGACTGAGCCAATTTGGCACAGCCAGGAACACACTGCCTGATGGAGCCCTCCTTACACCCATCCCTGGAGGGCTCAGGAATCGAGATTCCAAAATTGCAGCTGAGGAAGCCAAGGCTCTGAGAGTCCCAGACATGCGTCCAAGGTCACCCAGCTTGGAAAAGGTGGAGGCAGGACTCATATCCAGCTTTGAAGTCTGTGTACTTTAACTGAGAGACTCTGGTCGGCTTTGAAGTCTGTGTACTAACTGAGAGACTTCCTAAGGATGCAGCATCCTCGTGTATCTGGGCTAAGCTCCACCTGCCCCAGTGCATAGGCCTGTCCACCCACTGTGGGATCAAGCTGCTGATGTTCTGCTGAGGATCCCCTAAGGATGAAGCATCCTCGTGTATCTGGGCTAAGCTCCACCTGCCCCAGCACATAGGTCTGTCCACCCACTGCGGAATCAAGCTGCCGATGTTCTGTTGAGGGTCCCATGAGACTGGCTGCAACCTTCTTTTCCTGTGCTGTCCTTGTCCTGTTAGGTGGTTGGGGGTGGGGGTGGGGGTGGCAGCCTTGCCAGTGAGCTGAGGAACACCTTCCCTGTGTTCTGGAAGTTTGTGTAAAAGGGACCAGCCTGGCCAACATGGTGAAACCCCGTCTCTCCTAAAAATACAAAAAAATTAGCCAGGCATGGTGACATGCACCTGTAATCCCAGCTACTTGGGAGGCTGAGGCAGGAGAATTGCTTGAGCATGGGAGGCGGAGGTTGCAGTGAGCCGAGACCACGCCACTGCACTCCAGCCTGGGCGACAGAGTGAGACTCCGCCTCAAAAAAAAGAACAGATGAGAATGATCAGTTCCTTGGAGGCCTGGTAGAACTTACACATAAAGTGCTGGAATCCAGTGCCTTCTATACGCGAAGGTCTTTCATCACCTTTTGATCTCCCCCCTCTGGTTTCCAGACTCTCACATCTGCCACTACATCATGAGCATATGTTGGTGATTTATATTTTCCTAGAAAACTGTCCATTTCATCTAGGACTTCGAATGCATTGTGTACGTTGAACACGGTGTTCTCAACGGTTGTCAAATCCGCTCCATCCCCGGCTTTGCTTGCTTCCACCATCAGTGTTTGTGCTGTTTCTTGTTTTCCTCCTAGTCAACTTGCTGAAGGTTTGCACTATTCTACTATTCTTTTCAAATATTGAGTTTGGACCTTGATTATCAACCTGTCCTCTGCTAATCTTCTGAGTTTGGCTTCTACATTGAACAGCTACCCTGTGCTATTTTCCTGTGCTCCCAGCTGCCTCTGGAGCCCCAGGGCCTCCCCTTCAATTCCGACCTGAGACGCAGGCTGACTGGGGCATTTCCTGTCAAGCTAACCAGGTACTGGCTGGAGCTGCCTCTCCCCACCTCCCAGGCCTACCCCACTGGCTTTTCTCTGCACTTCCCCGATTGGCAGACGCCCTGCCCCCATCCGTCTTAAACTATCCCCTTTCCCTATTGTGTGCCTGAGGCCAGATGCTGAGTGACTACAGCCAGGTCATTCGATCTTTCTGGACAGATCAGATTCTCTCTCCACAGAAGTGAGGAAGCTGACCATACCCTGGTCTTCCTGTCAAATCCTGTATATCAAAGCAGGACAAGAGGAGGCTGGGAACGGTTAGCCATTCCCTCCACAGCAGGAGAAGAGGAGGCTGGGAAGGGTTAGCCATTCCCTCAACGAGTATTTTTGTAGCACCTACTATGTGCCCAGCACCATCCTGAGCTCCAGGGACACATCACTGAACAAAAGACAAGGCCCCAACCCACAGGAGACTATATGAGACTACATTCCAGCTGGGGCTAGACATACCATAAAAAAGTCATAAACAAACTCGACAAGGCCAACGTAGCCAAGAAGGCTATATATTTCTCTAAGTCCCCTAGACTCTGAGGAGATGGGAACAGTCCTTAGAACCATGGAGGCTGTGATTCCCAAATGTCCCCTGTTCTCCCCCAAATGGAAGAGCCTGCCCCCTCCTGGATGACGGGCTCTCTCTTATTGGTGGTCCCCAACTCCAGTGGCTCACACAGGTCATGAGGCACTTTTAAAAAAAATGTGAAAGTCTACTAGCTGGCAGAGGATGCATCCAGACTAACATGAAGGAATCTCCAGGGCAAGAAAACAACCCAGTCTGAAAATGGACAGAAGACTGCTGCAGACCAAATGTCTGTGTGCCTCTCAAATTCTATGTTGAAATCCTAACCCTGAAGGTAATGAGATTACGTGGGGCCTTTGGGAGGTGATTAGGTCATGAAGGGGGAGCCCTCATGAATGGGATTAGTGCCCTTCTACAAGAGACCCCAGAGAGACCCCTTCACCCCTTCTGCCCTGTGAGGACACAGCAGGAAGCCACCATCTGTGAACCAGCAGGAGACCCTCACCAAACACTGAGTTGGCCTTGATCTCAAACTCCCCAGCCTGCAGAACTGTGAGAAATACATTCCCGTTGTTTTCAGCCAGCAGCCTATGGTACCTTGTTACAGCAGCCCAAACAGACTAAGACGTCACGCAACCCAGCAACTGCACTCCTGGGCGCTTACCCTAGATAAATGTAAACGTGTATTCACACAGAAACCTATTCAGAGACGTAAACCAGCTCTATTAAAAAAAAAAAAAAAACAAAACCCTGGAATCAACCCAAATGTCCTTCAACAGGAGAATGGAGACATTCAGTTAAAAAATTACTGAAGCTGAGGCCCGAATCACCTCATAACCGCAACTTCAAATCTAAGAGTAAAATCCCGGCAACGGTATTTTTTTTTTTTTTTTTTGAGACAGAGTCTCACTCTGTCGCCCAGGCTGGAGTGCGGTGGTGCAGTCCTGGTTCACTGCAATCTCCAGCTCCTGGGTTCAAGCGATTCTCCTGCCTCAGCTTCCTGAGTAGCTGGGATTACAGGCATGTGCCACCATGCCCAGCTGATTTTTGTATTTTTAGTAGAGACGCAGTTTTGCCATGTTGGCCAGGCTGGTCTCGAACTCCTGACCTCAGGTGATCTGCCCACCTTGGCCTCCCAAAGTGCTGGGATGACAGGCGTGAGCCACCATGCCCGGCCGACAGTATTTTTTAAAAGTTTCCAGGTGAGCTCTACTGCTTTCTACCAGTACAGGAGCCTCTCCTCGGCTGTCCTCTCCTTCTCATCCGGCAATGTCTCGGTGAAAACTCTGAGGACAGGCGAGGACCCACACACCAGATGCCAAGAAACCCCAATCCACAGTAGCGCCCCCAGATGTCAGCTGTCTATACACCACCGTCAGTTTCCACACACCAGATGCCAAGAAACCCCAATCCACAGCAGCGCCCCCAGATGTCAGCTGTCTATACACCACGGTCAGCTCCCACTAGATGCCCCCAGATGTCAGCTGTCTATACACCACCGTCAGCTCCCACAGACCAGATGCCAAGAAACCCCAATGCACAGCAGCGCCCCCAGATGTCAGCTGTCTATACACCACCGTCAGCTCCCACAGACCAGATGCCAAGAAACCCCAATCCACAGCAGCGCCCCCAGATGTCAGCTGTCTATACGCCACCGTCAGCTCCCACAGACCAGATGCCAAGAAACCCCAATCCACAGCAGCGCCCCCAGATGTCAGCTGTCTATACGCCACCGTCAGCTCCCACAGACCAGATGCCAAGAAACCCCAATCCACAGCAGCGCCCCCAGATGTCAGCTGTCTATGCGCCACCGTCAGCTCCCACAGACCAGATGCCAAGAAACCCCAATCCACAGCAGCGCCCCCAGATGTCAGCTGTCTATGCGCCACCGTCAGCTCCCACAGACCAGATGCCAAGAAACCCCAATCCACAGCAGCGCCTCCAGATGTCAGCTGTCTATGCGCCACCGTCAGCTCCCACAGACCAGATGCCAAGAAACCCCAATCCACAGCAGCGCCCCCAGATGTCAGCTGTCTATGCGTCACCGTCAGCTCCCACAGACCAGATGCCAAGAAACCCCAATCCACAGCAGCGCCCCCAGATGTCAGCTGTCTATGCGCCACCGTCAGCTCCCACAGACCAGATGCCAAGAAACCCCAATCCACAGCAGCGCCCCCAGATGTCAGCTGTCTATGTGCCACCGTCAGCTCCCACAGACCAGATGCCAAGAAACCCCAATCCACAGCAGCGCCCCCAGATGTCAGCTGTCTATACGCCACCGTCAGCTCCCACAGACCAGATGCCAAGAAACCCCAATCCACAGCAGCGCCCCCAGATGTCAGCTGTCTATGCGCCACCGTCAGCTCCCACAGACCAGATGCCAAGAAACCCCAATCCACAGCAGCGCCCCCAGATGTCAGCTGTCTATGCGTCACCGTCAGCTCCCACAGACCAGATGCCAAGAAACCCCAATCCACAGCAGCGCCCCCAGATGTCAGCTGTCTATACACCACCGTCAGCTACAATGGCTATCGCCCAGGCTCTTATTACTCTTCTTTACTTTTACCTAAAACTAAAATAACACTGACTTAAGACCATGTTGTATCATTGCTGGAAATGGAAAGCCAGTATCATGTGCCAGAGAGAGAGGTCATGGGAAATTCCATCACTCACGGCAGTGTTATTCCCGTCTGTGTGGACACTGATAGGAGAAGGCTCTGAACCTGAGATCTGCCCTTATTAAAAAGAGAGAGTAACAGATACAAGAGAGATGCTAAAGACATCCCAGAGCCACAGTGAGAGGTTCGCCTCGGAGCAAGCAGAGAACGCAGGAGAGTCCCGACGGCCTGGAGCCTGGTGATTTCCCGACTTTTAGATTCACTGAACCAACAGAACTCTCACTGCATCCCCGAATGGAAGATTTTTTTTTATTTTGCAAGATATATACATTAAAAGCAACAATAACCACCACCTACTTTTACCATCTTTTCCTAAAAGAACATTTTAATGCCAACAAAACAGATGGCATGAGCTCAGAGTGGTAACAGTGGCTGAAATCTACCTAGACAGCACCCATGTGCCAGGTCCTGTTCTGAGGAGTCATGGAAACTGGAAAGGGCGAAACCCCGAGGCTCACAGATTCCACGTTGGTTCTGTTCCACCCCCACTTCACCTTGCATTCACCTCGCCTCTGTGGCAGACAGAATAATGGCCCCAAAGATGTACACGGTCTGATCCCCAGAACCTGTCATCTGCTGTCTCAGGGCAACAAGGACTCTGTGGATGGGAGGGAGTTAAGCACTGACATGGGGAAACTCTCCTGAACTATCCTGACGGGCCGAATGTCATCACAGGTGACCTAAGACGTGACCACAGTACACCATGGAATACTATGCACCAATGAAAAAGAATGAGTTCATGTCCTTTGCAGGGACATGGATGAACTGGACGCCATCATCCTTGGCAAACTAACACAGGAACAGAAAACCAAACACCATGTGTTCTCACTCAGAAGTGGGAGTTGAACAATGAGAACACATGGACACAGGGAGGAGAACATCACACACCAGGGCCTGTCGGGGGGTGGGGGAAGGGGAGGGAGAGCATTAGGACAAACACCTAAGGCATGTGGGGCTTAAAACCTAGATGACAGGTTGGTATGTGCAGCAAACCTTCATGGCACATGTAACAAACCTGCACGTTCAGCACATGTATCCCAGAACTTAAAGTAAAATAAATAAATAAATAAATAAGTGACCACAGGACCTAAGTGGGTCAAGGTCAGAGGAGTGATGGGGGATGGAAGCAGAGGTCAAGGTCAGAGGAGTGATGGGGGATGGAAGCAGAGGTCAAGGTCAGAGGAGTGATGGGGGATGGAAGCAGAGGTCAAGGTCAGAGGAGTGATGGGGGATGGAAGCAGAGGTCAAGGTCGGAGGAGTGATGGGGATGAAAGCAGAGGTCAAGGTCGGAGGAGTGATGGGGGATGGAAGCAGAGGTCAAGGTCAGAGGAGTGATGGGGGATGGAAGCAGAGGTCAAGGTCGGAGGAGTGATGGGGATGAAAGCAGAGGTCAAGGTCGGAGGAGTGATGGGGATGGAAGCAGAGGTCAAGGTCAGAGGAGTGATGGGGGATGGAAGCAGAGGTCAAGGTCGGAGGAGTGATGGGGATGGAAGCAGAGGTCAAGGTCGGAGGAGTGATGGGGGATGGAAGCAGAGGTCGGAGTGCAGCACTCTGAGGACGGAGGAAGGGCCATGAGCCGAGGAATGCGGGCAGCCTCTAGGAGCTGGAAAAGGCCGGAAACGGATTCTCTCCTAGAGCCTTGAGAAGGGACGTGGCTCTGCAGATGACACCTTGATTTTGGAGACTTGAGAAGGGACGTGGCCCTGCAGACACCTCGATTTTGGGCCATGAGACCAAACCATTTTGGACTTCTGACCTCCAGAACTGTAACAGACTTGTGTGATTTCTAAGCCGCTGCGTTTGTGATTTGTAAGCCGCTGCGTTTGTGATTTGTTACAACCCACTTTTGGGAACAATGACCCGGAAGGAGGGCGAGGATAGAGAAGCCAGAGCCAGCACAGAGGTGCCAGGAGGCAGGAGCAGAGGAGGGGCGAGCTGTATCCCAGACAATAAGAGGGGGGAGTGTCTGGGGGCTGGTCGGGCCGCATGAGAAGGGAGACGGATGAGGCCACTGGCAGCCTTGACGGGAGCTGCTCCCTCTGGAAGGAAGGAAGGCCGCCCGGCTGCCATGGACTGAAGGCTTTGCTCGCTTTGCCTCACCGAGATGCCCCCTCTCTGCTGCTACATCTCAGCACCCAGCAGGCACTCGGTACGCACTTATGAGGAACACGCGACTGCTCTGACTCTTCACCCTCCTGCCACTGGGGACTCAGGCCTGGCCGCAAACACCCCCTCACTCAGGGCCCCTGTGCCGCTCGAGGTGGCTCAGGGCCTTTGCACTGGCTGCTCTCGTGGCCTGGACCACTCTTCTCAGAGGTCTCTGCGTGGCTGCCCACCGCTCATCACCCAGGCCCCACACAGCAGCCACCAGCCATGGGAGAGTGCCACTACTGAAAGGATGGTATTTTGAACACATTGGGGTCCATGAAGTAAATTTGCCTTTTTTTAACGTGCTGACTAGAACACTTAAGATGGCATGTGCAGCTCACATAACACATCCCCCGACAGGACTCTAAGCCAGGCTGGCAACTTCCCTGACGGGGCCAGGCAGTCAACACTTCCAGCTCCTCGGGCCCTCTGTGGTCATCACGGTGGCAAGTGTCAGCCCCAGGTGACATGAGTGGGTGGGTGTGGCTGTGCACCAAGACTTCACCCAGAACGTGAGTCGGCCCTTGCCTGCTGTGTGGTCAAGAAACCAAACCTGCCCAGAGAGGCCTGGCTTTGCCCTCTGCCCCTGGGAAGTCATCTCTGAGCCCTTGGAGCCTCACGCATGATAAGGAGGGTCTGCCTGCCCCGGGGGACTCAGGCCAGCCCAAAAGCAAGATGAATTTGGGGTAGAGTTTGGACCAGGGGGTATCCTTGACTTTCAGGGGGCGGGAGGCTGAGGTCAGCCACACAGAACGGGGAGGAGTCCCCAGTAAGAACCCAGGACACCACGGTCTGAGGAGAATTCCTGGCCGGCAAGACCCCCTGCGTGCGGGCGGGGTGCGGGGAGAGGACAGCTGGTAACTGCGCTCCCTGGAGCCTTCGTGGCCTTCTTCCCAGCTGCTTCCAGCACGTCCTTCTCTGATAAGCCGTGACCGTGAACACGGCTGTGAGTCCTAGAGAACTCGCAAGTATGCCAGGGTCTTGGGGCCCTCCTGACTTGCAGCTGGTGTGGGGATGGAGGGTGCCGCACGTGGACTGTCCCTCCACGCTGTACCGCAGCCTGTACCGCAGCCTCCCCACCGCGAGTCACACTGGTTTTCAGGGGTTCAGTGGTGCTCCTCCCTGGGCTTCCTGGTGGCTTCCCTGGCACCTTCCCCTCTCCCTTCCCCGCTTGCAGTCCCGCCAGGCTCACCCAGAGCTCCTCCAGCAGGGCCACCGCCTCCTCCCCGCTCTGCGGCTGCCGGCTGCACACCCAGGCCTGCGTGTCGGCGGGCAGCGCGCTCAGGAACTGTTCCAGCACCAGCAGCTCCAACATCTGCTCCTTGGTGTGCACCTCGGGCCGCAGCCAGTCCCGGCACAGGGCGCGGAGCAGCCCCAGCGCCTCCCGCGGGCCCGGCGCGTCGCCCAGGTGGAAGCGGCGGAAGCGGTGCCACGGGGAGTCCAGCGCCAGGCCCTCGGCCTCCTGCTTCACGGGCACCGCCACCTCCATGGGGCCTCCCGGACCGCAGCGCCTGCAGGGAACAAGCCGGTGAGACCCCTGCCCGCCGAGACCCTGCCCGCGGTGCCCAGACTCACAATGGGACCAACGCTCTTTTTTTTTACTTTTTATTTTTTGAGACGGAGTTTCGCTCTTTCCCCCAGGTTGGAGTGCAGTGGCGGATCTCAGCTTACTGCAACCTCAGCTCCCGGGTTCAGGCGATTCTCCTGCCTTGGCTTCCTGAGTAGCGGGAATTACAGGCATCCGCCACCACGCCTGCTAATTTTTATATTTTTAGTAGAGATGGGGTTTCACCATGTTGGCCAGGCTGATCTCAAACTCCTGACCCCAGGTGATCCGCCCACCTCGGCCTCCCAAAGTGCTGGGAATTACAGGCGTGAGCCACTGCACCCGGCCTGGGACCCGCGCTTCTGAGCCGCCCACATACCCAGGATAGGCCCGGCCTCTGTGCCTCGGTTTCCCCTGTAAGATAAAGCACTCACCTGCTCTGCCTGGCCCAGGGGGCAAAGAGGTCTCTGTGAGGGGGCAGCGCTCACTCGGGTGGTGAGGAAAGGGTGTGCCCTTCCTGGGATCCCAGGGAGTCAAGTCCAGGCTGGGTCCTGCCCTGGGCCCCTGGCCTCTGTACCTCAGTCCTGCAGCTCCTCCCGCAGCCTGTCCTGAGGATTCAACCAGAAAACACAGAAAGAGCTTGCAGCAGGCCTGGCAGCAGCAGGTCACCATCAGCACCACCCTCACTGGACTTGTGGGGCCGTGCACCCCACACCCTGGGAGCAGACACTTTGCAGCCTACTCAGAAGCCACCCCAACTAACTGCTGTGGCCTGAATTTGTCTCCCAAAATTCACATGTGGAAGCTCTCACCCCAGTGTGACCGTATTTGGAGACGAAGCTTTTAACTGGTAATGAAAGTTAACTGAGGTCACAAGGGCTGGGCCTAATAGGGCTGTGGCCTTATAAGAGAAAGGGACACCGGGACTCTGTCCATCTCTGCCAGCAGGAGCACACAGCAAGGAGGCCACCTGCAGCCTGGCAGAGGCCCTCACCAGGAACTGACCATGATGGCATTCTGAGCTTCCCGCTCCCAGAACTGAGAAATAAGCTCATAGCAGTTCAGTCCACGGTGCTCCGCTATGACAGCTATGACGGCCTGTCCCAGTCCCTTCCGCTGGGAATTTGCGATCTGGGTGCCAGCACTGTCGGGTTCTGGTGAGCACCTCTTCCAGGCTGCCGACGGCCTCCTTTTGTGTCCTCCCATGGCGTAGAATAGAGAGAGGCAGCGAGCTCTCCTGTCTCTATTTTTTTTTTTAATTTTTGTTTTGAGATGGAGTCTCGCTCTGTTGCCCAGGATGGAGTGCAATGGTGCGATCTTGGTTCACTGCAACCTCCGCCTCCCAGGGTCAAGCGATTCTCCTGCCTCATCCTCCCAAGTAGCTGGGATTATAGACGTGCGTTACCACGTCCGGATAATTTTTGTATTTTTAGTAGAGACGGGGTTTCGCCAGGTTGGCCAGACTGGTCTCAAACTCCTGACCTCAGGTGATCCACCTGCCTTGGCCTCCGAAAGTGCTGGGATTACCGGCATGAGCCACCACGCCCAGCCGTGATTGCCATTTTTAAATGCATTAATAAATACTTTACAATTTTCTGTTTTGGTTTCTACTATGATACGTAACAATAGATATGACTCCCATCAATAAAAGCATGTTAGGGTCTTCAGTAATTTTGAAGGCAGAAAGGAGTCCTGACTTCAAAGCATTTGAGAAATGGTGGTCTCTGAGCTGGTGGGCCGAATCTGGCCTGCAGCCTGTTTTACTTAAGTCTCACTGGCGCACATCCACGCCCACTTGCTCACGCGCTGTCCACGGCCGCCTTGGAGCTACCGAGTGGCTGTGACAGGGCCTGGGTGGCCTGTAAGGCTGTCCACAGAGCCAAAGATAGTCACTCGCTGGCTCTTTACAGGACAAGACTGCCGGCCCCTGACCTCAAGGACACTGGAAGATCAAGACAGAAGGGACCCTGATGACCCCATGGGGCTCAGGCGCCAGCCCGCCCCAGAACACCTCTGGAGTATTATGGGAGAAAAGAATCAGTTCTGTCCTATGTGGAGCCCTGTACTTGGGGTCTCTTCATTACAGCAGCTTGGACTGTATCATAAGGAACTATATAGCAAAGTCCCCTTGACCACAAGGCAGAGGGTGGGCACATAATCTGCTTCTAGCCGGTGAGGTCTGAGAGGAAGTCTGTGTTCAGACAATTTTCCTCCTGATACAACCAAAGCCTGGGCTCCTGACCGCCATGTCACTAACCACAAACGTCATCTCATTGCTGGGACGGCTGCCACAAGACCCGTGTATGCCTACTCTCGCCACCTAGAGCCAAATCACTCCACAGTGATCACAAAAACTTTTTCACTGTAAATCCCTGTCACTTCCTTGCTCAGTGCCCTCCAACTGCTTCCTGTGATGCTCAAAACCCAAATTGCTTACTATGGCCATGAGACCATGCAGCCCAGCCCTACTTTCTCATCTCTGCCTGCTCCCAGATTCTCTATACTCCAGCCACAATGGATCCCTTTTTTTCTTTTTTCTTTTTTTTAAGACAGGGTCTCTCTCTGTCGCCCAGGCTGGAGCGGTGGCATGACCTCTCGGCTCATTGCAGCCCCGACCTCCTGGGCTCAAACCATCCTCCTGGCTCAGCCTCCTGAGCAGCTGGGACCACAGGCAGGCACCAACACACCCAGCTAATTTTTATATTTTTTGTAGAGACAGGGTCTCACTATATTGCCCAGGCTGGTCTCAAACTGCTGGACTCAAGTGATCCTCCCACCTCAGCCTCTCAAAGTGCTGGGATTACAGGAGTGAGCCACTGTGCCCGGTCTGGCTCACTTTCTATCTTCTTGGACCGAAGGCCAGTGCCCACCACAGGGCCTCTGCACCTGTGCTGCCTCCCGCTGGATCACTCTTTCCCCCCAATCTTTGCTTACCTGACTCCTTCTCATGACTGAGGCCTCCATGCAATTATTACCCCCTTGGAGAGCCTCCCCAGATCACCCCCTCCGATGCTGCACCCACGTGCCCTTCCCCCAGTTGCTAAGACGTCACCCTTATTAGTTTTCTTTCAGCATTTAACAAGATCTAGTGTTACGATATCTGTGTGCTGACTTTCTTCACTACAATTCATGTGGGCGAGAGACTCCATATTCCAACCCCAGCATTCTGGCTAGCACTCAAATAAACTTTACAGGCTGATCAATCCCATGAGGTTGGTGTTACTACCCCCAAGTTGCAGCAGGAGCAAGGGGAGATGTCTTACCTAAAGTCACTCAGCTAACACGTGGCAGAGCCTGGACTTGCACATCCACAGCCAGGCCACAGCATCACCTCCCACCCCACCCATCCATCAGTTTAAGGGCTGATGAACCTGGGAGCAGGCAGAAAGACTTATCGGAAGACCCAGGCCAGATCCAAGTCTCAAAAGCCACACAGATGCCTGCTCTGCTATAAAAAAGATCCCTCTGGGACTAAGGAGGAATTTCCGCCAGAGAGCAATGCCACAGGCCATCAAGCTGACCCTGTTTGCAATCTCAGAGGTGATCACAGGTCACTACACCCTGGGCTGTCCAGAAAGTGAGCTCTCTGGGGCAGTGACCAAGTCCAGCTCTTCACTGGGTCGGTGGGGCCATCCAGCACAAGGCCTGCTCCCAAGAAAGCACATGCTGTTAAGTAAGGGCCTTCCACCATGTCAATCCACCCTACCATCCAATGAGCGCCCTGTGCTATGTGCATTCAACAGCTGTAACCCTGCTGTCTAGCTGTCTGTGTCCGCAAAGCACAGTCCAGTCCAGAGCCAGGCACCCTGGATGCCTTGAAGACAGCCACTGAGTGGCTAGTGTCTTATACTGCCCCACCCAACCTTCCCAACAGACCTGTGAGCTGGGGAGATGGGTCCCCTCTTACCATAGGGAGATGCTCAGAGAGTGAAGGAGCCACAAATGGGACCCAGATGTGACTCCAGAGTCCACACCAGTTCCACCTAGTACCCCGGCACCAGCACCCACATATGCTGGGTTAATATCATGGCTAAGAGGCTGTGGAGTCTGGCTGCCTGGCTTCAACTTCCAGCTCTGCCACTCATCAGCAGTGTGACTGTGGACGTGTGACTTACCCCCTCTGTGCTTCATTTCTCCACCTGAGACACAGGACTAACAAGAGCTCCTTCCTCTCAAGAGGCTGCTGGGAGCAGGAGTTAGAAGCAGCCTCCAAAGGCTAAGTGCTCGACAAAGACCGGTTTGTCTACTCTAGGTTCCCAACCTCGACATTAATGGCACTTGTGTCGTGGCGGGCTATCCTGTGCAACATACGATGTCTACCAGCATCTCTGCCTCTTTTCATGAGATGCCAGTAGCACTTCCCAAGTTGGAAAAACCAAAAAAAAAGTCTCCAGACATTGCCACATGTCCCCTGGGGGACAAAACCACTCCTGGTTGAGAGCCGCTGGCCCACTGGACAAATATTTACCTACGGCACAAAGGCTCTGGGGCAAATTCCAGCTCTGCCTCCTACCAGCTCTGTGTCCTTGGACGAGGTACAAGGCACCTTTTGTAATACCCTGTATCTCCATTTCGTTGACTGTAAAGTGATAGAAGGAGAACAAAAATGCTGAGAACCACACCTGGCTAGTAAGTGTCCAGTCAGACTTAGGGTTACTTTGTCGAAGTTTCCCTGCGAGGTGCCCAGGGGACACTGCTATGAACACGCACGCAGATTAAAATACTAAGTATACATTGGAATAGGCGTTAAAATCGGATATAGAGGAGGGTGACTCCATCCTGACTGGGGTAGAGGTGGCGGGGGTCAACTTCATTTGACAATAAACAGAGTTTCTAAGCACTTTACACATATTACCGAAGGTAATAATGCCTTGCAACAAGCTAAAAAGGCAGATGCTCCGCACTGAGAAAGCAGCAAAACAGAGCAACGATTCTTATCTTCAGGAATCTCACAACTCTGTAAAAGTTGCACTTGTAGAAGCAGCGCGCAAAACGAGCCACCTGCGCCGTATCTACGTTACAACAATAACCATCGTCCCCGGAAGCCCCTTCCCGCAAACCTTTCCGAAGGGGTCCGGTCCCGGCGCCCCCAGACTCCTTTGTAGGGTCCAGCTTCCCACTCAGCTTTCATCTCACAGCCCACCCTCTGCTAGGGTCCCCTTCCCCTCCCCCACCTGTCCCTCCCCCGTCCCGCCCCTCCCCCTCCCCCAGGCGCCCCTCCCCCGTCCTCTCCCTCAGCATTTCTCTCCCGCGTTCAGGACCTCGAGGATCCACGACCCCCTCCCACTATCCACCCCTCCCCCTCTCCAAGTCCCTCCCCCTCTAGTTCCCTCTCCCAGCCCCTTCCCCATCACTCAGCCCCCTTCTCCTCCCCTCCCCGCAAGTCTCCCATCTTTCCCTCCTGAGGCCCCCGGCGCCCCTCTTCCCATCCAACCTCTGGTCCCTCCCTCGTCCAACCGCCCCCACCCAATCCCTCCCTCCTTCCCCCCTCGCTCACCTCACTCTCTCAGGCGAGGCCCCCCAAGCCCCCTCACCTCCCCGCACATGCGCACAAAGCTCGCCGGGACTCCATGCCCCAGCAGGCTTTGCGCCAAACTCCCCCGTCCCCCTCCCCCAATCCCATACTCCGAGCCGCTCGTTCAGCCCAACAACTCCCCATGAAGCCCCGGCCTCACCCCGAACTACAACTCCCAGGAAGCATCGCGGCAAAGGCGGCTGCCAATTGGCCCTCGCCTGGGGACCGCCTTACTCCTGTTTGTCACCGCGTGGCGTCTTCGCCAACACTGGAACTACATTTCCCAAGATACGCGAAAGCGTCGTCTGCAGCCTATTTGGCCTTGACGGCGCAAATGTCGCGGGCTGTCTGAGCGCGACAGGCTTTGGACTACATTTCCCAGAATGCACGAGGAGGCTTCCCAGTGGTCTGCGCGCGGGCCCTGGACATGCGCAGAAGTGCCGGGAAAAAAAGAGGGAGGAGGAGGAGGAGCCATGGCGGCGTTGTTGTGGAGATCAGGGGAGGCCGGGCACCGCCGGGCATTTGGGAGGTGGGGCCTCCGGAGCTCTAGAAGCTGGCAAGCGAAGAGGAGGAGGAGGAGGAGACCAGGCTAGAGTTCTGCGCCAATCAGGAGTGCAGGCTACGTCTCCTTGACTACGGATCGCATTTTTTTTTGTCCTCCCTCTCCACCCGGGCAGAACTTAAGGGCCGATGTCGGTGCCAGGAATCAGGACGTGAGCAGGCTGCCCTCCTGTTCCGGGGTGGGCAGTGGCTCAGGAGGGGGCCAGCGCGGGGGCCTCGGTTTGGCTCTTCCTGTGTGTGAACCTGGACAGGACACCGCCCTCTCTTTAGCCTCAGTTTCCCCTGGGGTGAATTGGGGGACAGCGCTACCTGCCACGCGTCCTCGCTGTGCCCCTATTGGACAGACTACTGCCCCGTCCTGAGGCCTCAGTTTCTGCATCTCAGAACTGTGAAGAAGCATATTTGGATTTTAGAGCAGACAGACATCCTAAGAGATCAGCTGAAGTTTTTATCTAGACAGTTCCAGACCTGATTATGGCTCATACAAGCCCTACCCCAGCCCGCAGCGTATTTCCTCCTCCGTACAACAAGGATAAGAGAATCCCCCTCCCATCCTCCACCTCCCCGGCTGATCTGAAGACTCCGCGCCATAAAAACGAAGACAGTGGCTTACCCATAACAAGCATTCATTACATGGAAGTTGTTCGTCTTATATTCATAAATGAACAACTTTCCCCAGGTTTCACAAGCGATGAGTGGCTGACTCAGAACTTTGTGACCAGTTTGCCCACGGTGGCCTAATCTGCCCTGGCCCACCTGTCTACCACTGTCTTCTCCTCGTGTTTAATGAGTTCCAGTCATGCCTCCTTTCTGCTCCTAGAGCACGCTGATCTTCTTCCCACTCATATCCGATGGCCTACTTGACATCTCCTCTTGGATTTCTTAATAGGCATCTCAAACCTAAGGTGGGCAGTAGATAATTTTTCACTCTCTCCCCCACCTTGCGAAGAAATTTGTTCCTTCCCATTACTCCACCATCTTAGAAAGCAAGTCCATCTTCACCCAAATGTTGAGGCCAAAAATAGAAAAGCAGCCCTTGATTCTTTTTTCTTTTTTTTTTTTTGGTTTTTTGTTTTGTTTTGTTTTGTTTTTTGATACAGGGTCTGGCTGTGTTGCCCAGGCTGGAGTGCAGTGGTGCGATCACAGCTCACTGCAACCTCCGACTCCCAGTCTCAAGTGATTCTCATGCTGCATCCTCCTGAGTAGCCAGGACTACAGGCGTGCACCACCATGCCCAGCTAATTTTTGTATTTTTAATAGAGATGGGGTTTGCCATGTTGGCCAGGCTGGTCTCGAACTCCTGGCCTCAAGTGATCTGCCTCCTCGGCCTCCCAAAATGCTGTGATTGCAAGCGTGAACCACCATGCCCAGCCAATTCCTCTTTTTCATCACCATCCACATGCAATCTATCATCAGGTCCTATTGGCTCTGTCTTCAAAATAGATGCAGAATCTGTCCACAGCTCTCCCGTCTATGGCTACCACCTGGTTTAAGTCCCCATGGCCTCTTTAGACACTGTCATGCTTCCACTCTCGCCTCTTCTGCCTCCTGCCCCTCAGTTCCTGCTCCACACAGCGCCAAAGGGATCTTTTTTTTTTAATTGTGGTAAAATATATACAAGATAAAAATTACCATCTTAATCATTTTTAAGGTACAGTTCAGTAGCATTAAGTACATTCAAGCTAGGCCGGGTGTGGTGGCTCACGCCTGTAATCCCAGCACTTTGGGAGACCGAGGCGTGCGGATCAGAAGTTAGGAGTTCGAGACCACCCTGGCCAACATGGTGAAACCCCGTCTCTACTAAAAATACAAAAATTAGCTGGGCATGGTGGCGGGCACCTGTAATCCCAGCTACTCGGGAGGGTGAGGCCAGAGAATCTCTTGAACCTGGAAGGTGGAGGTTGCAGTGAGCTAAGATTGCACCGCTGCACTTCAGTCCGGGCAACAGAGTCAGACTCTGTCTCAAAAAAAAAAAAAAAAAAAAAAGTACATTCAAGCTGTGCAATCATCACTACTGTCCATTTCCCGAATTTTTCATCTTCCCAAATTGAAATTGTACCCATTAAATGTGAACCACCCATTCCTCTCTCCCCCGAGCTCCTGGCCAACCACCATTCTGTTATCAGTTTCTGTAATTTATTTATTTGAGACAGGGTCTGAATCTGTTGGCCAGACTGGAGTCCAGTGGCTCAGTCTTGGCTCACTGTGACTTCTGCTTCCCAGGCTCAAGGGATTCTCCCACATTGGCCTCCCGAGTAGCTGAGACTACAGGTGCACACAACCACGCCCAGCTAATTTTTTTTTTTCTTTTTTTTGTAGGGACAGCGTTTTGCCATGTTACCCAGGCTGGGTTTAAACTCCTGGTCTCAAGTGATCCACCTGCCTCAGCCTCCCAAAGTGTTGGGATTACAGGTGTGAGCCACCATGCCCAGCCCAGTTTCTGTGATTTTGACCACATTAATACTTCATGTAAGTGGAATCATACCGTATTTGTTTTTTGTGACTGACTTATTTAACTTGGCAGAATGTCCTCAAGGTTAATCCATGTTGTAGTGTATGTCAAAATCTCCTTCCTTTTAAAGATTGCCTAATATTCTGTTGCATACACAGACCATATTTTGTTTACCCATTTATCAGAGGAATTTTGTTTTTTAAGATGGAGTTTTCCTTCTCGTCACCCAGGCTGGAGTGCAATGGTTCCATCTCAGCTCACTGCAACCTCCACCTCGAGGGTTCAAGCGATTCTCCTACCTCAGCCTCCTAAGTAGCTGGGATTACAGGCGCCCGCCACCACACCCAGCTAATTTTTTTGTAATTTTAATAGAGACGGGGTTTCACCATGTTGGCCAGGCTGGTCACAAACTCCTGACCTCAGGTCATCCACCCGCCTCGGCCTCCCAAAGTGCTGGGATTACAGGCGTGAGCCACCGAAACTGGTCCCAGAGGGATCTTATTTAAACTTAAATAGGGTCATGTCACTTTTGCTTAAAACCCTCCATTGCAAACCCTTGTCGCTAGCCTGCACAGTCCCACATGATGTGCCTTCAGACCCAGAGCTCCTTTAGCTTATAGAGTGCCTTTGTGTGTGTTAGAAAAGCATGGCCCTCAGAAGCACTGCAGAACTGAGCCGGGGCACACAGCTTGGCAGGCAGATCCGGAGGAATATTCCAGCCACCTCTTCCTGGTTGGCCAGGTGCCTGCATGTCATATACAGGGTTCACACAGGCTCTCGATCCAACACCGTTTCCTTCTTCATCACTATGTTTCAACTCATTGGCCACTTTTTTTTTCTTTTTCTTTTTCTTTTTTGAGGCTGAGTCTCGCTCTGTCACCCAGGCTGGAGTGTAGTAGCTTGATCTTGGCTCATTGCAACCCCCTTCTCCCAGGCTTAAGCGATTCTTCCACCTCAGACTCCTGAATAGTTGGGACAACAGGCACCCACCACCACACCAGTTAATTTTTGTATTTTTAATAGAGACGGGGTTTTGCCATGTTGGCCAGGCTGGTCTCAAACTCCTGACCTCAGGTAATCCGCCCGCCTCGGCCTCCCAAAGTGCTGGGATGACAGGCGTGAGCCACCGCGCCAGGCCTCATGGGTCACTCTTTTAAGTTCCTCTAACACAGCAGTTCTCAAAGTGTAGTCCCCAGACCAGCTGCACAACATCACCTGGGAGCTTGTTAGAAATGCAGATTCTCGGCTGGGCACAGTGGCTCACGCCTGTAATCCCAGCACTTTGGGAGGCCGAGGCAGGTGGATTACCTGAGGTCGGGAGCTTGAGACCAGCCTGACCAACATGGAGAAACCCCATCTCCACTAAAAATACAAAAAAATTAGCTGGGTGTAGTGGTGCATCCCTGTAATCCCAGCTACTAAGGAGGCTGAGGCGGGAGAATCACTTGAACCGGGAGGCAGAGGTTGCGGTGAGCCAAGATCGTGCCATTGCACTCCAGCCTGGGCAACAAGAGTGAAACTCCGTCTAAAAAAAGAAAAAAAGAAATGCAGATTCTCGGTCTCTGCCTCAGACTGAATCAGCAACTCTAGCAGGGGGCCCAGCGATTTACTTCAACAAGGCCTCCAGGGGATGCAAAGGCGCACTCCTATGCATCGGTACCTTCTACCTGCACTCTAGAATAGTCGCCGCTTCACAGGGTGCTTGGGAGGATTCATGAGTTAATACACGCAAAGCACTCGGAAGGCTACCTGGCAGGGAGTACGAGTTCAATAAACACTTGCTATTCTTACTTAACTCCAGTGGAGTCGCTGATAAAAGCAAGCCCAGCTCAAATGCAAAGTTGACTCTTCCCTCCCTCCCCACATCCGTGCAACAAAAACAGCTTGTTTCACTACTGGCTATTGTCTGCTCAGCATTTGTTCACTTCATACAAACTGGACACCTATAATGAGACAGATGAAATGTTGTATGGGCACAAAGGATCCGAGGGTGGACAGAGTACACAGAATCAGTGTCCAGCCAGAGTTGAGGGCCTAGCACAGTGGGTGAGGGCAGGGCTCCAAACCCACCCAACATGCCCCAGCCGAGAGAGCCTGGGGATCTCAGCTCATCGGCGTCTTCACTTGAATGGAGGTCATAACACACTCAGAGAGTTGGGATTGGGGGTGAGCGTGGTTAATAAGGGCCCAAGGGCCCAATAAGGAGCGGGTCCTTTTTTTTTAGCTTTTTTTTTTTTTTTTTTTTGAGACGGAATCTCGCTCTGTCACCCAGGCTGGAGTGCAGTGGTGAGATCTTGGCTCACTGCAACCTCTGTCTCCTGGGTTGAAGCGATTCTCCTGCCTCAGCCTCCCAAGTGGCTGGGATTACAGGCACGCACCACCACACCCGGCTAATATTTTTTGTATTTTTAGTAGAGACGGGGTTTCACCATGTTGGCCAGGCTGGTCGATCTTCTGATCTCAAGTGAGGCCCACCCACCTCAGCCTCCCGAAGTGCTGGGATTACCAGTGTGAGCCACCCTGCCTGACCAGGAGCAGGTCCTTATTGGTGTAAGCCAATTTTGCTGTGCCCCTTCTCCTTGCCAGCAATTGGTTGACGCTCACATATGTGACACTATTCTGGCTAATGAAACCTGAAGGCAGATTTGCTGGGGCACTGCTGGGAAAGGTTTTCCCAACTCTTAAGCAACTGATAAGCAGGAAGAAACAGTTGCCCTGGAGCCCTGCCCTGTCTGCAGGTGACACTTCAAGCTGTGGCAGCCACCTGGGTACCATGAGGGCTGGTAGTGGGAGCTCCTCACTTAGGATGGAAGGGAGGTGAGACGGAGGAACCTGGATCCTTCATGGCATGGTTTGGCAGCTGAATTTTAACCAACCGTGGCTGGACCTGCCCTACCTCCAGGCTTCTCTTGGCATGAAGTAGTAAGTCCCCTCAAGCCATTTTGAGTCAAGTTGTCTGTTGTTGAAGCCAAAAGTGACAGCAAGTCACACATATCCGGGGCCAGCTTCATGGGATGCAACCTGTGTGGTTGCAGGCTGCCCTGCACTTGGTTGAATGCCCAGCTGTGGCTATCTTGACATTTTTTTCTTTTTTTTGAGACAGAGTCTCGCCCTGTCACCCAGGCTGGAGTGCAGTGGCGCGATCTCGGCTCACAGCAAGCTCCACCTCCTGGGTTCATGCCATTCTCCTGCCTCAGCCTCCCCAGTAGCTGGGACTACAGGCGCCTGCCACCATGCCTGGCTGATTTTTTGTATTTTTAGTAGAGACGGGGTTTCACCGTGTTAGCCAGGATGGTCTCGATCTCCTGACCTCGTGATCCACCCACCTCGGCCTCCCAAAGTGCTGGGATTACAGGCATGAGGCACCGTGCCCGGCCTGACATTTTTTTTTTTTAAAGAAATAAGGTCTCACAAACTCCTGGCCTCACGAGATCCTCCTGCGTCAGCCTCCTGAGTAGCTGGGATTACAGCTACCACACCCAGCTTGAAATTCTTAATACTTTTTTTTTTTTTAAACACAGGGCTCTGCATTTTAATTTTGTCCTGGGTCCTGTTTACATAAATATCACCTTGACGATCTGTGCAATGTTGGCACACCAGCGTTTAGGACAGGTCCTAATGTATGGTAAGTGGGCCATAAATCTTGGTGAGGAATGAAATGAAGGAACGACTTCCTGGAAATGTCCTTCCTCCACTTCTTCATCTGGTAACATCATATAATACTCTGTGATCAGACGTCCCCTCCTCCAGGAAGCCTTCCCAGACCACCCCCACACCTGTAAGTCTGGACCAAGTGCCTCACTGGAGCTTCCGCAGAGCCCCCTCTTTCTCCATTTCATATACTATTTTTGGGTGACTGCTCCGCCCACCTCATGCTGAGCGACTCAGCAACAGAGACCAACCCTCCTTGCCTGCTGTACCCAGCTCCTGGCTTGGGGCCTGCCTGTGAATGAGTAAATAAGAGTGAAGGCAAGTGGTTCTTACCCTGCTTCCCAGGCCTGAGGGCGAGAATTCCTTTGACAGCAAATTTAGCTCATACCTTCTAGCTTCTCGGCTCCTTTGTAGCTCTGCTATAATTATTACCCCAAATAATAATTAAGGTTTTTCTCTTTGTATGGTGCTTTGAAGCACTAAGATCCCCCAGGGCAGGGATGGGGTTTGGTTCATCTCTGGAGGCTCGGGTTGGGTTTATGGGTGAGTGGATGATGGACGCATGAGTGAGCTGAGTGAGCGTGTGAGGGGGAGAACCAGCAGAAAGGGGAAGAACCAGCAGAAGGGGGGATGGCGTATGGATGTCAGTCTGTGTCTAGCAGTGCAGGCTCCCAGGGGGCTGGATCTGAACCTGAGTCATCTTTGGCTTCCCAGGCAACAGGAAACGTTTGAGAAAGGATAATGAAATTAATGAACGAATTGCTTAATGATGGATCACATTGCCCATTATCTGACTTCCCCCTCATGCTCCCCCGGCGAGGCAGCAGAGCTCATCAGGAATCACCCCATTTTTTTTTTTTTTTGAGATGGAGTCTTGCTCTGTCGCCCAGGCTGGAGTGCAGTGGCGCGATCTTGGCTCACTGCAAGCTCCGCCTTCCGGGTTCACGCCATTCTCCTGCCTCAGCCTCCCGAGTAGCTGGGACTACAGGTGCCCGCCACCACGCCCGGCTAATTTTTTTGTATTTTTAGTAGAGACGGGGTTTCACCATGTTAGCCAGGATGGTCTTGATCTCCTGACCTTGTGATCCACCCATCTCGGCCTCCCGAAGTGCTGGGATTACAGGCGTGAGCCATCGCGCCCGGCCTGAGAATCACCCCATTTTACGGTTGGGATAATCGAGGCTCAGTGGAGCAGGTGTACTTTCCCAGGTGACACAGCAAGAGACCCGGGTTTTAAGGCCAGCAGCAGGTGTCCTGAGTCTCTCTCACAGATGAGGAAACTGAGGCTCAAGAAGGGCATTCTAGCCAGGTGCGGTGGCTCATGCCTGTGATCCCAGCACTTTGGGAGGCTGAGGTGGGTGGATCACCTGAGGTCAGGAGTTTGAGACCAGTCTAGCCAACATGGTGAAACCAAGTCTCTACTAAAAATACAAAAATTAGCCGGGCATGGTGGTGTGCGCCTGTAATCCCAACACTTTGGGAGGCCGAGGTGGGTGGATCACCTGAGGTCAGGAGTTTGAGACCAGTCTGGCCAACATGGTGAAACCACATCTCTACTAAAAATACAAAAATAAGCCGGGCATGGTGGCCCATGCCTGTAATCCCAGCTACTTGGGAGGCTGAGGCAGAAGAATTGCTTGAACCTAAGAGGTGGAGGTTGCAGTGAGCCAAGATCGCACCACTGCACTCCAGCCTGGGCAACAGTGTGAGACTCTGTCTCAAAAAAAAAAAAAAAAAAAAGAAAGAAAGAAAGAAAGAAAAAGAAAAAAAAGAAGGGCATTCTGAGGTGTCCACCCAGCTCCGGCAGCAGGTTTTCCACCGGCCAGATATATCCTCTTCCTTAGATGTTCAGAGAGTGAGCAGGGCCTACAGGAGGAGCGAGTCAAGCTCACCTTACCCTCACTGCCAAGGCAGAGAAGAATTCCTTGGAAATTCTTCCCAACTGTATCTCGCAATGTCTGGCAGGAATGAACGCGGCTTCTCAGAGGTTGATACTGTGGCTTCCGTCTCGCCCCCACTTCCAGCCCTTTACTCTCTGGAGAGAAATCTCTCCGGTTGGAGATTGAAGCTGCATTTCCCAGACCTCTGGAGAGCTAGAGTTCTGGGCTGAACTGGGCTTTGCTAATTAAGTGCACTCGAGTAAGATGCGGAAAGCCGATCAAGGGCCAAAAGAACCACTGGCAGTGAGGTTTATTTATCTTGGTTCAGCAAGGGAGGACGCATTCCAGGGGATCCCTGTACAAAGAGTCAGAAGAGGCCTTTCAGAGCGTTAGGGCTTGTGCTAGAGGGCTCTGCCGGGGGTTGGGGGAAGTGGAGAGCAGTTCTAATGAAGGCTTAAGAAGCCGGGCAATGCACTGATTGGATTCCTCCATAATTTTTTTTTTTTTTTTTTTGAGACAGTCTTGCTCTGTCGCCCAGGCTGGAGTGCAGTGGCGCGATCTTGGCTCACTGCAACCTCAGCCTCTCAGGTACAAGGGATTCTCATGCCTCAGCCTCCTGAGTAGCTGGAATTATAGACACAGGCCACCATGCCCAGCTAATTTTTGTATGTTTAGTAGAGACAGGATTTCGCAATGTTGGCCAAGCTAGTCTCGAACTCCTGGCCTCTTGTGATCCACCCGCCTTGGCCTCCCATAAGTGCTGGGATTACAGGTGTGAGCCACCGCACCCGGCTTCAATTTTTTTTCTAATTACAGAGATAGGGTCTTGTTATGTTGCCCAAGCTGATCTTGAACTCCTGGCCTCAAGTGATCCTCCTGCTTCAGCCTCCCAAGTGGCTGGGATTACAGGCGTGAGCGACCATGCCCAGCTCTTCTCTTTAATTTTTGCCCTGAAGGCAGGAAGATAGCGCAGGGTTGCGTTTTCAATGGTAAGGAAGTAGCAGTAAAGAATGTGATGTTGTCAGAGGAAGGAAGGTGTTGAATTTTTTGCTGTTGTGGTGTGACTCTTTGTACAGAACACAATTTTTTTTTTTTTTGAGAACGAGTCTCGCTCTGTCACTCAGGCTGGAGTGCAATGGCCCCATCTTGGCTCACTGCAACCTCCACCTCCCAGGCTCAAGCGATTCTCCTGCCTCAGCCTCCTGAGTAGCTGGGATTACAGGCGCCCGCCACCACGCCTGGCTAATTTTTGTATTTTATTAGAGACGGGGTTTCACCATGTTGGCCAGGCTGGTCTTGAACTCCTGACCTTGTGATCCACCCGCCTCGGCCTCCCAAAGTGCTGGGATTACAGGCGTGAGCCACCACGCCCAGCCCACAACCCTATTCTTGCTTGCTTGGAACATCATGACTTGGCTGCCAGCAGGGCCCATTTTCATTCCCCCGCTTCTCTTGCCCCTCTTGCACTGTTCCTCCTGGCAAGTATAACAGTGGAATATGAGGTGTCTCCACGGCAGGCAGTCAGGGCCATTCTCTGACTTCCCGGACCTCAGGTGGCAGCTTTTGGCCCCTGGATCACAGCTCTGGGGATATGTTCTGGAACTCAGAGCTACAGATGAGTCCTCAAAGGCGGTGGCTCCTTGCTGGGACAGTTCCGTGTGGTTCTCTGAGTTATCGCAGGAGGCTCAGCCCATTCAATAATTTTGTGAACATTTAATTCCCTACATTAAACCCTTTGGTAGATAAAATACCTGGCGTGGGGTCTATTTACCTGTTTCCTCTCTCGAACCCAGACTGAGACACTTCTCCATTCCACTTTAGACAATCGCCATAATGGTAATAACTACTCACGGTTGTGAGCACTTCTTATGTGTCTGAGCACTGGGTTTAGCGGCTTCATGCATCTCATTTAGCACTGGCCACACCTGTGAGGTGTTTGCCCTAACAGGGTCAGACAATATAGGGTACATTATCCAAAGAGTCATCTTCCGGCCAGGCGTGATGGCCCATGCCTGTAATCCCAGCACTTTGGGAGGCCAAGGCAGGCAGATCACCTGAGGTCAGGAGTTCGAGGCCAGCCTGGCCAACATGGTGAAACCCCGTCTCCACTAAAAATACAAAAATTAGCCAGGTGTGGTGGTGCACACGTGTAATCCCAGCTACTCAGGAGGCTGAGGCAGGAGAATTGCTTGAACACTGGAGGCGGAGGTTGCAGTGAGCCAAGATCGCACCACTGCATTCCAGCCTGGGCGACAGAGCGGGACTCCATCTCAAAACAAAAACAAAAACAAAAACAAAAAACAAAAAGTCATCATCTGATTGCTGCCAGGAATGAAGTTATCACAGCAGTAAAAACATCCACTGGTGAGACCCACAAAGTGCAAATGTCCCCTCTTTATAACTGTGCTGTGAAAGTCACATCGGGGAAACTGTACAAATCCGCACCTCATTCATGTTTTGATTTTTCTAAGAATCGGGGCATACATTCATCACTGCAGTTGTTGCTTACATTTTGTTAAATATACAACAAAATCAACCAGGAGTCGATTCTCAGCATTCCTGGTAATTCTGTCAAGCCACCATGAACATCTCATCAGGGAACACTGAATCAACGCTCCTAGGGAAACACTGCGTTGGCTTCCTGTGAGCCTCTGGCCACATGTTTGTCAACACAAGCCTTATTTTACGTATGTTTTTATTTAAACATATCTTTGTTGATACATTGTTTTCTGTTTTTTTTTTTGTTTCATTTTGTTTTTTGTTTTGTTTTGTTTTTTGAGATGGAGTCTCACTCTGTTGCCCAGGCTGGAGTGCAGTGGCGCAGTCTCAGCTCACTGCAACCTCCACCTCCTGGGTTCAAGCAATTCTCTGCGCCAGCCTCCCGAGTAGCTGGGATAACAGGTGCTCGCCACCACACCCGGCTAATTTTTTTGTATTTTTAGTAGAGATGGGGTTTCACCATCTTGGCCAGGCTAGTCTTGAACTCCTGACCTCGTGATCCACCCACCTTGGCTTCCCAAAGTGCTGGGATTACAGGCATGAGCCACTGCACCCGGCTCAGCCTGTATTTTCTTAAAATGATGTGTTTTTTTGTTGTTGTTTCATTTGTCGAGAATCCCAAACAAACATGGAAATAACTGTCTTGCATAAATATAAAATACGGGCTGCTGTATTAAGTGCTCTTTTCCCAGTGCCAGTTACTCTGGGACATTGAGGACCTCCTGTGCTATTTCTGGCCATTCCACAGAGGATCGGAGGGGTCCAAAGCCTGTCTCTCTCTCCTCACCACACTGCACAGCCTTCAGGAGACGGGGCTGAGAATTATGGCCCAGGCTGTCTGACCTTCACGAAGACTGGTGCCACTTCTCCAAGCAGCCCCTTTGGATAGGCAGGGGTCTGTGAGCTCTAACCAGCAACCTCGGCCAGGCACAGTGGCTCACGCCTGTAATCCCAGCACTTTGGGAGGCCGAGGCGGGCGGATCACGAGGTCAGGAGATCGAGACCATCCTGGCTAACACGGTGAAACCCCATCTCTACTAAAAATACAAAAAATTAGCCGGACGTGGTGGCGGGCGCCTGCAGTCCCAGCTACTCAGGAGGCTGAGGCAGGAGAATGGTGTGAACCCGGGAGGCGGAGCTTGCAGTGAGCCGAGAACGCGCCACTGCACTCCAGCCTGGGTGACAGAGCGAGACTCCATCTCGAAAAATAAAATAAAATAAAATAAAATAAAATAAAATAAAATAAAATAAAATAAAATAAAATAACCAGCAGCCTCAGACATTTTACTGTGTGCAATAATGTCAGGAAAAACTGTCCCGGATAAATAAACTCCTGTAGCAACAAGAAGAAACCAGGTGGAAGTGTTCCTCAAAACCGCTTGGAATTTATACTGAACTTTTATAGCACTGGGAACAACCCACCACCTGGAGAGAAAGTTTAACAGGTTTTACGATTTATTTAAGAGCTCTCGTTAATTTTTCATCTCATTTTGTCTTTACCACAGAAGGATTCGCTTGAAATGAACTGATGCCTAAAGGGTCATAATATATTTTTCTCATTAAATGAAAATAAGCTTTATAGTTAAGGAGGTCTTTGGGTGTTTGGATTGGTCAATGTTTTTCGCCTTGGCATCACGAGTTTTAGAGGACAGGCTGAGTGCAGTGGCTCACACCTGTAATCCCAGCACTTTGGGAGGCTGAGGCAGGTGGATCATGAGGTCAGGAGTTCGAGGCCAGCCTGGCCAACATGTTGAAACCCAGTCTCTACTAAAAATACAAAAATTAGCTGGGTGTGGTGGCGGACTCCTGTAATCCCAGCTACTCGGGGGGCTGAGGCGGGAGAATCACTTGAAACTGGGAGGGGGACGTTGCGGTGAGCGGAGATCACACCACTGCCCTCCAACCTGGGGGAAAGAGTAAAACTCGGTCTCAAAAAAAAAAAAAAAGTTTTACAGGACAAAGTGCAATGGATGGACAATTCCATTTAAGTTGAGGATTTATTCTTTAATAAATGTATTTGGAAATGCATTTCAGTGAGATAAACATTTGATGATTATTATCATTATTATTTTTGAAACAGGGTCTTGCTCTGTCACCAAGGCTGGAGTGCAGTGGCACCACCATGGCTCACTGCAGCCTCAACCTCCTGGGCTCAAGCAATCCTCCTGTCTCAGCCTCCTGAATAGCTGGGACCTCAGGCTTGCGCCACCACACCTAATTTTTTTTTGTAGAGATGGAGTCTTGCTATGTTGCCTAGGCTGGTCTCCAACTCATGGCCTCAAGTGATCCTCCTGCCTTGGCCTCCCAAAGTGCTGGGATTACAGATGTGAGCCACCACGCCCAGCCAACATTTCATTCTTAGAGAAGAAATGCATATTTATGCATTCGTATATCCTCTTGGAAGCATGTACACACATTTACATATGTGTCTATCTTCCATTTCCAGCACCTACCCTATGAGATTCATGTGAGGGTTAAATGCGATATGGTAATTGAAGCTGGAGAAATTTGGGTTATCTTATTCTCTGGACAGTGGTGAACACAGCATGAGGGAATGCCTGTGGCTACCTGGACCCTTCCTCCAGACCTCTTATTTTGGCTCTGGGCACCCACCCTTGTCTGCAGTCACTGTACCCAGTCTGTCCTGAAGGGAGAATAGAGCACCCCTTCCGTCCTCTCCTTCCACGTGCTTTATGAGAGCTGGTTCCGCCCTGCTCCAGGAGTGGACATGTGACTCTGGACTGGCCAATCAGAACTCCCACCCCTGCCCGGCCCCTGTGATTGGTTCAGGTGAGCCAATCAGATTCAGGGAAATAATAGCAGGGTGAGGAAGTGAGGGTGGCCTTGGCCTTGCAGTGGCCTTTATTCCCCACAGTGGAGGGATGGAAACCAAAGAGGTCCGCGAAGCCCAGACAGCGGGCCAGGCCTGGGGCCCCTGTGCTCCCGGATCCAACCAACCACGCCCCAAGGTGTCCAGCTTCAGCTTCTGGTGTTTATTGCTGCTGTTTCTTTTCAGTTACCCAAGCCAATAAAGTTTTCTTTCTCTTTTTTTAACCTCCAATCCGTTTGAGCTGCATTTGTCTCATGCAACCTGAAACGTGCCACCGCTGCAATCATCACGTCCCACATCCTGCCATCCAGAATTCCCCAGAGCCCCACTCAGCCCGTCTCTGTCCCATCGGTGTGCATGGGGCACAGGCCGGAATGGTTGGTCTGAGGCAGGGTCGCTCTGCTTCCTCAAAGCCCCTCCCTCTGCGCCCCAGCTGCAGCAGCTGGCACACGGAGGAGATGTGCAAATCTAGGAAGATGGGTGAAGAACGTTATAGGAGGCGGCCACAGGGTTCTCCACATAGGTTTGCCATATTTAGCAAATTAAAATGCAGGATGCATTTAAAATGCAATGTTCAGTTGCATTTATTTCAAATAAACAACGGATGTATATATACATCCTATATATATAGATTGGATAAGTACTGGGACTTTTTTTTTTTTAATTATTTTTTTGAGACAGAGACTTGCTCTGTATCCCAGGCTGGAGTGCAGATCTCGGCTCATTGCAACCTCCTCCTCCTGGGTTCAAGCAATTCTCCTGCCTCAGCCTCCCGAGTAGCTGGGATTACAGGCCTGGGCCATCACACGTAGCTAATTTTTGTATTTTTAGGAGAGACAGGGTTTCACTGTGTTGGCCAGGCTAGTCTCGAACTCCTGACCTCAGGTGATCTGCCCACCTCGGACTCCCAAAGTGCTGGGATTACGGGAATAAGCCACCGTGCCCAGACGGTATTGGGAAATTTTTACACTAAAAAATTACTCATCTTTGATTTGGAGTTCACATTTAACTGGGCATCCTGGAGTCTGCCTGGCATCAATACTTCTCAGACTTTCCCATGGCTAAGAATCCCTTGAGGATTGGGTTAAAATGCAGATTCTGACTCTGTAGGTTTGGAGTAGGGCCTGGGATTCTACATTTCTCATGGGTCTGTGGGTGCTGTCAATGCTGCCTGCCGGGGCCTAACTGTGTCTGGGAGTAGAGATGAAGATTGAGCATGTTCACCTAAGCAAAGCACCCAGGAGTGTGTCCGGTACATGATGAAAACTCAAGAAGTGTTTGTTAATTATCACTGTAAGGAGGATCATTTGAAAAGTGTGATTGTGTGCGTTTCTCTGTGTATCAAGGACTTCGAAGCAATTGTACTTCAACAGCTGCAAACTCTCCCTCTCCAATCTGCCAGCTGCAGCTGTTCCTGTCACTCGGCCTAGGGCCACACCCTCAGGAGAAAACCGTGAGGAGGTTATAAAGGGCTCCCCAGCAGGAGCTGCCGCCCGTGCCTCTGCACTGGGGACCTCTGACCTTCCATATCACTACAGAGATGTGTGGCTATTCCGGTCGTCCACCACTCATTCCACGTAGATGGAGGCTTGCGATGCCCAGAGTGCTGGGGGGAGACTTGGGGCTCTTTTGGTTACAAGTGGCAGGAACCCAAAACAGGGCTTTCCTGGAAGAAGTCTAGACTCATTCACTCAAGGGAAGGAAGAGTGGAACGTCCAGCCCTCAGGAAGGTTAGGCAGAGTAGAAGCACCTGAACCTATGGCCTAGGCACTCAACTCAGCTGGGACATTGTCTCCCTCCAACTCTCACCTCTCTGTGAGGCTTCATTTTCTCCTCCTGCAGACTGGCTTCCTCCACACGGTGGGAAGCAAGACTGCCTTGAGCTTTCCAGCCTCTCACATCCCGGCATCTATGCCAGAGAGGGACTCTCCAAAGAGAAGGATCCAGAGAAAGCCACTGATGGGCCAACTTGGGTGAAATGATGCTGTTATAGCCATTTGCAATTCTCTCCGTACTCACCATTGCCCCCTAACCCCAATTTTATTCAGACTCGAGGCTGTAAATTCCATCTAGATGCTGATGCACCCCTGAAAGGGAGCTTTACCATTTTTACTGCCTGGCATCTGAAAACTCTGTATTAGGGAAGGGTGAAGCTGCTGTAATAAAGAAACGCACACATTGTAATGGCACATCACGTTAGAAGGGTACTTTTTCCTCTAAACACATTTCAAATTGTAGCTATATATAACATAAAATTTAACGTCTTAACTATTTTTGTGTGTGTCTGGGAGGGACGGAGTTTCACTCTTGTTGCCCAGGCTGGAGTGCAGTGGCCTGATCTCGGCTCACTGCAAACTCTGCGTTCCGAGTTCAAGCGATTCTCCTGCCTCAGCCTCCCGAGTAGCTGGGATTACAGGCATGCACCACCACGCCCGGCTAATTTTTGTATTTTTAGTAGAAACAGGGTTTCACCATGTTGGCCAGACTGGTCTTGACCTACTGACCTCAGCCAGGAGGCCTTGGCCTCCCAAAGTGCAGGGATTACAGGCATGAGCTACCTCGCCTGGCTACGTCTTAACTATTTGTAACTGTGCAGTTCAGTAGTGTTAAACCTATTGACGTCTTGTGCACCCATCACCCCCATCCATTTCCAGAACTCTTTTCATCTTGCAAAACCGAAACTCTGTCTCCAATAAACACTAACACCCCATTCCCCTCCCCCCAGCCCCTGGCACCCCCCATTCTACTTCCTGTCTCTATGAATTTGACTTCTCTAGGTCCCTCATATAAGTGGAATCATAAAGTATGTGTTCTTGTGTGACTGGCTTGCTTCTCTTAGCATAATGTCCTCAAGGTTCATCCATGTTGTAGCCTGTGTCAGAATTTTCTCTCTTTTTAAGGCTAAAAAATATTCCATTGTATTTATTTATTTATTTTTATTTTTTGAGACGGAGTCTGGCTCTGTTTACCAGGCTGCAGTGCAGTGGCATGATCTTGGCTCAATGCAGCCTGCGCCTCTGGGTTCAAGTGATTCTCCTGCCTCAGCCTCCCAAGTAGCTGGGACTACAGGCGCCCGCCACCACGCCTGGCTAATTTTTTGTATTTTTAGTAGAGACAGGGTTTCACTATGTTGGCCAGGCTGGTTTCAAACTCTTGACCTCAGGTGATTCGCCCGCCTTGGCCTCCCAAAGTGCTGGGATTACAGATGTGAGCCACCGCGTCTGGTCTATTCCATTGCATTTATGTGCCACATTTTGTTTATTCGCTCATCTGTCAATGGACACTGGGTTGCTTCCACCTCTTGGCTATTGTGAATAATGCTGCTATGAGCATTGGGTGTACAAGTTAGATGTGTATTTCTTGATCATGTAGCAATCTAGGATAGATGTTAGGTGACAGGATGTATTTCCACAAGGTGGTCATTCAGGGACCCAGGTTTCTTGGGGCTCCCCTCTTTCTTTAGGGCCTTGAAAGAGCAGGAAGCAGGCAGATGTTTCTTTTTTTTTTTTGAGATGGAGTCTCACTCTTTTGCCCATACTGAAGTGCAGTGGTGGGATCTCGGCTCACTGCAACCTTTGCCTCCTAGGTTCAAGCAATTCTCCTGCCTCAGCCTCCGGAGTAGCTGGGATTATAAGCGCCCACCACGCCTGGCTAATTTTTGTACTTTTAGTAGAGATGGAGTTTCGCCATGTTGGCCAGGCTGGTCTCGAACTCCTGGACTCAGCTGATCCTCCCGTCTCGGCCTCCCAAAGTGCTGTGATTATAGGCGTGAGCCACCGTGCCTGGCCAACATACATGTTTCTTAAGAGCATTGGCTCGGAAGAGGCCTGTATCGCTTCCATCCCATCCCATTGGTGAGAACCAATCACAAGGCCACACTTAGATGCCAAGAGGAGTGGAAAACAGAATCCATCGATGGGAAGCAGCATCCCAAGAGTGATTTTGTACTGCGGAAGGGAAGAACAGATGTTAATTGTCAATTAAGCCATGTCGGCTGCAACCCATCCCATGTTTGGGAAACATCCTGGTATTGGTTGGGTTGCCTTAAGGGAGAGACTCAGAATTACCAATGGTTTCAGTGAGTTAGAAAGTGATTTCTCTCACATAAAATCTCAGCTGGCACGGAGCCTCTTTCACGAAGCCATCCAGTGTCTAGCTGGCTCCCTGTGTCTTGTTTCTCCTCCATCCTCAGTGTTGGCTTCCATCTGGTGTGCCAATGAGCTGTTCTCGATCTTGCCGTTGTCAATTTGACCAGCGAAGAAGGGGAATGGGCTGGAGAGGGAGGAGGCTGTCCCTCCCAACAACCAGGTCACTGCAGGACACCCACTGAATGATCTGATTCAGAGGAGCACAAGCACATGACTTTTCTTATAAACAGGTTTCCTCGTGTAGAGTTTGTACCCTAATAATTTGTTTCTATTGCTGTTATGATAGCACTTCACTCTCTTTTTTTTTTTTTTTTTTTTGAGACGGAGTCCCATTCCATCGCCCAGGCAAGAGTGCAGTGGTGCGATCTCAGCTCACTGCAACCTCTGCCTCCCAGGTTCAAGCCATTCTCCTGCCTCAGCCTCCCGAGTAGCTGGGATTACAGGTGTCCGCCACCACGCCCAGCTAATTTTTGTATTTTTAATAGATATGGGGTTTCACTATGTTGGCCAGGGTAGTCTCGAATTCCTGACCTCCTGACGTCTGCCTCTGCCTCCCAAAGTGTTGAGATTTACAGGTGTCAGCCACTGCACCCGGCCACACTTCCTTCTGTTCTAAGATATATTTAAAAATTTACCTTTGTGATATTTCTGAAGGAGGGACACAGATATCCTCCTATTGACACACACAGTTAACACAGCACTGTTCACCCCACCCCATGGAAAGATGTTATTAAATCAATAATATACATCTTATGATTGATGCTCACTGAGCTTTGAGGGTATACAGTGGCCACAACAATAGACTTATATGTAACACTGCTAATAGGTAATAATAACCACCATCATTTTTGTGAACTTACTATGGGCCAGGTATTGAACTAAGCAGCTCTTACACATATTACCTTGCAGGTTATCTTATTTTTTCCCATTCCACAGATGAGAAATTGAGGCTGAGAAAGGTGTTATTCCACCAGTGAATTATAGCTTCTTATCTTTTCTGACTACCAGTGAGGATGATAACAATTATAAGCGATAAGTCATCTGCCACTTAGGTGAGAGTCAGCCAAGTACAGAACAGAGGAAGGACCAGAAGGACCAGCCTACAAGGACACTATGGTTTGGACAATTATTTTAAAATATGTGTTTTTTGCAAGAATACCAACAGTAACAGCTAACACCCAGTGCGTCCTTACTAGGTGCCTACCTAACGCGGGGGAAGTAGTGGATTCTCAGGGCTATGACACGAGGCAGTGTGTACAGTCAAGGGTTAAATACACGAATTTAGAGCCAAACTCCATGGGTTCGGGCCGAGGCTCTGGCATTCCGGGTGTGTGACTTTTGGTAGGTGATTTGACTCCTCACCTGCAACATAGGGATAGGACCTACCATGAGGCCCTAGTTAGGACTAGGACCTAGTGCGTGTGAAGCACTTGGAGGCGCACAATGTATTTTCATCACTTCAGAAAGGAGGAAACTGAGGCCATGGCACCTGAAGCGCAGCACTCTCTGTCCAGTAACTAAGGAACCCGGGGTCTCTGTCCAGTAACTAAGGCACCTGGACTCGGGCCACTGGGAGGTGCAGCGGCAGAGAAGGGGTTACCATGATAGAGACGGTAGGAGGACCCGGGGTGGCACGAGCGTCCCTCTCCACCACTTCACTCTCCTCACGGCGGGCCCGGGGACCCGGCCGCGCAGGCGCGAGGAGCCCGGGTTGTCGGGGGGGCACCGCCCTAGACACCCGGAAGTCTCCGCCTAACGGGCCCAGCCCGCACCTCCTGTCCGGGAAGGGGGCGGGGCCGAAGCCCCTCGGCGCGGGGCGCCATAGAGCATGGACGGAGGACCTGCGTCCTAGACACTTCCGGAAGTGGCTCCCTCAGGCGCCCGCCGGGCACCACAGAGCTGGGGGCGGTGGCCGGGATAGCGGGCTCGCCTTCCTAGAGCGGCGAGGACAGGGTGGCGGCCCGGGGGGCAGGGAGTAGGGAGAAGGGGGGGAGCGGCGCGGGCGGAAGCGGCCGGGAAGGTCACTTCCGGCCTGGGCGCCCGTCCCCCTGACCCCAGGGTCTGAGTCGCCGCTGCCGCCGCTGCCACCATCCGCGAGGCAGGAGAGAGGAGGAGGAGTGCGGCGCGGCGGCCCCGGGACCAAGGAGGTGAGGGGTGGGGGCGGGGGCCGTGCGCTGGGGGCCAGGTGGGCGCGCGCTTCGGGAAGCTGGGCTTGGGCTGGGGGTGGGTGGGGAGACTGGAGGGCGAGCGCGACTGGGCGGCGGGCGCGCGTGCGCGCTGCTGGGGGGGCGTGAGTGGGCGCGCGGCCGGGGTGACGCGGGCGGGGGGAGTGCGCGTGCGCGCCGAAGAGCTGTGGGAGGGGACGCGCGCCCGGGCGGCCCGCGGGCGGCGAGCGGGGCTGGAGGGGGGGTGCGCGTGCGCGGGTCCGGGTCCAGGGCGCGCGCGTGCGCGTGGCGGGGGCAGGAGCGGGGGCCTCGGTGGGGGTCCCTCTGCTGCGGGCCGTCGGGGGTGGGGCCGCTGTCCGTCCCCCCGAAGTTCCAACTCCGCCGGTCGTGGCCGGAAGTGGTGGCGACTTCGGGGGGAAGTTGAGGCCCAGGTGGGGGAAGGGGCCGCGCGGTTGGGCTGGCCTGGCCGGATACCGCGGCCCCGAGGGCACGGTCTCAGCCCTCGGCCCCCCCAGCCCTTCCTTCCCCTTTTCGAGTCAGCCCGGGTCCCGTTGCTGCCCCGGGCGGGCTGCGCGTGGCCTTTGATCAGGCGGGTAATTACGGGGATTCTGGCCGGCAGGAGGCCCATTCATTCGTCCTTGCTCGGCAGGCGGGGAGGAAGCGCGTCCCCAGCGGGGGAAGTGACTGGGCCAAGGTCAGCCACCGCGTGGCCCACGGGGCAGGGCGAAGGCGGGGACTGGATCGGGTGGCGACTCCTGAGGCCTCCCTCCCCTGTGCCGAGTGGATCAGAGTGGAGCCCCGCCCTCCTGACACCCCACCCCGACCCCCAGTCCAGGGAGCTGACCCCAATTCATGTGGATGAGTGCTCTGGGACCTGCAGAGTCGCACAGAAAAGTGACCCACAGACACAGAAGGCAGGAGTGAGTGGAGGCAGAAGTTTTTCCAGTGCCAGGCCCTGTGCCGGGCACTAGAGACAGGGAGCAGGGAGATGAACAAGGGCTTGGAGTCTGGGTGGAAGGCAGAGACTGAGACCCGGGCGACAGAGTCGCCATCCAAGGTGACCAGACCCCTGATGGAGAGGTCTGGGGGCTGTGGGAGCCAGGGAAGGCATTTTGACCCAGCCCAGTCCGGGGGATGGTCAGGGCTTTAGGGAAGGAATGGCTTGGTCTGCTCTTTGCGGTGTCCTGCTCCCAGGTCCCATGTTGCGCAGTGCTTAGAACCCATCTGGGGATCCGATTGACCCCAGCGCCGGGAAGCACAGTTGCGTTGATCCTGGCTTAGCTCCTCTGAAGACCGTAAGCCTCTTTGGCTAAACGCTGCTGACATTCACCTGCCTGCCTCTGCGCAGTCCCTGTGGTCCTCCGGCCACGCACGGCCTCAGAGAACATCCAGATCAGATTCCTGCTTGCTTATCTCATGTCTTATCCATCCATCCGGGCACCCGGCCTGGCCCCTCCCTGGTGCACTGCCAGAGTGTGTGCAGGCACTGGGTTGTATTCCCCAAGAGCTCTGGGACTGGGCAGGCCTGGGTTCAAGTCCCAGCCCCACCACTCACCTTCGTGGCCTTAGACGAGTAACTTCAGTGCCTTACTTTCCACCAGGACAGAGTGGGAGTGGTAATAATAGTATTGACCTCAGCGGGAAGGCTCTTAATGCTTTCATTTTAGAGCCAGAGCAGACCTCAACAGATGGGTGTAAAGTAAATGGAAAGGGCTCTGGAGCCAGGCCCTTTCCTGGGCCTTGGCCTTGGCACTGTCTCTTCCACTTCTGTGACCTTGGACATGTCACTTCCCTTTTCCCAGGTTCAATTTCCCTTCAGTTGTCTAAAAACGAGAGCAAGTTCACAATTCCCTGAGTAAATGTAATCCATCCAGGCGGCTGCACAGGCCAGGCCCTGTGCTGGGCATGAGGTCACACATGGTCTTGGCACAGCACTGTCCTGTGAGGGCCCAGATGAGGTGCCTGGCCCAGCCTGGGTGAAGAGAGGGATCTCAAGGCCCTTCTGTGCAAGCACAAGGTAGAGTGGTGCTCCGTGCTGGGCAGCCTGGCAGGAATCATACAGTCCCTGTCCCAGAGCAGCTGAGACCCATTCACACTGGGCAGAGGGGTGGGGAGATTTGCCAGAGTGCTCCCGGGAGCTCTGACCTTGAGGGAGGGGTGTGTGGTGCAGGGGAGGTATTGTGTCTTGAAAGATAGAGAGGAAGGATTGGCTACCAGGAACCTGGTACTTAAGGGAGGATGACAGTGGGCTCTGGGCAGGGAATGGCAGGGGTCACAGCTCAAGGCCACCAGCAACTGCCTGGCTGCCCTGGGAGGTCTTTTGTTACTAGGCATACACAGCTCTCAGGACACCCATCCTCAGACATGTTTCACAGGCCTTTCCAAACCTCGTTCGTGTGTCCTCTGGTGCATCCTGAGGCCTCCAGCCTAGTGAGGACTGTGCCAGGTGCTGGGGCCTCTGTGGTGTGAGAAACTGCAGATTCGACAACACTTGCTGGTGCACACTTTGCAGGAACCTGGCCCAGTGCCTGGTCCTCACTGTCCTAAATTCTCAAGGCTCTGGGATGGAGGTGGTCACCTCCATTTTAGGGGTATGGGATGGAGGCTCTGGATGGCACTTGTTAGCCCAAGGCCCCCAGCAGCTTCAGAACCTGTGTCTACTGCGATTCCAGAGCCCAGACCCTTGACCATCACAACCGCCCCCTTCCGCCCCCAGGTTGGGGTCTAGGGGGACAAAGGCTGTTCCGAAGTCCTCTAGGTGTTAGTCATTGGCTTGGAGACGCTGGACTCCCTGCCTAGTGGGGTGTACTGTCCACGAGGACTCCTACACGCAGGGCTGCTGGCTGGTTCAGGGGAACCCCAGCATAGTGGGAGAAGCACAAGTGGCTCGGAAGTTGAGTGCTGAGATCCATGCAACCCCCAAGGAGGCCTCACTCACCCAGCATCAGGGAGAGCAAGGCAGGTGTGGAGTTCGAGCAGTCACACCTCCAGTGTCAGTGGCCCTGTCCCAGGAGCCCAGAGCTGTCACCTTACAGCTGCAGAGAAACCAGCCCAAGCTCTGAGCCCAGGTGGGGCGGCCCCAGGCCTGTCTGTTCCTGCAAGGGACCTGGCAACTTGAGGCTGTTTTTCGTGACGTTTTCCTGGTTCCGTCTCTGCCGTGGCCTGAGCCTTCTCCCTTTGGGCTCACAGAGTGTGGACGTCTCTCTTGTGCTAAATGGGGGTCCCATCTGGCCCCCCTGTTTCGAGGCCTTGCAGTGGATAGTGTTGGGACCCAGAGATGCATCAGAAGTGGTCCTTGCCTCAGCCCAGGGTCCAGCCAGTCAGAGCCATGGATTCCTGAGGCTGCTGTGTGCAGGGTCTTTGCTGGAAATAGCCCCGCCCTCAAGTGCACAGTCTGCTGGATGCACTGTGGGACTGATGGGGACCTATAGTAGGTGTCGCAGAGGTGAATAAGACACGGAGTAAGACACAGATCCCCCTGCGGGACACAGGACCATCCTCAATGGTGGACGTTAAAGGGGACAAATGCCGTTGTCCAAGAGTTAGAAGGAAGCAAGCTGTCTTTGGCAGCTGGCCGACTCAGGTGTGGCTCCAGCCTCCTACGTTGTGGCTCTGTGACATTGCTCCAGCCACTCCGCTAGTGGAAGCCTCGCTGTGGCTGTGTGAGATTGTACTAGCCACTCCGCTTGTGGAAGCCTCGCTGTGGCTGTGTGAGATTGTACTAGCCACTCCGCTTGTGGAAGCCTCGCTGTGGCTCTGTGAGGTTGTACTAGCCACTCCGCTTGTGGAAGCCTCGCTGTGGCTCTGTGAGGTTGTACTAGCCACTCTGCTTGTGGAAGCCTCGCTGTGGCTCTGTGAGATTGTACTAGCCACTCCGCTTTTGAAAGCCTCGCTGTGGCTCTGTGATACTGTACTAGCCACTCTGCTTGTGGAAGCCTCAGTTTCCTTGTCTATACAACAAGGACCACAGTGATAGGCTGTGTTTACTGGGCATCTCCACGGCTTTTGGGTGAGCACTTGACACACATCTCATTTAATCAGGAGGGACGGGTAGCCCAAGCACCTTGCCCAGGTCATGTGGCTGGTTCCTGGGGGGCCAGATCCCACCCTGCCCTGCCCAGAACGGCTGTCCTCTTGTCCCTGTGCTGGCCTCATGGCCTCGCACTGTCTCCCACTGATTGTGGGGCCCAGGATCAGAGCTTATGTGCTTAGGGCACCCTGCACCCAGGACCTGGGATTTAATCCGTGCTTGATGAGTGTGATCTTTTGTCGCTGGATAAGAGAGGATAGAGCTGAGGGAAGGGAGCAGTCTGGGAAAGCTTCCTGGGGGAGGTGCTGTTGATGCTGAGCCGTGGCAGATGGGCTAAGCAGATGTATACTGAGAGGGCAGGTGAGGTGGGAGGAAGGGACTGTGCAAAGGCCCCGGGGGAGAATCCACACCATCTGGAAAATGGCCAGCCTGCCCTGTTGGCCCAGCAGAGGGGTCACAGAATGTAAGGTGGTCCGCAGGTGTGGTTTTGTGTGTGTGTGTGTCTTTTTTTTTAATATAAAGGCTTTATTTTTAGTGTTTTATTTCATATATGTATATATTTTAAGAGATAGGATTTTGCTGTGTTGCCCAGGCTGGTCTCAAACTCCTGGGCTTAATTGATCCTGCCTCCTCAGCCACCTGAGTGGTGACCAGGGGCTTTATTTATTTATTTATTTATTTTGAGACAGAATCTCACTCCGTCGCCCAGGCTGGAGTGCAGTGGCGTGATCTTGGCTCACTGCAAGCTCCGCCTCCTGGGTTTATGCCATTCTCCTGCCTCAGCCTCCCCGGTAGCTGGGACTACAGGCGCCCGCCACCATGCCTGGCTAATTTTTTGTATTTTTTAGTAGAGATGGGGTTTCACCGTGTTAGCCAGGATGGTCTCGATCTCCTGACCCTGTGATCCGCCCACCTCGGCCTCCCAGAGTGCTGGGATTACAGGTGTGAGCCACCGCGCCCAGCCAGGGGCTTTATTTTTTTTTAGAGCAGTTTTAGGTTCGCAACAAAATTGAGAGGAAGATGCACAGATTTCCCATATCCGCCTGCACCCTCCCCCGACACAGCCCCCGCACTGTCAACTCCCACTCCAGGGCAGCGCGTTTTGTGACAATGTATGAACCTACACGGACACCTGATGATCACCCAGAGTCCATAGTGTACTTTGTAGGTGTGTGGGGCTTTTGGCCTCAAGACTGTTTTGTCTTTTAAACAATTCTCAGTTACTCGGCTGCCCTAAGACCCGGAAGCCTTCGCATAAGGATCTGAAGATCTGCAGGCACCAAGTCCTGCGGGCTGTGCCCCGCTGTCTCCACAACACACTGCACCCTGACAGTAGATGAAGTCCCTCTCTCTCGCCCTCTCGGAAAGTAGTTGAGTGTGGTGGCTGGGGCCGTGAGCTGTCTCTGCCGTCGCTGTGCTGATGCCCCCGAGGAAGACGGCTCTGACGGGGAGGGTGTGGGTGGTGCGGGTGGGAGGCATGCGGGAAACCTTTGGGAGGCTGCTGCGCGAGTCCAGGTGTGAAGTGGCTGGAAAAGAATAGAGCAGCGACCATCCTGGCTAACATGGTGAATCCCCGTCTCTACTGAAAATACAAAAAGTTAGCCGGGCGTGGTGGTGGGCGCCTGTAGTCCCAGCTACTCGGGAGGCTGAGGCAGGAGAATGGCGTGAACCCGGGAGGCGGAGCTTGCAGTGAGCCGAGATCGCGCCACTGCACTCCAGCCTGGGCGACAGAGCAAGACTCCGTCTCAAAAAAAAAAAAAAAAAAAAAAGCAGCGAAATCAACGTGCCGCGGCCGGCCTCTAGAGAGGGAGAGGGGCCAGAGCACGGGACAACGGCTTCCCTCTGCGTCCTGAACCCCGCCAGAGGGACGTGCAGGCTGTGCTCTAGGAGAATGTGATCTGCCAAAACCGGCTCAGACGAGAGGGAAGGTCTACGCAGACCAGTCACTGTAGAATGAACAGGAAAGGGTGTGTAGAGCTTTCCCCACCACCCTCAGGGAGGGCAGGCCTGGGATCTCCGTGGTGTCACAGAGATGTCCCGGGGCTGAGGAAATGAGGGCCCCATGCAAGATGCCAGGTAGATGTCACCCCACCTAGCCTGCAGATCCAGGCGGAGGTGCAGGAGGGAACAAGAATGAGGTTTTCAGGCCAGGAGTGAGGGAGCGAAGTGGCCACAGAAAAGGGCAGTGAAAGAGCTGGTGGGGGAGTGGAGGGGTGGCGCTGTGGGCTTCTTGAGCTGGGAGCAGAGCGGGAAGGTGAGCAGGAGAGGGCTCTGCGGCGGGGCCGGGCAGCAGTGTTGGTTCCGGAAGCAGCCATGGGTACCAGGGCAGCAGGTGCTGGACACCCCTGGCACCTGCCCTCAGGGAGCATTGTGCCCAGGAGCAGATGCAGAGTCCCAGGAAGGAAATACCAATAGAAGTGATATCACCACGCTCGTGACATGGTGACAGAAGGTGCTGACCAGCCAGGAAGTCAGCCCTGCCATGGGAAAGGTGGGGTGTGGGCCTCAGGGAGAAGCTGACATTTGAGTAGACCCTTGAAAGGTGAGACTGAGCCAGGCAGGTGGAGGACTGAGCCCGGCCCCTCAGAGAGAGAGACCAGGCCTGGCCGGGGCAGGTGGAGGAATGAGCCCGGCCCCTCAGAGAGAAAGACCAGGCCTGGCCGGGGCAAGTGGAGGACTGAGCCCGGCCCCTCAGAGAGACCAGGCCTGGCCAGGGCAGGTGGAGGACTGAGCCCGGCCCCTCAGAGAGAGAGACCAGGCCTGGCCGGGGCAAGTGGAGGACTGAGCCCGGCCCCTCAGAGAGAAAGACCAGGCCTGGCCGGGGCAAGTGGAGGAGTGGGGCCGGTCCTTAAGGGTGAAAGACCGGGCCTGGCCAGGACTGAGCCTGTCGGTGCATCAGGAGCAGTGCACTGCACAGCGAGATCCGGGCCAGCTGGAAGGGAGGGGGTTTGCAGAGGTGCCGGAGCCAGATGGAACCCTGTGGTGCCTGGGGAGGAACTTGGATTTTGGATTGAGGGGCAGCCGGCACGTGCAGTGGCAGCAGTTTGGGCAAGGAGGTGATGAACTGAGTTGCTTTTTGTTGAGAACAGTTTTATTATGATATGATTCCCATAGTGTACAATTTGCCCTTTTAAAGTACACAGTTCAGCGCTTGTAGTCCCAGCTACTCGGGAGGCAGAGGCAGGAGAATCCCTTGAACCCGGGAGGCGAAGGTTGCAGTGAGCCGAGATGGTGCGATTGCCCTCCAGCCTGGGCGAGAAAGCGAGACTCTGTTTCAATAAATAAATAAATAATATACAGTTCAGTAAGGTTTTTAGTGTATTCACTGATTTACGCAGCCATCACCACAGTCGATTTTAGAACCTGTTCTTCATCCCAAAAGAAACGCCGTGCATCTTCAGCAGTCCCTCCCTCCCTGCCTCCCTGCCTCCCTGCGTCCCGGTTCCTGGGAAGTGCTGATCTGCTTTCTTTCCCGGGGTGTGCCTCTTGTGGGCAGGCGCATAAATAGAATCGTGCTGTTCTGCATCGGGCTTGTTTTACCAAGCGTGCCGTGTTCGAGGGTCATCCCTGTCACAGCTGAACTTCACACCTGGTTATGGTCGTGTTCCATTACGGTCATGGATGGACCACAGTTAGTTCATCCATATGGACATTTGGGTTGTCTCTACATTTCGGCTGTTATGCCTGATGCTTCTGTGAACATTCGTGTGCAGATTTTTGCGTGGACGGACGCATGTTTTCTCTCGGGTCTATACTAAGGAGTGGAATTGCGGGTTCTTATGGGAGTTCTGGGCTTAACCTTTTGAGGAACTAACTGCCAGGTGTTTCCTATGGCGCCCGCACCAGCAATGGGGGTCTCCCCACTTCTCCTGGTCCTCACCAGCACTTGTTTTCTGAGGCTGGCAGTGGGTGTGAGGTGCTGCCTCCCTGTGGGTTTGGTCTGCCTCTCCCAGACGGCTCATGAGGACATCCTTGCATGTGCCTATCAGATATTTGTCTTTCTTTGGAGGAATGCTTTCTCGGATCCTTTGCCCGGGTTCTAATTGGGTTGTTTGAACTGAGTGACTTCAGGAAGATGAGTTGGTGTGTGGTGTGAGGAGGGCACTTCCAAGAGGCAGGGTGGGAGCCAGGATCGTGGTGGGAGGGAGCGAAAGCCCCAAGGGAAGGGGAATGGGGAGAAGAGAGTGAGGGTGGGAGGGAGGAAAGGGCCAGAGCCCTCCGTGCTGGAGGGGGTGGGGTGGGGGGAACGGCTGGTCTGGGCACCCCAGAGCTCCTCCCCCGCCCCACAAAGGCAGGGCCACATGGGGTGCATGGTGGCTCCAAAGAGGTTGTGGAGTCAGGCTGAGAAGGAGCCACAGGATTTGGTGAAAAGTCAGAGAGGGTGTTAGCCCAGTGGTTGGAGGATGACTTGGGGGGAAGGAAGGGAGGTGGCTGCTCCAGGCTGCAAGTAGAGGGGAAGGAATAAGAGACTGGGGGGAGGAAGAAAGCAGGTGGGTGCCAGAGAAGTTTCTGGGCAGGGAGGGCCACGGAGGGCCAGGAGGAGTTGCTTCCGAGAGTGCGGGGGGAGGAGGAGGTGAGATTGGCAGCAGAAGAAAGGGGATAATTGGCAGGCAGGCCTCCAGAGGGGTGGGCGGGACTTAATAACAACAATAATAACAATCATTTGTGCTAATTGGATCTCTCAAGGGCTGGGGCGAGGGGAACGCACCCCTGCCCGTGCTCCAGGTGCTTCCTCTCTGCAGCGGAGGTCAGAGCCAGGTGAGTAAGCACCTGCAGAGGCTGGGAGAGCCTGAGACCCCGACTGAGAAACGGAGGCTGGTAAGGGAGGCCGGGACCCTCGTTTCAGAAGATGTGCAATTCCCAGCTTTCTGGTAGATTCCTTGAATAGCCCAGGGTTTTCTTGAGAGCAAGTGGGGGGCCTTCTCCTAGGGAGCTGGCCTGGACCCTGAGAGCTGGGTCAGGAGCTGCCTCAGGCCCCCGCAGCTCCTGGTGCCCCCGCCTCTCCCATCGTTCACCTCTGCGGGTGAGGGTCCCATGCCCCCGCCATGAGGTCCTGGGGGTAGGGCCTGATGGATTAGGACACAGGCTTCAGCAGGGGCTGAGAGCATGCCTGGAGGGACGGGAGAAGAAGAGAACTGGGGAGCATTGAATGAACACCCGTCTTAACCCTGGTGAGTCCTCAGAAGCCTCCACTCAGTCCCCACACAGCTCAGCAAGGCACCTGCCCTTCCCGTCCCTGCTTTGCAGAGGAGGCAGCTGAGGCTCAGCCATTTCCGCGGGTGGCAGAGCCGGTGATGACGCCAAGGACTGGTACCGCGGCTGCCCGTTGCTCACAGGGGCACAGTGCTGTCACCCAGGCTGGTTGTTTCACATCTCCCTGGTAGGTGTCGGCCCCTCCCTCTTCTCGGAGAGGAAGTTGGGATGCAGAGCAGTGTGGGCCCTGTCCCAGGTCGCCACGGTGCGGAGTTCCTTCCCGCCTCCCTCTTAGAAGAGCGACCAGACCCTGAGCTCTGGCCCCTCACCCCTTACCCCTCCTCTGCTGCCCCCGGCCCCTCTGGCTATGGAATTTGTGGACCCTTATGCTAAAAGGCAGGAAAAAAGCATCTTCCTTTCCTGGAGGTCTCTGGGTCGGCCAGGGTGTTTTGTGTTTGGCATTTCACCCACGGGTGGGTGCAGAGACCCCCAAGCCCAGGCTAGGAGCCCCCAGCACCAAGCCCTTGTGCCCTTGGACCCCACTTACAAAATATGGGTCAAAGGTGAAGTGACCAGGAATTCCAGGGCAGCAGCTGCTGAGCACGGAGCCCCAGGCTGGGCCTCCCTCCCAGCTGCCCAGGCCTTGCCCCAGGTCCCTGCCTGCCCCTCCCTCCTGGCGCCATTCCAGGTGCTCAGCCCCTCTGCTGTGCCTCCTTGGCCTGGCTGTGGCCTGGAAAGTGTGCACCCCAAACGCCGGCACCCTCATTCCTTTATTTACATCAGGGTCAGCAGACTCTCTGCAGTGGGCCACATAGTAAACATTTTAGGCTTTAGGAACAAGAGGGGAAATCAAGGCTACTTTTCATGTAGGTATATGGCTGTCTATTGAAAACATGTAAAAGGTATTAGTATCTGGGGGGCAGTTTGAGGCCCAGCGCTCCCCGCCCGGGGTCAGCCCCTCCACCTCTATAGGCTGCCTCACTACCCCCCTACCCAGCTATAACCACAGCAGGAATCATGCCTTGTGCCTAGCTGGGCAGTGCAGGCCTCCTGGCTCGCGGCAGATCCCTGCTGAGTGAGAGGTGATCTCTGCTGGCCTCTGGGCAGGCTGCTGTGCGGTGGAGAGGAGGGGTGTGGAGGGTGGACTCTCCCGCCTCCCCCATCCATAGCCTGGTCAAGGCCTTCACCCTGCAGGAAGCTGGCCGGAGGTGGAGGCCAGGGGAAGGCTCTGAGCTGGGAAGTCCCTGCTTTTATTGAGTTATGTGATAGAGTTTCACTGGAAGTACATTATCACCACTTGGCAAACAGGTTTCAGCCAAGAAGAGGAGGTGAGGAGCAGCCCCCACCACCTCCTCAGCCCCAAGTTGCAAACTGCTCTCTTCCCTTTTTTTCCTGTGCTTTTTTTTTTTTTAACCTTTCCTACAGTGCTGAGTCTTACGCATTTTTAATGTCTAGGGTGTTGTAATTAGAAAGCCTGTACAATTTTTAAAAGTTTGTTTACTTTCTAATAGAGGTGCAATTAATGTATTACAACATTTCGTTTTTCTTTTTCTTTCTTTTTTTTTTTTTGAGACGGAGTCTCGCTCTGTTGCCCAGGCTGGAGTGCAGTGGCGTGTGATCTCAGCTCACTGCAACCTCTGCCTCCGGGGTTCAAGCGATTCTCCTGCCTCAGCGTCCCCAGTAGCTGGGACTACAGGCACGAGCCACCATGCCTGGCTAAGTTTTGTATTATTAGTAGAGACAAGATTTCACCATATTGGCCGGGCTGGTCTTGAATTTCTGACCTCGTGATCCGCCTGCCTTGGCCTCCCAAAGTGTTGGGATTACAGGCGTGAGCCACCGTGCCCGGCCAACATTTGCTTTTTTAAAATGTACAATTCACTGGTTTTTAATATATTCACAAAGTTGTGTAATCATCACCACTATGTAATTCCTGAACATTAGGCTGCGTGCAGTGGCTTCCCTCCTTGGGTCTCTGGCAGAGTCTGAGAATTAGGTTGACATAGAATAACAGGAGAAAAGCTTACGAATGTTATTTTATTTTTTTGAGACGGAGTCTCACTTTGTCGCCCAGGCTGGAGTGCAGTGGCGTGATCTCGGCTCACTGCAAGCTCCGCCTCCCGGGTTCACGCCATTCTCCTGCCTCAGCCTCCCGAGTAGCTGGGACTACAGGCGCCCGCCACCACTCCCGGCTAATTTTTGTATTTTTAGTAGAGATGGGGTTTCACTGTGTTAGCCAGGATGGTCTCGATCTCGTGATCCACCCGCCTCGGCCTCCCAGTGTGCTGGGATTACAGGTGTGAGCCGCTGCGCACGGCCACAAATGTTATTTTTACAGGTACATGGGAGACTTCAGAAAGTGAAGGCCTCCTGAAGCAGTTAGACCTGAGGGCTTCTATGCCCAAGAATAGCAACTGTGAAAAAGTAACTAAAATCCTTGGGGAGGCTGAGGGAGATAAGGGTTGGTGTGTGCAGCTGTCTCTCAGCCTCAGCTCCCGGTGCTGGTGATGAGCACGTCCTCTTCCTCTACGAGGAGGGCGTGTTTCACGTGGGGTTTCATCTGCTTGCAGGAAGAAAGGGGAGGCTAGAGCACCCTTCTCGCATCTGCTGCTGCCCCCGTGCCTTTGGGGCTGCACTGGGGTGGCCTGTTCTGTGCCGTCGCCTTCACTGCTGGCCCCCAGCACCCAGCCATCTACCAGTTCCGATACGTAGCCCCAGCCGCTGTCCAAGACACCCCTTTAGGCTTTTTCCCTTAATACAGACGTAATTACCTGTTATTAAAATATTAGGAAAATGAACATAAGAAAAACGTTGAGATCACTCTCACTCTTGATGTTGGGCGTGGGAGGGGTGCCAGCCGTCATTCCTTGGCCGGCTCCCTTGCTCCCGTGGAGGAGGGGTGACTCCACCCACCTCCCCGGCGTGGGTCTCTTGAGTTCCTCCCGGTTTCCCCATTCGGAACCTCACTGTGATGGAGGCTGTCTCTGCAAGAAGCATTTCCTGAGATTTGGGCTTTCCTGTCGGTAGCCTCTGGAGAGGTAGAGCTAGCCTGGTCGGGCTGCAAGCATGTTCATGGCAGTTTAGCCTGAACTCTTCCATCCGAGGCACCCAGAGCCCACGGGGGTCTGTCCGAGGGGAGGTCTGCCTGTCCTTCCGCGTGGGTCTCACCTCTTCCTGAGACAGGTCCGGCGAGGGGCTGAGTGTTGGGATTTGCTGTGTCTGGTCTTAAGCCTGTGCTTTGTCCAGACCTACCTGTTTGTGTGCTCACCCAGCTGTGCCTGGCGCTGCCCTGGGTGCTAGGGACCACATGGGTGTCAGAGCGGGCCCTGACATGACAGGGTGCCGGGAGGACAGGCCAGCTAAGCAGAGACACGGAGAGTGGCAGAGTAGCAGGCGTTAGGAAGAGAAAGGCAGGCAGGTGGAGCAAGTGGGGACCCTGAGGAGGTGGCCCTCACCTGGAGTCCAGAGGAGGCAGCTGGGAGGACTGGAGGAGAGCTCTGGGCAGGGGCAGGGTGGAGGGAGCTGGGGAGCTCTGGGCAGGGGTTGGGTGGAGGGAGCCAGGGAGTGCTGGGCAGGGGCGGGGTGGAGGGAGCCGGGGAGCTCTGGGCAGGGGCTGGGTGGTGGGAGCTGGGAGTTCTGGGCAGGGGCGGGGTGGAGGGAGCCAGGGAGTGCTGGGCAGGGGCGAGGTGGAGGGAGCACTGGGCAGGGGCTGGGTGGAGAGAGCGGGGAGCGGCGCCTCCTGGCAGGGCTGCCTTCAGTGCCTCCCGCTTCTGGAGCTGAGAGAGTCTCCTGGGAGTCTCTGTGGCTCTGTGCCTGGCACAGACACTGCTCCTGGCTGCTGCCGCCAGTGCTGCCCTTCACGTGTTGCAGGGGACCCGAGGGTCTCGCCCTGCCGGCCTCATGTTCCACATCCATAAGACAAGCGTCAGAACAGTGCCCACCTCTAAGGGTCCCCTGCGCTTCAGGTGACTCGCAGTCCTCCCGGCAGGTACTGCCCCACACACCTGCAGCCCCTCCCGCAGCCCCCAGCATGCCCGGCCTTCAAGCTCTCTCTTCCGCAGCCCCCAGCATGCCCGGCCTTCGAGCGGCCTCTCCCGCAGCCCCCAGCATGCCCGGCCTTCAAGCTGCTGCCTGTCCCCTCCCCTCCACGCTGCCCATCCAGGGAATGCTCCTGTGGTGCCTTCTTTCTGAGGGCCCACCCCAGCCTCCCCAACAGAGCTGCCCGTCACTTTCTCCCCCTAGACCCCCCTCCCTTTTCTGCCCCTAGGCCCCCCTCCCCGTGTGCTTCCTTCCTGCTGTCTGTGAGCCTTGGGGGCAGGACCTCGGCCCTCCTGGTGACCCTCTTTCTCCTGGTGACCCTTGTCCCTCCCTGTGACCCCGTGTCTCCTGGTGACTCGTTTCTCCCAGTGACCCCATTGTCTCACAGTGACCCCGTGTCTCCCGGTGACCCCGTGTCTCCCGGTGACCCTCGTTTCTCCCAGTGACCCTTATGTCTTCTGGTGACCCCATGTCTGCTGGTCCTCGCAGGTGCTCAGTAAATGAGGACCCTGGAGAGCGCGGCCTTCATGTTCCCACGTGGGATTTGAACACAGTTTCTGAGGCGAGCGTAGTGGTGGGTGGTACTGGGCATAGACTTGGGGCCTGATGGTCTGTGTGTGAACTGTTTCTGTACTCCTCCAGCCTTTCCCTTCTCCCCTTCCCCACGGAGAGACCTTGGGCCTCTGTTTCCTCATCTGCATAATGGGGACAGCAGTCAGACCTACCCAGAGGGCTATCATGGACCCCAATCTACTCACAGTTCGTCAGCCGTTTAGAGCAGTGCCTGGAACCGTGGGGTGGGGTGGCCAGGGGCTGCCCAGTGACCCACATGGCATATCTGTGCACATGAATTTATTTAAACAGGCACGTCCCGAGTTCTCCTCAGACTCTCAGGCCCTTCGTGAGGGCAGGTTGACAGCACCCTGCAGTGGGGCTGGCTCCGTTCTGTACCTGGATAGTGGTGAGCTTCTTGTCACTGGAGGGACTCGGGAAAATCGGTTCAGAGGGGTTGTGCCAAGGAGGTGTGTGGTGCTCAGGTGGAAGCCCCACTGTTCCGCGTGCTGGTCTGCAGACTTCCGCCTGGAATGAGGTGCTGGATGCCGCCGTTCCCACGTGCTGGTCTGCAGACCCCGGCCTGGAATGAGGTGCTGGATGCCGGAGGTTTCCTCAGAGCCGAGTGCATTCAGCCCAAGGGGGCCTCGCCTGGGTTTTCTCTTCCGGTGTTGAGGTTGTTGGGGAACGAGGTGGGGTGGCGCCGCTGTGTCTCACCAGGAGTCCTACCCACCTGGGGGTGAGGTCACACCAGGAACTGGGGCCAGACGGCCGGAGCATGGGCTTTGCTAATGGTTGGTCGAGGGTTGTGCCCGCCTCCACCTCAGTAGGCAACTCTGATAAGACACAGAATTGAAGACTCGCGGGCGGGCTGGGGCCTGCGCAGGCTTCTCCTTCCCAGAGAGATGAACGCGAACGTCCACAGAAATAAATGGATGGACGCGGCGTTGAAGCTGGAGTATACACAATGCCCGCTGTGGAAGCAGCTCACAGTTGTCCTCCAGCGATGGGTGGGTGCATGGACCACTGTGGCCGCCGTACAGTGGAGTGGGGTTCAGCCCGAGAGAGGAGCGACACGCTGGCACGCCGCAGCACCATGCTGTGTGGAAGAGTCAGACACGCAGGAACAGATGCTGTCCCTCTCCTGTGCAGAGCACACGGCAGCAAGTCCAGAGGGACGGAAAGGAGTTCAGAGGCTGCAGGGCGCGGCGGGGGAATGCGCGGTGACTGCCGTGGGCGCGGAAGGGGGAATGCGCGGTGACTGCCGTGGGCGCGGAGGGCGGAATGCGCGGTGACTGCCGTGGGCGCGGAGGGGGGAATGCGGAATGCGCGGTGACTGCCGTGGGCGCGGAGGGGGGAATGCGCGGTGACTGCCGTGGGCGCGGAGGGGGGAATGCGCGGTGACTGCCGTGGGCGCGGAGGGCGGAATGCGCGGTGACTGCCGTGGGCGCGGCCGGGGGAATGCGCGGTGACTGCCGTGGGCGCGCGGGCTTTTTGGAGTTGTTGTAAAGTTGATTGTGGTGAGGGTCGCAAAACTGAATACACTAAATATCATTGCATCGTACACTTTACATGGGGGAATGTTGTGGTGAGGGGATCACATCTTAATGAAGCTGTTTTAATAAAGAAGTGTGGGCCCTGGGGTGTGAGCCCTGGAGCCCTGGCCCGGCAGTGGGAGGCTGTGCCTCCTCGGGCAGGTTTCTCGTGGCTCCTGCTGGAGGCTTCCCCCGAGAAGCTGGGTGGTTACAGCCCCTGCCTCCTGCAGGTGCCGGGGGATTCGGGGAGCCAAGCCCCAAATCTCTACCGTGGGAGGTAGGAGGTTTTTTTGTTCTAAGGCTAGTCAAGTGAAGCAGTTGGCATGGAGAAGGAACAAAGAGATCCGTAACTGGCAGTTAGTTGTAAACACCGCTGCACTCAGGCCGGCAGGACGTTTTTTTAAATTGCCCTTATTCGGCTGTCGAAGTTGGCAGCCCTGTGTCCTCCCCGTGGAGTTTCGCTGAGGCGCTCCTGGTTTATGAAACCCCAGCATGTGGAAAGCTGGGAGGGCACGTTTGCCACAGCTCCACCTGGCGGCCCTGCCCTTCCCTGATCTGTGCGAGGGTTCAGGTTCCAGCCGCGCCTGCAGGAGGGTGGGAGAAGGGCTGGGAGGGCTGCCTCAGAGCCTGTTTCATTTTATTTTTTTATTATTTATTTATTTTATTTTATTTTAAATTTAATTTTTGAGACAGAGTCTTGCTCTGTCGCCCAGGCTGGAGTGTGATCTCTCCTCACTGCAACCTCTGCCTCCTGGGTTTCAGCAATTCTCCTGCCTTAGCCTCCTGAGTAGCTGGGATTACAGGCCCCTGCCACCAGGCCTGGCTAATTTTTGTGTTTTGGTAGAGATGGGGTTTCGCCATGCTGGCCAGGCTGGTCTCGAACTCCAGACCTCCACTGATCCACCTGCTTTGGCCTCTCAAAGTGCTGGGATTACAGGTGGGAGCCACCGCATCCAGCCAGGGAGCCTGTTTTAAAAGAGAGATCTGGGTATGAACCCTTCAACAACTCGGGCGCGTGGCAAAGGCTCTGCTCTCCACTTTAGCTGTGTGTGTGCGTGGCACCGCTTGGTGGTGTGCGTAGAGAACCCTCACAGTGCATGGCACAGGTTGGTGTTGGTGTGCGTAGAGACTTTCACAGTCACGGGTTGGTGGTGTGTGTAGAGATCCTCTTGGTGCATGGCACGGTTTGGTGGTGTCATGTGTAGAGACCCTCATGGTACGTGGCACGGGTGGGTGGTGTGCGTAGAGACCTTCCTGGTGCGTGGCACGGATCAGTGGCGTGTGTAGAGACCCTCACTGTGCGTGGCACGGGTCGGCGTGCGTAGGGACCCTCCCGGTGCGTGGCACGGGTCGGCGGCGTGCGTAGGGACCCTCCCGGTGCGTGGCACGGGTCGGCGGCGTGCGTAGGGACCCTCCCGGTGCGTGGCACGGGTCGGCGGCGTGCGTAGGGACCCTCCCGGTGCGTGGCACGGGTCGGCGGCGTGCGTAGGGACCCTCCCGGTGCGTGGCACGGGTCGGCGGCGTGCGTAGGGACCCTCCCGGTGCGTGGCACGGGTCGGCGGTGTCGTGCGTAGGGACCCTCCCGGTGCGTGGCACGGGTCGGCGGTGTCGTGCGTAGGGACCCTCCCGGTGCGTGGCACGGGTCGGCGGCGTGCGTAGGGACCCTCCCGGTGCGTGGCACGGGTCGGCGGTGTCGTGCGTAGGGACCCTCCCGGTGCGTGGCACGGGTCGGCGGTGTCGTGCGTAGGGACCCTCCCGGTGCGTGGCACGGGTCGGCGGTGTCGTGCGTAGGGACCCTCCCGGTGCGTGGCACGGGTCGGCGGTGTCGTGCGTAGGGACCCTCCCGGTGCGTGGCACGGGTCGGCGGCGTGCGTAGGGACCCTCCCGGTGCGTGGCACGGGTCGGCGGCGTGCGTAGGGACCCTCCCGGTGCGTGGCACGGGTCGGCGGTGTCGTGCGTAGAGACCCTCCCGGTGCGTGGCACGGGTCGGTGGTGTCGTGCGTAGAGACCCTCCTGGTGCGTGGCACGGGTCGGTGGTGTCGTGCGCAGAGACCCTCACGGTGTGTGGCACGGGTTGGGAGTGTCGTGTGCAGAGACCCTTAGGCGCCTGTTGCCCTGTTTCTGCTGTGATGGGTAAGTATCTGCCAGGGGTGTGGGAACTCCAGTCCCTGTTTGGCATGAGCACCACATGTACACTGTCTTGTGTACGCTTGACAGTAACATGTTCTCCATCTTGCCAGTGAGGAAGCTGAGGCGCGAGGAGGCGCGAGGTGGGGTTGCTTGCCCCAGGTCCAGCTGGGGAGTGGTGGGGCTGGGATGGGAACTGGCGGTGGTTGTAGCCCTTGAGGGTCCTTGAGTCCTTCCTGCGGCTGTGTGAGGCCTTGGCTGGCCCCTGCAGTGGGGAGCGGCCAGGCTAGCTCCAGGCCAGTTCTCGGTGTCCTGGGGTAGGTGCTGTGTGCCTTGTCTGCCGGGCGCTGTGCCTGTCACGCCGGGGTCTGCAGGCTGCCTCCCTGCAGGGCCCTCGGTGCAGCCTGGCACCCCATAAACTCTGTCCTTCTGTCTCATCCCCTTCTAACAGGGACCCAGACATGGAGCTGCGGGAAGAAGCCTGGTCTCCGGGGCCGCTGGATTCTGAGGACCAGCAGATGGCCAGTCACGAGAACCCAGGTGAGCAGCCAGAGGCCTTCCCAGCCGACCCCGCTGCCTCCCACCTGACCCTGGCTTCCTTTGCCTCTGGGTGGGAGGAAACCCCCCTTCCCTGTTTTCCCCTCTTGGGGCCCTGGGACCACCCGACCCTGGCCTCCCCTCCCGCCCTGGGCCTTGCACTCCTGGCTGTAGAGGGAGGGCTAGTGTTGTGGCTCCAAGTTTCCTTTCTGCTGGATGATCTTGGGGACCCCTGGGGGCCACCTTCTCTGCCTGACTTCCTCTGTCCTTGCCCCTCCAGCCTGGGCAGCACCCCCGTCTGTTGAGGGTGCCCCCTTCCTCTCCCCACAGCCCCGCCTCCACATCCTGGACCCTCTGCTATGATTCCAGGCGGGCCTGTGGCCCTCCCTGGCAGGAAACTCCTTACACCAGGGGTGGCCCAGGAGCGCAGGGAACCCGCAGGCTGATGCCGACTTTTCAGGGAAAGCTCAGGAGTGCAGGGAACCCGCAGGCTGACGCAGACTTTTCAGGGAAAGTTGTCAGTTTGGGTTTTTATGTGAAATCCTTCACTTTTTGGACATTGGCAATGTGTTTTGTTTGTTTAATAAAGCATTATTGGGGTTGAGCAAAACTCATTTGTGGGCTACGTGGGGCCCAGGTTTGCTTGCGAAGGCCCCATGGTGACCTCACTGTGGCCCCTGACACCTCATGGCCTCCCTCCCCTCCACGGAGGCCGCCTCCCTGCCTCAGACCTGAGGAATAAGGTGCGGCAGCTTCTCTCCTTGCTGTGTCTGCATGTCAGGCCCCAGGTCCCAGGCCCACGCTGGCCCCACGCTGGCCGGGGCTCAGCAGACCTTTTCTGCAGAGAGCCAGAGAGGAAATACTGTTCATCTTGCAGGCTGCGGGCCTCACAGATACCACGCAGCCACAGTCCACACGGAAATGCGTGGGCACACTTGATGCAGAAAGGCCGGCAGAGCTTGCCAGCTCAGGCTGGCATAGCTGAGTCGTCCCATACAAAGACCGGGGTGAAGTTTGGGATCGATTTTGTAAAGCACCTCAGCCCCTTTTTGAGTGATTTCTGAGATCTGTGGATGGAGCATGAACAGAAGCTCCCTGTGGGCGGGGCTGTGGCAGCCTTGGTCCCGGGGTAGAAACTATGATGGGGGTTTTGAGTGCGTTGCCAGGACCGCATGCCCAGGGGGCCCACACCCCGGCCCCAGGCTGCCCCGCGTCTCAGTGGGTGGTTGCCATCCCGCACCGCCACAGCCCTCGAGGGCTGCCCCTGCCTTCTCCCTCGCATACATCCTTGGCCTTCGAACCTTTTCGAAAATTAATTCTGTGGAAATCTCAAGTGTGTGGACGCAGTGTGATGAATCCCTCTTCCTGCGCCAGCGATTCGCGGCACTGCTGGTCCCTTTCTGCCCACTGTGGTTCTCTTTCCACAGCGTTTTAGAGAAAATATCCATCACATCATTTTGTCTGTAAATTCTCCAACATGTAAGGACTCCTTGAAAAAAAGAAAAAGCCCTACAGGAAGCTGATCTCATCTAACAAAATGTCATTTTTCAGGAACTTCATCTAATCTAGCACCCGGTCCTTTTTAAAATACTTCGTTGTCTCCAAAATGCTTGTCTTTGAGTAAGTTCATCTTTAATTTTACAAGTCACTCATACACTCACTCTCTTTGTAGAAGGTAGGTGTCAGGTCCCCTTGTCCAGCCCGCTGCCCTGCCCAGCCCTGGCCCTGCGTCTGTGGGAGTCCTGTCCCCCACCAGGCAGCTGGCTCCGGGGAGGGCCTGCGCTTGGCGCCGCCTCTGGAGCATCACCCCTGCGTGACGCCCTTGCTCGGCTGTCAAAGATGGGCTGCGCACGCTCCCAAGCTGCTCTGGTGTCCGGCGTTCGCGTAACTCCCGTGTGGGGTCCCGCCTACATGCGTCCCCCCTATGTGACAGTGACAGACATCGTAGGTGGGGGTGGAGTGGCGGGGGTTGGCCTGGCCATGGCGTGTGGAGTCCCGCCTACATGCGTCCCTCCTATGTGACAGTGACAGACATCGTAGGCGGGGGTTGGCCTGGCCATAGCATGTGGGGTCCCACTTACGTGCGTCCCTCCTATGTGACAGTGACAGACTTCGTAGGTGGGGGTGGAGTGGCGGGGGTTGGCCTGGCCATGGCGTGTGGAGTCCCGCCTACGTGCGTCCCTCCTATGTGACAGTGACAGACATCGTTCGTGGGGGTGGAGTGGTGGGGGTTGGCCTGGCCATGGCGTATGGAGTCCCGCCTACATGCGTCCCTCCTATGTGACAGTGACAGACATCGTAGGTGGGGGTGGAGTGGCGGGGGTTGGCCTGGCCATAGCATGTGGGGTCCCGCTTACGTGCATTCCTCCTGTGTGACAGTGACAGACATCGTAGGTGGGGGTGGAGTGGCGGGGGTTAGCCTGGCCATAGCATGTGGGGTCCCGCTTATGTGCGTCCCTCCTATGTGACAGTGACAGACATCGTAGGTGGGGGTGGGGTGGCGGGTGTTGGCCTGGCCATGGCGTGTGTGGTCCCTTTTCCTCTAGCCTATTGCTGAGGGATATGGGGGCCCATGGGGCAGGCATCTGGAGAGGAGCATACCCTGGAGGGGCAGGGGAGCATGCCCGCCAGGCAGAGAAAAGGGAACCAGCAGGGCTCGCAGCCCACCTGGCCCCAGCCTCTTCTGCGGAATTAGCGTCCAGGCCCTCAGCCTACCTTGTGGGGTCCTCAGACAGGGAGGAGGCAACTTTCACCATCCTGCATGTGAGCAGTGGCCTAGGGAAGGTTGAGAAGGAGGCAGAGAGAACCAGCAGCAGGAGGTGTCAGCCTGAGCACTTGCCAACCCCAGCCCTGCAGTGCTGGGTCATGGGGCAGGGTGTCTATGTCCTGTGTTGGAGGCAGGAGATGCTGGTTGGAGTGCCAAAGAGGGAGGGTGCCACCCGAGCCAGGCTGCAGGCACTCAGCACAGAGAGGCCTTGGGGTAGATGCCGTGGACCAGCGGGCCCTCACCCCGGACCCTTCCTCAGCTCCTGACTTCCGTGTGTCCCGGCACCTGCTCTGGGAATACATCCCGAGTATGGTCGCTTCTTCCCACCACGGCCCCAGCCCTGTGGCCTTACACACAGTCACGGCGCACTGGCCTTCCTGCGACCTCTGTCCCTATCCTTGTCCCCTCCTGAGCCTCTTGGGGAGGAGGCGAGATCCCGGCGCCGTGCTCAGAACCCTGTGAAGGTGTCCTGGCTTGACGGGAGCGAGAATCCGCCGCCTGTCCAGCCTCCCAGCCCTACACACTGTCTCCCCGTCTGCCTCCCAGCTGGTCTTGGACCCCTGACACGGCCCCCAGCCTGCGTGGCCCTGCTGCAGTTTTCTTCCCCAGAGGGTGTTGTGTGACTCGTCCTTTCTCTCTCTCTCTTTTCTTTTTTTTTTTTTTTGAGACGGAGCCTCACTCTGTCTCCCAGGCTGGAGTGCAGTGGTACGATCTCGGCTCACTGCAACTTCCACCTCCCAGGTTCAAGCGATTCTCCTGCCTCAGCCTCCCAAATAGCTGGGATTACAGGCACCCGCCACCATGCCTGGCTGATTTTTGTATTTTTGGTAGAGACTGGGTTTCACCGTGTTGGCCAGGATGGTCTTGAACTCCTGACCTCAGGTGATCTGCCCGCCTCGGCCTCCCAGTGTTGGGATTACAGGCATGAGCCACCGCACCTGGTGTGACTCCCCCTTTCTGTCCCCTTCCGCCAGCTCTCTGCTCCATGAAATGCTGTCTCAGCAGAAATGTCCCCATGTCCCCTCCCCTGCGTGCCTGTCCTTCAGCTTCCTGGAGATCACTCCCTGGGGCACCAGGTCGCTCAGGGTGCAGACTGTTCAACCAGAGGGTCCCGTCTTGGGGGCCAGGCAAGGCTTCGTTCACGGAGGAAGGGGCTTTGGGCTGCCCTGCAGGGGATGTGGCAGTGTGGCTCGAGGGCCCTGGGAAGCCACTGGGCAGTGGGGACGCTCTCAGCTGCTGATTACAGGGAACCCGGACAGCAGTGGCCTAGCCCAGAAGGACTTGATATGTTCTCGGGCAGCTGGCCTGCAGGCGGGACAGATCCAGGGTGGCCTCTCTCCTGAGAGCCGCTTGTCTCTGGGCCCCTTGCTGTGACGTCCTGGCCACACCGAGGCAGTGCCTCAGCCCCAGGTGGTGGGTCCCCAGGAAGCTCCGGCAGTGTCCTGCTGTGCCACTTCTCTCTGGTGCCGCCTTATCACCTAGGCTCCATCACCCTGCGGCCGTATCACCCGGGTGGCCATATCACCCTGCGGCCGTATCACCCTGCGGCCGTAATCACCCGGGCAGCATCACCCTGCGGCCGTAATCACCCGGTGGCCATATCACCTAGGCTCCATCACCCAGCGGCCGTATCACCCTGGCGGCATCACCCTGCGGCCGTAATCACCTGGTGGCCGTATCACCTAGGCTCCATCACCCGGCGGCCATATCACCCTGGTGGCATCACCCTGCGGCTGTATCACCCTGCGGCCGTAATCACCCGGGCGGCATCACCCTGCGGCCGTAATCACCTGGTGGCCGTATCACCTAGGCTCCATCACCCGGCGGCCATATCACCCTGGTGGCATCACCCTGCGGCTGTATCACCCTGCGGCCGTAATCACCCGGGCGGCATCACCTTGCGGCCGTAATCACCCTGCGGCCGTATCACCCTGCGGCCGTATTACCTGGGTGGCATCACCCTGCAGCATGGGGTTGCCTGTCTTTGGGCCTCTCCTTCTGAGGAGTGTGAGAGGAGAATGGGTTCTGAAGCTCCCAGGCAGGCCTCACTGGCCAGGGCAGGTGGGTCCCCACGATCCAGAGGAATCCCAGGCAGCCCACACTTGGGACCTTCTTGTGAAGAGGAAAGGAGTTGGACTGTGGGTAGCTCCCGGCCATGTCCCCTGTTCAGAGGTGTCCCCAGGGAGGCTTGGGTGGTTGGAAAGCTTTCTGTGGCTGTTGTGGGGAGAGCAGCGTGCCAGGAACCCCTGGCACATGTTCCTTCCATGGAGCTGTATGGGCCCCAGGCTCCTTCACCCAGGCCCATGGCTTTGCCTCAGTGTCCCTGGAGACCTGGGTCGGGGGTGGGGCCTCGGGTGCTGACCGGGGGTGCCCTTGCTGGGCTTAGCAGGCCGGGCTTCAGCATGAGGTTGTCTGAACAAAAGTCTCCATGCCTCTTCTCCCCCAAGCCTCCCGAAATTCCAAAGGTTTGAACCTCCCCACCCCATCTCTTACTGGAGGTCACTCCAGTAGGGTTGCCCCTGCTGATGACCAGAAGGCCCCTGAGAGACGTGGCACAGCAGGGTGCTGTGTGTCCCCTGGGCCAGGTGGCTTTGTCCCTGGGGTCTCGGCTTCCTTCATTTTAGTAAACTGGCTCTGCAGCGCCTTTGCCGTCAGGGCCGGGGGTAGTTGATCCCTCGCGCCGTGCCTGCACGCAGGAACACAGCCAGATAAAAAGAAACGTACGGATTTTATAGGAGACCAAAATAAAAGTTCCACAGAACAGTTCTTCCTGTGCTAGCAGCACGTGCGGGTGTTTCCTCCTCCTGCCTCCATTCCGTTTCATTTACATGCTGGCCGCCGTCCACGCAGTCCATCCTACTGCCTGCCGGGCTGAGGCCCGCAGTGGAGACGCGAGGCGTGGCCTGTGGTGGGCGTGAAGTTCACAGCACGGCGTTTCCCACGTGTAGCACGGTGAAGAACTGCATGTGAGATTGGAAAAGCCACAAAGCCAGTGTTCTTTCTGGTTAGATAGATTGACCTGGGGCGTTTTTGAAACCTTAGAAATTTTGTGATTTTTTTCTGTATTTGAGTATTTCTGGGAGGTGTGTTCAGATCCTCTGAGCTAATACTGGTAGGAATAATGGCCGGCACTTCATAATCACGTCCTGTGTGCCTGCAGTCAGTGCAGCCCCCTTAGGTGGTTACCTTGTTGGATTTGCACAAAACCCCATGAGGTCTGGGTGCTGGGAAAAAAGGGCCGAGACACCTGCCTGGGCCGTGGAGCTGGGGGCTGGTGGGTGGCATGCAGCCTCCTGCAGGCTGAGGCCGGGGCTCCTGAAGATCTCAGGAGGGTGAGACCCATGGCTCTAGGCTGACTGGCGCTTCCTAACCTGCCTCCTGGGGCCTTTTCTCCTGATGACCCCAGATGGAGTTCCCGATGTTGAGAGGGTGAGGGGTGTGGGACCGGGCAGCGACAGCTCAGGCAGCCTCAGAGCTGTTCAGATAACGAAATAAAGACATTCCGCTTCTGAGGAGGGAGCGGTGCCAACAGGAAAGCTTCAGCCGGTGTCTTACAGCTGGAGTTCTGGCTGCCCTCGGGTGAGCACGGGCTCCATGTTTCAGTGCACCCTCATCTCTCTTTATTTTATTTTGTTTTATTTTTATTTATTTATTTATTTTCTGAGACGGAGTCTCACTCTGTTGCCCAGGCTGGAGTGCAACGGCACGATCTCGGCTCACTGCAACCTCTGCCTCCCGGGTTCAAGCGATTCTCCTGCCTCAGCCTCCTGAGTAGCTGGGATTACAGGCACCCGCCACCATGCCCGGCTAATTTTTGTAGTTTTAGTAGAAACGGGGTTTCACCATGTTGGTCAGGCTGGTCTCAAATTGCTGCCCTCGTGATCCACCCGCCTCGGCCTCCCAAAGTGTTGTGATTACAGGCATGAGCGGCCCAGCCTATCTCTTTTTATTTTTTGGAGACAGGGTCTTGCTCTGTTGCCCAGGCTGGAGTGCAGTGGTGCCATCTCTGCTCACTGCAGCCTTGACCCCCTGGGCTCAAGCTGTCCTTCCACCTCAGCCTCCTGAGTAGCTGGGACTCCAGGCACACGCCACCACACCCAGCTAGTTTTTTTATTTTTTTTATTTTTTTATTTTTTTTATTTTTTTAGAGACGGGGTCTCACTATGTTTCCCAGGCTGGTCTCAATTTCCTGAGCTCAAGTTAACCTCCTGCTTTGGCCTCCTAAGTAGTTGGGACTACGAGTGTGAGCCACCGTGCCCGGCCAGATGACAGTTCTGAGTGTTGGGTGATGGCAGAGCAGCCACAGCGTGGCCCTTGAATCTCCTGTATCCCTGCATAAAAACACGGCAACCAGGTAGCAAAACTCAAGTTCCCTGGATCACAGTTGCAAAGTTACTAGGTCCTAAGTTATCCCCATGAGTTGCAAAATACAGCTGGATGAGGATAAACCACCGAGGCCTGTGTGGTGTTAGCATCTGACTGGGAGGAGGGAAGCAGAGGAGAGCCACAGACAGCCTGCAGGTCTTCACTGCAAAGCTGGGCAGGGGAGTCGGGGTCACTTTAGGACCAGCAGCTGAAGTAGGAGCTGTTTTGTCCAAACCAGGGTAGTGGGGAGAGAGGCTGGTGGGAAGGCCCAAAAGGGGCTGGGGCAGCTCAGGCCCTGCAGCTCTCTAAGCAACCAGGTAAAGTGCTGTGCAGGGCAGAACCTCATGTGAGGAATCAGAATCGAGCAGGGCCCCTGTCCTTGGCAACAGAGGAAGGCAGGAGAAGGTCCTGATGACAGTGGGGACAGCGGCTGGAGTGTGTGCATCTGTGCAGGCTGGTTGCAGCGTTTTTACCTGCTGTGTGAGAACCTCTGAGAAGTTAGAACAGCTACCCTGAACCAAGCCGCCTCCTAGAAATTCAAGGAAACTTATACATAAAATGAGCAACAGAAAAATACTGAGTTCAACCTTCCCAAAAGTGATTATAATAAAAAAGATAAGGGACAGGATGGCATTTCTACAGATAGGCAGGCCGGAAGTGCATCCCAACAAGATCAAGATCATTTAGTACAGGGTCCCCAGTCCTTGGTACTGGTGCTGCTCCGTGGCCTGTTAGGAACTGGGCCACACTTGGGGAGGTGAGTGGCGCATGAGCGAGCATTACCACCTGAGCTCCGCCTTCTGCCAGGTCAGCGGCGGCATGAGATTTTCACAGGAGCGGGAACTGCACATATGAGGGGTCTAGGTTGTGTGTTCCTTATGAGAATCTTATTTTTTGAGATGGAGTCTCGCTCTATCACTGAGGCTGGAGTGCGATGGTGCGATATTGGCTCACTGCAACCTCCACCTCTCGGGTTCAAGTGATTCTCCTGCCTCAACCTCCCGAGTAGTTGGGATTACGGGCACACACCACCACACTCAGCTAATTTTTGTATTTTTTTAAGTTAAGATGGGGTTTCACCACATTGGCCAGGCTGGTCTCGAACTCCTGACCTCAGGTCATCCGCCTGCCTCGGCCTCCCAAAGTGCTGGGATTACAGGTGTGAGCCACTGAGCCTGGTCCCTTATGAGAATCTAATGCCTGGTGATCTGAAGTGGAACAGTTTCATCCCTGAACCATCCCCTGCTACCTCCCCACCCTGTCCGTGGAAAAATTGTCTTCCACAAAACCAGTCCCTAGTGCCAAAAAGGTTGGGGGCCGCTGATTGTGAACGAGCTGAGGCAGTGCAGCGTGTGAAAGAACAGCATAATCACAAACTCAGAAACGAGGGGGCAGCCTCGGCAAAGATTTGCAAATAAGAACAAAAACCTTTCAGAATGAAGACTAATGTAGAAGGAACTCAAGAATAAAAACATCGTTCTTTAAAAAAATTGAAGGCAAGAAGGAGGATCATTTTAAAATGAGAAAAAAAAAAAAGGCGGGGCGTGGTGGCTCATGCTTGTAATCCCAGCACTTTGGGAGGCCAAGGCTGGTGGATCACTTGAGGCCAGGAGTTTGAGACCAGCCTGGCCAACATGGAGAAACCCTGTCTCTACTAAGAGCACACACACACAAAATTAGCCAGGTATGGTGGCTCATGCCTGTAATCCCAGCACTTTGGGAGGCCAAGGCGGGTGGATCACTTGAGGGCAGAGGTTCAAGACCAGCCTGGCCAACATGAAACCTTGCCTCTACTGAAAATGAAAAAAAAAAAAAAAAAAAAGCCGGGCATGATGGCTCATGCCTGTAATCCCTGCTACTCGGGAGGCTGAGGCATGAGAATCACTTGAACCTGAGAGGCGAAGGTTGCAGTGAGCCGAGATCATGTCACTGCACTCCAGCCTGGGTGACAAAGTGAGACTGCGTCTCAAAATAAATAAATAAAATGAAAAAAGATTAAAACAGTTTTAAAGGAAACAAGTTAGGAAAAGAAAATCCAACATATGGATAGGCAGAGTCCCTGAAGAAGAGACCCAAAGCAAAAGAATAGAGCGGATAGTAAAAACTCATTCAAGGAACACCCCTTAACACATGAAAGCTGCGCATTGAAAGAGCAAATCACAGATGGTTGCGTTAGAATTGCTGGACGCTAAAGGAAGTCACCGATCCTTCGTGGCAGAAAGCGTGGAAGACTTGGAAAGTCAACATGACTATGCTCGGACTTAGCACTTTATGCCAGGAGAAAATGGCATTATGACTCACGGAAAAGGGACCTTCAGATGGGAAGGGTACAGACAGGCTACCCAGCAACAGCCCTGTGAACCCCGTTCCTCTGTGCCCTTCCTGAGGAACCTAAAAGCGAATGAGCCTCAGACAACTGACCAGGGAAAGGGATGGGAGGAGGGTGTGAGCAGGTCAGTCTCCTGAGCCCGAACATGTCTCAGTCGGCCAAGACCTGCACCTGACGGAGGGGATGCAGCCGAGAAAACACTGAGGGGAAGGAGGACGGTGCGTGCAGCACAGTCCAGGAGTTGTGCCTGGCAGTGGTAGCAGTAGCATTGTTACCCTGAGATCGCGTGTGCACCCAGCAAGAGGGTTGTAATATAGGGCATCCCAGTTCCGCCATCTCCTGCGTCTATGGAATATTCCACTTCCGCCATCCCCTGTGTCTATGGAATATCCCACTTTCGCCATCCCCTGTATCTATGGAATATCTCAATTCTGTCATCCCCTGTGTCTATGGAATATCCCACTTCTGCCAACCCCTGTGTCTGGGATATCCCACTTCCGCCATCCCCGTGTCTATGGAATATCCCAGTTCCGCCATCCCCTGTGTCTATGGAATATCCCACTTCCGCCATCCCCTGTGTCTATGGAATATTCCACTTCCGCTACCCCGTGTCTATGGGGTAGCCCACTTCCACCATCCCGTGTCTATGGGGTAGCCCACTTCCGCCACCTCCTGTGTCTATGGGGTATCCCACTTCCGCCATCTCGTGTCTATGGGGTATCCCAGTTGCGTCATGCCCTGTGTCTATGGGGATCCCACTTCCGCCACCCCCTGTGTCTATGGGGTATCCCACTTACGCCATCCCCTGTGTCTATGGGGATCCCACTTCCGCCACCCCTTGTGTCTATGGATATTCCACTTCCGCCACCCCCTGCGTCTATGGGGTATCCCAGTTCCGCCATCTCATGTGTCTGTAGGATATTCCAGCTCTGTCATCCCCTGTGTCTGTGGGGTATCCCACTCCCGCCATCCCCTGCGTCTGTGGGATATTCCAGTTCTGTCATCCCCTATGTCCTTGAGAACCAGGATTCTCCGTGGGGCTGAAGGGAGGTGCAGATGTCACAAAGAAAAGGATGAATGAAAACTTTAGTCCTGAATTTCTATGGGAAGTATCAGTGTGAACTCAGGAATTTTATCTTAAAAAAAAAAAAAAAAGCATTTCCAGATTTTGCTCTAGAAACATTTATCTCCCGTGGAGGGGAAACCTGGGCTTCCTGGAGTAGTGGTGCTGCAGGTGGGGCAGGAGGCGTAGAGGTAGAGCCTGGGGCGTAGGGGATCTGGAGTGGAGGACCGCCCCCCAGCCCATCCCCTCGGGACCTCAGCTGAGTCCTTCAGTGAGAGGACAGTGATAGTGTTGGCCATGGATTAAATGTGGTAATCCACGGAACACATTTAGCCCAGGGCCAGGCGTCTGGGGACACTGCCCTCCCCCAAGGGTAACTGCTGCCACCATCAGAGTGGCCCCGGCCCTCATTGTTTCTTATTTTTTTAATTGAATGAGAACTCTTGTGCTCCTCACCGTGCTCTTCTCTTGCTGGGAATTCGTTGAATCCCTTTAAAGATGGTGCTGTGAGGTGGAGAAGGCTGTTAGCCTCATTGCTCCTGTGAGGGTGAGGGTGAGGGTGAGGGTGAGGCTTCGGCTTCGGCTTCGGCTTCGGCTTCGGTTTCGGCTTTGGCTTCCGTTTGGCTTCGGTTTCGCCTTCGGCTTTGGCTTCGGTTTCGGTTTCGGCTTTGGCTTTGGCTTCGGCTTCGGCTTCGGCTGCGGCTGCGGCTGCGGCTGCGGCAAGTGGAGCGGCTCATCTTGGCCCATGCGCGGTGCAGACGCAGCCTCTTGTCAGAAACCAGTCTGTGCCTGTGAAGCGCGGTTTCCTGGGCCTTACTGAGATGCAGCACGGGAAGGTTTGCGCAGAGCCCAGGAATCTGCAAGATGTAAAAGAGCCCTGCCTTTTAAGTAATTAAACCCTGTCCATTTAACAGTGCTTAACTCGTACTTAGAAAAAGTAGTGCAGAGATGCCTGTAGAGAAGCCAGATCGCCTACGGCCTAAAGCAGAAAACAGCTCCCACCTCCTGCCTTCCCCACTCCCAGTTTGCCTCTAGAGGAAGGAGCCCCTCCATGCACTCTTTGGGGTTCTCCCTGGTTCTAGGTAAAGAGCTCATGAAATTGCTTTGATAGTTGCAAATCTAATGGGAGGTGAGGACATGGCTCCCACATCCTCTCCCCACTCTCCACTCACTGCGCTCTCCACGTACTGCACACCCGCCCCAGTGCCCCTGTCTTAGCTGCCACTGTGTCACAAGTTTTGTGTTCAGAATTCATGTCGTCATGAATAAATGCTATTCATAGCTGAGTCACAGGGAGCATTGCTACACTTTCTTTCTTCACAGCTTCGAAAACAAAGCAGTTATTTTAATTAAAGGCGTAGAAGCACTTGTAAGGTTCAGATAGTATGGCTCGGTTTACGGTGACAACAAATCTCTTTCCTGCCCGTCCCTTTCTGTCCCCTTCAGTCACACTGCCCCGGGGCAAATAGCTTCTGATGTTTGTTTTTAATTCTCTCTACATCTTTAAGTAATGTGCTTATAACTTACAACATTTTTTGATTTATGTTGACAACGCAGTGGGCTCCATGCCATCTCTCCAGAAGGCTCCCCCCTTCCTGACTTCACCTGGAGTGTTTTCTTCTGCCGCAGGTTCAAGAGCCATATTCGAATACTCTCTGCCTTGGAATAGTGATTCTCACACTGGAGCTGGCATCAGAATCACCTGGGGGGCTTGCTGAAGCACAGGCCCGGCCCGGCACTTTCTCATACAGTGCGTCTGGAGGGAGGCCTGAGCATAAGCGTTTTTGTTTTGTTTTGAGATGGAGTCTTGCTCTGTCGCCCAGGCTGGAATGCAGTGGTGTGATCTCAGCTCACTGCAACCTCTGCCTCCCGGGTTCAAGTCATTCTCCTGCCTCAGCCTTCCAAGTAGCTGGGACTACAGGCATGCGCCACCACGCCCGGCTAATTTTTGTGTTTTTAGTAGAGATGGGGTTTTGCCATGTTGGCCAGGATAGTCTTGAACTCCTGACCTCAAGTGATCTGCCCACCTCGGCCTCCTAAAGTGCTGGGATTACAGGCGTGAGCCACCGCTCCGGGCAGTGCATAAATGTTTTTAATATGTTCTCTGTGGCGCCGATGCTACTGGTCGCAGGATCCCACTTTGTGGAGCACTCCCTTAGCGTGTAGGGTGTGCTGCCTGTGGGTGGGGGATTTAGCGGTGGGCGGCCGCAGTTAGTGGTAGATGGCTGTTTCTTGGACCCAGTCTACTAATGCGCTTCTGGGCATTGCCACTTTGTAGTCGTGTAGCTGTGGGCTGTGACTCGACTCCCTAGTGCCTCAGTTTCTCCCTTGTAAAGGCTCAGTTTTGTGCTCCCAGCTTATGAGGACCTGACGCTGAAGTGTGTAGCGCAGGGGGGCGTCATGGCCCTTCCTTGCGTGTTTGCCAGCGTGGCATCTGGGAGGGTGTTTGGGCTCTGTGTGCTGGGCACCACCGTGCCAGGTGTTGGGATAGAGACTTAGGAGCTTACAGTCTAGTAAGGTCAGGAGTGAGAACGTTGTAATTGTGATTCATGGCTTTGAAAAAACCCTGTGGGGTGCACCTGGGGTGTCCACGGGGGTCAGAGATGCACTTGCTGAGGCCCTCCCACCTGATTCTGTTGCTCTGGACCAGGCCCCAAGGGAGAGCAAATGTAGAAGCTGCACACGGACCCTTCTCAGGAGTGAATGAGCTGGGGAGGAGGCAAGCCCATCCCTCCCGGGAGAGCCCCCAGGGGCAGGCCTGGTGCAGAAGTGTGAAAGGCCTCGTTGACTGCTGGAAGGGCGTCCTCAGTGTAAAGATGTGCAGGCAAAGCCCTGTGTGCCCGAATTGTCCTCACTGAGCAGACAGGAGCCCCCACACCAGGGGCTGACCATAGCCTCTGTAATGGAGGTGGCGTTGAGCCAGGTTTTACTCCCAGGTTCGGAGGTGGGGCTTTCATGCTCATCTCCAATCCCATTACCTGTCTGCAGCCAGGATTGTCTTCCTGGAGCCCGAATGTGACACCATCGCTCCCTGGCGGGCACGTCTTCAGGGTGCCAAACCCACTCCCTGGCTCAGGACCAGGTGTCCAGGGCTGCATTCAAGCCCTGCGGCCCCTCTGCCTAGTGGAACCTTTGCCCGTGAGCCTTCCTCATCCTCTGCCCCCGGCGTCCAGGCTGGTGTTTTGGGTTTCGGGGTCCTTTTCTGGGAGCCTTCCGTGGATCCCGCCCCTCGCCCATGCCTCTTATGTTGCCTGGTTGTTTACAGACCAGGCCTTCTGTGTCTGGGGCATTGTTCTAGAGGTTGGGGGTAAACTGAGGGTCTTAACTCACACAGAGCTGAGGTCTTAGCTGGGGAGAGGGGTAATAAATACTTAGTAAAATGCAGGGAGTGATGCACACTCTGAGGACACCAGGGCAGGTCCTGCGCCAGGGGGAGCGAGGCACCCGAGGCCAGCGTAGCAGCCAAGGCAGGCGTGGAGCCCTTGCCTCTCTTGACTCACCTCCCCCTACCCTCTTGCTTTCCAGTGGACATCCTCATCATGGATGATGACGACGTCCCCAGCTGGCCTCCCACCAAGCTGTCCCCGCCCCAGTCTGCGCCCCCAGCCGGCCCGCCTCCCCGGCCGCGGCCGCCCGCCCCCTACATCTGCAACGAGTGTGGCAAGAGCTTTAGCCACTGGTCCAAGCTGACGCGGCACCAGCGCACGCACACCGGCGAGCGGCCCAACGCCTGCGCCGACTGCGGCAAGACCTTCTCGCAGAGCTCGCACCTGGTGCAGCACCGGCGCATCCACACGGGCGAGAAGCCCTACGCCTGCTTGGAGTGCGGCAAGCGCTTCAGCTGGAGCTCCAACCTCATGCAGCACCAGCGCATCCACACGGGCGAGAAGCCCTACACCTGCCCCGACTGCGGCCGCAGCTTCACTCAGAGCAAGAGCCTGGCCAAGCACCGGCGCTCGCACAGCGGCCTCAAGCCCTTCGTGTGCCCGCGCTGCGGCCGCGGCTTCAGCCAGCCCAAGAGCCTCGCGCGTCACCTGCGGCTGCACCCGGAGCTGTCGGGGCCTGGCGTGGCGGCCAAGGTGCTGGCGGCTAGCGTCCGGCGGGCCAAGGGGCCCGAAGAGGCGGTGGCGGCGGACGGCGAGATCGCCATCCCCGTGGGCGATGGCGAGGGCATCATCGTGGTGGGCGCGCCGGGCGAGGGGGCCGCGGCCGCGGCAGCCATGGCGGGCGCGGGGGCAAAGGCCGCGGGGCCCCGGTCGCGGCGCGCCCCGGCCCCCAAGCCGTACGTGTGTCTGGAGTGCGGGAAGGGCTTCGGGCACGGGGCCGGGCTCCTGGCGCACCAGCGGGCCCAGCACGGGGACGGGCTCGGGGCGGCGGGGGGCGAGGAGCCGGCCCACATCTGCGTGGAGTGCGGGGAGGGCTTCGTGCAGGGCGCCGCGCTCCGGAGACACAAGAAGATCCACGCGGTGGGCGCGCCCTCGGTCTGCAGCAGCTGCGGACAGAGCTACTACCGCGCGGGCGGGGAGGAGGAGGACGACGACGACGAGGCCGCGGGCGGGCGGTGCCCCGAGTGCCGCGGTGGGGAGGGCCGGTAGGGGAGGGGCCCGGGGGGGGGGGCGGGCAGGGCCCCTCGGGCTTGGCGGGAGCGACGACGTGCAAGACCAAGAGACCCAGGGAGAAGCGGACGGGGTGCGATGGACCCCGCGGCATCCCCGGCTCCCCGCCCTCCTCTGTCCCTGCGCCGTCCGTGGGGGGGCACTGGGGCGTATTAGGGCCCGTTCACTTCTCCGCCTCGAGACTCTGCCCCCTCAGCCTGGCCCGCCCTTCCTAAGTTATCGGCCTGCGAGCCGGAGAGACAATGGAGAGAACTGCAGAGGCCGAGTGGCGACCAGGCCCCAAGCGGAAGGCCATTTTCCCTGCTCTTCCTCAGTTGTCCGGGGCGGGGGTGGGGGGTGCTGCGAGGAATGGAGAAACCAGGCCCTTTAGAGGATCCCAGAGAGGGAAGAGAACCAGGGGCCCTTTTCTCTTTTAGAATTTTCTTTTAATCAGCCCACCTTTTGACTCCCCGCCCGCCCCAATCCATTATTTTTTTCTGCCTTCCGGGTCCCATCCTTAGAGCTCGAGTCGTTCCTTCCCCTCCTGGATTCCGGGTAGCAGAGGCAGCGCCGCAGGAGGCGGGTGCCCGTTTGTCCCAGGCCTGGGCGTGGTGGAGGAAGGGGTGCTGGAACAATAAACGGCACTATCCAAATGTCCCCCTCTGCGTGGTTCTTGAGTCCGGGAGGGAGAAGGGCAAGAGGGGTAAACGGAGGCTCTCGCCGGGGCATCAGCAGAGCGTCAGCCGCGCCCCGGGAGTGGCCCGTTGGGTCGCCCGCGGAGGGCTCTAGGCAGGGGGGCCTGTCCGCGGATATCCTCACTATGGTGCGGGCACTCACAGGGCCTGGGAGCTGCTTGTAGATGGGGCAGGGCGGACTGGTCAGGGCCAGGCCTGCCCGCTGCAGGGGAAGGAGCCCCCACGGCTTCTACCACCCTCTCACAGGGGCGGCTGGCTTCCTCCACTCCTATCGTGTGGCCCCCGCCCCTAACCCCAAAAGCACCCTCCTCCTGCCTCCAGCTTCTGGGGGAGACTCTGACTGCAAAGGGCGCACGTCCCCCTACCTGGGTCGTTCACGGGGCTGGTCCCGTGGTTGCGGCTCCCTGCGAAGGAGGCTGGGAGATGAGGTCCCGGCGGCTGCCGCTCCGGGGACAGGACCCCCCGCCCCCTACGGGAGGAGGATGGTGCGCTCAGCTGTCTCTGCTGCAGGGGCCAGGCAGACGAGCCAGCCAGGGGCTGGGGGAGAGGGCGGGTATGCCACAGTCCAGCCGAGCGCTTAGGGCATTTCAGGCAGTGCGCGTGCCCGAGGGGCTTGGTCCGGTAGAGCCGCTGCAGCCGCCCTGCCAGGTGAGCGCTGTTGTTCATGATCAGAAGGGGGCTCGACCATGGCGACTGGTTTCCTGGACCCACAGCCCAGGTCCTGAGGACCCATGTTCCTGGGGCCTTGGGAGGCCGCAGTGAGGGTCCCAAAGGGGTATTTTCAACCTGGCTGAAGGCTGCGATTACTCAGGAGCGATTGGAGGCGGCAAGCTGCAGGCGTCTTTGACTTGGGGGTTTCATAGTAGAGGGGGACTTGAAGGAGAAATTCGGATTTCCAGTTAGAGCCCTTAATCTGCCCTTTCACACCCTGATGTGCTTGAGGAGGGTCCTGGGGCCTCATCTGGAGGCAGGGGGTTTAGAAACCAGGGCCACTGATGGTCTACAGATCCTGGAGGATTTGTTAGAGGACTAGGGAGTGATTGTGGATCAAAAAAGCGTGTTCTCAAGTGGCCAGAGCCTTGCTTAGATAATTGGTATTGCATGTCAGTTTTTGAAATTTCAGGTCACTCGAAAGGAGGGGGTGAACCTTGGCAGTTCAGAGTGGGCTGGGTTAGCAAAGACTGAGGAAGCATTGCTCACTTCTCCTAGGGTCCTTCTGTGGAGCTCTGGCCTTGGGCACTTCTGGAGGCCTGGGAGGATGGGAGGTGCCCTGTCTGGTAGAATTGGCAGCTCGGTGCCCCATAAGTCGGGCACACTGAGTCTCGGGTCAGCCTCTTCTACCTGCTCCAGTATATGGTGGCAGGAGCTGACACCTATAGCAAGAAAGATTCAGGGCAAGTTTCCACCCTGCCCCTTAAGGCTGTGTGACCCTGGGCAAGTGGACTAACCTCTCTGACCCTTGGCTTCCTGCCCTGTGGAAAGGAGAGCTTGCCTGCCTGCCTTGTATGACTGTGTGTGGAGGGGGGAATCCCCAAGCCATGTGTTAACTCACTGGAGCTGCCCTCCCAGGCATGAGCAAAGATGCAGGGGCGAGGAGCCAGGCTCAAATCCCAGCTCTGCACTACTCATCCCACTTTGTAATACAGAACTGAGCGAGCTCACATGACCACCTTGACATCAGCCTGCACCGGACCCAACACCTGACCTGTGCTTTGGTGTCACACGCTGTCCGTTACTGATTCATGCACTCAGGTAGTCATTGCCCACCCCTCACTCACTCATTCTACAAATGTGTTTTGGGCAGCAGCTCCGTGCCCAGTAGGCACGGCGTGGGTCCCAGGTAAAGAAAGGAACATGGGTTCTTGTGGCACTTGCCGTCGGCCCTGTAGTTCACCTGCATTGGAGCTGCTCACCCACGGCAAGGTGAGGCTAGGCGGCCGCTCCATGCTCACAAACCCACCCTGGCAGTGACCGCAGAAGTTCCTTCGGCCCCCATTCCTCTCATGCTCACTTTGGTGGAGGGCACGCCCAGACTCGTTCACGCCCCTTACGGAGTCCAGTCCTCACAAAGGCCCTGTGTGGTTGCCATCATTCCTCGGCTGCTGCTGCTGAAGCTGGTACGAGGAGAGGAAGCAGCCTGCCCAGGCTACTGGTTTGTAAAGTGGTAGAACCTTAATCTGGATCTAAAGTCCTGACACCCATGCCCCCCACCCCCGGCCCCCTGCTGAGTTGATAATCCACTTAATCTTAGGTGTTTATCGGGCACTTCTTTCCTGTGAGGGACTCTGCTAAGCATGGGGGCACAGCAGTGACCTCAACAGGCACAAATCTCTGCTGTCATGGGGGCTGGGAGGGGATACACACAGCTAAGGGCTGAAGGGACAAAAAGAGGCTCTCAGGAGGCAGGAGGTGGAGGAGTCCTGGGCAGGGGGCAGGTGTGACAGGCAATCCCAGGGGGAGTGAGGGCCAGACAGGTGAGTGGAAAGGGACCCTCCACCCAGCTTACTCCCCAGCCTGAAGGCAGTGTTGATCTGGAAATGATTTTATTCCATACAGCCCCGTTTCCCTAAGGGTAGCCTGGAGAGTGTAGGTTCCAGGGAATATTGTTAAGATGTTTGGAGAAAACAGGATCTTGTATTCAAATAACCTGGGAAAATGCTGGATTCAAGTTTTCTTTTTTTTTTTTTTTGAGACGGAGTTTCGCTGTGTCACCCAGGCTGGAGTGCAGTGGTGCAATCTGGACTCACTGCAACCTCTGCCTCCTGGGTTCAAGCAATTCTGTCTCAGCCTCCCAAGTAGCTGGGAATACAGGCACCCAGCACCACACCCGGCTCACTTTTGTATTTTTAGTAGAGATGGGGTTTCACCATATTGGTCAGGCTCATCTTGAACTCCTGACCTCAAGTAGTCCACCCACCTTGGCCTCCCAAAGTGCAGGGATTACAGGTGTGAGCCACTGCACCCTGCCGGATTGAAATTTTCTCATACACAGAACAGTACTTGGCAGGTGGAAGGTGCTGAGCCAAGATTTAGTCGACTGGATGAATTATAAAACTAGCCCCCCACACCCACCCGGCTCAGAACTTTCCACTATGATTCTGTATACCCGGGTGGGGCTGGGGGCCAGGGCAGGGGTAGGTGAAAACATGCAGCATTTTCTGAACTTGTTCTGTCAGAAAACCTTCCATTTATAGAGCATCTTGGGCTGGTGTACTCCAGGCCATCCTTAGAGAAGTGCATGCATGTGAATTGTGTGTGTCTCTGCATGTATGAATGCATGTCTGTGTGGATGGTGCATCTGTATCTTTGTGCATATGTATGTCTGTGCGCATGTGGGTATGTGTGTGTCTGTGGTATACATCCACCCTCCTTCCCCTCATATCTACCACTCAAAGAGGCTGTGGGTGGGGACGGAGTTGCCTCTGGCACCATTGATTTTGCCTCCTCTCCTGCCTTGATGGACAAGTCTATCCAGAAATTCCCTATTTTCTGGCGCCGGTCTTTCAGCACCATGGACAGAGATTCCCCCCCCCCCCCCACCCCACCCCCCACCCCCACCCCCACAGCTGAGTCTGGGATGATGGAGCTCAGTTTAATCCATACGCGTTCCCTTTTAACGCCTCCCGATCAGTTCGAAGAGGGTATTGTTCCTATTTTACAGATAAGGGAACAGAGGCTTTGGGGAGGTTAAATAGTCCTCCAGGCTCTCACAGCTGATAAGTAGCAGAGCTTAATAGTCAGAATCTAATGCCAACACTTAGATCAGTCTATCTGTACCTTATGGGATGCTTGTGAAGTGGGGTGGCCACTAGCCATGACAGCAAGTAGACTGTGGACGGACAGCCTCATTCAGGCTGGTGGGGACTCTGGCAGGGGGATTTGGATCAGCAATTGATGTTTGGTCACAAATAAGATTTTTTTAAAAAAAGTAATGGATACTTTGAGGAAGAGATTACTTACCAAATCTCAACTCCCAAATTCCTCATTCTTCTTCCTGCATTATCCCTTGAAATACTCAGTGAATCTACAAGTGGGTTTAAAACGTAAATTTATCAGGCTGGGTGCGGTGGCTCATGCCTGTAATCCCAGCACTTTGGGAGGCCGAGGCAGGCAGATCCCTAAGGTTGGGAGTTGGAGACCAGCCTGAACAACATGGAGAAACCCTGTCTCTAATAAAAATACAAAAAATTAGCTGGACATGGTGGTACATGGCTATAATCCCATCCACTCGGGGGGCTGAGGCAGGAGAATTGCTTGAACCTGGGAGGCAGAGGTTGCGGTGAGCTGAGATCATACCATTGCACTCCAGCCTGGGCAACAAAAGCAAAACTCTATCTCAATAAATAAACAAACACAAACAAACAAATGTGCTCCAGCCTGGGCAACAAGAGTGAAACTCTGTCTCAAAAACTAAAATAAATAAACACAAACAAGTGTGCTCCAGCCTGGGCAACAAGAGCGAAACTCTGTCTCAATAAATAAATAAAATAAATTTATCAAATGAAAGCATTCCTTGCATATTATTCTGCCCCTTACATATGTATCTCTATCATCATCATGTATCATGTATATATCCACTATACATCATCTATCTACATATATTATCATTTATATACCAATCCATTGTCTTCTATTATTCCCTCTATGCATCAATTATCTATATCTGTCATCTATATGTAGCTATCATTTATGTATCAGTCATCTGTCATCTATTATCATTACACCATCCATGTGTCTATCATCTATAATCTATATCATACATGTATATCATCTGTTATCTACTTACATAGATATGTGTCAATTTATCATCTACCTCCATAGTACATATCTGTGATCTTCCTATCTTCACCATCTATTATCTCTCAATAATCTATTTGTGTACCCTATCTGTTATCTGTCATCTATCTTTAGCTATCTATGTATCTATCAACTATACCTATTTATGTATCTACCTATGATTGTTCCAAAGAGCCCTATCTACATTTCTTATTTTAAAAAACACTTTCAAAGCGTTCCTTTGTGCAGACACAGTGTTTAATTCCTGACTGACGTGCAGTCTGCCTGTTTCTAGTCTTCTGCTACTGTACCAATGCAGCAGGAAGAATCGGACCAAATCCGACCCATACCCTGTGCTGCTTGTCCTGACAGGAACTGTAAGATGAAGGGGAATGTGCGTTTGGATCCCAACAGATCCAGCTGTATCACCCTCCCCAGAGGTCAGACGCTTATCATGTCCCCAAGAATGTATGAAGTGACTGTCTCCTATCTACTCTCCGCAGTGAGGGCTTGGATATGGCTGATAGCTGGGACCCTGGGGAGCAAGGTGACGGTTCAATGTGCACCACTGTGTGTCAGGTGCTTCACTAATACCTTGTTTAGACCGGGCGTGGTGGCTCACGCCTGTAATCCCAGCACTTTGGGAGGCCAAGGCGGGCCGATCACTTGAGGTCAGGAGTTTGAGACCAGCCTGGCCAACATGACGAAACCCCGTCTCTACTACAAATATGAAAATTAGCTGGGCGTGGGGGTGGGCGCCTGTAATCCCAGCTACTCGGGAGGCTGAGGCAGGAAATTGCTTGAATCCGGGAGGCACAGGTTGCAGTGATTCGAGATAGTGCCACCGCGCTCCGGCCTGGGCAAAAGAGTGAGACTCCATCTCAAAAAACAAAACAGAACAAAACAAAACAAAACAACCTCTTTTAACCCTCCACTCTACAGACGGGAAAGCAGGCTCAGAGGGAAGGGACTTCTCCAGGACTTAAAACAAGACACAGCAAAGTTGGTTTCAGCTGCCTGGCTTTGCCCACACTGTTTAGACATGGCTGGATGTCGCTGGTCACAGAGAAGCCAGCCAGCTCAGAGAAGTGAAGCCACTCACTTTAGATCACACGCTCAGTAAATGGAGAACCCGATTCAAACTCAGGACAGTCGGACCCCACGCCGGAGCTGCTTTGACACCGTAGCCGCCTGGTGGAGTCACCCTCGACTCGTCGTCCGCTCCAGGCACTGGGGATGCAGCGGGGCAGACACGCTAGTCCCTGCCCTCAGGGATACAGACTGCGGCCTTCAGAGCAGGAAGTGAGCTGGGTGGAGGGTCCCCTTCCTCTTGCCCAGGTCTGTCTGGATCTCACTCCCCTGGGACCCGCCTCCCACACAGCTGCCTGTCACACCTGCCCATGCCCAGGACTTCCTCCATGTCTCACCCCCAGGGGTCTCTTTTTGTCTCTTCAGTCATCATCTGTGTGTGTCCCCCCCCGCAACCACTCCCACTCCCCGTGAGGGCAGAGATTGTGCCTGTCGAGGTCACCGCCGTGTCCCCTTGCTTAGCAGAGCCACTGGCAGGAAGTGCGTGCCCGATAAACACGGGCGAGTAAGTGGACGGAAAAGCTGAGCCGCGAGGAAAGAGGGGAACTTCCAAGGGCAGTTCAGGAAGCGTGGTCCAGGCGGCGCCACAGCAGGGGAGAGGCCCTGTGGGGCGCAAGGAGCGCTTGTTCACACGCACCAATAGCCACAAATGCAAAGCGCCCCAGCTGGAAGAAAGTTGAGGGGGGAGGAGGCGGTTAGGGTAGGAAAGTGGGATGTGGCGCCCCCTTGTGACCATGTCCCATCTGTGGTCATGATCAGCACTGTTAAGACACCAGCCCCTCGAGCCCAGCCGCTCCCAGTGACCAGGCCACACCGCTGTGGTCATCAGCACTGTTGGACACAAGCCCCTCGAGCCCAGCCGCTCCCAGTGACCAGGCCACACCGCTGTGGTCATCAGCACTGTTGGACACAAGCCCCTCGAGCCCAGCCGCTCCCAGTGACCAGGACACACCGCTGTGGTCATCAGCACTGTTGGACACAAGCCCCTCGAGCCCAGCCGCTCCCAGTGACCAGGACACACCGCTGTGGTCATCAGCACTGTTGGACACAAGCCCCTCGAGCCCAGCCGCTCCCAGTGACCAGGACACACCGCTGTGGTCATCAGCACTGTTGGACACAAGCCCCTCGAGCCCAGCCGCTCCCAGTGACCAGGCCACACCGCTGTGGTCATCAGCACTGTTGGACACAAGCCCCTCGAGCCCAGCCGCTCCCAGTGACCAGGACACACCGCTGTGGTCATCAGCACTGTTGGACACCAGCCCCTCGAGCCCAGCCGCTCCCAGTGACCAGGCCACACCGCTGTGGTCATCAGCACTGTTGGACACCAGCCCCTCGAGCCCAGCCGCTCCCAGTGACCAGGACACACCGCTGTGGTCATCAGCACTGTTGGACACAAGCCCCTCGAGCCCAGCCGCTCCCAGTGACCAGGACACACCGCTGTGGTCATCAGCACTGTTGGACACAAGCCCCTAGAGCCCAGCCGCTCCCAGTGACCAGGACACACCGCTGTGGTCATCAGCACTGTTGGACACAAGCCCCTCGAGCTCAGCTCTCTCCCTAGTGACCAGGCCATACCTCCGTGGTCATGATCAGCACTGTTGGATCCAAGCCCTTCGAGCTCAGCAGTTTCAGACCAGGCTCCGGAATATCCCTGCTGACACAGGGAGGGGAGGAGAGCAGAGGTGGCTGCACAGCCTAACCACTGGCCTCTGGTTTGAAAACTCATTTCTCTTTGCTAAACCCCATTTTCTCATTTGTAAAACCAAGAGCCTGGAATGAGTGTTTCAACTAAAGCCAAAAGAGGGAGTTGTGCCCAAACCATCCAGCTCCGTGCATGGGGTGGATTCAGGGTTACAAGTGCATCCTACGGGGCTGGAGAGAGCACCAGGCTAATAAGGGAGCCAGTGTGAGATGGTAGAGTGGGGAAACCAGAGCACTGTAGCCCAGGAGAAAGGAGCTCCGTTTCCAGCTTACACTGACTGTGGTCACCAGTAGGAAGTCAGACCTAACGATGCCAGAGCTTTCATTTTTTTTTTTTGAGATGGAGTCTTGCTCTGTTGTCCAGGGTGGAGTGCAGTGGCATGATCTCAGTTCACTGCAAGCTCCGCCTCCCGGGTTCACGCCATTCTCCTGCCTCAGCCTCCCGAATAGCTGGGACTACAGGTGCCCACCACCATGCCGGGCTAATTTTTTGTATTTTTAGAGACGGGGTTTCACCGTGTTAGCCAGGATGGTCTTGATCTCTTGACCTCGTGATCTGCCCATCTCGGCCTCTCGAAGTGCTGGGATTACAGGCGTGAGCCACCGCGCCCGGCCTTCATTTTTTATTTATTTTTTCTTGAGGCAGAGTCTTGCTCTGTCACCCACACTGCAGTGCAGTGGCATGATCTTGGCTCACTGCAACCTCCACCTCCCAGGTTCAAGTGATTCTTGTGCCTCAGCCTCCTGAGTAGCTGGGACCACACGTGTGCGCCACCACCCTGGCTAATTTTTATTTTTCTTGGAGATGGGGTTTTACCATGTTGGCCAGGCTGGTCTCAAACTCTTGGCTTCAAGTGATCTGCCCCCGTCAGTCTCCCAAAGTGCTGGGATTATAGGCGTGAGCCACCGCACCTGGCCTGATATATATATTTTTTTAAATAGAGAAGCTGGCAAGACAGATTTAGTAACATGTAACATCATAATTATTAGACTTTCTTCCTTAATATCTCCATGATTCAAGCCAGCAACAGTATGTTGAAAGAAAAACAGTGGAATACCTCCATGAGAACCAAATAAAACATACTGCTGTAGACCAAGCTCGTCCAACCCACCTTATTTTGTTGCTGTTCTGTTTTAGGCTTTTAGCAGCCTGAAATCATGGATTTTAGTTTCTGTCTCTAGTGATAAGTGGAAAAGAGGGATGAGGAAGGGTCTTTACTGGTCCAACCGCAAACAGAAACTGAGAACCTATGACTGTATTCTCTACCTTGGACACCCCTGCTTAGTCTGTTCAGGCTGCTCTAAGAGAATACGTAGTGTGTGTGTCTTAAACAACAGACACTAATTTCTCACAGTTCTGGAGGATGGAAGTCCAAGATCAGGGTGCTGGCATGTCTGGTGTCTGGTGAGGGCTGCTTCCCAGCGTGCGGACGGTGGCCTTCTCCCTGTGTCCTCCTGGGAAGGAAAACAGGAAAATTGGGCAGAGAGAGAAGGAACATGTCTCACATGTCTCCTCTCTGATAAAAGAAAAACTTCAGCCGAATTAAATTTAAAGGAGTTTAATGGAGCAATGAATGATTCGCGAATCACGCAGCCCCCAGAATCACAGCCGATTCACAGAGACTCCAGCGCGACCATGTGGTGCAAGATCTGTAGACATAAAAAAGGGAAAGATGTACAGAAATCGGAGGTGAGGTACAGAAAAGCTGGACTGGTAAACAGCCCGGCATCTGCCTTAATTTAAATTTTTATTTTTGAGATGGAGCTTCTTTCACCCAGGCTGGAGTGAAGTGGTGTGATCTCGGCTCACTGCAACCTCTGCCTCCCGGGTTCAAGTGATTTTCCTGCCTCAGCCTCCCGAGTCGCTGGGATTACAGGCTCCAGCCACCACGCCCGGCTAATTTTTTGTATTTTTAGTAGAGATGATGGGGTTTCACCACGTTGGCCAGGCTGGTCTTGAACTCCTGACTTCAGGTGATCCGCCCACCTCAGCCTCCCAAAGTGCTAGGATTACAGGTGTGAGCCACTGCATCTGGCCTAATTTTTGTATTTTTAGTAGAGATGAGGTTTCGCCATGTTGGCCAGGCTGGTCTCGAACTTCTGACCTCAGGTGATCTGCCCGCCTCGGCCTCCCAAAGGGCTGGGATCACAGGCGTGAGCCGCTACACCCAGCCTGTCACCTGTGTTTGAACAAGTCCTCACCCACTCTTTCCCACGTGGTCCCTCACATCGCCTGCCTGGCATTTGAGTTTGTGACCCCCAACCCCAAGCGTGTGTCAGGATAGGACCGGTTATGCTGCAAGCAAACAGCCCCCATGTCAGGGGCTCACAACACTCAACATTTTATCTTGTTTGTGTTCCGTGCCTGCCATGGGTTGCGGGGAGCTCTGCTCCACGTTGTCAACTCTCTGGGACTCACCATTTGCCGTGGCCAGGCAGAGAGACTTGGCAAATCGTGTACTGCTCTTGAAGTCTCCAGCCAGAAGCGACACACACTTCTTCTGCTCTGGGTTCATCCCCCACAGCAAGGCACATGGCCATGCCCAGCTTTCAGGGAGCCGGAAAGTAAGTCCTATTTTGTGTCTGGGAGGGAAAATGGGAAAATTGGGCAAAGGATTAGTTATTCTGGGTATAATCCAACATGCTGGTTCTCAGAAACCAAACGAGCCTCAACCGTGCATCTCACCTGAGTCTATATTCTCAGTGTTCTCTGTCCTGTGGTCTCAGTGATGGGTCCTGTTCCTTTTACCTGGGGCAACCCCCGGCCCAGCTGGTTCCACCAATGCCAGAACTGGCCTGGATGCTTCTCCACTTCAGCCCTGAGCCTGGGCTGAAGCTGCTGAGGCTCTGCATCCCGCTGGCCTCCTTCCTCTGGATGAGGAGGTAAAGATGATTGCTCACAGTTGGAGGTAGGGTGTCAGAGAGCCCTCTGGGAGCTGCAGATGCACTGTCATTCCTGGTGGGATGAAACACTGCCCAGACCACATCTGGTTCTGTGGCTCCATCTACCTGCCTCTCCTTAGCTGCATTCGCCACTGTGACTGGTGCAATACAGAAATGCTCACTGCAACTGGGCAAGGTCAATATTCTTATTCCGGACCTTCCTTAGGGCCGGTAGGGAAGTGCTGGTTTCTCTCAGCTCTCTGCTGCCACCACCTGGATTCTTGAGAACTGCAGTGTCTGTGAAATGAAGTCGTGGTCCTGGATAAAGGACGGTAAAGTGTTATTATATAACATACCATGTAAAGGCATGGATCTGTGTTAGATAGACAGTGTTTTTGTTCATCTGGTAAAAGTCACATAACAAAATGAACCCATTTTAAAGTGCACAATTCAGTTAGCATTTGGTACATTTACAGTGTTGTAGAACCATCATTTCTGTCTAGTTCCAAAACATTTTTGTCATCCAAAAAGGAGACCTTGTATCCATTAGACAGTCACTCCCCATTCCCACCTTTGCCTCAGTCACCACAAGCTGATTTGAGACAGGCCTCGTTTTGCATCAAGGGTGGTGATTTCTTCAGCATTCCACACAGGAGGAGCTTAGGCCCAGCATTCTGCATGGTGAGCGGAGCCTGGGGCTTGTCTTGAAGCTGGACTTGCTTGTATAGCAAGTGCTGTTTCCTTATGTGTGTGTGTGTTTAGGTTATTTGGGAAAGGATGGCTCATGAAGAGTATATGGTGGTGGTAGGGGAAAAACTTTAGGGTCCTGGTCAGCAACGTACGAGTCTTACCATCCTGTTCAAGAGACCAACCTTTCTGAGCTCCAGCTTTTTCGTCCTTTAAAGATGGTAAATGATGTTTATCTCGCATATTTACTTTGAAGATTGAAGGAGATAACTTACGCAAAGAACTGAGCAAAGGCCAGGTGCGGTGGCTCACGCCTGTAATCCCAGCACTTTGAGAGGTCAAGGCGGGCAGATCACCTGAGGTCAGGAGTTCAAGACCAGCCTGGCCAACACAGCAAAATGCTGTCTTTACTAAAAATACAAAAGTTAGCCGGGCGTGGTGGCATGCACCTGTAATCACAGCTACTCGGGAGGCTGAGGCAGGAGAATCGCTTGAACCTGGGAGGCGGAGGTTGCAGTGAGCCAAGATCACACCACTGCACTCCAGCCTGGGCAACAGATCAAGACTGTCTCAAACACACACACACACACCCCCAAGCCAAAGAACTGAGCCAAGTGACTGTCAAATAGAGGTAACTGGTAGGTGGTCCTGGTTCTTCTTCCTCATCATCAACAGAGCCTGAACCTTGACAACTCATTCTGGGGGCTTAACCACAGTAAGTCACTTGGGACTCCCAACTAGAGTTAGGAACCCAAAAAGCATTCATGATATTTGGTTGCTGCTGTAGCTTAGAAGACAGACAATCTGCCAGTGTGGAAAATGCATTAGGGTTCTTCGAGAAGCAGAATCAATATTCTGTATGTGTGCGTGTAGTCATGTGCTGCATGACATTCCAAACAATGGGCTGCACGGACCATGATGGTCGCATAAGATTATGCTGCTGGAAAATGTCTTCGACCTGGTGCTGTCATAGGCCTTGTAACATCACAGTGCAATGCACAACTCACATGCGTGTGGTGATGTGGTAAACAGGCCAACTGTGCTGCCAATGGTATAAAAGTTGGGCACATACCAGCCTGACCAACAAGGTGAAATCCCGTCTCTACTAAAAATAAAAAAATTAGCTGGGCATGGTGGCTCACACCTGTAATCCCAGCACTTTGGGAGGCTGAGGCAGACGGATCACCTGAGGTCAGGAGTTCGAGACCAGCCTGACCAACATGGTGAAACCCCATCTCTACCAAAGATAAAAAAATTAGCTGGGCATGGTGGCACGTGCCTGTAATCCCAGCTACTCAGGAGGCTGAGGCAGGATTGCTTGAACCCAGGAGGCAGAGACTGCAATGAGCTGAGATCCTGTCACTGCACTCCAGCCTAGGAGACAGAGCAAGATTCTGTCTCAAAAAACAACAACAACAAAAACACACAAAACTAACAAACAAAAAATTAGCCGCGCATGGTGGTGCACACCTGTAGTCTCAGCTATTCTGCTCGGGAGGCTGAGGCAGGAGAATCGCTTCAACCTGGAAGGCAGAGGTTGCAGTGAGCCAAGATCACGCCATTGCACATATAATTATGTACAGCACTTAGTACTTGATAATGGTAATAAATGACTATGTTACTGGTTCATGTATTTACTATACTTTTTTTTTTTTGAGATGGAGTCTTGCCTTGTCACCCAGGCTGGAGTGCAGTGGCGCAATCTTGGCTCACTGCAGCCTCTGCGTCTCAGGTTCAAGCGATCCCCCAACCTCAGTCTCCTGAGTAGCTGGGACCACAGGCACATACCACCACACCCGGCTAATTTTTTTGTATTTTTGGTAGAGATGGGTCTCACTATGTTGCCCAGGCTAGTCTTGAGCTCCTGAGCTCAAGTGATCTGCCCGCCTCAGCCTCCCAAAGTGCTGGGATTATAATTGTCAGCCACGGCCCCTGGGTATACTATAATTTTTAAACGTTATTTTAGAGCATACTCCTACTTACAAAAAAAAAAAAACCGATTAATTGTAGAGCAGCCTCAGGCAGGTCCTTCTGGAGGAACCCAGAAGAACCGTTGTCATAGAAGAAGACAGCCCCATGTATGTCACTGCCCCTGAAGACCTTCTAGGGGGACAAGATACGGAGTTAGAAGAGAAGGATCTTGACGATCCTGACTCTGTGCAGGCTAGACTAATGTGTGTGTGTGTCTTTCTTAATCAAAAATTAAAACGTTAAAGAAATTAGGAAAAAGATTATAGAATAAGGATGTACAGCAAGAAAATCTTTCTATACAGTTGCACAATGCACATGTGTGCATGCGTGTGTGTGTGTGTGTGTGTGTGTGTGTGTGTGTTTAGAGACAGTCAGGCTCTCTTGTCCAGGCTGGAGAGCATGGTATGAACATAGCTCACTGCAGTCTTGAACTACTGGGCTCAAGCGATCCTCCCACCTCAGCCTCCCAAGTAGCTGGGACTATAGGCATGTGCCACCATGCCCGGCTAATTAAAAAATAATTATTTCCTGTAGAGGTGGGGTCTATGTTGTACAGGCTGGTCTTGAACTCCTAAGGGTGATCCTCCTGCCTCAGTCTCTCCAAGTGCTGAGATTACAGGTGTAAGCCATCGTGTCTGATCTATGTTTGTGTTTTAAGCTAAGTGTTATTACGAGAGTCAAAAAATTAAAAAAAAAAATTAAAAGTTAGCTGGGCACAGTGGCTTATACCTGTAATCCCAGCACTTTGGGAGGCCGAGGCAGATGGAGCACCTGAGGTGAGGAGTTCAAGACCAGCCTGGCCAACATGGTGAAACCCCATCTCTACTAAAAATACAAAAATTAGCTGGGCGTGGTGGCAGGTGCCCGTAGTCCCAGCTATTCGGGAGGCTGAGGCAGGAGAATCGCTTGAACGCAGGAGGCAGAGGTTGCAGTGAGCCGAGATCACACCATTGCACTCCAGCCTGGGCGACAGAGTGAGACTTTGTCTCAAAAATAAGTAAATAAAAGTTTATAAAGTAAAAATGTTACAGTAAGCTAAGGTTAATTTATTCTTGAAGAAAGAAAAATATTTTATAAATTATGGTAGCCTAAGTGTGCAGTGTTTATAAAGTCTACAGCAGTGTAGAGTAACGTCCCAGTCTTCACATTCACCCACCACTCACACACCGACTCACCCAGAGCAGCTTCCATGTCTACAAACTTCATTCATGGTAAGTGCCCCATATAGGTATACCATCTTCAAATATTTTCTTTGGTATTTTGTTGTAACTTTTCTACGTTTAAATATATAAATACTTAGTGTTGTGTTACCGTTGCCTACAGTATTCAGTACAGTAACATGTTGTCCAGGTTTTAGCCTAAAAACAATAGGCTCTAAGAGCAAATAGGCTCCAGCCTGTGCAATACAGCGAGAGTCCATCTCTACAGAAAATAACAATTATTTTTTGAGATGGAGTCTGGCTCACATCTGTAATCCCAGCACTTTGGGAGGCCGAGGCGGGCGGATCACAAGGTCAGGAGATTGAGACCATCCTGGCTAACACAGTGAAACCCCGTCTCTACTAAAAATACAAAAATTAGCTGGGTGTGGTAGTGGGCGCCTGTAGTCCCAGCTACTCAGGAGGCTGAGGCAGGAGAATGGCGTGAACCCGGGAGGCGGAGCTTGCAGTGAGCTGAGATCGCACCACTGCACTTCAGCCTGGGTGACACAGCAAGACTCCGTCTCTAAATGAATGAATGAATGAATGAATGAATGAAACGGAGTCTTGCTCTGTCACCCAGGCTGGAGTGCAGTGGTGCAATCTCGGCTCACTGCAACCTCCGTCTCCCAGGTTCCCGCAATTCTCCTCCCTCGGCTTTCGAAGTAGCTGGGACTACAGGCGTGCGCCACCATGCCCAGCTGCTTTTTATATTTATAGTAGAGATGGGGTTTTCTCCATGTTGGCCAGGCTGGTCTCGAACTCCTGACCTCAGGTGATCCACCTGCCTCGGCCTCCCAAAGTGCTGGGATTACAGGCATGAGCCACCACACCCAGCCTAGAAAATAATTATTTTTTAAATTAGCTGGGCATGGTGGCACATGCCTGTAGTCCCAGCTGCTTGGGAGGCTGAGGTGGGAGGATGGCTTGAGCCCTGTAGTTCAAGGCTGCAGTGAGCTGTGATTATGCCACTTCTCTCCATATAGCCTAGGTGTATGGTAGGCTGTATTATCTAGTTTTGTGTAAATACACTTGATATTTGCACACGACTGATGATGCAGTTCTCAGAACAGAGAAAGAGGTTTATGATGAGAATTGTCTCACGTGATTGTGGAGGCTGAGGAGTCTCACGATCTGCCGTCTGCAGGCTGGAGAAACAGGAATGCCTGTGGGGTGGTTCCAGTCCAAGTCCAAAGGCCTGAGAACCAGAGGAGCCAAGGGTGCAAATCCCAGTTCCAGGGCGGGAGAAGATAGGCGTCCCCACTCCAACAGGCAGGCGGGGAGCAAACAGGGTAAATGACTCCCTCTACACCTTTTTGTTCTATTCAGACTCTCATGAGATGAGTCCACTCACAGAAGGGAGGGAAATCTGCATTACTAAGTCCACGAATTCAAACAGTAATCTCAACCAGAAACACCCTCCCAGACACACTCAGAAACAATGCTTAATCTGGGAACCCCGTGGCTCAGGCATGTTGATATATAAAACCTACTATCACAGACAAGCAGGTCCAGTGTGTGGCGGGTTTGGCAAGAGGTTGGGCTAGGGCCTTAACCTGAGCGGTCCTGTGTACCCTCAACCGTTCAAGCTGCCAGGAGGCTCCTTTCCAGGATTGCACCACTGATCCCTGGCACCCAGCTCATAACCCTTACAGAAATGCAGGTAACAGAGGAACAGTCAGTCCAGGACAAACAGGAAACACAGACAAGCTGGTCTGCAAGATCCTCATCTCCAGCAGGGGTCAGCAAAATGCCCCAAAGGCCAAATGGAGCCAGCCGCCTGTTTCTGAAAATAAAATTTCATGAGAACACAGCCACACCCATTTGCTTTTGTGTTTTCTTCAAAATGTTTATATTTTTTTAATTAAAAAATTTTAAATGGACAAAAATTATATATATTTATGGTGTGCAATCTGCTGTTTTGAAATATGTTTACAGCCAGGTGTGGTGGCTCACTCCTGTAATCCTAGCACTTTGGGAGGCCGAGGCAGATGGATCACCTGAGGTCAGGAGTTCCAGACCAGCCTGGCCAACATGGTGAAACCTCATCTCTACTAATACAAAAATTAGCTGGGTGTGGTGGTGGGCACCTGTAATCCCAGCTACTTGGGAGGCTGAGGCAGGAGAATTGCTTGAACCTGGGAGGCAGAGGTTGCAGTGAGCCAAGATCCTGCCATTGCATTCCAGCCTGGGTGACAGAGCAATACTCCATTAAAAAAAATGTATACATTATGGAATGGCTAAATTGAGCTGATTAACTTGTACGTTACCTTACATGCTTTTTTTTTTTTTTTTTTTTTTGTGGTAAGAACATTTAACATCAGGGCTAGGTGTGGTGGCTTGTGACTGTAATCCCTGCACTTTGGGAGGCTGAGGCAGGAGGATCCCTTGAGCCCAGTTCAAGACCAGCCTGGGCAACATAGGGAGACCCTGTCTCAACAAAACAAAAAAACACTTAACATCTACTTACTTAGCAAGTTTCAAGTACGTGATATTTTGCTGTTAACTATAGTCACCACGTTGTACGACAATAGGTCTCCTGAACTTATTCCTCCTGTAACATCAACATTTATATCCTTTGACCAACACCTCCCCAGACTCCACCTCCCCATCACTTTCAGCCTCTGGTAACCATCATTCTGCTCTCTGCTTCTGTGAGTTTGACTTTAGATTCCATATATAACTGAGATCATGCAATACAGATGCTCTTCCATTTACAACGGGGCTACGTCCTGATAAACCCACTATAAGTTGAAAATACAGGTTGAAAATACTTTTTAATTTTTGAGACAGTGTCTCACTCTGTCACCATGACTGGAGTGCAGTGGTACAATCATGACTCACTGTAGTCTCGGTCTCCTGGGCTCAAACCATCCTCCTGCCTCAGCCTCCTGAGTAGCTGGGACTACAGGTGTGCACCACGTCTGGCTAATTAAAAAACAAATTTTTTTTTTTTAGAGATGGGGTCTCTATGTTGCCCAGTCTAGGGAAATGCATTTAATATATTTAACCCACAGAAGGTCATAGCTTAGCCTACCCTACCTTACACCTGGCTCCTAATGCTTACATTATTCTCCAGTTGGGTAAAATCATCCAACACAAAGTCCATTTTATAATAAAGTGTTGACTATTTCATGTGATTGATGGCATACTGAAAGTGAAAGACAGATGGTTCTGTGGGTACTCGAAGGACAGTTGTTACTGAACGAATGTCACTTTCACACCAGTGTAAGTAAGGTCAAATCCATCACAAGTCAGGGACCATCTGTATCTTCCTGTGCCTGGCTCATTTTATTTAATGTAATATCCTCCAGGTTCATCCATGTTGCATGTGACAAAATTCTCTTTGTATTTTCTATGCTTGTTTTTACCCTGTATCGGCAGAGCTGAGCAGTTACAATAGACCTATGCTTGTTTTTACCCTGTATCAGCAGAGCTGAGCAGTTACAATAGACTAAATGGCCCCCAAAGCCTAAAATATTTGCTGTTTGGCTCTTTTTTGGAGACAGGATCTCACTCTGTTGCCCTGGCTGGAGTGCAGTGGTGCGATCATGGCTCACTGCAGCCTTGACCTCCTGGGGTCAAGTGATTTTTGCACCTCAGCCTCCTGAGTAGCTGGGACCACAGGCGTGCACTACCACACCTGGCTAATTTTTTTTCAAGTTTATTTTTTGTAGAGACAGAGTCTCACTACATTTCCCAGGCTGGTCTTGAACTCCTGGGCTCAAGTGATGCTCCCGCCTTGGCCTCCCAAAGTGCTGAGATTGTAAGCATGAACCACCATACCTGGCCTATTTGGCCTTTTACAGAAAAAAATTGCCAACCCCTGGTTTATGGTCTTAGTCAGGACTTGTCTTCGCTCTTCTCCTCCAGAGTTTCCTTCTCTTTTCTGTCTCCATCAAACAGGGTCCTCACCCTCCAGCCCGTATTCTCTCTGACCAACACTTGTGGTACACTCAGAGCTTCGTTTTTGCAGTTCTGGCTTTGAGAGTGTGATCTGAAGAGCACTTGCATCAGAATGGCTTAGGAAAGCTTTTTAAAATTCATATTCCCAGGCTTCACCTGGGTCCCGCCATACCAGAATTGGCCGTGGGGCTCAGGAACCTGAAGCTTGCTCTCTCCCCAGTTGAGACAGTCTCACTCTGTTGCCCAGGCTGGAGTGCAGTGGCATGATCTTGGCTCACTGCAACCTCTGTCTCCTGGGTTCAAGTGATACTTGTGCCTCAGCTTCCCAAGCAGCTGGGATTACAGGCGCCTGCCACCATACCCAGCTAAATTTTTTGTTTTTAATACAGATGGGGTTTCACCACATTGGCCAGGCTGATCTTGAACTCCTGACCTCAAGTGACCCACCCACCTTGGCCTCCCAAATTGCTGGGATTATAGGCGTGAGCCACCACACCCTGCCAGGTTTCTAAGATATTTTCAGGCTAATGAAAACTTCACAAGCCCTGGATACTGTGCTGATAACACCCCCTGCATAAAAGTACAGCCCTGAGCTCTCTCCACTCTGCAAACCACATCTTCCACTTTCACTAATAAATTTCCAGCCTAATTTCCTGCCTTTTAACTGCTTTATTTCCTCAGGAATTCTGAATCAGATCTCAGATGGAGGCAACTATATTGGTTCATCATTTTTTGCTTTTTAAAAAATAATTTACAAACCATGGAATTCACCCATTTTAAGGTGTACAATTAAATAATGCTTTAGTATATTCACATAGTTGTACGTCTATCACTCCAAAAGGAAACCCCGTGCCAGGAAGAGTCACTCATTCCCTGCTCCTCTCCCAGCCCTGGGCAAACTCTCATCTTGTGTCTCTGTGGATTTCCCTCTTCTGGTCATTTCATATCAATGGAATCATACAAGTGGCCTTTTGTATCTGGCTTCTTTACAGTGGATAATGTTTATGAGGTTGATCCATGTTGTAGCACGTATCGCTACTATATTCCTTTATTCCTTTTTTTTTTAAATTGAGATGGAGTCTTACTTTGTTGCCCAGGCTGGAGTGCAGTGGTGCCATCTCGGCTCACTGCAACCTCCGCCTCCTGGGTTCAAGTGATTCTCCTGCCTCAGCCTCCTGCGTACCTGGGATTACAGGTACACGCTATTACCCTGGGCTAATTTTTGTATTTTTAGTAGAGACGAGGTTTCACTATGTTGGCCAGGCTGGACTTGAACCCCTGACCTCAGGTGACCTGCCTGCTGCAGCCTCCCAAAGTGCTAGAAGTACAGGAATGAGCCACTGCACCTGTTGTTTTTTTTTTTTTTTTAATGAGACAGGGTTTCACTCTGTCACCCAAGCTGGAGACTGCAGTGGTACAATCTCGGTTCACTGCAGCCTTGACCTCCCAGGCTCAAGTGATCCTCCCACCTCAGCCTCCCAACGGGCTGAGACTATAGGCTTGTACCGCCATACCTATTTAATTTTTAGTATTTCTAGTAGTGACGGGGTTTCGCCATGTTGCACAGGCTGGTCTCAAATTCCTGGGTTCAAGTGAGCCTCCCAACTCAGCCTCCCTAAGTGCTGGGATTACAGGCATGAACCACTGTACCCAGCCTGCATTCTTTTTTTCATGGCTGAATAATATTTCATTGTGTGGATAGACCACATTTTGTTTACCCATTCATCTGCTGATAGACACGTGGGTTGTCTGCACCTTTTGGCTGTTGTGAACAAGGATACCTACTTCATCTCTTACCTTGGTCACAGGCGGCCTACAGGTCATTAGGCAGCTTAAAGACTGGCTGTTCTTCAAACGCTAGCTCCTGGTCCAGTCAGCTGCAATGGAGGCCAGCTGCTTGGGTCATTCATCCAGGACCCCGGCTCAGAATGGCTTTGCACTCAGTATAGTGACTCACAGTCATCTTGAAATTCTTAATTTTTGAACAAAGCACCCACATTTTCATTTTACACCTGGGCCTCCAGATAATCTTGGTTGATTCCATTTTGACAATGGGGAATAAAGCTAAAGAACAAACCTACATTCTTGGGTGTCTGCTAAGCAGCTGTCACCTCCAATAGAACCAACAAGTGGCTGATACCTTCTGAGCAGGGCTGACACGGATTTCCTGTGAGCCAGTCGCGTCCGGCGAGGGGAAGGGGAGGCCGCTGGGTGTGCTGGTGAGGGAGGGCTCCCTGCTTCCCGTGGACCAGCGGGTCTCAGGCTGGTGCCCCGGGTAACATCCGGCTGTGTCTGAAGACTTTCTTGGTTGTCACAACTGCGGGAGGGAAGGCACCTGGCAGGTAAAAGCAGGGACGTCACTGAACACCCTACAGCCCACAGGCGGGACCCCGATGTGGAAGTGGCCGGTCCCACCGTCAGCAGTGCCTGCGGTGAGAAAATCCACAGTGGGGATGCGGGGAGGAGCCCGCCCTGCTCCCGGGAGGGTCTCAGGGAAGATGACGCTCTGCTGCCACCCAGCGGCCATCAGGGGAAACTCAACCAGGGAGCTGGCGTCCCGCGGGGTTCACTGACCCTGGAATTGCCTTCCCAGGAAGCTTCTACGCAGTGATCTCAGGTGGACGTTCTGTGCCATGCAGCTCAAAGCATCAGAGTTTGTGCGGCTCCACACACACCCCAGCTACAGCGTGGCTGGCAGGTGGAGGTGAATTCTCTATCGTTTGACTCACGGGTGAGGAAAGGGTCCTTCCTCATAGAGATAAGAGCCCAGATCAGCAGGGAGACAGCGCTCCCACCTGTCCTACCCACGATGTGATGCACCAGGCAGCGGGGGCCTGGGACTCCCCACGGTTGCCCTCCAGGACCGGGTCCGTTGCCTTCCTGATGCTCTTCCCTCCCCGTGGTACAAATGTTAAAAACAAACAACAAGACAAAACGAAAAACTATGTAGGAAGGGTACATTTTCATGGTATGTCATGTCCCAAACTTGACGAAAAACCAGCAGTGCAGAAAAAAGTTTTTCTCAGACCTCAAAGATAGCTAGTCTAGAAAAATAGAATAGTCCTAGTCTCTTGCGAACCTGCCATTTTAGCTGTGAGAACAGCTGCAATTCATGCATTTGTCCTTCATTAGAAGGTAATACATTTTAGGAGAACAGGGATCTTTGTCCTGCACTATCAGCCTGAGGGCAGCGGCCAGCACATAGGGTTATAGGGTTTATACAGACTCATCATTACTTCATCCTCTACGTTTAGGAATTTAGAATAAGAAACAAGGAGTTGGGTAGAAATCAAGGTATCATCCCTATTATTCAAAGCTCTGAGGCCAGGCTGGGTATGGTCACTCACACCTGTAATCCCAGTGCTTTGGGAGGATAAGGCGGGTGGATCAACTGAGGTCAGGAGTTCGAGACCAGCCTGGCCAACATGGAGAAACCCCATCGCTACTAAAAATACAAAAACTAGCCAGGCGTGGTGGCGGGTACCTGTAGTCCCCACTACTCAGGAGGCTGAGGCATGAGAATTGCTTGAACCCGGGAGGCGGAGGTTGCAGCGAGCCTAGATTGTACCATTGCAACCCAGCCTGGGTGACAAGAGCAAAACTGTCTCAAAAAAAAAAAAAAAAAAAAAAAAAAAAAAAAACACCAACCCCCGTCCCCCCGCCCGCCACCACACACACACACAGACTCTGAGGCAAGTGGTCTGTATCTGCAGCCTCCTAGCACTTCGCCACAATCAGTATTCCGCCCACCCATCCCACCCTCAGCAAAGCTTGCTGCATGAAAGAGGAAAGTGTGTACACATCTGGAGACAGGAGGCTTGTGAAGAGCACTTAGAAGGTCCAGTTCCTCCCTCCTAGCCGTAGCACCTGGGTAACTCCCTCTACCCTTGGAAATGGCCAAGAGGCTCAAGAGAAAGAAACTCTTTTCCAACAGGCAGCAGTGAGTAGAACACAGCTTTCTGCCAGTGTGGAGTAGTGCATCAGATTCTAGGCGGTTTCATGATCCTCATCCTGGTGTTCCCATCTTGCCAGATCCCCTTCCCTCAAGTGTGGGAGGGGCTTGTGACTTACTTCTATCCAAACGGAATGTGGCAGGGTTGATGGGATCTGACTTCTGTGATGCCATGAGATTGTAAGTCTGTCTTGCTGAGTGACTGTTTTGCTGGCTTTGAAGATCCAATCTGCCATATGGAGACGGCCAAGCAGAAAAGAGCTGGGGATGGCCTGGGGCTGACAGTCAAGAAACCAAGGCCCTCAGTCCAGCAGCCTGAAAATGGATGTTCCTGGGACCTGCATGAACTTGGAAGAGGTCCTTGTCCCGGTTGGGTCTCAGATGAGACCACAGCCCTGGTCAACACCTTCATCGCAGCCTTGTGAGACCCTGAGACAGAGGATCCAGCTGAGTCATATCTGGACTCAAACACCGAGATCACGTGTTTTAACTGCCGAGTTTGTGGTAATGTTGTAAACAGCAACAAACAACTAATACAAGTAGGTAAATATTGGTGGAGTGAATGTTCCAGCCACTTCTACAGCTGATTTACAGAGATTCATCTCTTCTTGATTCTATAGGGTAAGTACAATTTTTCCTACTTTACAGATAAGAAATCAAAAGCCCATGGAGGTTGACATTTGTATAGTGTCATAAAAATCATTCGAAACAGCCAGAATTTGAACACAGGTCAGCATAAAAAACTTGAAGCTGGGCACAGTGGCTCACACCTGTAATTGCAGAACTTTGGGAGGCTGAGGCAGGAGGATCACTTGAGCCCAAGAGTTCAAGACTAGCCTGGGCAAGATAATGAGATGTTTCTAAAAAATAAAAATATTGTTTCTAAACTTGGCTTTTCCCTTTGACCTTCCCTTTGGCTGTAACTTTACAAAGTGGGATATTTGTAACTGTTGGGGGTGGGGTAGGCAGCAGTGCTCAAGATAATGCACTGGACACAGGAGGGCATTGTGTATTTTTAGCTATATACAAGGTGATAGATCTTTAACAAGACTAACATAGTAATGCTTTGTTAACACAAACATTAATGGTGGTTTCCTTGCCCCCCTCCCCCCCCCTTTTTTTTTGAGACAGAGTCTGGCTCTGTTGTGCAGGCTGGAGTGCAGTGGCACGATCTTGGCTCACTACAAGCTCCGTCTCCCGGGTTCACGCCATTCTCCTGCCTCAGCCTCCCAAGTAGTTGGGACTACAGGCACCCACCACCACGCCTGGCTAATTTTTTGTATTTTTAGTAGAGATGGGGTTTCACCGTGTTAGCCAGGATGGTCTCAATCTCCTGACCTCGTGATCTGCCCACCTCAGCCTCCCCAAGTGCTGGGATTACAGGCGTGAGCCACTGCACCCGGCCTCCTTGCCCTGTCTTTATGTTAGATGGGCCTGTGTCCCATGTGGGAGAAGAGGTATCCTGAAGACAGATACTCTGATTCGGAAGGGCTTTTCCCCCACTACTTCACCCATTCACCTCGTAAACCCTATCACATTGGTCCAATGTCCAAGTATTTTATAAACAAACACTCCCAGAACACACAAGTATTTAAAAAGTATTCCTGCAAAGAAACCATAGGTTGAAGATAATGCTAATACTATAACCACAAATAAACTGCAGAGTTGACGTTCCTCCTATATCTGATATAAACTTTATTAGCTCCATTGCAATGGGAGCAGAAAAGGGGGCATGCCAGCCCCTGTCTAATATACGCTGACAGGGAATGATGCTAGAACATTCCCCCGGTTTGAAAGGGGCTGCTGGAGTTAGAGGTTTACACACAGTACAGTGAATGGCTCGTGGAAGGTGGTTGTATGGTAGAGGCAACATTTCAATGAGTAGAATGAACTCCAGAAATGGATTTCCTGGGTCTGAATGGCAGCTCTGCTACTTACTGGCTGTGCATTCTTTTTTTTGAGATGGAGTCTCGCTCTGTCACCCAGGCTGGATTGCAGTGGCATGATCTCAGCACACTGCAAGCTCTGCCTCCCGGGTTCGAGTGATTCTCCTGCCTCAGCCTCCCGAGTAGCTGGGATTACAGGCATGAACCACCACACGGGGCTAATTTTTGTATGTTTAGTAGAGACGGGGTTTCACCATGTTGGCCAGGTTGGTCTCGAACCACCGATCTCAAGTGTTCCGCCTGCCTCAGCCTCCCAAAGTGCTGGGATTACAGGTGTGAGCTGCCCCGCCCGGCCTTGCTGTGCATTATTTTCTGCACCTCAATGTCCTCATCTGTAAGATGGAAGCAAAAAATATACTTACCTCTAAGGTGTTGTAAAGACCAAATAAGTTAATTCATACTGCTTAGGACAGGGCATGGTATACAGGGCTGTGTTAGATTATCATCATTCATCATCGTCATCATGGATGAGAGAAATAAATACAAGAAATCATAAGAAGTATATTTTGGTAAGAATGTAAGAGTTTTCCACTCTTCTAGGAATAGACTGATGGTTCTGTAGCCATGGTAATAAGTAGCTACCTAGACAGGTTTAAATCCATTAAATGGATCCAAGACAACTTACCTCAGTGAACATGCTTTTGCAAGCCAATCAACAGCTGCCCTTTGCATTGGAAATTCAGCCAGTCAGAAGGGATGCACTCTGATGAACACACCTCTACCAATCAGCCTCACCTGAGTAACCACAGGCCAACTTACACCTTCAAGGTTTAGCCTCATTCTGTACCTCCCCAAATTCCTCCCCACAAAGATCAGAAGTCTGCTCTACTCAGAGATACTGTGGTAGACCAGCTTTTCATTACACTAAGGAATAAATTCGGCTTTATGTTTATAGTTCAGATATTGAGTGACAGTAACACCATCCTTTGGTATTCAGGTATGTGCTTTAAAAAACTAGTAGTTGGCCAGGTGCAGTGGCTCACGTCTGTAATCCCAGCACTTTGGGAGGCTGAGGCAGGCAGATCACGAGCTCAAGAGATTGAGACCATCCTGGCCAACATGGTGAAACCCTGTCTCTACTAAAAGTACAAAAAGTTAGCCGGGCGTGGTGGCGGGTGCCTGTGGTCCCAGCTACTTGGGAGGCTGAGGCAGGAGAATGCTGTGAACCCAGGAGGCAGGGGTTGCAGTGAGCCAAGATCGTGCCACTGCACTCCAGCCTGGGCAACAGAGTAAGACTCCATCTCAAAAAAAAAAAAAAAACAAAAAACAAAAAGAAAAACACAAAAAACAAAAAACCACCACTAGTTGTGGTACCCAAATTCAGGGGCTGCTTTTGAAGATCTAGGTCCTCCCAACCTCTCTGCTCCTAAACCATATCCCCACTAGTTAAGAAAACCACTTGACAACTTTTCCAAATGCTTTGTGTTTATTTAATTCCCTCTATATGCTCTGAGATATGACGGACATTTCACAGATACTGAGTCCTATGACTTGAAGGTCTCTAGCCTTCAAATCCAGTAACCAACGTAGAGTGAACACAGAAGAATCACTACCATTGAGGGCTTTGTGAGAATCAGAAATCATTCTCCATCTTTGAGAAGGAACTCCCAGGTGCATAGCTTGCTCTGAGAAAACAGCGTTTAAAGTTCCTCCATCAGATGGGTGTGAGTGGGGCAGGTTTCCGTATCTTCAGTTTTTCCACCAGTACCGGTCATCTTCATCAAAAGAATGCCAACTACCGTCAATTACGACTCGGGGCTTGAGTAGCTGCACTTCCTCCAGCAGCTTCCTTATTTGCACAGGGTACTGCCATTTCCACAGCCTGGGGAGGCAGAGAGAGGACTCGTTACTGAGATGTTGCTTTCGACTCTTCTCCCTTCTTCAAAATTCCTGGTAGCCTCATCAAGGATCTCAAACCTTTTCTTGTACTCTTAAGGAACGTGCCCCAAAGAGTTAAACCAATGACTAACAAATTATTGAGTTTGTAGGATGGCAGACAAGAAAAGAAACAGCTTGCTGAAACATGGAGACTCCCCCTCCACTTATGAAAGAACTGGCTGAAATCGGTTAGAAAAAGTATGGCAGACTGGAGTTTGCACAGAATGAGCTTGCTGATGTCACAGCCTGAATTTCCACCATGTTTTATACTAACTCTCCCTAAATTGGCACATGCAACCCATGATGTAGCATGAATAGATAATTATGCATGCCCAGTGACTTTCTAGATCTCCTCTTTTCTTCCAATCACCTACTAATCTCAAGATCTACTCCCTGAACCTTTTCTAATAATAATGCTGCCTTGAAGCCAGCATGGGGAGACAGATTTGAGCTTGACTCCTGTCTCCTTGTGAGTTGACCTGCAATATAGGGCTTTTTTCCCCCGACAAATCTCCAGTGTCACAGTATTGGCCTCTAGCACATCAGGCAGTGAGCCACTTTTGCTTGATAACAGTAGCATGTTCCCTATAGAATAAAAGTAATTCTCTGCATGTAAAAAAACTTGGATATGTCAGATACTATGCTGAGCTTTTAAAGGCATCTGTTCCTTACAACAGTCCTAACAGTCCTAAGATGCAGGCATGACCTTTCAGTCCATCCATGAATTCCTTCCTCAGAGTCTCTGTGCCGGGTCGTGTTATAGGGTTTGGGGAGGTACAGTAAGTTCTCCCTTAATGTCATTGATAGGTTCTTGGAAACAGTGACTTTAAGCAAAACTACTAGAGCAGATTCTCGAAGAACGTCATTTTCTTCAGAGTCATTGCTATAACAACGAGAAAACATTGGTTTCATTATATGTCGTTTTGCTTAAAGTCACAGTTTCTAAGAATGTATCAATGACATTAAATGAGGACTTCTCATATAGGGATGGACAAGGCAAATTTCCCACCCTTACCAAGCTTATAGTCTACTAGAGGAGAAATAAACATATTTAAATAGATACATAGCACCGCCCCCATTTCACAGATGGGGAAATAGACCCATAATAGGTCAATCAGTAAATCCAGGTCTGACTTCTATCCTACTTCAACTACTAAGTCCCATAGTCACCACTGATCTTGTCAATGGCTATAGTGCCTCATAAATCAAGGATATAAACACATTCTTTCAACAGCACTCCACCTTTTCAGCTCATTTTGTCACTGTAACAGTCCTGACCAAACCAAGACTCCCAGATTCATTGAGCCATGTTTCTCAATTCACCTTCCTCATCCTGTCTTCACCTTCCTCCTATGATTCCAGGGTCTACCACAGCCACTCTTGACTTCTTCCTGGTTATACCCATGTGCCATAACTTGAACCCTGGATAAACTCAACTGCCATCAGCTGGACCATACTGGAGAAAACAGTTACTCAACTGAGAAATTTTCTATTGATATAAATATACCACAAGGAAGTCGGGCGTGGTGGCTCATGCCTGTCATCCAGCACTTTGGGAGGCTGAAGCTGGTGGATCATATGAGGTCAGGAATTTGAGACCAGCCTGGTGAAAACTCTTCTCTACTAAAAATGTAAAAATTAGCTGGGCGTGGTGGCACGTACCTATAATCCCAGCCACTCAGGAGGCTGAGGCAGCAGAATTGCTTGAACCTGCGAGACGGAGGTTGCAGTGAGCTAAGATTGCACCCCTGCACTCCAGCCTGGAGGCAACAGAGTGAGACTCCATCTCAAAAAACTTAAAATAAAATAAATATACCACAACCAACCTCAAATGGGCTATCAATGCTGCCAGCTGTACATTTCTCTGGTCAAGATTTTACTCCCTTCAAGTACAACTGTGTTCCTTCATGCTCAGGGAAGTCTCTGAACTCCTGTTAGTCTACGGATATGAGCTCCTAAATGACAAATGCTTTTTCTACCACTAAACACTGAAGACATCAGTGAACTGCCACTTTGTCATGAAAGAAACTTCTAGTCTTAAGAGATGGTCCTGAAGAACTTCTGTGAACTCCATCAACTCAGCCCTCCAGACTTGTACAAGGACTGAATGAGAGGGGAAGCTGAAATGATGTGTGTGAGCTACTGAAGAAACTTCCTGCTAGGTGAATTGTTCAGTGCTGTTAACTACATTCACACGGCTGTGCAAGCATCACCACAACCATCTATCGCCAGAATTCTTCATCTTGCAAAACTAAAACTCTGCACCTATTACACAACTCCCCAACCCCTCACCCCAATCCTTTGGAAATCACCATTCTGTCTCTATGAATTTCACTCTTATAAGTACCTCTTCGAGGTAGAATCCTACAGTATTTGTCTTTTTAGGACTGGCTTATTCCACTCGGCATGTCAAGATTCCATCATGTAGCATGTGTCAGAATTTTCTTTTTGAGACTGAATACAATTCCATTGTTGGTATACACCACATTCTGCTTATCCTTTCATCCACGAGCGCCTGGGTTACTTCCACCTCTTGGCTATTATTGTGCATTATGCCACTATGAACATGGGTGTGAAATCTGAGATCTTCCTTTTAATTCTTTTGGGTAACATACTCAGAAGTAAGATTGCTGGATCATATAGCAATTCTAGTTTTTTCAGCATAAACATTTATAACGTTCTTTCTGTGCCCTTCCCAACCTACCCAGAAGTGAACTCCATGATATCAGGCACCTGGCCTCTATCTCCCATATTCCTGTATCTCCAGCATCCAGCATGGTACTCAGAACGTAGTGGGCACTCACCAATGGAGTAAAATGTGGCTCCCAAGGTATGACGTCAACTTTTCCCATAAACTGCTTCTCCACCAGCTAACAAGCCTGGAACAGAAGCAGGTCTGTATCTCAGAAGACAATTGCTGGCGACTTACCCAATTATCTGTAAGTTAGACGTGGGACAGGCAAAGGCCGAACACAGCTTCATCATTCCTTTGGGACTGAAGTTATTCTGCACCAGGTTTAGACTGGTCAGATGCCGGTTGCAGGAAAGGGCCAAGGAGAGTGCCTCACAGCAATCAGAAGTCAGTCCACATGCCTTCAACCTGCAGGGTCAGGACACCCAGAAAATAACCCCAAAGATCGATGATGGACCCTTCATTCAACCCGTATGAATTTCACCTTGATACTTTTTCTTTGGGAAAACAAAACAAAACAAAAACAAACAAAAAATGAAACTGGTGGGCTCTGCCTCCCAGTTTCTGGTTTAGTTGTTCTGATGAAAGACCCAAATATTCGCCTTTTTTTTTTTTTTTTGAGATAGCATTTCACTCTTGTTGCCCAGACTGGAGTGCAGTAGCACAATCTTGGCTCACTGCAACCTTCTACCTCTGGGATTCAAGCGATACTCCTGCCTTAGCCTCCGGAGTAGCTGGGATTATGGGCACGTGCCACCATGCCTGGCTAATTTTTTGTATTTTTAGTAGAAACAGAGTTTCATCATGTTGGCCAGGTTGGTCTTGAACTCCTGACCTCACATGATCCACCTGCCTCAGCCTCCCAAAGTGCTGGAATTACAGGCATGAGCCACTGCACCCGGCCAAATATTTGCATTTCTAACGAGTTCCCAGGTGAGGCTACTGTGCTTGGTTCTCACTTTGAGAGATGGTGGGTAACTCAAATTATAGTTGTGGAAAACAATGAAAGAAAGGCTGAGAGTGCCTGTAGCAAGGAAACATAACAAGGAACACAGACCTGCAGAGAAAGCAACACTGCACCTGAAGAAAGGTGAGAAGGCGGAAGGACATATTGACATATGCATTGATATAAAAAAATCACCTGTACACTGTGCTTGCGGAAAGGAGACACATTTGAGAAACAAAGATGACTAGATGGCTAGAAAAGAGTCCCAGACAGTGGTGAGAGCGGAGGCTGGGCACCTAGGTCATACTAAGGGTTTAGAATTTCATCTTAAGAGCAACAGAAAGCCAAGGGACCTCATTGAATATAATAATGGCATTTTATAGGCGTGTTCTATTTTGAAGGGAGCACGCTGGTTATTTTGGGGTGGATGTCAAAATCCGTAAGCTGCTCTGAAATAGTTCACCAGATATACTAAAATACTAATGATTGTTTAAATTAGGTGGTGGGTATATAGGTTTTACATGTCCTAATCATTCTAGATTGAAAAAGAAAAAATCCAAAATGCACAGACTGAGTCTTGCTCTATCGCTGAGGCTGGGGTGTGGTGGCACGAGCTCGACTCACTGCGACCTCCACCTCCCCAGTTCAAGTGATTCTCCTGACTCAGCCTCCTGAGTAGCTGGGATTACAAGCGCCTGCCACCATGCCTAATTTTTGTATTTTTAGTATAGACGGGGTTTCATCATGTTGGCCAGTCTGGTCTCGAACTCCTGACCTCAAGTGATCCACTGGCCTCAGCCTCCCAAAGTGCTGGGATTACAGGCGTGCACCACCGCACCCGGCTGGAATTCTTATGATAGAATAAAAAGTTAATGAGATGCAGCTCAAGTTGTTTTAGCCACCTATGGCGAGATGGTGAGATAAGATTGAATGCTTATTTTTCATTTTGCTTCTAAAATAATATCTAAGCATTTATAAAGACAAAACATCCAGTAGGGAGGCTGAGGATAGAGGCAAGGGAGAGGTAAATCAGTGATGGTATAAGGTGCTGCACACGGATGATTGTGGGATTCCCATCGTGGAGGAAACTAACCTCTGATTAACATGGGTTAAATTAACTACCGCAGGGATGCTTTTGTTTTTTAGAAATAGAGTCTCGCTCTGTTGCCCAGGCTGGAGTGCAGTGGCACGTTCTCGGTTCACTGCAACCTCCGCCTCCCAGGTTCCAGTGATTCTCCTGCCTCAGCCTCCTGAGTAGCTGGGATTACAGGCGTACGCCACCAAGCCCGGCTAACTTTTATATTTTTAGTAGAGATGGGGTTTTCCTATGTTGGCACACTGGTCTCGAACTCTTGACCTCAGGTGATCCACCCCCCTCAGCCTCCCATAGTGCTGGGATGACAGTCATGAGCCACCACACCCGGCCATGCTTTCTTTATTGTTACAGGAGGAAGTGTGTACTGGTGCAGATCATAGTTGGCTTCTTGATAGAAGATTTAGGGCTTTCCTAGTAAATGATTTTATATTATTTGAAGGGGTAGGAGTTATTTGTGAAGCACCCAGTAGAACAAGGTAGGTGCGCATGTCTCCAGGGAATGAATTGTTGTGAAATTGACTCAGGTGGTGGGGAAAACGAGTGGACCAGACAACTAATGCTGGGAAAACAAATTTACATCCATGATCCCTGACTGCACACAACAGCAACTCGCCATTGCCTGTTTTGATCCTGTGATTCTCAGCTACCAAAGAGCAGAGAGGGTGGAGAGTGCGGTTCAGTGAAGCTTGGAGTGTTTGTAGGTGGACACACCCCAGAACAGAAGGCTAAGGGAGACACTGCATTTAGAAGACAGAAAAACAGGCCAGGCGCGGTGGCTTATGCCTGTAATCCCAGCACTTTGGGAGGCCAAGGCGGGCAGATCATGAGGTCAGGAGATTGAGACCATCCTGGCTAACACGGTGAAACCCCGTCTCTACTAAAAATACAAAAAATTAGCCGGGCGTGGTGGCGGGCACCTGTAGTCCCAGCTACTTGGGAGGCTGAGGCAGGAGAATGGGGTGAACCTGGGAGGCGGAGCTTGCAGTGAGCTGAGATCGCGCCACTGCACTCCAGCCTGGGGGACAGAGCAAGACTCTATCTTAAAAAAAAAAAAAAAAAAAAAAAAAAGACAGAGAAAGAAAAATAGAACATGGAGCTAAAAGATGAGTGATGGTATTATAGTAAGATAAGTAAGCCTTGATTTAATAAGAAATAAGATAAAGTTTAATAAAATCATAAAAATAAAACACAAAGCTAGATCGAAGAGGAACTAAAGAAGGGACATGACCACGTAGAAAGAAGTTGAGGGGACAGAGAACCAAGGTGTGATGAGCTTGAAGAACAATGTGTGACTTCAAGAAGGAAAAGGGTCCCGGCCAGGCGCGGTGGCTCACGCCTGTCATCCCAGCACTTTGGGAGGCTGAGGCCGGCGGATCACTTGAGGTCAGAAGTTTAAAAGCAGCCTGGCTAACACGGTGAAACCCTGTCTCTGCTAAACATACAAAAAAAAGTAGCCGGGCATGGTGGCAGGCACCTGTAGTCCCAGCTACTCGGGAGGCTGAGGCTTGAACTCGGAAGGCGGAGATTCCAGGGAGCCGAGATTGTGCCACTGCACTCCAGCCTGGGTGACAGAGTAAGACTCTGTCTCAAAAAAAAAAAAAAAAAAAAAAAAAGGGGAGGGGTGCCCAGATTAAAGCCTCTTACTCAACACAATAGGAATGTGACCTCCCCTAGTGCCATGGAGGGTTATAAGCAGCACACATACAAGACTAGTGCATGGTCAGTGCTCACACATGGTAAACATTCCATTCTAGAGTAGTTCACAGTGCGCTGCAGCCACCTCTGCTAGCTTCCAGAATATTTCCATCACCGTAAAAGGAAACCCCATACCAATTCAGCTGCCCCCCTTCTACTTCCCATTCCCTCTAGCCATGACAACCCCTCTACTTTATGTACGAACTTGACTGTTTTGGGTATTTTATACAAATGGAATTATACACCAGGTGACCTTTTGTGGCTGGCTTCTTTCACTCAGCACGACGTTTTCAAGGCTCATCCATGTGGTGGAACGTATCAGCACGTTTTTTTTTTTTTTTTTCACTTTTTTTGAGATGGAGTCTCACTCTGTCACCCAAGCTGGAGTGCAGTGGTGTGGTCTCGGCTCACTGCAACCTCCACCTCCTGGGTTCAAGTGATTCTCCTGCCTCAGCCTCCCGAATAGCTGGGATTACAAGCATGCGCCACCACACCTGGCTAATTTTTGTATTTTTAGTAGAGACAGGGTTTCCCAGTGTTGGCCCAGCTGGTCTTGAACTCCTGACCTCAAGTGATCTGCCCACCTTGGCCTCCCAAAGTGCTGGTGTTACAGGCGTGAGCCCCTGTGCCCAGCCTCAGCACTTTTCTTTTCATGGCTGAACCATAGTCCACTATATTGGAGCTCTGTCTTAAGCCCCTGGCTGGCTCTGATGCTCACTGAAGTTTTAAGGACCACTCAGGTAATCACTTGCTTTCTGCCCGTCTTTGTCTCTAGACTGTTCACACTACAACACAAAGGTCTTTTCACTTCCATACTTCCGCCATTTAGCACCAGGACTAGCACGCAGGGGTCGTTCAATCGGCAGTTGAGGGTTTTCTACCTCCAGACCTTGTTCCCAAGCATTTGCCACTTCATCCGTCTCATCCATAGGAGCCGAGCTGGAACTTATACCCAGATCTGTGGTGCTGCGAAGGTTGCACTCCATCTAACTTGAGGGACTCATGGAAACCAGATCATCATCATCCCTGTTCAAGCAACCTCATGCTGGGGTCCCCCACCTCCTCCCAGCCCGGCCCGCAAAGAGGCGCCCCAGGAAGTTACCCGAGTCTCGCCAGAACACTGTTCTTTTGCTTCAGTCCCTCGCACAGCGCAGCAACCCCACCGTCACCCAGGGCATTGTCCGTGAGATCCAGGCTCTTCAGGTGTCTGCTCCTCGAGATCACACAGGACAGACTCTCACAGCACGCGGCGGTGAGATGACACTTTACCAACCTGCAAGAGGCGGGGAATAGAGAGAGTCTGCCTCTCTCGAGGAAAGTGGAACAGCGGGAGAAGGTTCAGCAGCATTAACTGGAGTTTCCTTTATTCCTTCCTGACGGGCCACTGTTTTGTCCACTCCTGTGAACAGCTTAGACCACGTGGTATCTGTTGGCTTGAGAGAGGAATGATAGCGGAGGCGGGGAAAGTGTCTGGTGTGATTGAAGGTATCTTTATTTTTTAATTAATTTTTTTTGAGATGGAGTTTTGCTCTTGTTGCCCATGCTGGAGTGCAATGGTGTGATCTCGGCTCACTGCAACCTCCACCTCCCAGGTTCAAGCTATTCTCCCTTCCTCAGCCTCCCGAATAGCTGGGATTACAGGCACGTGCCACTGTGCCCAGCTAATTTTGTATTTTTAGTAGAGACGGGGTTTCTCCATGTTGGTAAGGCTGGTCTCAAACTCCTGACCTCAGGTGATCCGCCTGCCTCGGCCTCTCAAAGTGCTGGGATTACAGGCTTGAGCCACTACGCCCAGCCTATTTTTTATTTTTTTCAAGACAAAGTCTCACTCTGTTGCCCAGGCTGGAGTGCAATGGCACGATATCGGCTCACTGCAACCTCCACCTCCTGGGTTCAAGCAATTCTCCTGCCTCAGCCTCCCCAGTAGCTGGGATTACAGGCATGTGCCACCACACCTGGCTAAAGGTATCTTTAAAAGAAATGAGCACAGCAGAGTTTGCTTCCACTTGGAGATGAGGTCAAGATTCTCCACGGGGGAGGAGGAGAAACTGGAAAGATTCTGACAGAGCCAAGATGGAGAGAAAAGGGGACAGAAGTTACTGAAATGCTGATAGGTCTGGAATCCAAAAGGGGAAGTTTTGTGCTTCTATTCTTAGGAAAAATGGGGAAGATGGGGTGGGTGGCCCCATAAATAACATCTGAATGGTTTATCGCAGGAGAAATGACTGAAACGGCCTCCAAGTCTGTCTTCAGCTTGGGAGGCTAAGGGTAGGATGATAGCACTGGGGAGGGGGATGGTCCATCCTCAGGAGCCATCGGGTGAAGAATAAAGAGGGATGCAGGCTGGGTACAGTGGCTCACGCCTCTAATCCCAGCACTTTGGGAGGCCAAGGTGAGTGGATCACCTGAGGTCAGGAGTTTGAGACCAGCCTGACCAACATGGTGAAACCCCGTCTCTACTAAAAATACAAAAAAGTAGCTGGGCATGGTGGCAGGTGCCTGTAATCCCAGCTTCTCGGGAGGCTGAGGCAGGAGAATTGCTTGAACCCAGGAGGTGGAGGTTGCAGGGAACTGAGATTGCGCTATTGCACTCCAGCCTGGGCAACAAGAAAGAACCTCTGTCTCAAAACAAAAACAGAAACAAAAACAAAAACAAAAACAAAACAAAACAAAACCCCACCAAAACCAAACAAAACACACAAAAATCCAAACCAAAACAAAGCAAAGCAAAAAACAAACAAAAGAAAAAACGGATGCAGTTGTGAGGGCCAACCCTTGAAGACCAGGTAGGGGTGACCTAGTCATTGGCGCTAGCATGGATAAATGGTGATGGAGAGATCCAGTTAATCTCCCAGCACTTAAATGCCATCTCAAAAAAATGATGTCTCTAATTGACTAAGATTCTACACCATGCAGAAGTAGGGCTTGAAACAATTAAAACAAATGGTAGAATTAATACTTGGGGGCACTCAGAAGTTTGTGAACTAGAATCCATACCAAAGTCCTTTATTTTATTCTTGGGAAGGGAGAGATCTCAAAATGATACCCCACTTGTGGTCCATTAATTCTGCCTTTGTAATGAATAAGCAAATGCTACCAAGCATACAAGCGTTTGGAATGAAATCATTTATGCTCATGATGAAAACACTAGATATAAGGTACGTGTCCAGCTTTAGGAGATTTTTAAATTTTAGGAGATTTTTAAAGCCTACACCATTCAATGGAATACCTTACTGTACTTCATTTATTATAATAGACATATCCTCAGACACAATGTGAGACCAATGCCAAAGTTTTGGTTTCTTGGGAGTTCAGTTCTCCACTGGATATGATGGGGGGGTGGTGAGACTACATGAGATTAGATATAGAAAATATTTAGTGCTCTGCCTGCCACATGTTAAGAATGCATTAAGTGCTTGGCGGGGTGCAGTGGCTCACACCTGTAATCCCAGCACTTTGGGAGGCCAAAGTGGGTGGATTGCCTGAGGTCAGGAGTTCAAGACCAGCCTGGCCGACATGGTGAAACTCCGTCTCTACTAAAAGTACAAAAATTAGCCGGGACTGGTGGCACATGCCTGTAATCCCAGCTACTCAGGAGGCTGAGGCAGAAAAATCGCTCAAACCTGGAACGCGGAGGTTGCAGTGAGCAGAGATCATGCCACTGCACTCTAGCCTGGGCAACAGAGCAAGACTCAAAATAAATAAACAAACAAACAAAAAGAAAAAAAGAGAACGCATTAAGTTGCATTAAGTGCTGACTACTATGATCCTTTCTTTGTAAAACATCAAATGCACGCTTGCATCTAGAACAAGAGAACCCCAGAAGACATCCAAACCACTAACAGGGATGACTGCATGGTTGTGAGACTGAAGATCGATTTTTGCTCACTGAGCTCTTTTACTTTTTCTACAGTCTGTTTAATAATGGGATATTCCTATTCAATAGAAACATTTCAACAAAGGGTGAAGAAATTTGAGCCCCAGAGGGAAAGAGATTAAGAGACAAGCACTCTCCCTTCTCCATACAGATAAATAGCTGAAGATGAACTTAGGGCAAGATGCCTTCCTCTGAGGAATGCACAGTGTTTAGGTATCAAGGGCTTCTCAGAACTCATGGTTCCTCCCATGAGGCTCCATCGGCCCTTCCCATGCTCACCGTGGTGTCAACACCTCAGTTTACCTAGATTGCCCTTGGAAAAATGAGTGTCAGCTCACCCTGAAAGCAGTTTTTGGTTCCGGTCTCCCTGCTCCTATCTCTTGACCTTTCAGGAACTCCAGACCCCAGTATGATAGAGTTGACCCAACGCCCATGGGAAACTCACTCCAGGTCCTGGAGATGACAAGATGGTTCTCTCATGACCTCGCACAGAAGCTTCACGCCATTGTCTTCCACAGGGTTCATGCTAAGGCTCAGGTGCGTCAGCCATGAGTTACCCATAAGCGCAAGTGCAAGAAAACCACAGCCAGCCGTGTCCAGGTGGCACTGATTCAGCCTGTGGGGCACACACATGGGAAAGAAGATCGTGATGCTCATTCCCCAGCATGGCCTCAAGTGAGCTGCTGCTCTCCTCCCAGCTGCAGTCTGCTTCTGTGTAGGGTGGGGTCATATTTGTTTTTTTTTCTTTTTTTTTTTTGAGGAGTCTTGCTCTGTCACCCAGGCTGGAGTGCAGTGGCAAGCTCTCAGTTCACTGCAGCCTCTGCCTCCTGGACACAAGAGATTCTGCTGCCTCAGCCTTCTGAGTAGCTGGGATTACAGGCATGCACCACCACGCCTGGCTAATTTTTGTATTTTTAGTAGAGATGGGGTTTTACGATGTTGACCAGGATGGTCTCGAACTCCTGACCTCAGGTGATCTGCCCACCTTGGCCTCCCAAAGTGTTGGGATTACAGGTGTCAGCCACCACACCTGGCCAGGTTTAAGACCTTCCCTCTGACAGAACCTACCCAAATGAGAAGGAGGCAGAAAACCAACTCTGGTAATATGACAAAACAAGGCTCTTTAACATCCCCCCAAAATCACACTAGTTCACCAGCAATGGATTCAAACCAAGAAGACATCCTCGAATTTCCTGAAAAAATACAGGAGCTTAGTTATTAAGCTAATCAGAGAGGGATTAGAGAAATGTGAAGCCCAATGCAAGGAAATCCAAAATATGATACAAGCAAAGGGAGAAATATTCAAGGAAATAGCTTAAAAACAATAAAAAAAAATCAGGAAACTTTAGACACATTTTTAGAAATGTGAAATGGTCTGGAAAGTCTCAGCAATAGAATTGAACAAGTAGAAGAAAGAAATTCAGGCTGGGCACGGTGGCTCACACCTGTAATCCCAGCAGCACTTTGGGAGGCCAAGGCGGGAGGATCACCAGGTCAAGAGTTCGAGACCATCCTGGCCAACATGGTGAAACCTTATCTCTACTAAAAATACAGGCTGGGCACGGTGGCTCATGCCTATAATCTCAGCACTTTGGGTGGCTGAGGTGGGTGGATCACCCGAGGTTGGAAGTTCGATACCAGCCTGACCAACATGGAGAAACCCCATCTCTACTAAAAATACAAAAAATTAGTTGGGCGTGGTGGTGCATGCCTGTAATCCCAGCTGCTCGGGAGGCTGAGGCAGTAGAATCGCTTGAACCCAGGAGGCAAAGGTTGCAGTGAGCTGAGATTGCACCATTGCACTCCAGCATGGGCAACAAGAGTAAAACTCCGTCTCTAAATAAATAAATAAATAAATAAATAAATATAAAAAATAAAAAATAAGTTAGCTGGGTGTGGCGGCACACACCTGTAGTCCCAGCTACTTGGGAGGCTGAGGCAGGAGAATTGCTTGAGTCCAGGAGGCGGAGGTTGCAGTGAGCCGAGATTGCACCACTGCACTCCAGCCTGGGTGACAGAGCAAGACTCTGTCTCAAAAAAAAAAAAAAAAAAAATTAAAAAAAAAAATCAGAGCTTGAAGTCAAGGTCTTTGAATTAACCCAATCCACCAAAGACAGAAAAAAGAATATTTGAACAAAGCCTCCAGAAGTCTGGGATTATGTTAAATGCAAACCTAAGAATAATTGGTATTCCTGAGAAAAAAGAATTCTAAAGGCCTGGAAAACATATTTGGGTGCATAATTGAGGAAAACTTCCCTGGCCTTTCTAGAGAACTAGACATCCAAATACAAGAAGCACAAAGAACACCCAGGAAATTAATCACAAAAAGATCTTCACCTAGGCACATTGTCATCAGCTTATCTAAAATTAAGATGAAGGAAAGAATCTTAAGAACTGTGAGACAGAAGCACCAGGTAACCTATGAAGGAAAACCTATCAGATTAACAGATTTCTCAACAGAAACCCTGCAAGCCAGAAGGGATTTGGGGCCCTTGTTTGTTCCTTGAACAAAACAAGTATCAGCCAAGAATTTTGTATCCAGCAAAACTAAGCATTTTATATGAAGGAAAGATACAGTCTTTTTCAGACAGACAAATGCTGAGAAATTTTGCCATTACCAAGACTCCACTAAAAGGAGCTCTAAATCTTGAAACAAATCCTGGAAACACATCAAAACAGAACCTCTTTAAAGCATAAATCACACAGGACTTACAAAACAAAAATATAAGTTAAAAAGCAAAAACAAAAAACAAAACCCAAGGTACACAGGCAACAAAGAGAACGATGAATGCAATGGTACCTCACATCTCCATCCTAACACTGAATGTAAACGGTCCAAACGCTCCACTTAAAAGATACAGAATGCAGAATAAAAAACTCACCAACCAACCATCTGCTGCCTTCAGGAGACTCACCTAGCACATAAAGACTCACATAAAGTAAAGGGGTACAAAAAGGCATTTCATGCAAATGGACACCAAAAGCGAGCAGGGGTAACTATTCTTAGATCAGATGAAACAAACGTTAAAGCAACAGCAGTTAAGGAGACAAAAAGGGACATTATATAATTATATAATCCTTGTCCAACAGGAAAATATCAAAATTCTAAACATACATGTGCCTAACACTGGAGGTCCTAAATTCATAAAACAATTGCTAATAGACCTAAAAAATGAGATAGATAGCAACACAGTAATACTGGGGGACTTCAATACTCCACTAACAGCACTGGACAGGTCATGAAGACAGAAAGTCAAAGAAACAATGGATTTAAACTATACTTTGGAACAAATGGACATAGCAGATCTATACAGAACATTTCATCCAACAACTGCAGAATACACATTCTAATCAACAGTGCATGGAACCTTCTCCAAGATAGACCATAACAGGCCATAGAATGAGCTTCAATAAATTTAAGAAAATTGAAATTTTATCAAGCACTCTCTCAGACCACAGTGGAATAAAACTGGAAATCAACTCCAAAAGGAACCTTCAAAACCATGCAAACACGTGGAAATTAAATAACCTGCTCCTGAATGAGCACTGGGTCAAAAATGAATACAGAAATTAAAAAATTCTTCAGACTGAACAACAATGACACAATCTATCAAAACCTCTGGGATACAGCAAAGGCAGTGCTAACAGGTTCATAGCCCTCAACGCCTACATCAAAAAGGCTGAAAGAGCATCAACTGATACTATAAGGTCACACCCTCAAGGAAGTAGAGAAACAAGAGCAAACCAACCCCAAACCCAGCAGAAGAAAGGAAATAACCAAGATCAGAGCAGAATTAAGTGAAACTGAAACAAAAAAATACAAAAGATAAATGAAACAAAAAGCTGGTTCTTTGAAAATATAAAATTGATAGACTATTGGCAAGATTAACCAAGAAGAGAAGAGAAAATCCAAATAACCTCACTGAGAAATGGAACAGGAGATACTACAACTGACATCACTGAAAACAAAAGATCATTCAAGGCTATAAGGAACACCTTTATGCACATAAACTAGAAAACCTAGAAGACATGGATAAATTCCTAGAAAGATCCAACCCTCCTAGCTTAAATCAGGAAGAATTAGATATCCTGAACAGACCAGTAACAAGCAGTGAGATTGAAATGGTAATTTAAAAATTACCAACAAGTCCAGGACCAGACGGATTCACAGAATTCTACCAGACGTTCAAAGAAGAAGTGGTGGCTGGGCGCGATGGCTCACGCCTGTGATCCCAGCACTTTGGGAGGCCGAGGCGGGCAGATCACGAGGTCAGGAGATCGAGACCACGGTGAAACCCCGTCTCTACTAAAAATACAAAAAAAAAATTAGCCGGCCGCAGTGGCGGGCGCCTGTAGTCCCAGCTACTAGGGAGGCTGAGGCAGGAGAATGGTGTGAACCCGGGAGGCAGAGCTTGCAGTGAGCCGAGATCGCGCCACTGCACTCCAGCCTGGGCGACAGAGTGAGACTCCGTGTCAGAAAAAAAAAACAAGAAGTGGTACCAATCCTTTCGACACTATTCCACAAGATAGAGAAAGAAGGAACCCTCCCTAATTCATTCTATGAAGCCAGCATCACCCTAATACCAACACCAGGGAAGGACGTAACAGAAACACACACACACACACACACACACGAAACTACAAAGCAATATCCTTGATGAACATAGATGCTAAAATCCTTAACAAAATGCTAGCTAACCAAATCCAACAACATGTCAGATAATCCACCATGATCAAGTGGGTTTCATACCAGGGATGGTTTAACATGTACAAGTCAATAAATGTGATACACCACATAAACTGAATTAAAAATAAAAATCACGTGATTTCAATAGATGCAGGAAAAGCATTCGACAAAATCCAGCAATGCTTTATGATTAAAACTCTCAGCAAAGTTGGCATACAAGGGACATACCTTCATGTAATAAAAGCTATCTATGACAAACCCACAGCCAACATAATACTGAATGGGGAAAAGTTGAAAGCATTCCCTTTGAGAACTGGAATAAGACTGAGGTCTTCTGAGCAGGATGCACCATGGTCAAGCCATGGTGACCTCTGTGACCCACATGTACACATCCAGAAGGCCTCTTGGAGCCAGAAAGTCTAGGATAACAGGAAAACCACAGAAGAAAAACAGCTAGCTCCTGTCTTAGCTGATTAGCCAACCTGCAACATTCTATCATTGTAACATGCTCTACCCTAACTGATCAATCAACCTTGTGGCATTGTGCCCTGTGACCCCTCCCACCTTGTGACAGTGTACCATGTGACATTCTTCCCCTGCCCGCAATAAACGGTCCCAGACTGTTACTTTCCACTGCTTATCCCTAACCGATAAAACTAGCTCCAGACTATCCCAAGGACAAAAAACCAAACACCACATGTTCTCAACTCATAGGTGGGAATTGAACAATGAGAACACATGGACACAGGAAGGGGAACATCACACACTGGGGCCTGTTGTGGGGTCGGAGGAGGGATAGCATTACGAGATATATCTAATGTTAAATGATGAGTTAATGGGTGCATACCAACATGCCACATGTATACATATGTAACTAACCTGCATGTTGTGCACATGTACCCTAAAACTTAAAGTATAATAAAAAAAAGAAAAAAAAACTAGCTCCAATCCCATCACCCTTCGCTGACTCTCTTTTCAGACTCAGCCCGCTCACACCCAAGTGAATACACAGCCTTGTTGCTCACACTTAGCCTGTTCAGGTTGTCTCTTCACTTAGATGCATGCATAACAAAGACAAGGATGCCCACTCTCACTACTCCTCTTCAACACAGTACTGGAAGTCCTAGCCAGAGTAATCAGACGAGAGAAAGATAAAAAGGGCATCCAAGTCAGGAAAGTCAAACTGTCACTGTTTGCTGACAATATGAATGTTTACCTTGAAAGCTCTAAGGACTCCTCCAGAAAGCTCCTAGAACTGATAAAATAATTCAAGTGTCCAGATACAAGATTAATGTACACAAATCAATAGTTCTATACACCAACAGCAACCAAGCGGAGAATCAAATCAAGAACTCAACCCCTTTTACAACAGCTGCAAAACACAACACAACACAACACAACTTGGGAATATACCTAACCAAGGAGGTAAAAGACCTCTACAAGGAAAACTACAAAACATTGCTGAAAGAAATCACAGACGACACGAACAAATGGACACACATCCCATGCTCATGGATGGGTAGAATCAATATTGTGAAAATGACTATGCTGCCAAAGCAATCTACAAAATTCAACGCAATCCCCATCAAAATACCACCATCATTCTTCACAGAATTAAACAATTCTAAAATTCAAATGGAACCAAAAAAAGAGCCAGCATGGCCAAAGCAAAACTCAGCAAAAAGAACAAATCTGGAGGCATCACACTACCTGATTTCAAACTATAAGGCATAGTCACCAAAACAGTGTGGTACTCGTGCAAAAATAGGCACATAGACCAACGAAACAGAATAGAGAACCCAGAAATAAACCCAAATACTTACAGCCAACGGATCTTCAACAAAGCAAACAAAAACCTAAAGTGGAGAAAGGACACCCTTTTCGACAAACGGTGCTGAGATAATTGGCTAGCCACATGTCGGAGAATGAAACCGGATCCTCATCTCTCACCTAACACAAAAATCAGCTCAAGATGTATTAGAGACTTAAACCTGGCCGGGTGTGGCGGCTCACGCCTGTAATCCCAGCACTTTGGGAGGCTGAGGTGGGCATATCAGGAGTTCGAGACCAGCCTGGCTAACACAGTGAAACCCCGTCTCTACTAAAAATACAAAAATTAGCTGGGCATGGTGGCGGGTGCCTGTAATCTCAGCTACTGGGGAGGCTGAGGCAGGAGAATCACTTGAACCTGGGAGGTGGAGGTTGCAGTGAGCTCAGATCGTGCCACTGCACTCCAGCCTGGGTGACAGAGCAAGACTCTGTCTCCAAAAAAAAAAAAAGACCTAAGACTTAAAACTATAAAAATTCTAAAAATTCTAGAAGATAACATGGGAAAAACCCTTCGAGACATTGGCTTAGGCAAGGATTTCATGACCAAGAACCCAAAAGTGAATGCAATAAAAATAAAGATAAATAGCTGGGACCTAATTGAACCAAAGAGCTTTTGCACAGCAAAAGAATAGTCAGCAGAGGCCAGGCGTGGTGGCTCACGCCTGTAATCCCAGCACTTTGGGAGGCTGAGGAGGGCAAATCACAAGGTCAGGAGATCGAGACCATCCTGGCTAACGTGGTGAAACCCTGTCTCTACTAAAAACACACACAAAAAAATTAGCCGGGTGTGGTGGTGGGCGCCTGTAGTCCCAGCTACCAGCTACTCGAGAGGCTGAGGCAGGAGAATGGCATGAACCCAGGAGGCAGAGCTTGCAGTGACCGGAGATCACGCCACTGCACTGCAGCCTGGGCGACAGAGCGAGACTCCATCTCAAAAAAAAAAAAAAAAAAAAAAAAAAAAAAAAAAAAAAAAAGAATAGCAGAGTAAACAGACAATCCATAGAGTAGGAGAAAATCTTCACAATCTAGAGTCGAGTCTACAACGAACTCAAACAAATCCAAGAAAAAACAATCCCATCAAAAAGTGGGCTAAGGACATGAATAGACAATTCTCAAGATATACAAATGGCCAACAAACGTATGAAAAAGGCTCAACATCACTAATAATCAGGGAAATGCAATCAAAACCACAATGTGATACCACATCGCCCTTGCAAGAATGGCCATAATCAAAACATAAAAAAACAGTAGATGCTGGGGTGGATGTGGTGATCAGGGAACGCATCCACTCTGCTGGTGGGAAAGTAAACTAGTACAGCCGCTATGGAAAGCAGTGTGGAGATTCCTTAAAGAACTAAAAGTACAACTACCATTTGACCCAGCAATCCCACTACTGGGCATCCACCCAGAGAAAAAGTAGTCAATATTCGAAAAAGATACTTGTACCCATATATTTATAGCAGGACAACTGACAATTGCAAAATCGTGGAACCAACCCAAATACCCATCAATCAATGAGTGGATAAAGAAACACACACACACACACATACATATATGATGGAATACTATGCAGCCATAAAAAGGAATGAATTAACAGCATTTGCAGTGACCTGGATGAGTTGGAGACTATTATTCTAAGTGAAGTAACTCAGGAATGGAAAACCAAACATCGTATATTTTCACTGATATGTGGGAGCTAAGCTATGAGGACACAAAGGCATAAGAATGATACAATGGACTTTGGGGATTTTGGGGGAAGAATGGGAGGGAGGCGAGGGATAAAAGACTTCAAACATGGTGCAGTGTACACTGCTTGAGTGATGGGTGCACCAAAATATCACAAATCACCACTAAAGAACTTACTCATGTAACCTGGCTGGGCATGGTGGCTCATGCCTGTAATCCCAGCACTCTGGGAGGCAGGCAGATCACCTGTGGTCAGGAGTTCAAGACAAGCCTAGACAACATGGTGAAACCCTGCCTCTACTAAAAATACAAAAAGTAGCCAGGTGTGGTGGTGCACAGCTGTAATCTCATCTACTTGGGAGGCTGAAGCAGGAGAATCGCTTGAACCTGGGAGGGGAGGTGGAGGTTGCAGTGAGCTGAGATTGCGCCATGCCACTCCAACCTGGGTGACAGAGCCAAACTGTCTCAAAACACAACAAGAAAAGAACTTACTCATGTAACCACCTGTACCCCAATAACTTTTGGAAAAATAATGAGAACTGCATCTGTATTGTGTCTGTATCACTAGCAACTAATAAATGCAGTAGTAATCAACACAATTGATCCTCATTATTTATGGATTCTGTATTTGTGAATTTTCCTACTTGCTATAATGTGTTGGTAATTCTCCAAATCAATACCGGGAGTGCTCAGTCCTTCCTGGTCATGCATGTGTGCAGAGCAGAGAAGAACTTGAGTCTCCAGACACACGTTGCTCCCAGTGGAGGCTGAACTGATTTCAGCTCTCCACTGTCAACAATGTCCTTTTTGAGGGTATTTAGTGCCGTGTTTGTTGGATTTTTGTGCTTTTTGTGGGCAATTTTGTTTGTTTTGTGATGCAGTCTCACTCTGTTGCCCAGGCTGGCGTGCAATGGCACAATCTCAGCTCATGCCAGCTCACTGCCACCTCCACCTCGCAGGTTCAAGTGGTTGTCCTGCCTCAGCCTCCTGAGTCGCTGGGATTACAGGTATGCGCCACCACACCCGGCTAATTTTTTGTATTTTTAGTAGAGATGGGATTTCACCATGTTGGCCAGGCTGGTCTTGAACTCCTGAGCTCAAATGATCCACCTGCCTCAGCCTCCCAAAGTGCTGGGGTTACAGGTGTGAGCCACCGCGCCCCGCTGCAATAGTGTTGTTTAAAATGACCTCCTAGCATAGCGCCAAAGTGCTCTCCAATGCTGGGGAGCGTGGGGAGGCTGTGAGGTCCATCACTTGTGTCAGATAGGCTTTGTCAGGCACGAGTCACGGTGCCGTTGGTCATGTGCTCAATGTTAACGAATCAACGATGTGTATCAAGTAAAAGTCATTGAACAGAAACATGAAATACATTTTCATCGATTGATGAAAACGTGACTAGAGGTTCACAGGAAGCTAACCCTGTACCTCTCCCAGGGGCAATGGCTCCATGCTGGCTGGTTCAGTGCTCAAGAGTGACTTTGTAGAACATGATGACCTCCAATTATGAGAACTGACTGTCCTTGAACAAATGACTTCCCACTGTAAGATAACACAAAGGCAGACACAGAATTTTCCAAGAAAGGATGAAACCTAGGAGACATGGACAGAATTCAGCATATACCAGGTCCCTTCATGTGATGATGTCCACACCCCCTCCCCACTGCCTTCTGCTTTGAGAGCTACACCATGCTATGTTAGAAAGCTAGGAAGTCCTTGCAGGGGAGCAAGCCAGACTCACATCAGCCTCTGCAGACTACAGTGGGGAAGCCTCATGGATCGACACAGTAGATTTACACCTTCGTTCCCCAGGCTGTTGTTGGATAGGCACAGGTGTGTCAAGCTCCGGTTGCTGACGAGGGCTGAGGCCAGACTCTGGCAACCCGTGGCTGTGATGCCACAGTCCTCCAGTCTGCAAGAAGAGAGCCCCAGAGAGGACATGATGAGATGCCTTCTTAAAGTTCCATCTTTCCCTCCTTTACAAGGAGGGGAAAGACGTATCACCCCCATAGTTGGCATGTCCTTGCAGACATATGGTGAAGTCGCATCCTCTCTGCCTTTAACTTGCAAACTCAACTCCAGTGCATCAGCCCCAAAAGAATACTCTAAGTATTGTGGGTGATTAGATCTGCCAGTCACAATGGGGAATGGCTGGGCAACAATCACTGCTCAGCCATTTCCAGTCCCCACATGGCTATGATGTAAGGCTTTGCCGGAATGAGTAATTTTTCCAATTTATTTATTTTCTTATTTATTTTTATTTATTTGAGATGGAGTCTCGCTCTGTTGCCCAGGCTGGAGTGCAGTGGCATGATCTCAGCTCACTGCAACCTCTGCTCTCAGGTTCAAATGATTCTCCGGCCTCAGCCTCCTGAGTAGCTGGGATCATAGGCATGCACCACCATGTTTGACTAATTTTTGTATTTATGGTAGAGACAGGGCTTCACCATATTGGTCAGGCTGGTCTCGAAGCTGGCCTCCAACTCCTGACCTCAGGGGATCTGCCTGCCTCAGCCTCCCAAAGTGTTGGGATTACAGGCGTGAGCCACTGTACTGGGCCAATTTTTCCAATTTAAAAGTACACTTAGGGCGGGCACCGTGGTTTGTGTTTGTAATCCCAGCACTTTGAGAGGCTGAGGCAGGAGGACTGTTTGAGCCCAGGAGTTCGAGACCAGCCTGGGCAACATAGCAAGACTCTGTCTCTAAAAAGAAAAAATTAGCCGGGCATGGTGGTACATGCATGTAGTCCCAGCTACTTGGGAAGCTGAGGCAGGAGGATCCCTGGAGCCTGGGAGGTAGAGGCTGCAGTGAGCTGTGATTGTGCCACTGTACTCCAGAACAGTGAGCAAGACCACCCCCCAAAACTACATCTAACACATCATGACCCTTAGGCATAAACTAGATACTCTGTCTGCTTTTGAGATGGAGTTTTGCGCTTGTTGCCCAGGCTGGAGTGCAATGGCGTGACCTTGGCTCACCACAACCTACGCCTCCCGGGTTTAAGTGAGTCTCCTGCCTCAGCCTCCCGAGTAGCTGGGATTGCAGGCGCCTGCCACCATGCACAGCTAATTTTTTTGTATTTTTAGTAGAGATGGGGTTTCACCACGTTGGCCAGGCTGGTCTTGAACTGCCGACCTCAGGTGATCCGCCCGCCTCGGCCTCCCAAAGTGCTGGGTTACAGGCGTGAGCCACCACACCTGGCCATTTAAGCAGCTTTTTATGTAGCACTGAAGTGATTCCAGAAACAGTCTGCTACATGAGTGATAGGTGTTTTCCCGTAAAGAGAACTTGGAGTGAACGCCCCTTCCCCTTGAGAATATGACACCCAAGATCGAGAGCTCAGGGTGTGATCGAGAGCTCAGATGTCACCCTCTGAGCCTGGATGTCTCACTGCTGATACCAGCACTGCCATCCAGGTAAGATTAAAGGTCACCTAGAGCTGTGCTGTCCAGAATGGGAGCTGCTAGCCCCACATGGCTACTGAGCTCTTGACATGGGTCTAGTGTGATGAGGAAACTGACTTTCCCATTTAATTTAGATTTGGCTGGCCACACGTGGATAATGGCTGCCACGCTGGGTGGCTCAGCTGAATTAGCCCCACCCTTGACTCCCGGCATCACCATCTGAGCACCGTCCAACTGTGGACAAGTGACACAGCCTTTCTGAAGCTGTCTCATCTGTCGATAGGGTTATCAACAGCACCTGCTCCGTAGACCTGTTTTGAGAACTCAGCGAGGAAGGGTTGGAGGGATTTTAGCGCTGTGCTTGGCACAGCTCAGTAAGCATTGAATAGTGGTTGCTGTAACTGTTGCTGCTGCTTCGCCTCCCCTCCCTAGATCAGTTATCAGTAAGCAAGTGGGCCAGGCATGGTGGCTCACACCTGTAGTCCCAGAACTTCAGGAGGCCAAGACGGGAGGATCACTTGGGCCCAAGAGTTGAGGCTGTAGTGAGCTAGGATCTTACCACTGCACTCAGCCTGGGCAACAACAAAACTCTGACACGGAAAAGGAAAGAAGTGATATCCCTTTAGGTGTTAGGGGTGCAGAACTGCTGCCCCCTGCGTTTCCACTCGGAGGCCCTTCTGCTACAACAACACAGGCCTGGGTTCATCCCTGCTCTGGGCTCCCTCGTCTCCATAGAAGGAGGTGGGATTGGGATTTTGGGTGACCCTCCTCCTTTTTGAGCCTCTCTGTGCCCAGAAGCCCAGAATGCATGAGCTCTGGCCTGGACTTTACCAGGCAGAGGGGAGCCTGACCGCCACCCATGTTCTTTGAGTGACTGAGTGGGTATACCTCTCCAGTGGTGGGGCCAAGCATTCACTAACCCACAGTGCAAGCTGCACACATAAGCCTCACGCCCAGGAGAGCTTTATCAGGAGGGAAGGTCATTATGCAATTTCCACCTGGCTGATTCCCGCGTCCACCTTTTATCTCCATTTAGAGTTTGGGAGCAAGAACAGATGTTTTTCAGGTCACTCTTACACCCCACACTGGGCAGGTCTTGGGAGGTCCCAACTTCCTTCCTCACCCCTGGTTTGTACATCTGCTCATTTCCCTCCCACCATGACCTGGAGAATCGAAGTTACGATAATCCTGGTGGAAGTTACGATAATCCTGGTGGAAAGGAAGTGGCACTCACATCAGCTTCTGCAGGGCGCACTGGGAGACTCTCAAGGCATCACTGAGAGGCATTACTCCCTGGTCTGTCACCTTGTTTCCTGCCAGGCTCAGAGATTTCAGGCTGGGGGAGGTCGTAAGGATTTGGGAGATCTTCAGGTAACAGGCATGGGTCAATCCACAGCAATCCAGCCTGCAGAGACAGGCAGCATGAAGCAATCCCAGCTCTTGTCCAAAGCAGCCCATTTCCCCTCTACTCAGCACACGCCAGCAGCGCTGGCCGTTTTCCTGGTCCTCGAACTCTGTCTGCTCCTGCCTCCGGGCCTGAGAAGTTGCTGTTCCTTCCAGTGCAACCTCCCCTCCTCCCTCCCTCAGGTTTTCATGGGGTTCACGTCCTTTCATGTCTCTTGAAGGTCGCCTTTCGGGTAAGCCAGACCTTAAATGGTGCCTACCCCACTTCCCTCCATTGTCTCAACATTCATAGCAACCCACCCCAGCCAACATTTTTTTTTTTTTTTTTTTTTGAGACAGGGTCTTGCTCTTGTCACCCAGGCTGGAGTGCAGTGGCGCAATCTTGGCTCACTGCAATCTCCATCTCCCGGATTGAAGCGAGTCTCCTGCCTCAGCCTCCTGAGTAGCTGGGATTACAGGTGCCCACCACCATACCTGGCTAATTTTTGTATTTTTAGTACACACGGGGTTTCATCATGTTGGCCAGGCTGGTCTCAAACTCCTGACCTTGTGCTCCACCCGCCTTGGCCTCCCAAAGCACTGGATTACAGGCATGAGCCACTGTGCCCGGCCTCCACCCAACGTTCCACATACTTATGTTAGTGCTTGTTTCCTGCCTGTCTTCCTTCCTAGAATGTCATCTCCATGAAGGTGGAGGCCTGGTTGCTTTGTTCTCTATGGTCCCCTCGGCAGCTGCGACGGTGCCTGGTACACAAAGGGCACTCGAGCATTTGCTGAAGGGCACGAGCTTCCGGGATGACCGGCAGTATTTACGAAAGAGGAACGTACACAGCTACCCCACGAGCCAGCACATCCACCCCCAAATCTAACACATCACTTAATTCCCTGTTAACCGAATAGCTTAGCATCTCTGCAACTCAGTTTATGCCCTGGAAATGAGGACAACAGCACTACCAACCTCAGCGATGGTTGTGAGGATTAGAATATTAGAATAGCCACGAAACACTTAGGCCAGTACCTGGCTAGGGCAGAGATGAAGGAAGCAGGTTTATTTTATTATTATTATTTTTTGAGACAGTCTCACTCTGTCACCCAGGCTAGAGTGCAGTGGCGCAATCTCGGCTCACTGTAACCTCTGCCTCCTGGGTTCAAGTGATGCTCCTGCCTCAGTCTCCCAAGTAGCTGGGATTACAGGTGCATGCCATCATGCCCGACTAATTTTTGTATTTATAGTAGAGACGGGGTTTCACCATGTTGGCCAGGCTGGTCTTGATCTCCTGACCTCAGGTGAGCCACCTGCCTCAGCCTCCCAGAGTTCTGGGATGACAGGCATGAGCCACTGTGCCTGGTCTGTGTTGAATTTTAGACAGAACTTTTAGAGCTCTCCAAGCCTATACATGCTCCTGCCGTGTGTGTGCACACATCATTCTTTTTGTCTTGTTCTGCTCTCCCTGTGCTGGCCTGTGAGCACCATGAGAGCAGGAATCTCGTTTTGTTCATCAGCACATCTCTGGAACATGTCGTAGTACTACACGCAGAATCAAGCGTCTGTCGTTATTGAATAAAACAATCTCGTTTCATTTATCAGCATGTCCCAGGAACATGTCATACTACTACACACAGAATCAAGCATCTGTCGTTATTGAATGAAAGAATCTCAGCCAGGCGCAGTGGCTCAAGCCTGTAATCCCAGCACTTTGGGAGGCCGAGGCGGGCAGATCACGAGGTCAGGAGATCGAGACCATCCTGGCTAACCTGGTGAAACCCTGTCTCTACTTAAAAAAATACAAAAAAATTAGCCGGGCGTGGTGGCGGGCGCCTGTAGTCCTAGCTACTTAGGAGGCTGAGGCAGGAGAATGGCGTGAACCCAGGAGGTGGGGCTTGCAATGAGCCGAGATTGCACCACTGCACTCCAGCCTGGGCAACAGAGCAAGACTCTGTCTCCAAAAAAAAAAAAAAAAAAAAAAGAATCTCAATTCATTCATCAGCATGTCCCAGGAACATGTCGTAGTACTACATGCAAAATCAAGCATCTGTCGTTATTGAATCAAAGAATCTCGTTTCATTCATCAGCACATCCCTGGAACATGTACTATACGCAGAATCAAGCATCTGTCGTTATTGAATAAAGGAAGTTCCAACTCCTCAATGTGATAGTGAATGGAAACCCTTCACGATGTGGCCCAATCCATCTTCCAATGTCAAAGTCTCCCATTTAGAGACTTAGCTGATCATCCCATCCCTCTATCCAATAAGTACTTTGGGGAATACGGGCCAGGTGTCAGGAAAAGAGCAGTTCTAGGTTCCGGGAATACAGGAGTGAAGAGAAGAGAGCAATACTCCTGCCCCTGTGAGTTATGAGAAGGTAAATTCATTAGTTGAGTTATGAGAAGGTAAATTCGTTAGACTTCCAGGAAACTGGACCTAAGTGACTTCATGCTTTTTCCTTCCTTGGCCCCAAATAGCCTCCATCCATCTTTTCCGACAATGTCTATCTTATTTATTCTTTGAATCTAAGCTCCAGCTCTCTGCACTTGTGGTGCAGACAGTGAGCAAAAGAGTGAGCATGCAGCTTCCTCCATCTGTTCCCAGATAAACCCCACACGATGTCAGGCACAGCATTTCCGTCCTGAGACAACATTTATGCTTTGGCTAATTTCCCTGGGTTACATCTTCTTAAAGTGCAGTTCCCTGGCTGCCAGGCAAACACCACATGGTACAAAGCAAATTCTTCTTCTTTCTTACTATTCTTCGATGTTAGTTGATGTGCCAGCTAACAAAGCTCAAAGCAGGGCTTGTACTTGTCTGTCTCAGAATACTTTATTTGGGAGGGCACAGCCAGTGGATCACTTGAGGTCAGGAGTTCGAGGACAGCCTGGCCAACATGGTGAAACCCCCATCTCTACTAAAAATACAAGAATTAGCCAGGCATGGTGGCGGGTGCCTGTAATCCCAGCTACTTGGGAGGCTGAGGCAGGAGAATTGCCTGAACCAGGGAGGTGGACGTTGCAGTGAGCTGAGATCATGCCACTGCACTCCAACCTGAGCAACTGAGCTAGACTCAGTCAAAAAGAAAAGAAAACTATATAAACATTAAATAGTTGTATCTCTAAACCAAGCTAATCTAATGAAAAAACCACCTTCCCAGGACTTACAAACCACAGTAAGAGCCACAAACTGGGACCGACCAACCAACCAACCAACCAACGTGTCCCTGGATGGTGAATGGTTAAACTGTGGTACTCCATAGCATTGAATGGCCATCATCAACAGAAAGGAAGAAAGTGTGTAACACTTGACTGCTTGGGTGGATCTCAAGCGCTGATGGAGCAAAGCCAGTTTCAGGCGACGATGTACCACACCGATTTCACTTTAAGAGCATTGTCAAAATGACAAGGTTATACAGAGATGGAAGACACACGTGGCTCCTGAGGATTAGGAATGGTGCGGTTAGGGAGGGGTGTGTGACCCCAGAGCATCTTGGTTACTGTGACTGTTACACAAATCTAGATGTAATAAACTGCTATAGAATAATGTACACACACCATACCAGGATCTGTTTCCCAGTTTTGATATTATGCGATAGTATGTAAGATTAACCACTGGGAGAAACTGCCAGAAGGGCACTTTTTTTCCTTTGAGACAGAGTTTTGCTCTTGTTGCCCAGGCTGGAGTGCAGTGGCACGGTCTCAGCTCACTGCAACCTCCGCCTGCCGGGTTCAAGAGATTCTCCTGACTCAGCCTCCCGAGTAGCTGGGATTACAGGTGGCTGCCACGCCTGGCTAATTTTTGTATTTTTGGTAGAGATGGAGTTTCACCATGTTGGCCAGGCTGGTCTTGAACTCCTGACCTCAAGTGATCTGCCTGCCTCGGCCTCCCAAAGTGCTGGGATTACAGGCGTGAGCCACCGCGCCCGGCCCAGAAGGGCACATTCAACCTCTATACAATTAAAATCTCGCTGGGTATGGTGGCTCAAGCCTATAATCCCAGTGCTCTGGGAGGCCAAGCGGGGAGGACCACCTGAGCCCAGGAGTTCAAGATCAGACTGAGCAACCAAACGAGACCTTGCCTCTGCATGAACAATTTTTAATGAAACTGAGTTTTTTTAATTGTGATAAAGTATTTATAACCGAATGCACTATTTTAACTATTTAGGTGTGCAATTCAGTGGCACTCAACTCCTGCAATCGTCACCACCATCCATCACCAAAACTTTTCCATCTTTGCAGCTCTTTAATTTTTGCCACTTTATGTAATCATTTCAAACACAAGTAAAAACGAAGAAAAACAAGGCAAAAGCTCTACCAGAGACGTACCTCAAAGACTCCAACAAACATTTTGGGTGTTTTAAGGCTTCACACGCCATCCTTACATCCTCTTCCTTCAGGTGGGTGCCTCCCAAGTTGAGGGATCTTAGGTTACGGTTGGCCATGACGATTCTCCAGAGGTGCTGCACACCAGGGGTAATCTGTGCATTTCTAAACCTGCAATGGGGAAGGGGAGACACATTCGACACTGGTGATGTTTAGTTGTATCCTCATTTTTCCTTCCCATCCTTCTCCCATTCTAACTTGCAAATTTCTAATTAATTGTATTTCCTTTTAAAACAACGAATACCTGAGTGCCTGTGATGGGCCAGCTACTGGGAATGGTGTATGAAAGAGTATTAACAATCCCTGCCTTGGGGAGCTTAATCCATCCAAACCCGTCCAAACCTGGTGTCAAGGAGCCTGCTTCAGTAACATCAGCACAAGGTTTTTTTTTGTTTTTTGTTTAAGATGGAGTCTCACTCTGTCACCCAGGCTGGAATGCCGTGGTGCGATCTTGGCTCACTGCAACCTCCACCTCCCTGGTTCAGGCAATTCCCCTGCCTCAGCCTCCCAAGTAGCTGGGATTACAGGCACGTACCACCATGCCCTGCTAATTTTTTTTTTGTATTTTTAGTAGAGATGGGGTTTCACCATGTTGGCCAGGCTGGTCTTGAACTCCTGACCTCAGGTGATCCACCCACCTCGGCCTCCCAAAGTGCTGGGATTACAGGCATGAGCCACTGCGCCCGGCCGATCACAAGGTCTTTAGCGACTCCCCACTCTGTGCTTTTGGGAACTTGGTTCCTACACCTTTGGTGGCACTTATGCCCTCAGGCTGCACTTGAAAGGCTTCAGATGGGTCTCTCAGGAGGTAGGGGAGAGCTGGGATAGCGTCATGGGAAGGGATTCTCTCGTAGGGGGCGGGCAGCCTTACATCAGGGTCTGTATCTTGCAGGTGGGATGCCTCAGCTTGGCACACAGGGTCTTCATGGCCCGCTCTGTCAGGATGCTGCTGCCCAGGTCCAGCTGCCGCAGGTGTGGGTGGGTGCCAAGCATGGAGCAGAAATCTTCCCACTGCTCCTCAATGAGGGTCTTATCCCGCATCCTATGTCAGGGGGGATAGAAACATGGGCTCATGGGATGGAGTTTAACATGAGCAGTCGTGGCAACACGTCGGAGGAGAGGGACCGAGCTCTCGAGGTGAGACCACGGTGGCTTTAGAGGCCCTGAGGCAACTTAGCGGCTGCCATCACACTTTGCATGACTAGCCCGGTGTCCACCCTGCCTCCCGGATATACCGATACCCGAGGGGGTATGCAGGCATGACTGGGAACCGCCAGCTCCTGAATCAGATCTTTTTTTTTTTTTTTTGAGATGGAGTCTCGCTCCGTTGCCCAGGCTGGAGCGCAGTGGCGCAATCTCGGCTCACTGCAACTTCTGCCTCCTGGGTTCGAGCGATTCTCCTGCCTCAGCCTCCCGAGTAGCTGGGACTACAGGCGCATGCCATCATGCACAGCTAATTTTTGCATTTTTAATAGAGATGGGGTTTCACCATGTTGGCCAGGATGGTCTCGAACTCCTGATCTCATGATCTGCCCCCGCCTTGGCCTCCTAAGGTGCTGGGATTACAGGTGTGAGCCACCACCGTGCCCAGCCCTGCATCAGATCTTTGCTTCAATTCCAGCCCCACTTGAACGTAAAACTGTGCAACAGCTGTGGAAAACAGTACAGAGGTTCCTAAAAAAATATTAAAATAGAGCTACCATAGGACCTAACAATCCTACCTCTGGGTGTATACCCGGAAGAACTGAGATCAGGATGTGGAAGAGGTGTTTGGTCTCCCACGCTCACTGTGGCATTTTCATAATAGCTCAGATCTGGAAAACTTACATGTCCATCCATGGATGAACAAAGAACATGTGATACATATGTTAATGGAATATTACTCGTCCTTAGAGGAGGACATTCTACCGTTTTTGACAGTGTGGATGAACCTGGAGGATATTATGTTAGGTGAGCTATACCAGTCACAAAAGGACAAATACTGCAAAATGCTGCATGAGTCTACATTTTTTTTTTTTTTTTTTTGGAGACGGAGTCTCTATCTCCCAGGCTGGAGTGCAGTGGCATGATCTTGGCTCACTGCAACCTCTGCCTCCCAAATTCGAGTGATTTTCCTGCCTCAGCCTCCCAAGTAGCTGAGATTACAGGTGCCCACCACCATGCCTGGCTAATTTTTGTATTTTTTTAGTAGAGATGGGGTTTCACCATGTTGGCCAGGCTGGTCTCAAACTCCTGACCTCAAGTGATCCACCCACCTTGGCCTCCCAAAGTGCTGGGATGACAGGCGTGAGCCACCAATACACTGGGCTCATGATTCTACTTTGAAATGTCTAAAATAGCAGAAAGTAGAGTGGAGGCTGCCGGGGGCCTGGGGAGCAGGGGAGATGGAGTTATCGTTTCATGGGCATGAAGGGTCAGTGATGTGAGATGAAAAAGTTCTAGAGATCCATTGTTCAATGTCGTGCCTGTAGTTAATATTGTATCGTACACCTAAAAATTGGAGCAATTAGTCTCCCGTCCACTGGCAATCATCTCCTGTCTGAGTTTATACCTTCCCACGTGTCTGAGTGTATACCTTCCCACGTTTGTGAACAGGGAGCTAACCTCATGGGTTTGCCCTCAAGAATAAAAGAAAAATAGAGGCCGGGCGCAGTCGCTCACGCCTGTCATCCCGGCACTTTGGGAGGCCAAGATGGGAGGATCACAAGGTCAGGAGTTCAAGACCAGCCTGGCCAATATGGTGAAACCCCATCTCTACTAAAAATACAAAAGTTAGCCGGGTGTGGTGGTGGGCAACTGTAGTCCAGCTACTAGGGAGGCCGAAGCAGGAGAATCGCTTGAACCCAGGAGGTGGAGGTTGCAGTGAGCTGAGATCGCACCACTGCACTCCAGCCTGGGTGACCGAGCAAGACTCCGTCTCAAAAAAAAAAAAAAAAAAGAAGAAGAAAGCGAATGAATGTAAGTATAGCACAGGGTAGCTGTGAACACAAGTAGCTTTGACTTTTTATGATATGTAAATTTCCCATCTCAGTGCTTAGCCTGTGGCTGCGCACGTTTTCAGCCAATCTACAGGAAAATTGCCCAGGCTGTGACTCCTCTTGGCTGTGGAAAGAACAAAGTAACGGGCAAGCTGTTCTTTCTTTCTGCACTGACATGAGCTCACCTCCTAAAAAGCAAGCATTTGTACTTGTTTTCCAACCAAAGGTAGCTGCCCTGTTATCAAGGCCTTAGCACACAGCAGGTGCTGTGCCAGACCTCTTCCATGTGAGAATTTTTTTTTTTTGAGATAGAGTCTCACTCTGTCACCCAGGTTGGAGCACAGTGGTGCCATCTTGGCTCACTGCAACCTCCGCCCGCGGGGTTCCAGCAATTCTCCTGCCTCAGCCTCCTGAGTAGCTGGGATTAAAGGCACCCACCACCACGCCCCACTAATTTTTGTATTTTTAGCAGAGATGGGGTTTCACTATGTTGGCCAGGCTGGTCTCGAACTCCTGACCTAGTGTGATCCACCTGCCTCAGCCTCCCAAAGTGCTAGGATTACAGGCATGAGCCACCGCGCCCAGCCCCATGTGATAATTTGAGGCTTTTTTTATTTTTTGAGATGGAGTCTCACTCTGTTGCCCAGGCTGGAGTGCAGTGGCGTGATCTCGGCTCACTGCAACCTCTGCCTCCTGGGTTCAGGCAATTCTCCTGCCTCAACGTCCTGAGTAGCTGGGATTACAGGTGTGCGCCACCATGCCTGGCTAATTTTTGTATTTTTAGTAGAGATGGGGTTTCACTATGTTGGCCAGGCTGGTCTCGAACTCCTGACCTCGTGATCCACCCACCTCAGCCTCCCAAAGTGCTGGGATTACAAGCATGATCCACTGCACCCAGCCTGTCCACAGACAGGGTCTTACTTTGTTGCCCAGGCTGGTCTCAAAAACCTGGCCTCAAGTAATCCTCGTCCACCCAGCCTGTCCACATTCGTCACTGCTGTGTTCTGGGTCATAGGAGGATGACACTGAGACAGTCCAGCAAAGTGTGTTTTCTAGACCTGCACTATTCAGCAAGCATCAGCTATGTGTGACTATTTAAATACAAATGAGGCCGGGCACAGCAGCTTATGCCTATAATCCCAGCACTTTGGGAGGCCAAGGCAGGTGGCTCACCTGAGGTCAGGAGTTCGAGATCAGCCTGGCCAACATGGTGAAACCCTGTCTCTACTAAAAATACAAAAATTAGCCAGGTATGGTGGCACTGCCTATAATCCCAGCTACTTGAGAGGCTGAGTCAGGAGAATCGCTTGAACCCGGGAGGCAGAGATTGCAGTGAGCAAAGATCATGCTGCTGTACTCCAGCCTTGGTGACACAGTGAGACTCTGTCTCAAAAAAAGAAAAAAATACAAATGAGTTGAAATGGAGTGAGATGAGTTTCACCTCCACAGTCTCACTCACCATGTTTCAGATGCTCAACAGGCTTATGAGGCTGGTGGCTGTCCTACTGGACAAGGCACATGGAATATTTCCATCACAGAACCCTCTACTGGACAGCACGGCCCTGGACACCATACCAAATAAGCAGTCCACAAACCTGAGCGGTCACATTCATGGGAGGGGCTTGCTGATGCCTGTAATCCCAGCACTTTGGGAGGCTGAGGCGGGTGGATCACCTGAGGTCAGGAGTTCGAGACCAGCCTGGCCAACGTGGCGAAATCCCATCTCTACTAAAATTACAAAAACTAGCTGGGCATGGTGGTGCATGCCTGTAGTCCCAGCTCCTCGGCAGCCTGAGGCAGGAGAATCTCTTGAGCCTGGGAGGTGGAGTTTGCAGTGAGCCGAGATCGTGCCACTACACTCCAGCCTGGCAACAGAGTGAGACTCTGACTTAAAATAATAAAATAAACCACATATTCCTGGGTTTCAACCCCAGAGCCTTTCCTTTAGTCTTAGGCGGGGCCCTGTATTGTGAAAGACCTTTCCCAGGTGTGGACAATGAGCCAGATTCCGGTCCTGGCATTTTAGCCAGCTGGACGTCATCTGGGCCATTCATCCTGAAAGAATTCTCTGGGACCTTGAAGTTCCTGGAAGTCATGTCAAGTCCCAGCAGTAGAGACACAGAGCTCAGCACACGGCATAGGATAAAACTGCCTGGGGTACTCACCATAGAGGGACCACAGGACATGCCTCAGCGGACTCATCTCTTGGGAAGATCCCTTTGACATCCACCCGAATTTTCCGCAAATACGGACAGTGCTGGAGGCAGAAGGAAGATGCTATCAAGTCCAGGTTCTGGTTAATCGGAAGCCACACTTCTTGGAAGCTGTTTAATGCCAAGCGAACAAACTCTTTGTCTTGAGTCTCGAAAAGACAGTGGAAGGCGTCCAGGGTGTCTCCTGGGGTGGTGGCATTAGGCTGCTGACCCAACAGAGAGACCCAGTGCAGAAGCTTCTGCTTCACCCCCAGGGGAACGGGACAGCCCAGCAGGACCTCCAGTGGCCTCCTTACGTCTTCGCTCACGAGGCCAAACAAGAAACGCTTCATCCAAAGCGAGTGGATATGGAAGCCTGCCTGTTTAAGCTCCATGGACCTCTTTGTCTTCTCAACGTACAGAGGGCAGAGAGCTGGCTCGATTTCCAGGCCCTCTAACACGTAGTACAAGGCGGCACAGAAGTCCTGGAGACTGAGGTGGAAGAAGGTGTAGTACTCCTCACAGTGGCTGTCTGGGAGAAGGATGTTCATGTGAAACAGAGCACGGAGCTCAGACTCCCCGAGTCCTTGAACCATGAGGTCGTCACCGTCAAACACTGACTTCCTATTCCACACTCCCTCCACAGCCATACGGCAGAAGCGCTTCAGGACAACTCTTTCCTCCAGATTGAGACAGCGCCGGACCACGCCTCGAGGGGTGAGCTGATGAAACACAAAAGCGGCGTGCAGGCCTGTGAGCGTTTGGTTGAAGGGGGCGACGCTCTCCCCCACCACGTCCTGCAGCTGCAGGGCCACGCAGATGAGAGAGCCCACGGCGGGCACCTGGCACTGGTCGAGCAGCTCACGGTTGTTCATGATCGCACGCAACCCTTGTGTCTTCTGATGCTCACCAATCCCGCGCTCAAGGAGCAAGTGGATTCTTTGTTCCCCGGAGATTCCTCTAACTAACAGGTAACGGGGAGACACGACCTCTGACTTGAGCTTCTCTGTGCCCACGTCTCTGACGGTGACGATCAGGAAGGACTCAGGGAGCAGGACCTTCCTCAGCAGACTGCGTATGAGGGTGAACGGAGGCTGCTTCTCAGCCCAGTCTTTGCAGAGCTTTGTGTCATTGTTGAGGACAGAGCCCAGGTCATCGAAACCGTCAATGATGAACAACAGCCTTTCTGGTCGGGACATGATCTCCGTCACCGGAGCCTGGGAGTCTGGCCACTCCCTGGAGATGAACTCTGTGACACTGCTCTCCTTCTTCCGCTGCATCTCTCTAACGGGGAGGAAGAAGACGTAGGAGAACATTCCCTGGTAGAGTCCACCTTGCGCCCAGCACAGCACGATCCTTCTGGCTAGAGCCGATTTCCCAATTCCTGACTTTCCGTGCAGAACCACCGTGCGAGGCCGGAAGCCCCACCGGTCTGAATCAAAAGCACCAGCCAACGTTTGCATTTCCGGCCAGTCAGCAGCAGTGTTTTCAAAACTACGACGTACATCCTCCTCCTCAGCGAATTTGGTCATCACGTGACTCTTGTAGTCCCATGTGTCACCTCCATGTCCTGGAGTCAGAGAGGGTAGAATGAAAATCAGGAAACAGACCAGGCACAGTGGCTCGCACCTGTCATCCCAGCACTGTGGGAGGTCAAGATGGGCATATCACCTGAGGTCAGGAGTTTGAGACCAGCCTGGTCAATGGCAAAGCCCCGTCTCTAATAAATACAAAAATTAGCTAGTCATGGTAGTTGGCACCTGTAGTCCCCAGCTACTCAGGAGGCTGAGGCAGGAGAATTGCTTGAACCCGGGAGATGGAAGTTGCAGTGAGCTGAGATTACACCACTGCACTCCAGCCTGGTCACAGAGCGAGACTCTATCTCAAAATAAAAATAAAAATAAATCGGGAAACAAAATTTGAAGCCAGTCTATTTTTTTTTTTTTTTTTTTTTTGAGATGGAGTCTTGCTCTGTCACCCAGGCTGGAGTGCAGTGGCGCAATCTCAGCTCACTGCAACGTCCGCTTCCTGGGTTCACCCCATTCTCCTGCCTCAACCTCCTGAGTAGCTGGGACTACAGGTGCCTGCCACCACGCCCAGCTAATTTTCTGTATTTTTAGTAGAGACGGGGTTTCACCGTGTTCGCCAGGATGGTCTCAATCTCCTGACCTAGTGATGTACCCACCTCGGCCTCCCAAAGTGCTGGGATTACAGGCATGAACCACTGCGCCCAGCTGAAGCCAATCTGAATTTTAGTAAAAATATACCTCACAGAAACCCTGGACCGAGCATCAGTGGGGCCTGAGTCAGCCTCCAGACATGGGTCTTGTTTCTTCCTAGCCAGGTGCTGAGAACATGCTCACTCTTCGTTCCCTACTTTAAAGGCCTCAAAAGCTTCTTAACAATCTACAAAATAGCTCTGCTTCCCTTGTTCAACCCGATGTCCCTTTTTGCACTGGGGACCTGATGGGTTACGCTGTATTTGCTGATGGTCTCCCCCCGTAGAATCTAAACATGGACTTTCTTACTCACTCTTGGACCTTCAGTATTTATGACAGTGCCTGGCACTCTGTGGGAAATCAAGTATTTGTTAAATGAATGATGTATGCCAACATAAGTGGCCTTGGGGAGGGGGAGGGGAACTTGAGGGAGCCACGGATGCATGTACCATGGCCCCAAGTTCTACACCTGTAGGACAGGTGTGCCCCTCCTGTTCCATCCCTTGGTTTCCCCCACGCAATGGGGGAATCCTGCTGTACATAAAGAGGGGAATGGCCGGATGTGCTGGCTCACCCCTGTAATCCCAGCACTTTGGGAGGCTGAGGCATGTGGATCACAAGGTCAGGAGATTGAGACCATCCTGGCTAACACAGTGAAACCCCGTCTCTACTAAAAATACGAAAAAAAAAGTTAGCCAGACATGTTGGCGGGCGCCTGTAATGCCAGCTACTCGGGAGGCTGAGGCAGGAGAAAGTCATGAACGCAGAAGGTGGAGCTTGCAGCGAGCCAAGATTGTGCCACTGCACTCCAGACTGGGCGACAGAGCGAGACTCCATCTCAAAAAAAAACAGAGAGACAGAGAGAGAGAGAGAGAGAACGGAGCACGTTCCTTGAGGTCAAACAGATCCCGCCTGGAACCCAAGCTCTACGGTAGAGCAGTGATCCCCAACCTTTTTGGCACCAGGGACCGGTTTTGTGGAAGACAATTTTTCCACACACCGGGGTGGAAGGGGGTGGTTTTGAGATGACTCAAGCACATTATGTTTATTGTGCACTTTATTATGATTACATTGTAATATATAATGAAATAATCATACAACTCACCATAATGTAGGATCAGTGGGAGCCTGAGCTTGTTTTCCTACAACTAGATGGTCCCATCTGGGGGTGATGGAGACACTGACAGATCATCAGGCATTAGATTCTCATAAGCACGCAACCCAGATCCCTCACATGTGCAGTTCACAATAGGGCTCATGCTCCTGGAAGAACCAAATGCCACATCCGATCTGACAGGAGGCAGAGCTCAGGTGGTAACATGAGTCATGGGGAGCAGCTGTAAATACAGATGAAGCTTTGCTCCCTCCTGCTATACTGCCTGGTTCCTAAGAGGCCACCCTACAAGTCCATGGCCTGGGGGTTGGGGACCCCTGCTGTAGAGCATCTGTATGATTTGATACAAGCTGCTGTTCAGTTTCCCCACCTGATGAAGATTTTTTTTTTTTGAGACACAGTTGCAGTCTGTTGCCCAGGCTGGAGTGCAGCAGCGTGATCTTGGCTCACTGCAGCCTCCATCTCCCAGGTTCAAGCAATGCTCCTGCCTCAGCCTCTCAAGTAGCTGGGATTACAGGTGCCTGCCACCATGCTCAGCTAATTTCATGTGTGTGTGTGTGTGTGTATGTATATATATGTGTATATATACATATATACACATATACATACATATACATATGTATACATATACATACACATATACATATACATATGTATATACGCATGTACGTATACACACGTATATATGTATGTACGTATATATAAATATATGTATATGTGTATATATAACATATATACATATATGTACATATATGTATATATGTTATATATACACATATATATATATTTGTTCTTTTTTTTTTTTTTTTAAGCAGAGATGAGGTTTCACCATGTTGGCCAGGCTGGTGTTGAACTCCTGACCTCAAGTGATCCGCCCACTTCAGCCTCCCAAGTGCTCGGGTTATAGGCATGAGCCACTGTGCCCGGCCCACCTGATAAAGATTTAAGAATATGCATTCAACATTAGCACAGGGCCTGAAAATGTGAAAAAATGAAACTTATCACAAACTATAATTATTTTATACCACCTGACATTTATCACAAACTTCAACTCTTTTATGCATTTAGTTTTTGTCAGCCCCCTAGCTTATAATGTAAGCTCCATGAGAAAAATACCTTGTCTTTTTGCCTCAATAGTTCCAGCCTCTTCAGCCTCTGATATCTGATAGGTACTCAATGAACGTGAAAAAGATTCATATCCTGGGACCTTAAGTTTACTGGTACTACTATTTACCTTAAAAAGGCAGCAAGAGTCTCTCTGCACAAATGTGTAATACAATTACTAACTGTATGCAAAGTCTCCACATAAAAATTCTAGAACTTACACTTCATTGTAGTTGTATCCTCTGAATCAGTCCAAGATGGGTTCCAGGACATCCCCAAATGACATCAAAATCTCCAGATACTCAAGTCCCTGATATAAAATGGTATAACTGCATATAACCTACGCACATCCTCCCATGTAGTTTAAGTCATCTCTAGGCTGCTTATAATATCTAACACGATGTCTACACATTGCTTCATTTGTGTGGATTCTTCCCACGTAGGTTAAGTCATCTCTAGGCTACTTATAATATCTAACACGATGTCTACACATCGCTTCAATTTGTGTGGACTCAACGCACCGCTCAGCATGTAGCAAATTCGGATTTCGCTTTTTGGAACTTTGTGGAGTTTTCCTGAATATTTTTGATCGATGGTTAGTTGAATCCATGGACACAGAACCCATGGGAAACGGAGGGCCGTCTGTCGTCCACATCAGGGGACGTGTTAACAGAGCCGTGTTGAAACCACGGGAAGCACACCTTAAGACTAGAACCTCTATTTGCTGAGCTCAGACCGACCTGTTGTCCTCAGAGGACTGGCAGTGCCACTGGAATGTAGGTTTTTACAGAGGGAGGGAAACCCCAGGAAGCCAGTCTGCATTCAAACTCAGGCCTCCCTCAGTTCTTCCTCAAACACCTCTTTTTCTATGGATTTAATTATCACGTCTATACTTCAGGGTTCCCATCCTCTCCTTCGTGAGGGCTTCTTTCCTAAAATTCCAGACTTGTGTGTCTAACTCGCCCCTTTAAGGGGTCACAGGGCCTCAAATTCAAAGCATCAAAAACTCATCTTTTGTCTCGCTGGGTGCAGTGGCTCACGCCTGTAATCCCAGCACTTTGGGAGGCCGAGGCAGGCGGATCACCTGAGGTTGAGAGTTCGAGACCAGCCTGACCAATATGGACAAACCCCATCTCTCTACTAAAAATACAAAATTAGCCGGGTGTGGTGGCACATGCCTGTAATCCCAGCTACTCGGGAGGCTGAGGCAGGAGCATCGCTTGAACCTGGGAGGCGGAGGTTGCAGTGAGCTGAGATCGCGCCATTGCACTCCAGCCTGGACAACAAGAGCTAAACTCAGTCTCAAAACAAAAAACAAAAAACCTCATCTTTTACTTCTAACAAAAAATATTCTCTCATAGGTTTTTTCTAAGTGATAACAAGAAAAAAAGGTTGTGTTTGTGATCCTACTTTGGAGCAGATGATGAGCTCATTGTTTTCCTTGTTTTACATAAATTTAATTGTGGCTTCCCATCAATCCGGTATATGGTAATTTGTTCATTTATATAGTAGGGATTGGCTGGGCGTAGTGGCTCATCCCTGTAATCCTAGTGCATTGGGATGCTGAGATGGGCAGATCACTTGAGGCCAGGAGTTCAAGACCAGACTGAGCAACATAGCGAGACCCCCTGCCCCCTCCTTTCTATAACAAATATGAAAATTAGCCAGATGTTGTAGCATATGCCTAATTTCCAGCTACTTAGGAGGCTGAGGCAGGAGGATTGCTTCAGCCCAGGAGTTAGGGGCTGCAGTGAGCTGTGATTGTGCCACTGTACTTCAGCCTGGGCGACACAGCAAGACCCTGTTTCAAAAAAGGGGTGGAGTGGAGAGTGTATCTCCCCTTACTAGGTTAGCGTGAAGGTGTCTTGACAATCAAAATGTGGAGAACAGTGCCTAGACCAGAGTAATTATTCTAAAAATGTCACCGATATTTGTGTATATTATTCGTCCCAATTTAAAGTTGACAACACTGGCAACCATTAGTTTTTCAAATATTGGTTGAGTGAATGATTATGTAGCTCACACAGGATCAACATTACATTGCACAGGTGGGATAATAGCCCAGCTTGAAGCTGTCTCAGAGCTCAAAATGTTAGTCACTGACTCCTGGCATCACCACCCACCAGATCGTTCCAGAAGAAAGGTGAGAGCAATTCCCAGAGCCCCTTTTTTCAGAACTCTGCCAATCACCAATTCCAGTTAGCTTTATATCTTCAATATCTCATGCTAGTCAAGTCACTTCTTTCCATCACTGCCTCCTAGGACATGAGTGTTCAGGGAACACTGTTAACAGCCCCAAAGTGAGAAAAAAGCCAAATTCCCATGAACTGAACAACAGATGAAGAAAATGGGGTCTTTCCATACAATGGAATATTATTCAGCAACAAAAACGAAGTGCTGATAGACACTGGAACACGGGCTTTGGAACTTTATGCCAAGTGAAACATGGCCAGTCACAGAAAACTACATATCATATGATTCCATCTACATGACCGATCTGGAATCGGAGAGTTTAGAGATACAAAGTAGATTAGTGGTTGTCCAGAGTTTTGAGGGAGAGGAAACTGGTGACTGCAAAGGGGTATGGGGTTTCTTTTTGGGAGAAAAAAAATGTCTTGGAATTAGTGATGACAGTTGGATAACTGAATAGACTAAAAATAATTGAATCATATACTTCAGGAGGGTCAACTTTATGGTATATAAAATCCTAATTATATCTCAACAAAAAAGCCTCAATCAACAGTTTCTCAGGGAAGCCTGCTCTTACATCTTTGGCTGTTTAATCATCATCCTGCAAAGTTATAGCACTTTAGACTCATCTTCATTCCATAAGGTTTAGCTAATGTGTAAGTCTGGATGATAAATGCCATGAAGGCAGCTGGGCACAGCGGCAAATGCCTGTAATCCCAGCACTTTGGGAGGCTAAGGTGGGCAGATCACGAGATCAGGAGTGCGAGACCGACCTGGCCAATATGGTGAAACCCCATCTCTACTAAAAATACAAAAATTAGTCGGGCATGGTGGCAGGCCTGTAATCCCAGCTACTCGGGAGGCTGAGACAGAAGAATCGCTTGAACCTGGGAGGCAGAGGTTGCACTGAGCCGAGATACCGCCACTGCACTACAGCTTGGGCGACACAGCGAGACTCCTTCTCAAAAAAAAAAAAAAAAATGCCACGAAGGCAAGACATGTTTTTCTTACCACTGTAATTCCAGCACAATTCTTCAATGGCAGGTATTCATGTACATATTAGTTGATAGAAGGAATTACAAAAATAATTACTACCACTTAAGTTTGAAGACAGCATTTGACTACTCTTGGCCATATGTTTAACATCCATCAAACAAAGTTGTGATTGATTCGAGTCCCCTAGAATTATGGGTTCTTTAGAATTTTGTCTTCATAGTATCTGACTGTAGATAATCACAGTGAACTTGCGTAGCTCTATCCATGGTACTGATCAAGAGCTTGAAGGGAAGGGGTTGACACCAGAGACAAATGAGATTGAAGAAAGGCAATCTAAACTACATACCCTTGAAATCTAAACTACTTACACTTCTTTCACCCAACTTTCTTCCAGGAGGGCAACCAAGGAATACATCTATTTTCCTCACCTTGTTCTTCTGTCTCTGCTGCTGTGGCACCTTCTTGTTCCATAGCTTGTGAAATTTCTGCAAAAGAATGAATTCCAACATACTTGTGTTTATTATTCGAGTCAGAGATGTCAGACACCCCCAAGATAAGCTTAGTCATGCCATATTTATTTTCTGGCCAGTTGAAAACATGACAACCACCGGCTCAACTAGAAGACAGAGTGCACTGGTACAATGAGCACTAATTCAAAGCTTGAGGGTGAGGGTCCTAGGCTCATTTCTCCTTGAAGAGACTTGCACAAGTTATTAAAATGAGGGGTAGGTCGGGCGTGGTGGCTCATGCCTGTAATCCCAGCACTTTGGGAGGCCGAGGTGGGCAGCCGAGGTCACGAGTTCGAGACCAGCTTGGCCAATATGGTGAAACCCCATCTCTACTAAAAATACAAAAATTAGTCGGGCACAGTGGCAGGTGCCTGTAATCCCAGCTACTCGGGAGGCTGAGACAGAAGAATCGCTTGAACCTGGGAGGCAGAGGTTGCACTGAGCTGAGATCCCGCCACTGCACTACAGCTTGGGCGACACAGCGAGACTCCTTCTCAAAAAAAAAAAAATGCCATGAAGGCAAGACATGTTTTTCTTACCACTGTAATTCCAGCACAATTCTTCAATGGCAGGTATTCATGTACATATTAGTTGATAGAAGGAATTACAAAAATAATTACTGCCACTTAAGTTTGAAGACAGCATTTGACTACTCTTGGCCATATGTTTAACATCCATCAAACAAAGTTGTGATTGATTCGAGTCCCCTAGAATTATGGGTTCTTTAGAATTTTGTCTTCATAGTATCTGACTGTAGATAATCACAGTGAACTTGCGTAGCTCTATCCATGGTACTGATCAAGAGCTTGAAGGGAAGGGGTTGACACCAGAGACAAATGAGAATGAAGAAAGGCAATCTAAACTACATACCCTTGAAATCTAAACTACTTACACTTCTTTCACCCAACTTTCTTCCAGGAGGGCAACCAAGGAATACATCTATTTTCCTCACCTTGTTCTTCTGTCTCTGCTGCTGTGGCACCTTCTTGTTCCATAGCTTGTGAAATTTCTGCAAAAGAAGAATGAATTCCAACATACTTGTGTTTATTATTTGAGTCAGAGATGTCAGACACCCCCAAGATAAGCTTAGTCATGCCATATTTATTTTCTGGCCAGTTGAAAACATGGCAACCACTGTCTCAGCTAGAAGACAGAGTGCACTGGTACAATGAGCACTAATTCAAAGCTTGAGGGTGAGGGTCCCAGGCTCATTTCTCCTTGAAGAGCCTTGCACAAGTTATTAAAATGAAGGGTAGGTTGGGCGTGGTCGTTCGCACCTGTAATCCCAGCACTTTGGGAGGCCGAGGCGGGCAGATCACCAGAGGTCAGGGGTTCGAGGCCAGCCTGACCAATATGATGAAACCCCATCTCTACTAAAAAATACAAAAAGTTAGCCAGGGATGGTGGCACGTGCCTGTAATCCCAGCTACTCAGGAGGCTGAAGCAGGAGAGTAACTTGAACTTTGGAGGCAGAGGTTGCAGTAAGCTGAGATCATGCCACTGCACTCCAAAAATAATAATAAGAATACAAAAATTAAATGAGGGGCAAAACCTACAGTTAAGAATTAAGGATCTTAGGATCTTAGAGCCAGATTTTGTGGTACATGCCTGTAGTCCCAGCTACTTGGGAGGCTGAGGCAGGAGAATCACTTGAGTCCAGCAGTTTGAGGCTGTAGTGAGCTACGGTCATGCTTGTGGATAGCCACTGCATTGTAGTCTCAGCAATACAGCAAAACTCTCTCTCTTAAAAAAAGAATTGGATTTGAATTAGACACAGGATTCAAATGTGAGTTGTCATAAACTATTTGTAAGATCTTCATCAAGTTACTGAAGTTAAATGTTTCTGTATGCTCATCTAGAAAAGCAAAGAAATTGTTCTTATGTTGTCGAGTTGCTGTGGAGATGATTTGGTAGAGTAATAACACAGCCTCTGGCATATAGTAGCTACCACTGACTGAGAATAACCACTATATATATTTATCAGGAAATAGTTACCATGTGAGGCTAAATACAAATTCGTCTTAGGATATATGAGAATAGATTTGCCATTTTAAAGAACAATCATTAGGGTGGTCTTTGTCTTGTCAATTAGAGAAAAATTATAGATTTTTTAAAATCACAAACAGAATAAAAACCACTTAAGGATTTTTAAGCATGGGAATCAAGTTACAGGCGTAAATTTTTAGATCGCCTTGGTTATTGTATGAAAAATTGATTGTATGTAAAAGTGGATTGCGTTTGGGACGCAAATGAAATGCCTTCAATAACCCATTGTGTATATACACCACAGAAATACAGAAGATGGGAAGAACTGTGTAAAAATGGGTCATATATTACGGGTAGAGACCATATGATCTTCTGATTTGCTAGATATATGGTGGAGAAAATAAATATTAAAAAATACAGCTACTAAGGAAGTCAAGGCACAAGAACTGCTTAAACCTGGGACGTGGAGGTTGCAGTGAGCCAAGATTGCGCGACCGCACTCCATCCTGGGAGACAGAGTGAGACAAACAAACGAGCAAAAAACGACTAAGCTTTTGGTGTAAACGACCAGGCACATAGTGACGCTATTTACCGATATGGAAAACAGTGAAGGCAGATATCAAACCAACGCTCCACCCAACAGCAGAAAACATGCCCTTCTCAACTGCAAACAGACCTTCTTCAAGATAGATACATCAGGCATAAAACATGCTTCAAGTTTATGTTCCTTGAAATTATACAAAGTATGCTCTCTTAACACAATGAAATAAGATTAGAAATCAGTCAGAAAATTTGAAAATTTCCAAATATATGGAAGTGAAGCCACACGATCCTCAACAGGTCAAAGGGGAAACAAAAGGGAATTAAATACTTTGAAATGAGTGGAAACAAAACACAGCAATATTTACAGCGTGTAGGTAGAGCCGTGCATAAAGGAAAATTTATAGCCATAAATGCCTAAGAAAGATCTGAAATATAATATAACTTCCCACCTTAAAGTAGGAAAGAACCCCCTTTTGGGGTTAGTGAGTAGCAAACTCACCCCAAAACAGGCAGAGAAAGGGAATAAAGAAATAAACAAAATACAAGATGGAAATACCATAGAGAAAACAAACCTACCAGTTTGTTCTTTGAAAAGAACAAAATTGACAGACCTTTAGCCAGACTGACCAAGGAAAAAAAGAGACAGCTAAAATTACTGGAGTCGGGAATGAAAGAGGGTCACAACTAACAGCCTTAAAGAAATGAAAAGGATTTTGGCCGGGCGCGGTGGCTCACGTCTGTAATCCCAGCACTTTGGGAGGCCGAGGCGGGCGGATCACGAGGTCAAGAGACTGAGACCATCCTGCCTAACACGGTGAAACCCCATCTGCACTAAAAATACAAAAATTAGCTGGGCATGGTGGCGCATGCCTGTAATCCCAGCTACTTGGGAGGCTGAGGCAGGAGAATCACTTGAACCCAGGAGGCGGAGCTTGCAGTGAGCTGAGATCGCGCCACTGCACCCCAGCCTGGGCAACAGAGCAAGACTCCCTTAAAAAAATGTGGTGTATATACACAATGGGTTATTCAGCTCTAAAACATACAGGAAATTCTGTCATTTGCTACAACATTGAGGAACCTAGAGGACATTATGTTAAGTGAAGTAAGCCAGGCACAGAGAAATACCAGAGGATCTGACACGTGGAATCTAAAAATGTCGAACTCAGAATTGGAGGGTAGAACAGTGGTTACCAGAGGCTGGTGGGGCAGAGAGTGGACCGGGAAAGTTGGAAAACATTAGTCAACAGGTACAAACTTACAGCTAGACAAGAGGAGTAAGTTCTGGTATTCTATTGCACAACGTGGTGACTGGTTAATAACAAAGTCTATTTCAAAATAGCTAAAAGAGGATTTTAAATGTTCTCAGCACAGCTGGGTGTGGTGGCTCAAGCTTGTAATCCCAGCACTTTGGGAGGCTGAGGTGGGTGGATCACCTGAGGTCGGGAGTTCCAGACCAGCCTGACCAACATGCAGAAACCCTGTCTCTACTAAAAATACAAAATTAGCTGGGCGTGGTGGTGCATGCCTGTAGCCCCAGCTACTTGAGAGGCTGAGGCAGAATAATCGCTTGAACCCGGGAGGCGGAGCTGGCAGTGAGCTGAGATCACACCACTGCACTCCAGCCTGGGCCACAAGAAAAGAACTCCATCTCAAAATAAATAAATAAGTAAAAATAAAATGTTCTCAGCACAAAGAATATTTGAGGTGATGGATACACTAGTTACCCTGATTTGATCATTCTACAATATATGCGTGTATTGAAACCTCACGCCCCATAAGTATATACAATTCTTATTTTTCAGTTAAAAATAAAAAACTGTAGTGAAAATAATCGTAGTGAACGTGCAAGGTTCTGTCCATGGTGCTGATCCCAAGATCTCTTAGGGAAGAGGGACTCACACACCAGAGACAAATGAGGATGAAGAAAGGGAAAGTGGATTTCCCCGTCCTTTGAACTACATGAACTTCTCTCACCCAACTTTCTTCCAGGAGGGCAACAAATGAATAGATCTATTTCATTCACCTTGTTCTTTTGTCTCTGCAGCTGTGGCACTATCTTGTTGCACAGCTTGTGAAATTCCTGCAAAAGAGAAGGGAGAAGAATAAACACAAACATACTGTGTATATTATTCAAATCAGAGATGTTGGACACCCCAGATAAACTTAGTCATGCCATAGTTAATTTTCTGACCAGTTTAGAGCACAGAACCACTGGCTCAGCGCCAGGGCAGTGTGCGCCAGTAACATAAGTACTAGATTCAAGATCCGACGATTCAAAATCAAAAGTATTTCTATACACTGGCAGTAAACAAAATAAAATGAACAATGCCAGGCACAGTGGCTCACTCCTCTAATACCAGCACTTTGGGAGGCCGAGGCAGGCGAATCTTTTGAGGTCAGGGGTTTAAGACCAGCCTGGCCAACATGGTGAAACCCCGTCTCTACTAAAAATTCAAAAAATTAGCCAGGCATGGTGGCGTGTGCCTGTAATCCCATCTACTGGAAGGCTGAGGCAGGAGAATTGCCTGAACCCAGGAGGCAGAGGTTTCAGTGAGCCGACATCACACCACTCCAGCCTGGGCAACAAGAGTGAAACTCTGTCAAAAACAAACAAACAAACAAAACAAAACGAAAACAAAACAAACACTCCACTTATAATGGCATAGAACAAAATATTTCAGGACAAATTTAACAAATGAAATGAGAGACTTGTATCCTGAAAGCCACAAACGTAACCAAAAAAAATTAAGAAAACCCTAAATTAATGGAAAGACCACCTTGTGTCCATGGGTTGAAGACTTAATGTTGTTACTGTGTCATATACCCAACATTAATCTACATGACATAATGCAATCTCATCAAAATCCCAGCTACCTTTTTTTGCTTGCAGAAATTGTAAAGCTGATTGATACTAAAAGTCACATGGAAATTCAACAGACCCAGAATAGCCAATCTATCTTGAAGTCAAGTTGGAGAATCACACTTTGAGTTCAAAACTATAAAGCAATAGTAGTTAAGTCAGTGTGGTTCAGGCACAAGGTCAGATATAGAGATCAATGGAATAGATTGGAAAGTTTAAAAATAATCCCATACATCTGTGATTTTAGACAAGAATATCTAGACAATGATAAAGAATAGTGTTTTCAATAAATATTGCTGGAGAACTGGTTATCTACACACAAAAGGATGAAGTTGAACCCTCTACTTCATGCTATATACAAAATTAACTCAAAATGTTTAAAGACCTAAATGTTTTTAAGAGCTGTAACTACAAAATCCTTAAGAGGAAATATTGGTGTAAACCTTCTGATTTTGGGTTAAGCAATTTTTTTTTTTTTTTTTTGAGATGGAGCGTTTCTCTGTCACCAGGCTGGAGTGCAATGGCACGATCTTGGTTCACTGGAACCTCCACCTCCTGGGTTCAAGCGATTCCCCTGCCTCACTCTCTCAAGGAGCTGGGACTACAGGAAAGCGCCACCATGCCTGGTGGATTTTTTTGTATTTTAGTAGAGACAGGGTTTCACCATGTTGGCCAGGAGGGTCTGGATATCCTGATCTTGTGATCCACCGCCTTGGCCTCCCAAAGTGCTGGGATTACAGGTGTAAGCCACCGTACCCAGCTGGGTTAAACAATTTTTTTAAAGATATAACACCAAAAGCACAAACAATCAAGGAAATAAATTTGTCTTGTAAAATAAAAGCCCGCTGTGCTTCAAAGGACAGTATCAGCAATGTGAAAAGACAACTCAGAGAACAGGGGAATATATAAAATTATGTCTCTACATAATCTAGATGATAAAACCTAAGTATTGCAAGTCAACAATATAATGAAGTTAAAAAAGGACCAAGGATTTGAATATACATTTCTCTAAAGACACAGAAGTAGCCAATAAGCACACGAAAAGATTCTGAACATAATTAGGGAAATTCAAATCAAAACCACAGTCAATGTTTCATAACTACTAGGATGGTTACAATGAAAAATAGTGGAGCAAACGTTACTGTAGCTTTCATTAAGGTGTTGGTGAGGATGCAAAATGGTGCAGTCACTCAAGAAAAACCATTTGGCAGAGCTCCTCAAAAAGTTAAACACAGTTGCCATATGACCCACCACTTCCACTCCTAGGTATAGGCCTCCCTGAATCAAAAACACATCTACACAAACACACACGTGGGAATCCATAGCTGCATCGTTCATAATAGCAAAAAAAAAAAAAAAAAAAAACCCAAATGTCCATCATGTGATAAATGAACAAGAAGCGGTATATATATAAAAGGAATACTGTTCAGCCATAAAAAGTTATGAAGTCCTGAGACAGGCTATGATATTGACAAATCTTTAAAACATTATGTTAAAATCCCAGCACTTTGGGAGGCTGAGGTGGGCAGATCACAAGGTCAGGATATCGAGACAATTTTGGCTAACACTGTGAAACCCCGTCTCTACTGAAAATACAAAAAATTAGCTGGGTGTAGTGGTAGGCACCTGTAGTCCCAGCTACTCAGGAGGCTGAGGCAGGAAAATAGCGTGAACCAGGGAGGCGGAGGTTGCAGTGAGCCGAGATCGCACCACTGCACTCCAGCCTCAGCAACAGAGCACGACTCCATCTCAAAACAAAAACAAAAAACAAAAACATTATGTTAAATGAAGAAAGCCAGTCACACAATATAACAAAGTGTCTGATTTCATTTATATGCAAAGTCCAGAAAAGGCAAAATTCACAGACACAAAGTGGATGACTGGTTTCCAGGGGCTGGGTATGGGGAGTGATGGCTAATAGGTATGTGGTTTTCTGGGGTGATGAAAATTTCCTGAAATTAGGTAGCAGTGATGGTTACACAACTTTGTTAATACAATAAAACACTGAATTGTATTAAGATGAATTTTATGATATATGAATTTTCTCTCAACTTTAAAAAAGCAAGGAAAGTATATAAAGAGATTACAGACCAGTTCACTCAAACACAGACGCCAAATTTGAAGTGACTTATCAGCAAACTGTATCAGAAGTGTATCAAAGGTATGTAATGGTGCTTATATCACAGGTATTCCAGGAAAGCAACAGCAGTTTAACACTTGAAAGAAGTCTGTAAGTGTCATTCATTACAATATCAGGTTCTGGGAAAATAATTGTAAGATCGTTCCAAGGAAAATAATTGTAAGATCGTTCCAAATTATGCAAAAGTAAGACAGGCCAATTTTCTCCATCTTGTTGTCTCTGCTGAAGGATTTTTTTTTTTTTTTGGGTTATGGAAATGTCCTAAGACTGGATTATGGTAATAGGTTCATGTTTATAAATTTTCGAATTGTATTCTCAAGATTTTACGATATGTAAACCTGCATCGAGTTATCCGGAAAAAAAAAAAAAAAAAGGCCAAGGCGCAGTGGCTCATGCCTGTAATCTCAGCACTTTGGGAGGCCAAGGCAGGTGGATCACGAGGTCAGGAGTTCGAAGGCAGCCTGGCCAACATGGTGAAACCCCATCTCTACTAAAAATACAAAAAATTAGCCGGACATGGTGGCAGGTGCCTATAGTCCCAGCTACTTGGGAGGCTGAGGCAGGAGAATGGTGTGAACCTGGGAGGTGGAGCTTGCAGTGAGCCCAGACTGCACCACTGCACTCCAGCCTGGGCGACAGAGCGAGACTCTGTGGGAGAAAGAAAAAAGAAAAAAAGCAGCCACTACGGGAAGAACACCTTTCCTTGTGGGGGTGGATTTATATTAGGAGCTATGTCTTGAGCATCATAATACATTCAATCTATTAGACTAAATAGATTCACCATGTAAGAGATGAAAGAATCTGAACTTACATAGAATTTATAAGATCTAGGCTGGGTGCGGTGGCTCATGCCTGTAATCCTAGCAGTTTGGGAGGCTGAGGTGGGTGGATCACCTGAGGTCAGGAATTCTAGGCCAGCCTGACCAATACGGTGAAACTCCATCTTTACCAAATACACAAAAATTAGCCAGGCACGGTGGCGCGCGTGTGTAATCCCAGCTACTTGGGAGGCAGACAGGAGAATCGCTTGAACCTGGGAGGCAGAGGTTGCAGTGAGCCAAGATCAAGCCATTGCACTCCAGCCTGGGTGACAGAGCGAGACTATCTAGGCGGGAAAGAAAAAAAAAAAAGACATAGGAAAAGAAAAAAGATCTAACACAAAGATGACATCTCAGTCTGGAAAGAAAAAAAAAATCAGGCTTTCTGTTGGCTGATCTTCTTTGGGCAAATCTGTCTCTCTGGGCTTTGTAGTCGTCATACGTACGATGCTGACTTCGGATGGATGTATCTTATTGTCTTCTCTAGAGTTTTGTAATAGATTTACAGAAATAAATTTCACAAATCATACAATTCACCCATTGAAAGTGTGCAATCATGATTGAGAATATTCACATTGTAACCATCAGTACAATTTTAGAACATCTTAATCACCCTCAACGAGAAAAACCCTGCCCTCTTAGTCCTCACCCTCTAAGTTTCCCCATTCACCCCAGCCCTAGGCAACCACTAATCTAGTATTTAAATGGATTTGCCGATTCTAGACATTTTATATGAATGGAATCATTCAATATATATCTTTTTGTGATGGTTTCCTTCACTTAGCCTAGTGTCTTCAAGGTCCATCCATCTTGTAGCATACATTAATGTATGTGTGTATATATATTTTTTAAAGACATAGTCTCATTTTATCACCCAGGCTGAAGTGCAGTGACACAATCATGGCTCAATGCAGCCTCAACCCCCCTGGACTCAAGCAATCCTCCTGCCTCAGCTTCCCAAGTAGCTGGGACTATACGTGCACACTCCCACACTCAGCTAATTTTAATTCTTTTGGTAGACGTCGGGTCTTGCTACATTGCCCAGGTTGGTCTCGAACTCCTGGGTTCGAGCAATCTGCCTGCCTCAGCCTCCCAAAGTGCTGGGATTACAGGTATGAGTCACTGTGTCCAGCCACATCATTCCTTTTTATGCCAAATAATATACTATTGTATACATGGACCACATTTGATTCTATAGCTTGATAAAAAAAAAACTGCATTTATTGGGTTGGCTTAGTTTCAAGGGACTTTTTTTTTTTTTGAGACAGAGTTAAGCTCTTGTTTCCCAGGCTGGAGTGCAGTGGCTCACCACAACCTCTACCTCCTGGGTTCAAGTGATTCTCCTGCCTCAGCCTCTTGAGTAGCTAGGATTACGGGCACATGCCACCACGCCTGGCTAGTTTTTTTTTTCCTGTATTTTTAGTAGACATGGGGTGTCTCCATGTTGGTCAGACTGGTCTCGAACTCCCGACCTCAGGTGATCCACCCACCTCGGCCTCCCAAAGTGCTGGGATTACAGGCGTGAGCCACCGCGCCCAGCCTTTGAGGGACATCTTTCCATACCCAGCCCATCAGGAGCAACGACGAAGGCCTGTGATCCCCTATGATGTAAGCTCCTTGAGGGTAGAGTGTCTGTCTCTGATGGCCTTCATCTTTGTACGTGGATAACACCTGCAGTCAGGTCTTTCTGGCACAAGCCCACCTTGCCTCAATTTAACCATGTGAGACTTTGGTGTGCATTGAGCTTCTGGGTCTCGCTGCATGACTAACGACAGCCAGTACCACAGAGGATTGAGAAGCATGGACTAAAGCACTGGCACGGTGCGTGATCCAAGTGGTCTCAAGAAGTGGTAGTTCTCGTGTCCAGGAGCAGCTCAGAGGGATCTCCTAACGTGGCTGATGGCAAGACCCCCGGCTTTTGTCAGGTTTGTTTCAGTCCTACTATCAAGGTTACTCTGTGTGTTTATTTTACGCTCTAAGCCACCATTTGGTAACTTATAAAACCTCTGAGACGCAGTCTTATCACATGAAGGATAACATGTCACACTCACCCGGTGAAGCCTAGATTGACATCAAACTCTGAGCAAAGTAGAACCTTTGGGATTCAGAGCCTCTGATTCAGATGCCAGTTACTCAGATGTTAGCTTTGAAGAGCTCTTTCCCCACCCACAGCCTGAGCAAAGCTCCATCAAAACGAGGTTGGCTTCAACCCCTTCCAAACCAGATTAGGTTTCACGGTCAACACTGGCTGCTGGGAGCTGAGCAAGATGGTAGCGGCGCAGGTAGCAGAGGAGAATTCATGGTGTCTATGCAGCCTGCCTTTCTCCCTGTGTGTTTTGCCTTCCCTTGTGTCATCTTAGTTTTTTGGTTTGTCTTTCCTGTCCCACAATGTGTGAATTTCATGAACACGTATGCTTTGGCCAACGATGTATTGTAAATACGCAGAGCAGTGGCTGGCATGAGGTCAGTGCTCTAATGTTTGGGGAATTGTATTGAATCTGGTTTCATGCTATCTGATTCTTTCCACCAAAGCCTCCTACTGGGTTATTGGGAGGAGCTTGTCATAGTGGGGTCATAAGGTTACCCAAACTGAAGACGATGGGAAGTCCTCAAGTTGTAAGAAAGCCTGAAGACCACAGAACTCTTTTTTTTTTTTTTTTTTTTGAGATGGAGTCTCGTTCTGTCGCCCAGGCTGGAGTGCAGTGGTGTGATCTCGGCTCACTGCAACCTCTGCCTACCGGGTCCAAGTGATTCTCCTGCCTCCACCTCCCAAGTAGCTGGGATTACAGGCACCCACCACCACGTCTGGCTATTTTTTTGTATTTTTAGTAGAGACGACGTTTCACCATGTTGGCCAGGCTGGTCTTGAACTCCTGACCTCAGGTGATCTGCCCACCTCAGCCTCCCAAAGTACTGGGATTACAGGCATGAGCCACTAGACCTGGCCCCAGGCCACAGAACTCTTCAACTTGGAAAGAGAAATACCAGAATTACCAGATCCTCAGAACCCATCCGGTCAGCTAATGTAGGGTAGTTAGACTAGAAAGAACACTAGACTATCAGAAGTCATGGTTCTAATGCCTAGAGATGCAAACTGGCTGCCATGTGTCTTTAAGCACATCCTATTTCCCCCAACTCCACCCCTCTAACCTGGCACTTTTTCCTTGCTTGGTCCTTGGTCAGTCATCGTTGCTTCAGGATCTTCTGGTGAATGTCCTGGAAGACAAAGAAAAAGGGAGACTGGCCTCAATGAAGTCACTGTAATTACCCAAGCCAAGGATAAGAATGTCCCGTGTCCAAATTATGGAGGGGAACCAAGACAAACCTCAGGATCTCAGTTTATTCCATGATTGGCCTATAACGGAGACAACAAAGTCAGACTTTCCTGAGCCAGCAGAAGCACACTGAAGAAACAGAGGTTTGTGAAGAATTCTCTGGCCGTTTTGCTGGATGGCCTTGGGTAAGTCACACAATGAGGTTAATTGTGGTGATTAAGTTTCTTTTCAGGAGTCCTCCTCAAGACCTGTCTTGAACTCCAGACCCAGTTAGTCAATGACTCACTAGATGCCTATGAGTTACCCAAATACAGGTACCTTCAACAACTTACAAGGTCCAAGATTGACTACCCATCCCCCAATCTACTTTTTGCAAAACATCTCTTCCATGGGGTGAGGCCATGGAACCCCATCCACCCAGTTTATCATGCCAGAAACTTGGGGATCACCCATGACACTGCGTTCTCTCTCTCTGCATTTAGTTCTTAAAAACTGTCTTGTGGCCAGGCGCGGTGGCTCACGCCTGTAATCCCAGCACTTTAGGAGGCTGAGGCAGGTGGATCACGAGGTCAGGAGATCGAGACCATCCTGGCTAACATGGTGAAACCCCGTCTCTACTAAAAATACAAAAAATTAGCCGGGCGTGGTGGCGGGCGCCTGTAGTCCCAGCTACTCGGGAGGCTGAGGCAGGAGAATGGCACGAACCCGGGAGGCGGAGTTTGCAGTGAGCCGAGATCGCGCCACTGCACTGGGCGACAGCCCAGCCTGGGCGACAGAGCAAGACTCTGTTTCAAACACACACACACACACACACACACACACACGCACGCGCGCACGCGCACACACACACACACACACAAACTGTCTTGTACACTTTGGAAGCATCTTCCATTTCTACTTCTTTCTGTGCCATCATCCTATTCCAAGCCACCTTTATTTATCTCATGGACAGTAGAAAGACCTCAAACTCGTCTCCCTGTGTTTATTCCACAATCCCCTCTGGGTCACTCAACACTTTTGCAACAGTGCTGAAAGGAAAGTTTGATGATTTCTATTACCACCCCTTTCAAACTATGTAATTGCTTCTACTTGCTATTACAAGTATTTTCAAGATGCCATGTTATCTGACTTCTAGTCCCTCCGTCTTCACCTCCTGCTCATTCTCCGTGGCCCAGCCAAACCCTCTGTTAAAGGCTTTGGGATGCCCTGACTTTATGCTCAGAATGTTTTTCTCTACCATGCTCAGGCAACTCCGCCAACTCCTCTTCTTTGTTTATCTCAGCCTAAAGCTTACTCCTTCTAGGAAGTGATTCTAAACTTCCCTCTCATCTGGAATAGGAACTGTAAGACTTTCTATAAAAAAAAAAAAGACAGTCTCAATCTGTCGCCCAGGCTGGAGTGCAACGGCACAATCTCAGCTCACTGCAACCTCTGCCTCCCAGCTTCAAGCGATTCTCCTGCCTCAGCCTACCTAGTAGCTGGGATTACAGGTGCCTGCCACTACACCAGGCTAATTTTTTGTATTTTTAGTAGAGACAGGGTTTTACCGTGTTAGACAGGCTAGTCTTGAACTCCTGACCTCAAGTGATCCGCCCGCCTAGGACTCTCAAAGTATTGGGATTACAGGCGTGAGCCACGGTGCCCAGCCATAAGACATTTTTATATACAATTTTTAAAAAATTTTATTTTAGGCCAGGCACAGTGGCTCACACCTGTAATCCCAGAACTTTGGGAGGCCAAGGTGGGTGGATCACAAGGTCGGGAGATCGAGACCATCCTGGCTAACAAGGTGAAACCCCTTCTCTACTAAAAATACAAAAAATTAGCCAGGAGTGCTGGCGGGCACCTGTAGTCTCAGCTACTCAGGAGGCTGAAGCAGGAGAATGGCATGAACCCGGAAGGCGGAGCTTGCGGTGAGCCGAGATTGCGCCACTGCACTCCAGCCTGGGCGACAGAGCCAGACTCCGTCTCAAAAACAAAAAAAAATTTTTATTTTAAATACGGAGTCTCGCTCTGTCACCCAGGCTGGAGTGCAGTGGCGCGATCTTGACTCACTGCAACCTCTACCTCCCGGGTTCAAGTGATTCTCCTGCCTCAGCCTCCCAAGTAGCTGGGATTACAGGTGTGTGCCACCATGCCTGGCTAATTTTTGTATTTTTAGTAGAGACAGTGTTTCACCATGTTGGCCAGGCTGGTCTCAAACTCCTGACCTCAAATGATCCACCCACCTTGGCCTCCCAGAGTGCTGGGATTACAGGCATTAGCCACACCCACCTGGCCTATACCATCCATTTTTTTTTTAAAATTATACTTTAAGTTCTAGGGTACATGTGCACAATGTGCAGGTTTGTTACATATGTATACATGTGCTATGTTGGTGTGCTGCACCCATTAACTCGTTATTTACATTAGGTATATCTCCTAATGCTATCACTCCCCACTTCCCCCACCCCACAACAGACCCCGGTGTGTGATGTTCCCCTTCCTGTGTCCAAGCGTTTTCATTGTTCAATTCCCACCTATGAGTGACAACATGCGGTGTTTGGTTTTCTGTCCTTGTGATAGTTTGCTGAGAATGATGGTTTCCATCTTCATCCATGTCCCTATAAAGGACATGAACTCATCCTTTTTTATGGCTATCATTCATTTTTAAAGTTGCCCATTTCTTTCTCTCTACCTCATGGAAAACTGCAAATCTCTGACACCAGACATATGAGAATTTAAACATATGCCACGGTAGATGAATGTTAAACAATCAATCTCATCTTTGCCACTTATTAGCCCATGAAGTTGGTCAAGTTATGTATCTTGTAAGATCCTCTATCACAGCTTCAGCCATAGGGAACCCATTTCACTGGGTGGGGTTGAGAGTCAGATGGTGGGGACATGACAGTTTCAGTGCAGTGCTGACTTGATAAACCCTAGCTCTCATTTTTATGCACTCTCTTCCTGGGAATAATACCCACATGCCCTCCACACTGGGCCTTTTTTCCAAGCTCAGGAGAGAGAGCCCTTGAAGCGTTTTGCAGCTAATGCTGCTGAGCTGCATCCAGGTCACGGATGTGCAGGCATGCCACCTGCGCGCGTGTGTGTGTGTGTGTGTATAAATATATATGTGTGTACAGGCATGCCACCTGCGTGTGTGCGTGTGTGTATAAATATATATGTGTGTACAGGCATGCCACCTGCGTGTGTGCGTGTGTGTGTATAAATATATATGTGTACAGGCATGCCACCTGCGTGTGTGTGTGTATAAATATGTGTGTGTGTATATAAAAATATATGTGTATATATAAATATGTGTATATATAAAAATATATGTGTATATGTGTGTGTATATGTATATATAAATATATATGTGTGTATATAAAAATATATGTGTATGTGTATGTGTATATATAAATATGTGTGTATATATAAATATATATGTGTATATATAAAAATATATGTGTATATGTGTATGTGTATATATAAATATATATGTGTGTATATATAAAAATATATGTGTATATGTGTGTATGTGTATGTGTATATAAAAATATGTGTGTATATATAAAAATATATGTGTATATGTGTGTGTATATATGTGTGTGTGTATATATTATATATATATATATATATTTTTTTTTTTTTTTGAGACACAGTCTCACTCCGTTGCCCAGGCTGGAGTGCAGTGGCATAATCTCGGCTCACTGCAACCTCTGCCTCCCGGATTCAAGTGATTCTCCTGCCTCAGTCTCCTGAGTAGCTGGGATTACAGGCATGTGCCATGACGCCTGGCTAATTTTTTGTATTTCTAGTAGAGACGGGGTTTCTCCATGTTGGCCAGGCTGGTCTCGATCTCTTGACCTCAGGTGATCCACCCACCTCAGCCTCCCAAAGTGCTGGGATCACAGCCATGAGTCACTGCATCCAGCCCACACCTGTATTTGTAGGGCCAATTCAAGGGCTCAGTCAAGGGATTTGTTTTCAGTCTACAGTTGGAGAGATTCTCTAGATAAAAAAGAACTGCTATTTTCTAAATGACCTTTCTCCTAAGTACCCTAAAATAATCATAGAATCTGATCCGAATTCTTGCTGCACTACGGACACCAATAGCCCAAGAAAGTCCAAGCCTCAGATGAGCACCTGGAACCTCAGTCCTTCATCCCACGGCCAAGCACGAGACTCGCACCAAACCACTACCAATGTTATCAACCAATGAGGTTCTTAGCCACTTCCTATGCATTACACATTATTGAACTTTTGCAATGGCACACACAGTAACACATTTCCTGTTCCAAGATGTGGGATCCAAGGGTCAGAACAGAAGGAGACATGCCCGAAGTCTCACAACCGACCCGTGATAGCGCCAGAGCTCAAGCTTAGCACTTACAACCCAAATCCTATTAACTTCAATGAAGTCCATGTGGGTGGAGCCGTTGTCTACCCATTTCTCCCTCCTCCATTATTTTACAGGCTAGAGACTACACTAATTTCCAACCAATGACGATGACCAATAGGATCCTTCTCACAGCTCAGACTCACACTGCAGAGGTGGAGCCGGTTACTGAACAACGATTCTTCCCTGTTCCCATGAGAACCTGAAATCACCTCCCCTCCCTGCCCTAGACTTGTCCCAAGTCTCGCTTACTTTTCATGTCATCCCGTGCCTTCTCCGAGAGGGTTCGCAGGTTCATGTTTTCAAAGATGCTAATGGACGTAGCCCAGGCCAGCGATGCTCCATAATACTCATGCAAGAGGAGTGCCAGACATTCCACGTTGGCATTCTCGATTTCAAACTGTGGAATAGAGCATGTGGTCGATTCTGAAGATTTCTTCTTTAGTAATTCCTTGAATGTCTGAAATTCTTCCTTGTCTAGCTCATAGAGACACCATTGCAGCCCGTAGCTGGAAAAGGTGAGCGATTTGTCTCCTTCCATCTTGATACAAGGCTGAGAGCTCAGGTTTTGGGGGAAAAGTGGATTCTTTGGTAATATAGAGCAAGTAGGACCTGTGGAAAGAGTGACAAGACTTAAAAGAGGATCTTGCAGCAAATTCTCAAGTAGATACAACTAACATCAATCACCTCACTAGATGAACGGCCTTCTCTTTTCAATTCTTCATGGACGAAGCATTTGTTGCCACAATATCTGTTTATCCTATTACTAGACATCAGTGCTGGGACATTTTGTTGTCTGTACCCTTAGTTCCCAAACAGCATCTTAGAATAAAATTGGACGTGCATGCCACAGATGTTCTTAGCTAGTATGTCATACTCAAAAACACTGGCAATGGCCAGGTGCAGTGGCTCACGCCTGTAATCCCAGCACTTTGGGAGACCAAGGCAGGTGGATCACTTGAGGTCAGGAGTTCAAGACCAGCCTGGCCAACATGGTGAAACTCCATCTCTATTAAAAATATAAAAAAATTAGCCAGGAGTGGTGGCACATGCCTGTAATCCCAGCTACTCAGGAGGCTGAGGCAGGAGAATCGCTTGAATCTGGAAGGCGAAGGTTGCAGTGAGCCAAGACTGCATCATTGCACTCCAGCCTGGACAAGAGTGAAACTCCATCTCAAAAAACAAAAAACCACTGGCATGTGTCTTTATAGCAGCATGATTTATAATCCTTAGGGTATATACCCAGTAATGGGATGGCTGGGTCAAATGGTATTTCTAGTTCTAGATCCCTGAGGAATTGCCACACTGACTTCCACAATGGCTGAACTAGTTTACGGTCCCACCAACAGTGTAAAAGTGTTCCTATTTCTCCACATCCTCTCCAGCACCTGTTGTTTCCTGACTTTTTAATGATCGCCATTCTAGTTTATAGCGGCACTATTCACAATAGCAAAGACTTGGAACCAACCTAAATGTCCAACAGCAATAGACTGGATTAAGAAAATGTGGCACATATACACCATGGAATACTATGCAGCCATAAAAAAGGATGAGTTCATGTCCTTTGTAGGGACATGGATGAAACTGGAAACCATCATTCTCAGCAAACTATCGCAAGGACAAAAAGCCAAACACTGCATGTTCTCACTCATAGGTGGGAATTGAACAATGAGTACACTTGGACACAGGAAGGGGAACATCACACACCAGGGACTGTTGTGGGGTTGGGGGAGGGGGGAGCGATAGCATTAGGAGATATACCTAATGCTAAATGATGAGTTAATGGGTGCAGCACACCAACATGGCACGTGTATACATATGTAACAAACCTGCACGTTGTGCATATGTACCCTAAAACTTAAAGTATAATAATAATAAAATTAAAAAAAAAAACCTCTGGCAAATAGATTCCTACCAGTTACTAATAACCAGTTACAGGGTTCTTAGATCAGTTGATTTCTGTTACACCTGTTAACATCAGGTTCCATAAACACAGTAAACAGTTTTGGTGTAAAAATAAACTGCTGAATACTTAAAAGTCATATCTGATAAGGGATTTATATCTAGATAATATACATACACTAAAAGGGAGACGATCCAATTTAATATGGGCAAAGGGTCTGAATATCCATTTCTCCAAAGAAGCTATGCAAATGGCTAATGAGCACATGAAAAGATTAATGTCGTAAATCACCATCAGGACCAATTCTATCCCTACCTGCTAACTCATTTTATAGGTGCACGTCCAGGACCTCTGCTATCAATTACCTCCCCGAGTTGTCTAGAAGCCTGGTCTATGATGACATTGAAATGTAGCAGTTGTTATAAGGCCCCAGGAATAATTCCTAAATCTCTCAAATTTCCTTTTTTCTTGTCATTATAAGAGCCCTATAAATAGTGACAGCCAGTACTGGTTGGCCAGTTTGAGCAAATCTCCTTTCCCCCCACCATTACTTTGTGGTAGATGACAAAGCAATCGAAGGAATACCATGTAATAAAACATTTTAAAGACTCAGGTAGACAGCAGCTTGTCATTGTCTGAGGGGCGGTATTGGTGTGAGATCACCCTTGCTTGACATCTGTACATTTATAGTTTTTGAGCTAAACTTGCAGATACACAGTAAAGTCTTGTCATGTCACCTCCCTGGAACTGGAAGCATCCCACCAAAGTAAAAATCAGCCTGTAGGGTTTCTGTTAACACGGATTTTTGGCTCTGCTTGCTTAGACAGGGCACCTGCTTTATACTCCCTTGACCTGCAGGGACAAAGTTGTCCCCAGTATTTAGCCCCCGTCTTTCCTTCTGCCTACCATTCTTTCCATGGGAAAGTTTTAAGATGGGCTTGCTGAGATTACTTCAAGTAATTAGGAGAGTCAGAAGATAAATTATAAAATTTCAAGTAATTAGGAGAGTCAGAAGAAAATATTTAAAGGAGGGTAGAGGTGGGAGACAAGAGCCTAGAAATGTCATGGTAGCTAAAATCTATTCAATAAGCTGTGGTGTTTTTTGTTTGTTTTTTTTTTTAAATGACTGAGTCTTGCTGTTGCCCAGGCTGGAGTGCAGTGGTGCAGTCACAGCTCACTGCAGCCTCGAACTCCTGGGCTGAAGCAAGCTTCCCACCTCAGCCTTCCTAGTAGCTGCGACCACAGGCTTGCATCACTGCACCAGGCCTTTAAAAAAAAAAAAAAAGTAGAGACAAGGTGTCACTATGTTGCCCAGGCTGGTTTCAAACTCCTGGGCTCAAGTAATCCTCTTACCCCTGGCCTCCCAAAGTGTTGGGATTACAGGCATGAGCTACTGCGCCCAGCCAAATTTGAATATTTTCTTCTTCTTTTTTTCTTTTTGATAGAGTCTCACTCTGTCACCCAGGCTGGAGTGTAGTGGCATGATCTCTACTTGCTGCAAACCTCTGCTTCCTGGGTTCAATCGATTCTCCTGCCTCAGCCTCCCAAGTAGCTGGGATTACAGGCGTGCACCACCAGGCCTGGCTAATTTTTGTGTTTTTAGTAGAGACAGGGTTTCACCATGTTGGCCAGGATGGTCTCTATCTCTTGACCTCATGATCCACCAGCCTCGGCCTCCCAAAGTGCTGAGATTATAGGCGTGAGCCACCACACCCGACCAAGTTTGAATATTTCTAACCCTGTTCTGATTTAGTAATTTAATATGCTTTACAAGATGAGGTGGCTGAGCGCAGTGGCTCACGTCTGTAATCCCAGCACTTTGGGAGGCCAAAGTGGGCGGATCATGAGGTCAGGAGATCGAGACCATCCTGGCTAACACGGTGAAACCCCATCTCTACTAAAAATGCAAAAAATTAGCCGGGCGTGGTGGCGGGCGCCTGTAGTCCCAGCTACTAGGGAGGCTGAGGCAGGAGAATGGTGTGAACCCGGGAGTCGGAGCTTGCAGTGAGTCAAGATCGTGCCACTGCACTCCAGCCTGGGTGACAGAATGAGACTCTGTCTTAAAAAAACAAACAAAAAAAAACATGAGGTGATATATGTGGGTACACGTTTTCCCCTGGGACACAGGAAACATGTTATCATGAATATCCTCTATACAGGAAGGGCCTCTGAAAAGAGTGGCGAGGTAGCAGTCCCTGGACAATTGTCATTGAAAAGAGTGGAGAGGTGGCAGTCCTCGGACAACTGTCATTGAGAAGAGCGGAGAGGTGGCCATGCCTGGGCAACTGTCATTGAGAAGAGTGGAGAGGTGGCCGTCCCTGGACAACTGTCATTGAAAAGAGTGGAGAGGTGGCAGTCCCTGGACAACTGTCATTGAAAAGAGTGGAGAGGTGGCAGTCCCTGGACAACTGTCATTGAAAAGAGTGGGGAGGTGGCAGTCCCTGGACAACTGTCATGGGTTGACCACCTCCCTGGAGAAGTAATAGGCTTTTTCCTGCATTCTTTCACTTTCTTTCTACCCCGGGGAGTGTTCTGCTGCAACGGATTGCTAATAACATTGCAGCAGACAGCAGCGAGGGCAGGGGATTCGATCCGTGTGTCATGGTACCAAGGCTGAGGGTCGGTTTCCTCATAGGTAACTCTAAGAGGCTGTCGACGCACGTGGTGATGCTGAGAGCAGAGCAGCAGCTCCAAGTTCAAGTCCTCCTGCAACCTTCATGATAACATCGCCATGGAAAGTAACTGAACATCGAAGGCTGGGCTCTCCTCTGGAAGCTGGAAATCAGAGTACCTGCCTCTTCAAGGGTTACTGTGAGGTTTCAGTGAAGCAACAAGTGAGCCGGTCGGAAGGGCTGGCACAGAGCATGCATGGGAACCCTGAACACCACCTGCTCTAAAGCTACCTGCCAGACCGAGACGTCCTGAGCAGAAGAGTATGTCACGGTACACAAGCGCTCAGGCTTACGACGCTACTGCCGAGGCGGGCAGATCACCTGAGGTCAGGGGGTCGAGACCAGCCTGGCTAACATGGTGAAACCCCATTTCTACTAAAAATACAAAAAATTAGCCAGGCATGGTGGCGCGCACCTGTAACCCCAGCTACTCGGGAGGCTGAGGCAGAAGAATCACTTGAACCTGGGAGGCAGAGGTTGCAGTGAGCCAAGATTGTGGCATTGCACTCCAGCTTGGGCAACAAGAGCAAAACTCTGTCTCCAAAAAAAAAAAAAAAAAAGAAAAAGAAAAAAAAAGATTTAGTAGGATCTCAATTGTGTGGATTCTAAAACAATTAAATTCATAGCAGCAGAGAGAAGAATGGTGGTTGCCAGAGACTGGGGGATAAAATGGGGAAAAAGGAAATATTGATGAAAAGGTACAAACAAGTTTCAGTCAGAGAAATGAGTTTTAGGGATCCCCTGCACAGCATGGCAACTAGAGTTAATAATGATGTATTTAACCTGCCATGGAATTTAAGAAAAGATGTATTAATATATGCTCCAAAATTGCTAAAAGTAGATTTTAAACATCCTCACCACAAAAAGTAACTAAGGCAATGGACATGTTAGCTTTTTTCTGCCATGTATACATATATCTAAACATCGCATTGTACCTCGCAAATATATACAATTATTGTCAATTAAAAATAAAAGTGGATTTAGGATTGCTTCAATTTGTGAATCTGCAGGTGAGGCTAAAGTGTGTGTATATATATATACACATATATATATATATACACACACACACATATATATATATATATATATATATATATATACACACACACACACATATTTTGAGACGAAGGCTTGCATTGTCGCCCGGGCTGGAGTACAGTGGCACAATCTCAACTCACTGCAACCTCCACCTCCCGGGTTCAAGCAATTCTCCTGTCTCAGCCTCCAGAGTAGCTGGGATTTCAGGCACCTGTCACCATGCCCGGCTAATTTTCTGTATTTTTAGTAGAGACAGGGTTTCACTAGGTTGGCCAGACTGGTCTCGAACTCCTGACCTTGTGGCCCACCCGCCTCGGCCTCCCAAAGTGCTGGGATTACAGGCGTGAGCCACCACATCTGGCCTCATATATATTTTTAGAAAAAGTGTCTCACTCTGTCCCTCAGGCTGGAGTGTGGTGACTATCATAGCTCACCATATAGCCTTGAACTCCTGGGCTCAAGTGATCTTCCTGCCTCAGACTCCCCAAGTAGCTGGGACTACAGGTGCACACCCCACACCTGGTTTCTTATATTTTTATAATTTTAGAATGTCTGAAATTCAGGACTGAGATAAGATAAATCTAATCCAATCTTTGGAATTCCTACTTAATTTCATTAAAAGAGGCAAGGTTTTCATTAACCTACCTACCCTCCAGGAAAAGATGTTTTCTGTGTGTGTGTATGCTACCATGGTTGTTTTGATTATTTTGATTATGATAAAACCATTTATAAGAGTAGATAGTACTTCCTGCTCCCTACCTTCAACATTCAGAGAATAAAAAAATATATAGCTTCAATGGATGTATAAATAGTATCAACAGAAACACTTTACAAACCAGGACTAGATATCCTTCAAATTAATTTTTTTTTTTGAGATAGAGTGTTGCTCTGTCACCCAGGCTGGACTGCAGTGGTGCAATCTCAGCTCACTGCAACTGCTGCCTTCTGGGGTCAAGTGATCCTCCTGCCTCAACCTCCCAAGTAGCTGAAATTACAGGTGCCAGCCACCACACCCAGCTATTTTTTTGGTATTTTAACCAGAATTTTTGGTATTTTGGTATTTTTGGTAGAGATGGGGTTTTACCATGTTGGCTAGGCTGGTCTCTAACTCCTGTCCTCAAGTAATCTGTCCACCTTGGCTTCCCAGAGTGCTGGGATTACAGGTATGAGCCACCATGCCCAGCTACCTTTTAAACTTTTACAGAACTTATACCAATTCTTCTCAAACTATTCCGAGAATTGAAGGGGAGGGAATTCTTCCTCATTCTATGAGCCAAGCATTGTCCTGATACCAAAACCAGAAAAGGACACACAAAAAAGAAAACTACAGGCCAACGTCTCTCATGAACATAGATACAAAAATCTTTGACAAAATTCTAGGTAACCAAATCTAAGAACACATCAAAAAGATCATTCCCCATGATGAAGTGGGATTCATCTCAGGGTTGCAAGGGTGGTTCATCAGCAGACTGAAGGACAAAAACCACACGATCATCAAGACATGCAGAAAAAGCATTTGATAAAATCAACATTTACAAGAAAAAAAACAAACAACCCCATCAAAAAGTGGGCAAAGGATATGAACAGACACTTCTCAAAAGAAGATATTTATATAGCCAACAGATACAAGAAAAAATGCTCATCATCACTGGCCATCAGAGAAATGCAAATCAAAACCACAATGAGATACCATCCCACACCAGTTAGAATGGTGATCATTAAAAAGTCAGGAAACAACAGGTGCTAGAGAGGATGTGGAGAAATAGAAACACTTTTACGCTGTTGGTGGGACTGTAAACTAGTTCAACCATTGTGGAAGTCAGTGTGGCGATTCCTCAGGGATCTAGAACTAGAAATACCATTTGATCCAGCCATCTCATTACTGGGTATATACCTAAAGGATTATAAATCATGTTGCTATAAAGACACATGCACACGTATGTTTATTGTGGCACTATTCACAATAGCAAAGACTTGGAACCAACCCAAATGTCCATCAGTGATAGACTGGATTAAGAAAATGTGGTACATATACACCATGGAATACTATGCAGCCATAAACAAGGATGATTTCATGTCCTTGTAGGGACATGGATGAAGCTGGAAATCATCATTCTGAGCAAACTATCGCAAGGACGAAAAACCAAACACCACATGTTCTCACTCATAGGTGGGAACTGAACAATGAGAACACTTGAACACAGGAAGGGGAACGTCACACACCGGGGACTGTTGTGGGGGAGGGAGCATTAGGAGATATACCTAATGTAAATGATGAGTTAATGGGTGCAGCACACCAACAGGGCACATGTATACATATGTAACAAACCTGCACGTTGTGCACATGTACCCTAGAACTTAAAGTATAAAAGAAAAGATGAACAAAGAAAAAAAAATTCAACATCCCTTTATGATAAGACGCAGAAGAAACATAACTCAGAACAATAAAGGCCATGTATGACAAACCCACAGCTAGCATTATACTGAATGTGGAAAAGAAGAAAGCCTTTTCCCTAAGAACTGGCACACAGGGTGCCCACTTCCGCCACTCCTATTTAACACAGTACTGGAAGTCTTAGCCAGAGCAATTAGGGAAGAAAAAGAAACAAAGGGCATCAAAATTGGAGAAGAAGTAGATTGTTCATGTTTGCAGGCAATATAATCTTTCATTTAGAAAAGCCTACAGACCCCACCAAAAGACAGAGAACTGATAAAGGAATTCAGTAAAGTTGCAGAATCAACATACAAAAATGTTGATTTTTGGATAAATTTTTCAGTATGATGCAAGTTTTTATATAATAAATGAACTCAGTATGATGCAAAAATCAACATAAAAACAGTAGCATTTCTAAACACCAATAATGAACTAGCTGAAAAAGAAAGCAATGTCCTTTATAATAGCTACAAAAATGTACCTAGAAATAAATTTAACTAAGGAGGTAAGAAATATCTATAGTAAAACCCACAGAATACTGAAAAAAATTGAAGAGGATAGATAAAAATGGAGACATCTAACGTTCACTGATTAGAAGAATGTTGTTAAAATGGCCATCCTACCCAAAACAATCTACAGATTCAATGCAATCCCTATCAAAACACCAACGACATTCTTCACAGAAATAGAAAAACAATCCTAATATTTGTATAGAACCACAAAAGATCCCAAGTAGCCCAAACAATTTTGAGCAAAAAGAAAGCTGGAGGCATATTACCTGACTTCACAAAGCTATAGTAACCAAAACAGCATGGCACTGTCATGAAAACAGACATAGACCAACAGAATAGATAATTCAGAAATCCATATATTTATAGCCAACTCTTTCTTTTTTAATGTATTTTTCAGGACTTGTTAGAATATTTTAATATTTAAGTTTTTTTAATACTTTAAGTTCTAGGGTACATGTGCACAACGTGCAGGTTTGTTACACAGGTATACATGTGCCATGTTGGTTTGCTGCACCCATGAACTCATCGTTTGCATTAGGTATTTCTCCTAATGCTATCCCTCCCCCAGCCCCACACCCTAGGACAGGCCCCAGTGTGTGATGTTCCCCACCCTGTGTCCAAGTGTTCTCATTGTTCAATTCCCACCTATGAGTGAGAACATGTGGTGTTTGGTTTTCTGTCCTTGCGATAGTTTGCTCAGAATGATAGTTTCCAGCTTCATCCATGTCCCTACAAAGAGCATGAACTCATCCAACTCATTTTCAAAGGCACCAAGATTAGGGAAAGTACACTGTGTTCACTAGGTGGTACTGCGAAAACGGGATAACCATATGCAGAATTAAACTAGACCCCTGTCTCTCACCATATATAAAAATCAACTCAAGATAAAGTACTTAAACATAAGACTTGAAATAATAAAACTACCAGAAGAAAACATAGGGAAAGCTCTTCTGAATACAAGTCAAGGCAAATATTTTGCGGCTAAGACTTCAAAAGGACAGGCAACAAAAGCAAAAATAGACCAATAGGAGTACATCCAACTAAAGAGCTTCTGTACAGCAAAGGAAATAGTCCAAGAGTAAAGAGACAACCTGGCTGGGCACAGTGGCTCAGGCCTGTAACTCCAGCACTTTGGGAGGCCAAGGCAGGTGGATCATGAGGTCAGGAGATCGAGACCATCCTGGCCAACATGGTGAAACTCCATCTCTACTAGAAATACAAAAATTAGCTGGGTGTGGTGGCACGTGCCTGAAATCCCAGCTACTGGGGAGGCTGAGGCAGGAGAATCGCTTGAACTAGGGAGTTGGAGGTTACAGTGAGCTGAGATGGTGCCACTGCACTCCAGCCTGGTGACAGAACAAGACTCTGTCCCCCCTCCCAAAAAAACCCCGCAGAATGGGAGAAAATATTTGCAAAATAATGATCTGGCAAGGAACTAATACCCAGAATATATGAGGAACTCAAACAACTGTATAGCAAAACTCCAAGTAATCCATTTAAGAAGTGGGTAAAAACCTGAACAGACATTTCTCAAAAGACATCCAAATGACCAACAGATACGAAAAAAGATTCAACATTACTCATCATCGCAATCTCACTGTGGTTTTGATTTGCATTTCCCTCTAGTTGGAATGGCTACTATCAAAAAAGACGAAAAATAAATGCTGGCAAGGATGCAGAGAAAGAAACTCCTTTCCACTGTCAGTGGAAATGTAAATTAGCACAGCCATTATGGAAAACAGTGTAGCAGTGTCTCAAAGAACTGAAAATAGATTAATACCCTATGATCCAGCGATCTGGTGATTTACCCGAAGTATATCAAAGGTATGTCTGCACTCTCATGTTTACCACCCCACTATTCACGATAGCTAAGATATGTAATCTACCTAACTGTCCATCAACAAATGAATCAAGAAAACGTGGTATACACACACAAGGGAACATGTTTCAGCCTTCAAAAAATCCTGCCATTTGTGACAACACAGATGAGCCTGTAGCTCTTCATGTGAGCTACAGCCTGTAGTTCATTGTGTGAAGCAAAATAAACCAGGCATGGGAAACTAAATACTGAATGTATTTTACTCATATGTGGGAGTTAAATTGAGCAAATGGGACTATGGAAGTAGGGGATGTAATTGTGGGTATTAGAGGATAGGGGAGAGGAGGGAGAGGGGAGAGGGGAGGTTGAGAGGAGGAGGGGGGAGGAGAGGAGGGGAGAGGAGGGGGAGGGGGAGGGGGAGGGGGAGGGGAGGGGGGGAGGGGAGGGGGGAGGGGAGGGGGGAGAGGAGGGGAGGGGGGAGAGGGGGAGGGAGGGGGGAGAGAGGGGGGAGAGAGGGGGGAGAGGAGGGGGAGAGGAGGGGGAGAGGAGGGGGAGAGGAGGGGGAGAGGAGGGGGAGAGGAGGGGGAGAGGAGGGGGAGAGTATGGCTCATGGGTGCTAAGATTACAGGTAGAAGGGAGAAATGGGTGCAGGTGTTCTGCAGCACTGCAGGTGAATATGGTGAACTATAACTTATTGTCCACTCTCAAAAAGCTAGAAGGGAGGACAGAGTGTTCACAACACAAATGTTTGGGGTGATGAATATGCTAAGTCCCCTGATTTGATCATGATACATTGTATACAGGTATCAAAATATCACTCGGGCCGGGCGCAGTGGCTCACACCTGTAATCCCAGCACTTTGGGAGGCCGAGGTGGGTGGATCACCTGAGGTCGGGAGTTCAAGACCAGCCTGACCAACATGGAGAAACCCCATCTCTACTAAAAATACAAAATTAGCCAGGCATGGTGGCAGGTGCCCGTAATCCCAGCTACTCAAGAGGCTGAGGCAGGAGAATCGCTTGAACCTGGGAGGCAGAGGTTGCAGTGAGCCAAGATTGCACCATTGCACTCCAGCCTGGGCAACAAGAGCGAAAATTCATTTCAAAAAAAAAAAGTCTCCATAAATATGTACAGTTATGTGTCAACTAAAATAAAGGAAAAACTGCAGCAAATGTATCTATTTTTGACAAAGATCAGGGGTCAGCAAATCTCCCAGAAGGAGCCAGGCATTTTTGGCTTTGGGGCCATTTGCTCTCTGCCACCCGTGCTTAGCTGCTCCTGCACTGGGAAAGTAGCTGTAGACAATTTGTCAACAAAGGAGAAAAGCTGTGTTCCAATAAATCTTTATTTACAAAACTGGGCAATGGGCTGGATTTGACACAAGCCCTACAGAGAATCCCATAAGAATGTTACGTGTCATTATTAAAAAGTCAAAAAACCGACGCTGCTGAGGTTGCAGGAAAAAATGGAAAGCTTATACACTGTTGGTGGGAGTGTAAATCAGTTCAGCTATTGTGGAAAGCAGGGTGGAGATTCCTCAAAGAGCTAAAAGCAGTAGCGTTGGACCCAGCCATCCCATCACTGGGTATATACACTAAGAGGAATATAAAGCATTCTCCCATAAAGATACATGCATGCAAATGTTCACCGTGGCACTGTTTACAATAGAAAAGACATGGAGTCAACCTAAATGCCCATCAAGGACAGACTGGATAAAGAAAATGTGGTACACGTACACCATGGAATACTATGCAGCCATAAAAAAGAATGAGATCATGTCTTTTGTGGGAACATGGATGGAACTGGGGGCCATCATCCTAAGCAAACTAAGACAGGAACAGAAAACCAACTACCACATGTTCTCACTTATAAATGGGAGCTAAATAAGAACACATGGACACAAAGAGGGGAACCACAGATACTGGGGTCTACCTGAGGGTGGAGGGTGGGAGGAGGGTGAGAAGCAGAAAGAAATAACGACTGGGTACTGGGCTTAATAACCTGGGTGAGGAAATAGTATGTATAACAAACCCCCATGACACAAGTTTACCTACGTAACAAACCTTCACATGTACCCCCAAAACTAAAAAGTAAAAAAAGAATGTTAGCTGTCAGCACTTCCGTTCAGTTTTGTACTCTCTCCCTATTCTTTATATCTGATATTCCACTATTATTTATATTTACCTAATTTATATTTGATAGGAAAGCAATCAGATAAAGAGGAGGTATAAAAGTGGAAAAAGGTGAAAATTAACATCTGTATGTAGGTATGTATGCCTAATAAATTACTCAATTTTAAATTATATGTAGTTATTAAATTGGGCTGGTAACAAATGTAACGATGAAATCCCACACAAAATCTAATAACCAGTTAAACGTGAGATCAAATGAACAGCAACTATAGAGGTAAAACATGCATAATTTAGAAAAGTGGCTATCTGTTTTGAGAGCTTTAAAATGCGGCTGCTAGATAAAAGGCTCAATGTGGTGAGGCAGAGGCAGATTCCCAACACATCAGTCATCCTCCATCAGTATAATATCATCCAAGAAGTACTGCTGATATTGTTATCAGGACAAGAAACTCAATGTTTCTATGAAAAGCCAAAACTAGACAAGAAAATTCTAAGAAGAATGATATTCACTCTGTTGATGTCTAGGCTGCACTTTAACATCTACGATAGAAGGTCACCATTTCCGGGGGCTAAATTTTGAAATATTTATGTTCATGAATTCCTACTTTACATTTAGCCCCCAAATAATGAGCAAATGGAATAGAAGGTCTCAATCGAATGGTATAAAAGAGACAAGATGACAGATTAATTCAATACAGTACCCTCCTCACTCCAGAAAAACAAACAAATCTTTAAAGTCCCGCTGAAAAAACTGCTGCAAATAAATTTGAGACATGACAAAGAATGCATTACGTAAACAGCTCTTCCAATCCATGATAATGATCAACAGCTCAGCGGAATTTTTTTTTTCTTTGAGATGGAGTTTTGCTTTTGTTGCCCAGGCTAGAGTACAGTGATATGATCTCAGTTCACTGCAATCTCCGTCTCCTGGGTTCAAGTGATTCTCCTGCCTCAACCTCCCCA